>NC_000008.11:57177265-57802265 GCF_000001405.40 Homo sapiens
AACAAAATTGACAAAAATAAGTGGTGCTAGGAAACTGGCCAGCCATCTGCAGAAGAATGAAACTGGATACCTGCCTTTCACCATGTGCAAAAATCAACTCAAGATAGCCTCTAACAAGAATGTCAGCCTGTCTGTTGAAGCTTTCAAACCAGGCATTGACTTCTCTTCTATAGCTAGGAAACGTCTGAATGGCGTCTTCTTCCAATAGGAGGCTGTTTGATCTACACTGAAAATCCGTTATTTGGTGTAGCCACCTTTATCTGTCATCTTAGTAAGATCTTCTGGATAACTTGCTGCAGCTGTTACCTCAGCACTTGCTGCTTCACCTTGCATTTTTGTGTTCTGGAGATAGCTTCTTTTCTTAAACGTCATAACAGCACCTGTTAGCTTCAAAATTTTCTTCTGCAGTTTCACCTCTCTCAGCCTTTATAGAATTGAAGAAGTTAGGGTCTTGATGTGGACTAGGCTTTAGCTTAAGGGAATGTTGTGGCTGGTTTGAGCTTCTATCCATATGATTAAACTTTATATTAGCAATAAGGCTGTTTTGCTTTCTTATCTGTTGTGTGTTCAGTGGAATAGCACTTTTAATTTTTTCCAAGAACTTTTTATTTTGCATTCACAACATGACTGGTGCAAGAGGCCTAGCTTTCAGCCTGTCTCTGCTTTTGGCATGCCTTCCTCACCAAGCTTAATGATTTCTAGCTTTTGATTTAACGTGAGACCTGGGACTCTTCCCTTTCATTTGAACACACAGGGGCCATTGTAGGGTTATTAATTGGCCTAATTTTAATGATTGTTGTGTCTCAGGGAATGAGGAGGCCCCAAAAGAGGGAGCGAGATGGGGAATTGGCTGGTCGGTGGAGCAGTCAGAACACACACAACATTGATCAATTAAGTTTGCTATCTCAGGTGGGCACGGTTTGCGGTCCCACCGCAAATAATTACAGTCATAACATCAAAGATTGCTGATCACAGACTACTATAACAGGCATAATCATAGTAAAAATTGGAAATATTGTGAGAATTACCAAAATGTGACTTGAAGGGAGTATATGGGACTAGAAAAATAGTGCTAACCGTCTGACACAGTGCAGGGTTGCCACAAACCTTCAAGTTGGAAAAAACTCAGTATCTGCAAAGCACAGTGCAATGAAACGAGTTATGCTTGTATTACTATTTTTACCTGCTTCTGTTTGGTCTTTGCTTTTCTTTCCATTTTATTTTATTTTAATGTTTTTTATTGAGACGGAGTCTTGCTCAGTCGCCTAGGCTGGAGTGCAGTGGCACAATCTTGGCTCACTGCAACCTCCGCCTCCTGGGATCAAGCAATTCTTCCGCCTCAGCCTCCTGAGTAGCTGGGATTACAGGTACCCGCTGTCACGCCCAGCTACTTTTTGTAGTTTTGTAGAGACAGGGTTTCACCATGTTGGCCAGGCTGGTCATGAACTCCTGACCTCAGGTGATCTGCCCATCTTGGCCTCCCCACAATGTGCTGGGATTACAGGCATGAGCCACCGCGCCCGGGTTGGTCTTCACTTAAAAAAAAATATATATATATATATATTATATATATATATAATATATATATAATATATATATAATATATATTATATTATATATTTATTATATTATATTATATATTATATTATATAATATATATATTATATAGGGTAATGGAATAGAGCTTAAACTGTGAAGTCAGACAGACCTGTATTCCACTGTGAGTGTGTTGGTGTTAGTGGCTGTATGACTTTGCACATGTTATGTAGCGCCTCTTAGCTTCATCTGTGAAGTAAAACTAGTGATAACTGTGAGGACTGAAATCCACTAAACTACAGGAAGTCCATGACACAAAAGCTAGTCATTGTGAACGTGGAAAGTTGCTCAGGGTCCGTCGTCTGTTAATACCATCATCCAGTTGGTAATTCAGATTGGAAATTTTTGTGTTTTAGTCTCCTTTTTAGCATTTATCATACAATGCTGAAATAACCTATTTATGTCTTTTTCTCTAGACGGGAAGCTCTCTGAGGGTAGACTGTCTTATTGACTCTTGTATTTCTAGTGTTCAGTATAGTGTCTTTCAGAAAGTAGATATTCAGTAAAGATTACTTGAATAATTGAGATGTTTTTCAACCTTTGTTAAACCTGTACTCTTTTTTGCTAAAAGTAAATTTTATACCTGCCTTTAGTGTTACTTGAAGTTTAAAATAAAGTAAAAGGTGGTATCTAAAAACAAGCTGATGTTTTGTAATAAAGCACTATCTCATTTTCAAAGTGCTTATTAAATAACTTAAAAGATTATGATGCATAGCCCATGGGGTTTCATTCTACCTGACTCCATTCCTTGGAGAATCAGCCAGTGGATAAATTGCCCGGAAACAACGTTGAGTTTTGATGTCAGTTAGGATACTGACTAGACCTTAGGTTTCCTCAACTCGGAAATGATGAAAGTTGAATTATAATAGACTTTTAAGATATTACTCTCTTTAATTTTTGTCTTATTAATAATAATTAATAATACAGTGCTTACTGCGTGCCAGCTAACCCAGTCAACACTTTTCATGTATTATGTCTTAATTCTGAAAAATCTTTAGTGACTACTATGTTTATTATAGGCATTTTACCAATGCGAACAAGCAGAGTAGCTCAGGACAGGAAATTATGAAGAATATCACCAGCGCAATCATTGAGTAGAAAATAACTTGATGCTTGTCGTGGAGGTCAGTGAAATAGAGGCGAATGCAGATTCACTCTCTACTGCTAAACTTGGATTGTTGCAGTAACAAAGACTTACACAGAAGGAGGCTGTCCAGATATTATGCTGCACCCCAAAGATGGCCAAACCTATCATCTGAGTGGTGACACCAGAAAAAGGGGGCATCACCTTAAGGTGAAATAAAGCACCAAAGCATTGTTTGAGAAATAAGACCCTTAACTTCTAAACTTGGGATATGTCCCTTATGTTCCAAGAAATTGACTCATAATGAAGGAAAATTTTTCCTCCTGGAGTCCTCAAAAGTGTTTTTTCCTTCTTTAGGATAAGTACCTGGAATGAGTTCTCTCTATTTAAAAAGCCCTTAAAGGTATCTAGCAGTCCTTGTCAGCATTTTCACATAAGGGCTGTTGGTGAACTGATAGTGTTGGCAATAAATAGAAAGTGGATCATTAGTTTTGAAAAGTGTACTTTAACTCTGTGTTTTAAGCTGTCTTTTGTTTCCATTTATACTCATTTAGGTTATTCTGCTTCCTCAAAGCCCTCTGATTAATAGTACTCCAGGCCAATGTTATGTTCTCAGTGTGTGTGTATGTGTGTACACATGTGTGTTGGGGGGAGAGAAATAGATAGACTGACCTATTCTGTACAGTGGATCAAATAAGTTTCTTCTACTGGCCTGCCTTGGAGCCTATTACTGATTTATAATATTTCTGTGGAAAAAATGTGTTCAAAATTTTTAATAAATGTTCTACATTGAAGGTGCCAGTTATTCCATAAGGTTTAAATTTAGAAGTAATTTTAATTGTAGGTTAACATCCTTATTAATAATGTAAATAGTACATAATGATTTGAAAATTTTATTATACATTGTTCTTGTCACCAAAGGGGAAAGTTGAGAGTGTGCGTGTTCATACGTGTGTATATGTGCGTGTGTGTCTGTGTGCACATGCACAGATACATATAATCTCTGGGATAGTTTTGATTTATTTTAATCAGAGACATTCTAACCGTGTTTTGCCTGCATTTTGTGAAATGAGTGGATAAATTAGTTCTCTCATTTAATGGCAGATTTTTAGAATATTTAAATAATAGAAAATATTGTGTCATGTTAGCCAGAATGTTTTGTAGATACATCACAGCAAATTAACGAATGACTAGATTTATATAAGCAAGTTTATTTGACTTGAGTCATCATGTGTTGAGAATAGATTTGAGTACTTTTTTTTTTTAGTAAATTCTAATATTTAGTAGTTTTTGTTGTTTTTTGAGTCATTGTTAAAAAGGTAAAGACAAGAGTACAAGGCTGGTATTGGAGAAATTAGTTTGGGAGAACAACTGATGTTCTGTCAGGGCTGTTCTGAAATTCATCCTAATTACTGTTTGTTTTTATCTTTGTGCCTTGAGTTATGAAGAAAGCTGTAATCCCTGAGCCACGTAATGCTGCACAGCTTCCATGCAGCCAAGAGACAGTGCTGCGTAGTGCTGTGCATGGCTTTAGGGCTTGGTATTTTTGTTTTTTTTTTTTTGGTTTTTTTTTCCCAGATCTTCTGGAGCCTGTGTATGGGACCCCTTTGTTGGGTGTTCACAGAATTTTAGGCTTTGGAGGTTTTATTTTTTATTTTTATCTGGGAATGCTCCTATAAATATTCTTTAGCCTAAATCATTAACTTGATGTTTGTGACTGGGTATCTCTCTTCTAATTGTGCTTTCTTTTTACAGGCATGCCTTACATTTTCTTGTACAAAGTGGAATTTCCTACTGTATCATGATCCTAATAGGAGTGGAGAACATATATAAGTATTTACTTTGTTCACGTAGAAATATGTATTTCACTTTGATATAATTGGATCAGAGTAGAATTTTATTACATTAAAGTAATTCTGAATTGTGATAACTTTTTTTTTTTTTTTGAGATGGAGTTTCACTCTTGTCATCCAGGCTGGAGTGCAGTGGCGTGAGCTCAACTCATTGCAACCTCCACCTCCTGAGTTCAAGCGATTCTCCTGCGTAAGCCTCCTGAGTAGCTGGGATTACAGGCACCTGCCACCACGCCCAGCTAATTTTTGTGTTTTTAGTAGAGATGGTGTTTCACCATGCTGGCCAGGCTGTTCTTGAACGCCTGACCTCAGGTGATCTGCCTGCCTCGGCCTCCCAAAGTGCTGGGATTACTGGTGTGAGCCACCATACCCGGCTGTGATAACTTTTTAAAGAAGAATTGCCATAAATACAAAAATAAAATCATTGGTATGTATCATTCCTCTTTTTACTTAAAGCAGAGGTTTTTAACCTCAGCACTGTTGATATTTTGGAATGGATAATTCTTTGACATTTAGGACTAACCTGTGCATTGTAGGACGTTAAGTTGCATTACTAGCTTCTACTCACTAGATGGTAGTAGCACTTGGAATTGTAACAACCATTAATGTATCTAGTTATTTTCATATGTGCCTTGGAGGAGCAAAATTGCCTCCTGTTAAGAACCACAGACTTATAGTATGTAGGCGATGGCAGTGGAGAGATGTAGTGAAATTAGTAGATTGGAGAGAGATTTAAAAGGACTGAGTGATGGCTGGGAAAGTACAGATAGAAAATAAGGTGTCAAGGATGGACTCCTGTGTTTCTGGTTTGAACAACAGGGTAGATGGAAGCACTGTTTTCTGAGGTAGGGAGCCCTAAAAGTGGAGAGCTTGTTCAGGGGATAGAGTATTTCAAGGTGGTAAATATGTAGCCCCTAAACAGTGCTTGGTATGTAGTAAACACTCAATTTTTGCTGAGTAAGTGAAGGCTGACTTTAAGGTATCTGTGAGACATAAAATAGGAGATAGGTAGCTAAGGAATCATGCAGTAGGAGCTAGGTAGCTGGACCAGAGATGTAAATTTGGGAATAGAGATGGGTAAATGTACTTGGTTGAAAACTCAGGGATAGGGTATACCAGCAGACCCTACTGGAGTATTCTGTAGTATCTGAGCTGTGATATATGACATGTGCACCATATTTCTGAATTCTGAAACACATATATCTGTAAGAGTTTTGCATAAGGAATCAGACCTATGGCTTTTATTAGCCTTTCAGTCTCATTCTATTTTGCATCTTCTGTGTTTGGCACTGTTAGTCACCCCCTCTGTTGTAATGTACTGTCTTCTCAATTTCCATTGATACTGCCTGTAATGACTTTTCTCTTCTGTAAACCAACACTTACAAGTTTTTGATATTTTGATTTTAATATTTATAAGAGGAGAAAGAATATTTAGATGTCGTTTCAGAGGAAGCAATTTTTATACCATTATGACCCTATTTTTAAAATCTTGTACAGATGACAGGTTCACGGTGATGCTGCAGTTAGTATCTGATGAAAAAGTTATGAATCAGGTTTAGATTAGATTACTGTAAACGGAGGATTTATATATTACTGGCTAAAGCAAAAGTAACATCATGCTTTTCAGTTGGAAGGCTAGTAAATTCTTGTTTAGGAATAGGAAATTATTTCTTTTTCTGAAAGGCAATTGCAGTCTGTGAAGTTAACTTTATAATAATTTAGACCTACACTGTTCAGTATGACAGTTCTCAGCCACATGTGACTGTGTAAATTTAAATTAATTAAAATTTAAAACTCAGGCTGGGCACAGTGGCTCATACCTGTAATCCTAGCACTTTGGGAGGCCAAGGCGGGAGGATCACTTGAGCCCAGGAGTTTGAGACCAACCTGGGCAACATAGTGAGACCTCGTCTCTACAAGGAAATCAAAAAGTGAGGTGGGAGGATCCCTTGATCCCTGGAGGTCGAGGCTGCAGTGAGCTGTCATCATGCCGCTGCACTCCCACCTGGGCAACAGGAGTGAGGCCCTGTCTCAAAAAAAAAAAATCGGTTTCTTAGTCACACCAGCCACATTTCAGGTGCTCACTGGCCACATGTGGCTAGCAGCTACATTGGTCAGTGCAAATAGAGAACACTTCTGTCATTGCGGAAAACGATATTGGATAGTGCCGCTCTAGAGACTTACAGTTGTATAAAATTAATGTTACTCTTTTACAGTAAGTATTCAGGGAGAAAATGCTACTTGTTTATATGCTGCTGATATTTAGAATAGAATCTCCGTGTTGGGATTTGACTGTTGATGGAACAGATTAGGGTAGGTAAGATTTGCCATATGGATGAATTGCTTGTGTTAGCAATAAATAGCAGGTGGATAATTAATTTGAAAAGTGTATATTTTATTTATTTATTTATTTATTTATTTATTTATTTATTTATTTATTCATTTATTGAGATAGAGTCTTCGCTCTGTTGCCCAGGCTGGAGTGCAATGGCGTGATCTCGGCTCACTGTAACCTCTGCCTCCCGGGTTCAAGCAATTCTCCTGACTTAGCCTCCTGAATAGCTGGGATTACAGGCACCTACCACCATGCCCGGCTAATTTTGTATTAGTAGAGATGGGGTTTCACCATGTTGGTCAAGGTGGTCTTGAACTCTTGACCTCAGGTGATCCACCCACCTTGGCCTCCCAAAGTGCTGGGATTACAGGTGTGAGCCACCGCGCCCAGCTGAAAAGTGTATATTTTAATATCTTTTTGATGTCTTTTCTATTTTAGTTTATAGCCATATATATATTTTTCTGTTTGACTTTTTCTTTCTTATGTTCTTCTTATCTGTATATGCTCATTTTCTTTCTACTTAGGCCTTGGTAGTAATTAAAAATGTTTAATCGGTCAGACCTTAAGAATTTCACTCAAATACACAAGATGGGACTTAGAGCATTACTATGTATTGTCCAGTTATTTTTTATGTACAATACCATCTATTTATTTTAGCCTAGTTTTACATGGTATATATAATATATTTCTTTGACCAGCCAGGGTTTAAATATTTCAGATGAAGGATTTGGACTTCTGTAAGTACTGAACAGTTTTTACATTCTGGCCTCTCTCTGCTTTATGATAGTTTTTGCTTTATGTTCTTTATGAGATGTTCATAATGTAGTTAATGCACGTGCTATAACAGACCCATGTGCAAATTAAAATATTTTAATACATATAAACTTAATTTTTATAGCTCCCTTTAATGCTTATGTGTATGCTTTAGTCTTCTGATCCATATCTGGATAATTTACCTCTAATCTATAGTCTACTTTAGAATTCAGTGCTTTTTCCTAGTCTGTATTTTCATGTACGTTTTGAGATTTTTGAGGAAAAAAATTGAACAATTTAGGTATTAGAGACAAAGAAAAGAGTATTTAGGAATAGAATATCCTATATGCCTTAGTTTGAGCTGCCTTAACAAAATATCATAAACTGTGTGTCTGAGAAACTAAAGAAATTTGTCTTTCCCAGTTTGGGAGTGTGGACCCTCCAAGATCAAAGTGCTGAGCAATTTGGTGTCCGGCAAAGGCCTGCTTCTTTTTTCATAGTCACCATCTTCTTTTTAACCTCACATGGTAGAAGGGGCAGAATAGCTCTGGGTGTCTTCTCTAAGGGCACTAATTCCACTCGTGAGGGTTCTGCCCTCATGACCTAATCACCTCCAAAAGGACTCACCTCCAGGTATCCTCATATTGGGGATTAGGTTTCAAATATAAATTTTAAGGGAACACAAACACTCTGTGGCACTATATATTAAGACATTAATGCTTCTTAAGTAACAAAGCAGGAATTTAACTCTCACCATATTCACCCAGCATTTCTGAGAGCAGGTTTGGCAAACTATCTTTGTAAAGAACCAGATACTGAACTGTTAGCCTTGCAGGACATGCAGTCTGTGTCGCTGTTCCGGTCTGCTGTCATAGTGCAAATGTATATATACACAATATGTAAGCAAAGGAGCATGGCTGTGTTTCAGGAAAACTTTGTTTACAAAAACCGAAGGTGGATTGGATTTGGCAAATCTGTATTATAAGTAGACTCCTGCCACAGGGATTTTTAAAAAGAGCAGGAGGCAGACAGTCACTTTTCCTACTAGCTTTAAAAATATAAGTTTAAGTTTGCTAAGTGGAAATTTTAAACCTGCTTTAGCACAAATAATGAAATATATGAAGTTTGTTTATTAATGACCTATTATGAATTATTGTTCCAAAGCAGGTGATTTCTAAAAAGGTGGTTGAAATGTTTGCCTTCCTCTTGGTATAGCTTTTGTGTAAAAGGGAAGTAAAATAATGCAGGGCATGAAGTTTAACATTTCAAGTGAGATGTATTTATTCAAAACAATATGAAAGAAGTAGTTAAATCACAGGATGTAAGAGCAATATGCAAAAATCAGTGTTGTGTCCATATAAAAGAAATGAATAGTCTAAAATTTTTAAAAATCTATTCACAATAGCATCAAAAAGAACAATATGCTTAGGAATAAATTTTAAAAAGAAGTGCAAGAGCTACACTGGAAATAAAAAGCATTGCTGAGAGAAATTAAAGAAGATCTATTAATAAATAAACAGAGGCATACACCATATTTATGGGGGACTCAAATCTTGTTAAGACGGCAATTCTTCCACATTTGAGCAATAGGTTCATTGTAATCCCTGGCAGAATTCTAGCAGGATTTTTTTTTTTTTGAGACAGAGTCTTGCTCTGTCACCCAGGCTGGAGTGCAGGGGCACGATCTCAGCTCACTGCAACCTCCACCTCCCCTGGCTTCAAGTGATTTTATAGAAATGAACAAGCTGATTCTAAAACTTAAATGGAAACACAAAGGATCTAGGATAGTTTAAAAAAAAAAAAAAACAGAGGAAAAAAGTTGAAGGGCTTACACTACCGCATTACAAAACTTACCATAAAGCTACAGTCATCAAGACAGTGTGCTAATAGTGTAGAGATAGACATGTTAATTAGTTGAGTAAAATATGGTCAAAGATTGTTGACAAATGTGCTAGGACAAGTCACTGGGGGAAGGATTATCTTTTCAACAGATGATGTGGTAACAATTGTATATATACACATGCAAACAAATAAATAATAAATCTTGAGGTCCACCTCAGAACATACACAGAAATTAACTCAAAATAGACCAGAAACTTACAAGTGAGAAAAAACTGTACAACCTGTAGGAAAAAATAGGAGTAAATATTTTTGACATTGGATTAGCAAAGATATGACATTAAAAGATATGACATTATTTTTTTGAAGACATGACAAAATAAAAGGAAAATTAGTAGTTTGGACTTCATTAAAATAAAAAAAAAACTCTTATGAAGAAGACACCATTAACAAAATGAAAAAAACAAGCCATAGACTAGGATAAAATACTTGAAAAATTCATATCTGATAAAGTATTGTACCCAGAATATTTAAAGAACTAAATAAGCAACCCAGTAAGCAGACGGCAAAAGACTTGAATCGACATTTTATCAAAAAAGATATATAAATGGAAAGTAAGCTTATGAAAAGATATACTCAGCACCATTAGTGATTGGCAAAATGCAAATAGAAACGAAAGTGAGATACCACTTCACATCCAGAAAGAGTGGCAGTACCAAGTGTGGGTGATGCTGTGGGAAAGTGGAACCCTCACATGTTGCTGGTGGGAATACAAAATGGAGCAGCCACTGAGGGAAAGAGTTTGTAGTTTCTTAAAAAGTTAAACTTTTACTTACCATAAAACCTAGTATTCTACTCCAAAATAAATGGAAACATATCCTCATGAAGACTTGTATGTGAATGGTTATGGCAGTATTGTTCATAATAGCCCAAATTGGAAACAACCCAAATGTTCATCAGCTATGAGTGAACTGTGGTACATCCACACAGTGGAATACTAGTGAACAGTGACAAGGAATGTGCCACGTGCCACAACATGGATAAATGCTCAACTCCACATGCTGAGTGAAAGAAGCTAGACACAAGACTAGTTTATATGATCCCATTTATATGAAATTTCTACAAATGACAAAACTAGTGACAGCAAGTAAGTCAGTGGCTGCCCAGGGGCTAGAGGTAGGAGACAGGATTAACTGCGGATGGGAATGAAGGAACTTTTGGGGTGATGGGAGGATTCTAAACTTGGACTGCAGTGTCAATTCACTAAAACACATTGAGTTGTACACTTAAATTAGGTGAGTTTTATGACATGTAAATCTACCTTGAAGCTGAAGAATAAAAGATAAATATTATAAAGGGAGATGTAACGAGGAATATCAGTACTAAAATAAAATTGAGGCACAGCTTGAATGTTGGTTTAAGGATTTTGTATATTTGCTCATTTAAGCAAATGTATAGATGTTTATATGCATCTGTATTTTTTTGAGTTTAATTTTAAGAATGAAGGATCAAAAGGAACATTGACCTTCAAAAGAGGGTGCCCTTGAAGGAAGGAGATGTAGATGTTGAGGGGGAGGCATGATCCTTCACATGTTGGAAGGGAGTAGTTCTTTGGTGTGCTGAGATGGAGTACCACCTGATGAAATAAGAAAAGGTACACATGGCCCAAGGAAGGATGACCTTAGTTACAGTGAGAATATTTAACAATGTGATTTGTGGAATATTGCATTTGTCATTGGAAATATATAAATAGATGCTGAGGGGACATTTTGTTTTGGATGCCGTAGGAGATTTTGCCAGGTGGCTTCTACATTCTCTTCTGGTGGTCATTCCTAACAAGCCACAGGGGGAGTTGCTGAGCCGCCGATGTCATCTGTTCAAGAGTGCCTTTCCCTTAAATCCATAAAGAACTAAAGAAAATTGAAAAGTTCTATCATTTCAATATTGGTTTTTTCCCTTTTCTCTGCCTTTTATGCCTTAGTTCATCCATTCTTTCTCTTTGTTTTTTATCCCCCATCAAAACATGTGGAAGGGGAGTGGTAGCCGATTGTGTGTCCTGCTGACGGCTTTACTCCTGGAGAGGTGGTGGCACCTCATTGTATAAATAAACAAATGGAGACTGAGTTATTATGTATTTTGAGGCCATGTAGCTTAGGGGTCCTGGTCCCTGGCCTTTTAACAACCTGGTTGTACAGCAGGAGGTGGTGAGTGGGCATTAGAGCAGATTCATGTGTGTTTACAGCTGTTCCCCGTCATTCGCATTACGGCCTGAGCTCTGCCTACTGTCAGATCAGCAGTGGCATTAGATTCTCACAGGAGCGTGAACCCTGTTGTGAACATGCTTGTGGTGCATGCAGGGGATCTAGGTTGTGTGCTTCTTATGAGAATCTAATGACTGATGATCTGTCACTATCTCCCATCACCCCCAGATGGGACAGTCTAGTTGCAGGGAAAGAAGCTGATGCCTCTCACTGATTCTACATTATGGTGAGTTGTATAATTTCATTATATATTACAATGTAATAATAACAAAGTGCACAGTAAATGTAATGTGCTTGAATCATCCCAAAACCATCCCCTCCAACAATGAAGAAAAATTATCTTCCACGAAACTGGTCCCTGGTGCCAAAAAGGCCGGGGTCTGGTGGTATAGCTAGGAAACAGTGGAAACTGGATTTGAATCTGTATCTGTTCTACTCTGAGCATGGTGTTTTTAAGTAATCTAATTTCATTTGGCTGAAATTTATTCAAACTGTGTGTCACAGGCAGTTTGCCCTTTATTTCTCTTTATGAAATGAAAAACTATTGCTGTTAAAGGAATTAAAGGTATCAGCAGACAGAATCTTTCTTGAGAGGTAGGATGAGGAAGTACAAGTCAGTTTCTTTTTCTTGATTTTGAGAACATGCTGTGTAAAGTTTATTGTGTGTTTGTATGTGTTTTAAGATTACTCAGGGGAAATGATTAGCCAGGCGTCTTTTCTGGCCTCAGAATTCCCCAGGGGATTGTGTCCTCTGAAAAGCATCCACCAGAGCCTTTTTCCTAGGACCTGTGTGGTGCGGAGGGTCCGAGAGCGTTTTTGGCCTGTCTCTCTGTCACTGCAGCCTGGCATAAGCTTGCTTGCTTCAGCGTACATCCTGAAGCTGTGCCCCAGCCCTGATCACCTTGTCCTAGAGCCTCCCTTCATCCCTCTTTCACAAGACATCTTTCACCTGTGCTCCCCACTGTGGTTGATGCCATCTGACTCTGTCCTTCCATTTTCTTTGGCCTCAGCACTCACAGGATATCTGACTCCAGGCCAGGAGGAGTGAGCAGCAGGATTTACTTGAGGGCCACTTCGCTGGAGCTTCGGTCCTCCATCAGATTCAGCTGTGGAGTGTGTTCCTCAGGCACAGAATGTGGGCGTGGTGGACAAGTGGAGTGTGTCAGAGTAGGAAAGGACAGAATTGAGGTTAAATCCCTGAGATGCATGAACATCAGTCTCAATTTATAGAAAGATCTCTTCACTCTTTTGTGGTAGACAGAATTCCAGTAAACGCTGTGAATTGTGAAATCAGGCCATTTGTTTATTTGTTCATTCATTTATTCATCTTATTTATTAGACCAACTTCGCACCCCTCTCTTACGTCCTAGGCACTGTCTGGCAGCTTCCCCGCTGAGGAGTTCAGTATGGTGGGAGGCATGTGAACACACATTTTAATACTGTGTGCTAAGAGCTCTGGTAGGAGAGAGTTTGTAAGAATAACTAACCCAACTAGCAGCAAGCAACTCAGGCAACAGCTTCCTGCGGGATGTCATGCGTGAATTAGATACGAGGACCCCAAGGAGCTGAAGAGGTAACATGGGAGGATTTTACTGCAGGGTGGACAGCACAGGCAAAGGCATGGAGGCATGAAACAGCATGGCGTGGAAGCACTAGCAGCTTAATAAATAGCCTGATTAGAGGGGGCAGTTTGTGTGTGTGTGTGTGTGTGTGTGTGTGTGTGAGAGAGAGAGAGAGAGAGAGAGAAAAGAACAGGCAAGCGTGTGAGCTGGTGGGGGTGGGGTGACACATCTCAAGGCACGCTTTCCCAGTCCTTCCTTCTCCTTTGGCTGAAGTATATTGTTTGGGTGATAGTTTCCCTTTCCTGTCAAATGAGAAACAAATATATCAAATATGTTTCATGTGCTAAGGGATATCGACATAGGGCTAAATTCTTCTTTTATCTGACTGTTATTTAGTATATATGTCTTAAAAATGGACACAGGTGTGCCTTGCCTATAAAAAAAGTATGGTCTGGCTTTGGGAACAATTCCTGCATGCATCTTGATGTGTGCCACAACCAGCAACATTTAAATAAGGCTCCATGGGTAGGTATAATCTGTGTGCATGGACTTTGCTCACATAGAAATTCAGCTCACTGGTACATCGTTGTTTGACATTATCTTGCTTACTTTTTAGTCTGTCCTTCCCATGCACTGTGAGTGCTGTGGGAGGGATGGTCCTGCTTGTCTTAGGTACTGCTCCATCCCAAGGGCCTCACAGAGTGCCTGGTATATGGTAGCTTCTCACT
Organism: Homo sapiens; assembly: GCF_000001405.40. Lineage (NCBI taxonomy): Eukaryota > Metazoa > Chordata > Mammalia > Primates > Hominidae > Homo > Homo sapiens. Next base: position 57,191,277 of record NC_000008.11, read on the forward strand.
GAATACTTGTAAAGAATGAGTTTATGAGACAGCCTGTTTTTGTTTACCCTCTACCACCCCCTTTGCCTTGTTCTCCATGACTGTTCTTTCTTCCTCTCTGGAAAATATTGTCTCTTTTTTTCCACAGGCGTTTTTCATCCTGTTCTCTCTGCCTAGAGTTTCTCCTGTCTTCTCCATCCCCTCTCTCTTCCTGATCTTTCAGATTTCACATTAAGTATTACACCCTTAGTGAATCTTGCCTTGATCTCTCAAGCTAGGACAGATGATTTACACACACTCTCACGGAATTGTTTTCCTTTCCTTCTGTGAATTTATCTCAGTTTTTAATGATAAATGTTTGAGAGAGTTACTTGAGTAATGTGTTCTGCCCCCATTGACTGCAACTTCTATGCACCTATTTTATTTTCTGAATATAGTCAGTACTAAGAGATTGTATGTTCTCAGTGTTTACCGGTGGATGAATGAGTGATGATGTGCTTCTACATGAGAACACACCCTGTCCAAGGAGGCTCCTAGAGCTCTTGCCTCCCAGCTATAGCCTCTGTCTCCCTTAGAATGCTGGGTGCACCTCAGGGCCTGCCCCATGGGGATCTTGTGAACAGCCACTGTAGCACTATAAATTCTCTCTTGTTTCTTTTCTATGCCCCGGAACAATGTCTCCTCTCTGATTCTTGTACCTGGAATATCTGTTGCTGGTCTATACTTCACTCTCTGTTCCTAGAGAAGAAGCATAGGGCTGGAAAGGAGGGAAGGGCTGAATGTAGGGAGCCTCACCACTTAGGTTGTGGAAGAGGAGAGGGAAGAGAAATGTGTTTCAGGCATAGCCAATTGGAAAAAGACATTTTTTCTAGAGAAGATAGCACAGTGTGGCCAGGTTCTTTTATATTGGAGTGTGTTAAACAAGTTTTTGTGGATGGGTGTGGAAACGCAGGTGACCTTTGTGTATTTTGTTCTTTGTCTTCTAACTTTTCTGTGGGAAAAATTTGTTTTGAGTTCCAAAAATTAGTCTCATATTTCTGGAACACAGCACGAGAGAACTGCCAATATTCAAATATAAACAGCAGAAACATGGGATGGTTAAAGTGGGAAGAGTGGACACCTATTAACCTTGGGAAGTTAAGCTGAAATACTTTCTTTATAACTTGGAAGTAATTTTTAATGATGTAAATGACCCAAAGAAAACATGTAAAAGATGGAAGTATATGCAGCAAAATTGCATAAATCTAATGGGTTGCCAAGCTGTGTATGGGATTATATTGTAAGAACTGTAATTTTAAAGTGATTTTAAACATACCATCGTGTGGCTTAGCTGCCCACCAATTTGAACAAATACTTACTGTGTGCCACAGTATTTCCAGAAACTCAAAGGAGATGGGGCGCTTATTCTTTGAAACACACAGTTGAGAACATTAAGACAGTGATTCCTCCAACACATGATTACTGTTACAAAAGAGGGGTATACCATAAGCTGGGGTAGGGGTGGGGGGGATCTGGGAGGGAGCAACTAATGTGGAAAGCAGTAAAACCCAGACTATGTATCAGCCACTGACTGTGTATTTAGTAGACTAAAACAGTTGGAAACAGAGTACAGATATTTGGTATTAAGTAGAATTCCGGTAACATATATTTAACATATTGGGGCATATTGTGATATTTTCCTCGGAAGTCTGCTTTATTGATGATAAAATGGAACAGTGGACTAGAACATGAAAAAAGACTGAATTCAAACTCTGACTTACGTGTGGTGGCCTTAGTGATTGATTTTATGCGATTAAGGGAAGAAACCTTGCTTAAGATGACTTTATGTCTCAACTATCCTTAGTATTCCATGTTGACCCTAAATGTCAATTTATTTATCTTTTGGGAAACAGTGATAACTTTAGACACTTGGTTGCATGTGGTGTGTGTGCATCAGCAGCTGTGGCAAACCCCGACCCTGCCCGCCACCAGGAGCATGGACCCCTGGCCAGATGCTGCCGGGCACCTTATTCAGGAAGTCAGCCCAGCAGCTGTAGGAGGGCAGGAGCTGGTGCTCAGCCCCATCCCAGTGGCTGCACAGTGCCCAGTGCCAGGATCCCTCGCTTTGGGCGCTTGTCCAGGAGGAAGAAGGGGGTGGTGCAGTCAAGCGGGCCCTGGGGCAGGCCTGGCCCAGCGCTCCGTTCTTGGGAGCCCTGCCAGCCCACAGGCCCATCTGCGGCAGGCACGTGGTGCCGCGAGAACTTGGCTCAGGGACGGTTTTTCCGCCATGCGCAGATTCTCGCCTCTCGCGGGGGCGCCAGGGGGCAGCTGGTTGAGGTGCGCATGCGCACTGGCACCTAACGGCTCTTCTTCGAGTCTTCTCAGAGGTTGGAGATTCCCTGTCTTCTCCAACCTCTGCCAAGTCTTCAGAGAGGTTGGAGTGCGCCTGTCGGAGGTCGGGGCCAGCCCACCTTGCTCTCTGGTGCTGGGCTGGGTGGGGTCTGGGTGGGGGTTGGGCAGGGGGAAGGGCGAGGGCAAGTTGTGGCCTCTCTGAAGCTGGTAGCGGGGCCACAAAGATAGTGGCTGTGGAGAGCCACAAGGGCCAGGTGCCCTTGAGCAACTTGGGTAACCATATCTTTACTGACGTCAGGTACTAGACCCCAGATGAGGATCTCAGGAAGATCCACAAAGCTGCGTCCAGGGGAACGAACGTGTGGAAGCTGCAGCGGAGCCTCCTGCTCAAGAGTAAAGGACCGGTCTGAAACCTACAAGAACAGGTGTCGGGGGCTGCAGGCTGCGGGCTGCGGGAGGAGGTGGGCGGGTGGGGAGAAGCACCCCCTTCAGAGTTGGGGCTTGGGGAGTGGGGGCGAGGGGAGGCATGGAAAGAATGGGTGTGCGGAGCGGGCCGTTCTGGTGCCCAGGGTGCTGGGCTTTCTTCCCGGACGGGCTCCGCAGCGCCTGAGATGTGGACGCCTTGGAGGCGGAGGGCCCGGGCCATCCTTATGAGCAGCAAAATAAACCCAAAACTTTAGCTGGTTTCTGACTCACCCACAGTTCCTCTTACAGAGCACTTCAGAGACAATTTTAAAGTGATTTAATTAATAAAAGTATGTACAGTGTTTTATTTTTTATGTATACAGTTTAAAATATAATGTTAGATACATTATAGAAAGAAGCATAATGAAAGAAATAATTTCCATAATATATCGCCTTCTGGGCTAAGAACATTTTGGGTAAAATCCAATATTTTATATCAATGAATTCTTATGTAAATATGTTCTTTGCGGAGGGACCTTAGAAGGAAACTTTGAAGTGGGAAGATTGTTTATGTTCTCGAATAAGACGACTCATTTTTCTCAAGGTGTGAGTTCTCTATCAATTTTACATAAATAAATTTATCAAAGTTAACATTTTTGAAATACACATGCTTTTAGTATTGTGGTAGCATTAAGAAAATTTTTGTAATGGAGTTAAAATTTTAGTTTTCTATATATCAAAATATGCTATCAATTTTCACTAATAGTTTGCTACCAGCTGAAAAGACAGGTAAATGAATGCAGGAGAATAGAAAATCCAGAAACACCCAAATATGTGTAAGAATTTATAGCATGGTAATGGTGAGACTTTATACAAGTAGGAAAAGATGAATTATGTTTATAAATGAAATGCCTGCCTTGTGGAGAAAACAAGCTAGATTTTTATGTCAACAAAACAAGTTCCTCATGGAATTTAGATTAAAAAATTTAAATATACAAAATTAGAAAAAATTATAAAAAATACCAGAAGAAAACACAAATGCCTATTTATATAGATAGATTATGATGTTAACAAAGACCTTCCTAAGAACCTCACAAGCAAGCATTCCGAAGGTTTAATTTAGCAAAATTAAAATTAAGTCTGTATATGACAAAAAGCAAAAGACAACATACTTGTAAAATACTTACCGTGTGTGTGTGTACATATTATATCAGAAATAGATCTTTATTTTACAGATAATTCTTTCAGATCGACGTGAAAAGAACTCTAAAATTGGGCAAAGTATTTTTTTCAGCTCTGCAAGTGATTTATGCACTTAGGAAAAATTAGTGTTCCTGGTAAGAGAAGGAATTTAATTTAAAAGCGGAATGAAATACTGTTTTCTAGCTACAAAGTTTGTAAGGATGAAGAGCAGTGATATTTACACTACTGCTTAAAGTTTAAGTTGCTGATGACTTTTTAAATAGACAATTTGATTGTAAGTAGCACATTTAGAAAATGTTTATGCCCCTTACCAATCAATTCTATTATACTAAAATATATTTAGGAAACAATGAGAGATATATGCAATTTGATTTTTTCAGCAGTGCTTAAAATATTATTGTATTAAAAAGAGTCCATATAGTGGAAGTCATAAATTTGTGGATTAGAGTATTCTGTGAACTTTTAGCACCTTCAGAAGTGAAGAGAACCTTTTTATCTGTGTTTGTTGATTTATATACTTTTTTTTTCTTTCTTTCTTTGAGACAGAGTCTCACGTTCTCGGCTCAATGCCACCTCTGCCTGCCGAGTTCAAGCTATTCTCATGCCTCAGCCTCCAAAGTAGCTGGGATTACAGCCATACATTATGACGCCTAGCTAAATTTTTTTATTTTTAGCGGAGATGTAGTTTTAGTTTTGCCATGTTGGTCAGACTGGTTTTGAACTCCTGGCCTCAAGCAGTTCACCCGCCTCGGCGTCCCCAAGTGCTGGGATTACAGGCGTGAGCCACTGCGCCCAACCTATATATACATTTTATTAGACACATATGTTTGTATTATATATAGATTTATTTCCTATATGGCAATCATTATAGATTAATAATTTTAGTTTAGTTTTATTATGAAAATAAAAATAGCAAGTATAAGTGATTATTACCATTGCACAAATATTGCTTTATTTGTAGTAGTTTTTTAAAATATCGAACGTCACAGCGGTATTTATCCATTTTTAAAAATCCATTTATTTGGCCAAGAGTGGTGGCTCATGCCTGTAATCCCACACTTTGGGAGGCCGACGCAGGTGAATCACGAGGTCAAGAGATCTAGACCATCCTGGCCAACGTGGTGAAACCCCATCTCTACTAAAAATACGAAAAGTAGCCTGGCGTGGTGGCGTGTGACTATAGTCCCAGCTACTCTGGAGGGTGAGGCAGGAGAATCGCTTGAACCCGGGAGGCAGAGGTTGCAATGAGCCAAGGTCACGCCACTGCACTCCAGCCTGGTGACAGAGTGAGACTTTGTCTCAAAAAAAAAAAAAAAAAAAAAAAAAGAAGAAAAAAGAAAATCCATTTATTCATCACCTATAAGCTGAATACCTGTTGTATAGAAGACATATTCTGCTAACTCTCAAGACCCTTCCATCCTTAAAAATTTCATGTTTACCTTCCCAGCCTGAGAGCAAGCTGAGAGGTTTAAAATTGGAGTATTAGGACTGAATCGCAATTGAAGCTTTTTTCCTTGTTTTTCAAACAAAAGCATTTCTGATGTGAGAAAGCAGTATACATTTTACTTTAAATATCAATATTTTAAAAGAAGTATTAGAGAGTATGCCTTTCTTTTATGCATTTACGATACATATTTGAATTTGTTAGAGTTAAAACATTTTTTTCAAAAAGTTTTTCACCCAGGATTTTTTTTTCTTTCTAACCTACTGTAAAACAACACAGGAAAGCAAAATTGGCCGGCATAAATTGAATCAACATGTAAAATTTAGGAGACATGCAAAAATCTGTATTTCACGCTCCTCTTAAACAATCAATTCTGGTTTCCCTTGAGCCCATATTACTGTTTGGTGTGCTATGAAGAGGCTGTAGATTAAAGTAAGTCTATGTTCTCTAGTTTGTCACTGTGCCCACCTAGGTACGTCACTTACTCAGGTCACACCCTTTACCTCTGTAAATATTTTAGTTAACAATTCCTGTCGTATTGTAAAGATTTCAAGGTTTTTAAGACAGTTGAAAATTATAGTATGTAGTTATATATTAATCCCTTAATAATGGAGTTGACTTTTAGAATTTAGAAGTTGTTTGTTAAAACAACGATTTTTCTTTATGCCATAAATAATCATCTCATTAGAATGTTTATAAGCCTTTTTAGGTTAATCGTTGTTATATTTGGATAGGTTATGAATATTGCAGAAAAGATATCTTTCTCCTGAGCGTTGTCCCTTAAAATCGAAGTGATTTAGTCGCTTTTATTATGTCAAAATAATCCATATAGATAGGGTAGAATTTTTATTGATAAGTCATTGTATTTGTAGTTTTGATATTTTGCCAAAAATAGTAAGTAATTTTAAGTAGCAATGGAAATAGATACCAGAATAAAAATGGATTAATGCATTTGAATAAGTAGATGTGCATTGGGGTCTTAGGATTATCATTATAATTGAGAATAAAATTTCATACTGAACTTTCTAACAGCTAAGAGAAAATTCTGTCATCTTGTATAGAACAAATCCCATGGACCATTCAATTATTTATAAGCAATCGAAGTTCATTTGAAGCCAGACTCTTTTAATTTAGAGCCCATTTCCTTAGCGACTTATTTGGAGCAGGAGGGCCTGACTTTGGCATTTGGGATCCTGGGACCATTGATAGAATCAGGCAAGTTTGTGTCACCTGGAGGAAACCTCCACCTTTATTGGAAAGCTTTAAAATTGTTTTCCTGAAGTTTTAATTCCTCAAATAGTAATGTTTGCCACAAAAAAGTATTTTCAAATAGGGAATAGGCAAAGTTCAAGACATTTCTTGAATACTGAACAAATGATTCACAGTTTTACAATATTTCTCAAACGTAGATGATCATAGGATCTTTCTGTTGGGGTACAGTCTTTAACTTCTGGTAAAGTAAACTTCTGCCATTTTGAAAATTTATAACTGTCTTAATGGTAATATTAATCTCATATGTTACATGAATTCTATACATCTAAATACTAATTTGCATACATTCTGTAAATCTACTGAATAAAATGAGCCATTCTTATTTGAATCCTGACTTTCCTTTGGCTTAAAGTTTTTAAAAAATTAAAGTAAAAATGACTGTGTTTTAAAAATTTGTTTCAGTATTTCAACCCTTTTTTTTCCATAGCACTTTTAAGAGCTAAAATTGATTTAAATGTTAGCCATATGACTAGGACTGCTATTGTCCTGTTGTGTATACTGTACTCTACTTAATGTCACCGTGGATTATGTGATGCCTCTATTTTATGTATCAATAAAAGAATGTTTAAATGCTGCCAAATATAGTTGTAAAAATAATGAATTATAAATAGGATTTCAGCATCAGATCTGTTAAAATACGAGAAACTGTGCACCTTAGAATCATTGAAATACGGTGTTATCTCTAACCTTTGAAACATACCTCAAAGGAGGTATAATTGTACCATTTTACTTAATTAAAATGTTGTCTTCATTAAGTAGTAGTAATAATTATAATATCTAACAATTATTGAGCCATTATTTGTGCCAGGAACTGTTACAAATACTTGGCATAGATTCCCAATTAGGTATCACAGTGATGTCCTGTGAGATAACTACTATATTCATCTCCACGTTATTGATGAGAAAATTGAGGCACAGAAAGGTTAAGTGATAGCTCATAAATGAAAGACTTTAATGTAGTATTCAAGCTCAAGTTGAACTGAATCCAAAAGCCAAAAACTTTCTAGTCAAATGGGCTACTCTTTTATTAATGTAGTGACTAATACGAGCTAATAAGTGTTGCACTTTCTTCAGGGGCAAATTAGATGTTTCGAAGGCAGAGGAAGGGCATGCTATTTAATGTTTACAATCACATGAATCATGTATGTATGTCTTGAGAGAGTAGGCTAAACTTCCCTGGAAAATTCTTTCAGTCTTGTAGGACTGTTCTACATTTGGCCTGTGCCAATGATGTTCCAGAAGTGGTAACTTTTCTGGCACATAGAAAGTGCCAGCTTAACATCTGTGATAGTGAAAACAGGGCACCTCTGATGAAGGTACATAGTGGCCAATTTTTTCAGCATGAGATGAATTTGGCTGAAATACACAGAATAAAAATGAATTTATCTCACCGAAATATCCACAGTTTGTGAAACGTGGAATGTGTATATTGATTGTTTAGAACTTAAAATTTCTTGGACTAATACTGATAGGTTATTCAATGCCAATAAGATGTTTTTGCAACTATTCTGCTCGACTTTGGTGCTGATCCAAATGTTGTAGATGTCTGTTGCAACACTGCTCTCCACGACGCTGTCTATAGTAAGAATATACAAAAGGTAGCAAAACTGCTTTCACACAACCCAGACATTGAAGTGAAAAACAAGGTAGAGATCAACCAATGTTATTTTCAAAATATTTGAAATCCATTTGTGTAGGGGTGGGTTGCCCTTCCACAGCTGTGGGTGTTTCTTGTAAGGTGGGACGAGAGATTTGGAAAAGAAAAAGACACAGAGACAAAGTATAGAGAAAGAAATAAGGGGACCCGGGGAACCAGCGTTCAGCATATGGAGGATCCCGCCAGCCTCTGAGTTCCCTTAGTATTTATTGATCATCTGTGGGTGTTTCTCGAAGAGGGGGATGTGTCAGGGTCACAAGACAATTGTGGGGAGAGGGTCAGCAGACAAACACGTGAACAAAGGTCTTTGCATCATAGACAATGTAAAGGATTAAGTGCTGTGCTTTTAGATATGCATACACATAAACATCTCAATGCTTTACAAAGCAGTATTGCTGCCTGCAGGTCCTACTTCCAGCCCTAAGGCGGTTTTTCTCTATCTCAGTAGATGGAGCATACAATCAGGTTTTATACCGAGACATTCCATTGCCCAAGGACAGGCAGGAGACAGATGCCTTCCTCTTGTCTCAACTGCAAGAGGCATTCCTTCCTCTTTTACTAATCCTCCTCAGCACAGACCCTTTATGGGTGTCGGGCTGAGGGACAGGTCAGGTCTTTCCTTTCCCACGAGGCCATATTTCAGACTATCACATGGGGAGAAACCTTGGACAATACCTGGCTTTCCTAGGCAGAGGTCCCTGCGGCCTTCTGCAGTTTTTGTGTCCCTGAGTACTTGAGATTAAGGAGTGGTGATGACTCTTAAGGAGCATGCTGCCTTCAAGCATCTGTTTAACAAAGCACATCTTGCACCGCCCTTAATCCATTTAACTCTGAGTTTGACACAGCACATGTTTCAGAGAGCACGAGGTTGGGGGTGAGGTCACAGAATCTCAAGGCAGAAGAATTTTTCTTAGTACATAACAAAATGGAGTCTCCTATGTCTACTTCTTTCTACACAGACACAGTAACAATCTGATCTCTCTTGCTTTTCCCCACACATTTGTTTTAACATTGTCATATGTAGGGGTCAGTTTTTCATATTTGGAAGCTCAAGCTCCCTGAGTGAAAATATTTTAAAATAACTGGGGTTTAAGCATCACTGTAACAAAGATTTGTTGGTTCAGAGTTCGAGGAGATCAGTAAAGAAAAGTAGGAGTCCAAGCCAGGTCTTGAAATCTATTAGTTTTCTGCCCTGGGTGTGATTGATGAGCTCAGAAATAGGGGATAATCATGTTATCTAATTTGATGAATTAATTTATAAATAAATTTTATTACAAATTATCAAATAGCCTAGATGCCCTGAATCACAAGCCACAAAAAAATGGAACATCTAATAACCAAAAGTAGGACTTAATAAGTTTCTGAAAACTACAACATTTGAATATTAGATCCTATGAAGAAACACACATTGGTTTTTTATAATTTATCTTTTATTTTTTGTAGTTACAGGGTCTCCCTGTTGCGCAGGCTGGTCTTGAAGTATTGAGCCCAAGTGATCCTCCTGTCTCAGCCTCCCAAAGTGCTGGTATCACAGGCGAGTCACTGCATCTGGCCAACACATTGGGTTTTATTTGGGATTTTAAAATAGTTTCAGCTATAAGCTTCAAGATTAAGTATTCCATTACTGTTTCTTTGAACAGTTTTTCAAATGTTATGTTGTTAAAACTTTGTAATAACCTACTGAAATAAGGCACTAAAAACCTCATATTAGAAGAAGACATTGAGCCTAAGAGAAGCAACTTGCTGAAGAACAAATAGGTGTTGGTTACAGAACTCAAACTTAGGAGATCAGGACATTTTCCATTACGTCAAGCTAACTCTAGTTAATTTCCTGAGCTATACTGCCCTGAATTCATGAGTATTTCACTTTGCTTTCTTCAATTTGAAGCTTAATAAGTGCATAGAGCTAATAAGTTAGAAGTCTGTGGAATAAGTAGATTTCAGATATTACCCCGACACTCTGAAATACCCTAGGAATTTAACACATTGGGTAAATTTTTAATATCAGTGTTGAAATAATACCTCAATTTATCACATATTTGATACATAGCATTTACCAAGAATGTTTGGAATCTGAAATAAAGATACCTAAAAGTCCTCAAAACAGCAATCCAGGTAAGACTTTTAATACTAAGCTACTCTTGGTGGTGCTAGCATAAGATTATTGAGTTTCGATCACAAAAAAGAAATTTAGTGTGTCAATGGTATGTCTGTGTGGCTGTGCATGTGTGTGTAAATATGTTTGTATTTATATAAAATTTTTTCTTTGAATAGTTTAGTATTCACAGTTAAGAATTTAGTTTGTAGATAGTTTATAATCTCAAAACCTATTGTCTTAAAAACAATCCTTTATTGAATTTTGTTGCCTACAATTTTAAAAAATATTTTTGAATAAATAACAATTTAAGTAAGTGAGTTATATTTTTCCTTTACTGGCATGTTCTAACGAATGAGGTTTGTGAATACGTGATGATTCCTATGATGAGCTTAGAATGATTATTTCTACTTTTGGATCTGGGGAAATGATAAAGATCCAAATAAAATTGTGTTTCTCCAGTGAGAAGAAACAATGGCTGTGGATAGGGAGCCAACCAGGTTTCCTGCAGAGATTCATGGGAAGCTTTTGAGCAGGGGAGTCAGAAGATGAGCAGTCAGTATTAGGGCATTCTGGTCATGGCACGATGCAGGGATTGGCTAGCTCTTCCTGTAAAGGGCCAGGTGGAAAACACTCATAGGTATCATGGTCTCCGTTCACGCCGTAGCAGCGTGAAAGCAGTCAGAGATGACACGTAAGCAAATACTCCCGACCGGCCTCTGGTAAAGCGTCCGTTGTGGAAGTGTTTAACAGACCTAACAACCTTTCAAACCGCATGGCATTTGTTTCCCGGGTCCCCTTTTGAGAATGTTTCTGGCAGCTTACAAGGACCTTCTCCAACGTGCTTGGGCTCTCTTGACTTTCCTAGGATCCTGAATACAGCGTCCCCAATTTGGCCTTAGGGCTCCGGGAAGCATTGGCCTTACTGTGTCCCCGCTAACCCCATTCCCATCTTGTCATGATCACCCACTGGAGAAGAGAGGAGGTGCTGGAGTGAATGGGATCGGGGGAGGCCTGTTCATCCCTGGGAGCCCGGAATGAACCGGTGTTACCATGTACCCCTGGCCTTGCCTACATCCCTGCTCTAATGGTCATGTGTTAGCCTGGGATCAGCCTTTGTCTCGGTGCTATGGATCTGTTGCGCCTGCGGCCTTGGTCCGGTCTCTGTCCTTGTGTCTGTGACATGAGAGTGACTGTGGCTGAGAGCATTCCAGCAAGACAATGATGATCTCTGCTGTCTGATTCCTGTTTCCTAGATTCTCACACTAGACGAGGAGCCTGTTTTTCAGCTAGCTGCTGCAAGGGAGCTGGAAATTTCTCCCTTCAGATAGGACCTAGAAGGTCTGAAAGCATCTGGAGAAGGGTGCGGCTGGGAGTAGAGAAACAGGCTACAGACTGAAGCAGGAGGAAGCGAGAGAGGAAGACTCATGGAAAGCCTTGTTGCGCTCGCCAAAAGAGCTGCCCTCGCACTCGAGAGGGCCATGTTTAATGCCTACCTGAAGAAAGGTAGTAACCTCTGGAGCACTTGTGGCTTGGGGTGAAAACGCGCCTGGCGTGAAGGAAGAATCTTTGCTCTTCCCAGAGGGGTGCTGACTGGAAATGAGCAAGTAGATGGGGTCCCAAAGAGCCACAGAATGAGGCCCTATGCAGGTGGTGGGACAGACTGCCCCAAAAGCCCCCTAAGAAGTTGGCCCTGGGGCGTAAGAGGAAGGCAGGGTGAAGAGCAGGAGTGAAAGCTGCTTCAGCACTTTGGAGCAGGAAGGAAAGCAAGCAAGATACAGTTGGAAGAGGGCGAAGCGGGCAACCTAAGGGACAGAGTGCAGGGTTTGACCTTCGACTTGGGGTCTCCTCCATTGGTAGGTTTTGGGGGTGGCATTGTTGCCTCTCCACTGATCCTTCCCTTGGGTGGGGCTGTTGACTGGCATCGCGGCCTGTCAGCTTGTGGGCGGGGGGTGTGACAGCCGCAATGCCATACCTGGAGGCTTAGGTGTGCTCACTTGAGGTGTACATCCTCTACCTGTCGAGTGTTCTCAGAGGAAGGAGACAGAGCTGCTGAACCCCGCCAGTGTGGCTGTCAGGGGGTCCTGTGTGAGCCCACATGCCTGACTCCTGGGATCTCAGAGGGAGGCTGCTGATGTCCACTTTCCTGCGCTTCCGTCCATTGGGAGCCTGCCCTTCCTTGGCACTGGCTGGCTGTGAGCGGTTTTCCTCCATAGATAGGGTTCAAGAACCACGTGACAGTCACCTCATGGTGGTCTGACATTCCTGATGGAGGTAGGGAGACCCCCTGGTACCATGCTCACGTCAGACCAGCTACCGTGAGTGACAGGAACGTCTGACAGGATTGCATGTTTGGCAGAAGAAACACCTGCCAGATCAGATGTGAACGTGTGGCAGAAGGCCCATCCAGGAAGATTGCACACTGGGAAGAAGGAAGACCTGAGAACGTTGGACGGACAGCAGAAGGAGCGCCTTGGGAGATTGCCCGGTGGGGTGGTGGTAGCATCTGAGAGGATTGCGGGGTGGGCGGGAGGATGAGCTGGGAAGGATGCAGGGCCTGGGAAGGTAACATATGAAGACGATTAAATATGTGGCAGGAGAAATACCTGAGAAGATGGGATGCTTGCCAGGGGAAACAAGGGACAGAGTGGAGTGTTTGGGAGAAGGGATGCTTAGGTAGATTGCACGTGTGGCCAAAGGTACATATGAGAAGGGTGAATGGCGGACAGCAGAAACGTTGCAGCCGATGGCACGGCAGTGGGGAGGAAAACGTAGGAAGCATGGAAGTGCATGGCTTGCGAAAGAAGCATCTGAAGCCATGGCATGTCTGAGAGAGGACACATCGGGCAAGATTCCACGTTTGGCAGTGGGCCCATGAGCGGAGGCAGATGCGTATGGGCCTGCGACAGTCTCGGTTCCTGCCTCCTGAGAAGAAAGTCATCAACTGAGGGGCACAAGGCAGAGGGAGAGACCGAGGCACGCATAAGAGCAGAGGCAAAAGTTCCTGAAATGGTATGGTGGCAGGAGCCAAAGGAAGTCAAGGAGGCTTGGAAGAGGCCCAGGTGGGCAGCGACCTGAGAGGTGGAGTGCAGGGCTGGACTGTGGACTTGGGGTCTCCCCCACTGGCGGCATCGCTGCCAGTCCCCTGATGCTTCCCTTGGTGGGGGAAGGGCAGTGCTGTGCACTGGCGCAGTGGCCTGTCAGCACCTTTTGGGGGGGTGCGGGTGGCAGCGCAGGCGCCGTGTGCTCACTGGAGTTGTTCGCATGGTCGCTTGAGGCGTTCCTCCTGTAAGCAGACGAATGTGCCCGAGGTAAAGGTCGTAAAGCAGTGAACCTCCCACCAGTTTGCCTCTCAGGGTGCGTACGAGAGCCCACTCACCTGACACTCGAGGTCTGCCGGAGAGGCTTCCGACGTTCCTGATAGCTGTGGGGGGTGGCGGGGCTGCCTTTCCCTGGCGCCGCGTGCGACCAGTGATATCTCTAGAGAGTCTGCTTCACGAACACCTGAGCATCACCTCGCAGCCACCTGATGTTTTCTGGTGGTGGGGAACCCTCTCGGGCCCCACTCTGCACGTGTGACTGAGAGGGACACCTGACAGGATTGAACGTGTGCCAGAAGATCATCAAACGAGATGGAGTGTCTGGGAAAGGAACGTCTGACAGCCCTGAGCATGTGGCAGAGGGAACATCTAAGCAGATTGCAGTGTTTTAGGAAGGAATGGCTAAGAACATCACATGGTCAGCAGGAGGAAACCTTAGGGTAGGAAGATTGCAGGGGTATGGTGGGGCAAGGGAACCCATGAGAAGACTGAGGGATCGGCAGTTGGACACCCTAGGCAGATTGCAAGGCCTGCCCGAGAGACATCTGGGAAGAGGAAGTATTGGGCCCACGGTGCGCCGGATAATACTGAGCACTTGTCAGGGGAAGGAATGGACGCAGTTGGCTGTTTGGCAGAAGGAACACTCAGGTAGATTGCACGTTGGGCAGAAGGCCCAAGTGTGAAGATGACATGGAAGACAGCAGAAAGCCTTTAGCAGGTCGCACGGTAGGGAGATTGCATGTGTGGCAGAAGGAACACGTGAGAAGGTTGCCATGGTGGACAGCAGAAAAATTGCAGCCGATGGCACAGCGGTGGGGAGGAAAACATAGGAAGCTTGCAAGCGCGTGGCCTGCGAAAGAAGCATCTGAAGAGATGGCATGTCTGGCAGAGGACACATTGGGCAAGATTCCACGTTTGGCAGCAGGCCCGTGAGCGGCGACAGACGCGTATGGGCCTGTGGCAACCTCGGTTCCTGCCTCCTGAGAAGAAAGACATCGAGTGGCACACGGTAGAGTGAGAGACCGAGGCACGCATTAGAGCAGGGGCGAAAGTTCCTGAAATGGTATCGTGGCAGGAGCCAAAGGAAGTCAAGGAGGCTTGGAAGAGGCCCAGGTGGGCGGTGACCTGAGAGGTGGAGTACAGGACTGGACCTTGGACTCAGGGTCTCCCGCGTCGGCAGCATCGCTGCCTGTCCTCTGATGCTTCCCTCGGCGGGGAAGAGGGGGCTGTTCACTAGCACAGTGGCCTGTCACCATCTCATGGGGGCGCGGAGGCGCCGTGTGCTTACTGGAGTTGTTCTCATGCTCTCTTGAGGCGTTCGTCCCACAAGCAGATGAATGTGCCCAGGGGAAAACATCCCAGATCAGTGAACCTTCCACCAGTTTGCCTCTCAGGGTGCACGTATGAGCCCATTCACCCAACTCCCGAGGTGTGCTGGGGAGGCTTCTGAGGTTCGTGACTGCTGTCGGGGAGGGGGACTGCCTTTCCCTGGTGCTGCCTGTGATCAGTGATTTCTCTAGAGAGTCTGCTTCGTGACCACCGGGCCATCACCTTGTGGCTGCCTGATGTTTACTGGTGGTGGGGAACCCTCTCGGGCCCCGCTCCACACGTGTGACTGAGAGGGACACCTGACAGGATTGAACGCGTGGCAGATCATCCGACGAGATGGAGTGTCTGGTGGAAGGAACATCTGACAGCCCTGAGCGTGTGGCAGAGGGAACATCTAAGCAGACTGCAGCGATTTCAGAAGGAACGGCTAAGAACATCGCATGGTCAGCAGGAGGAAACCTTAGGGTAGGGTGATTGCAGGGGTGCTGGGGGGCAAGGGAACCCGTGAGAAGACTGCGGGATCAGCAGTTGGATGCCCTAGGGAGATTGCAAGGCCTGCCCAAGAGACATCTGGGTAGAGGAAGTATTGGGCCCATGGTGCGCCAGACAAAACTGAATGCTTGTCAGGGGAAGAAGTGGACGCAACTGGCTGTTTGGCAGAGGGAACCCTCAGGTAGATTGCACGTTTGGCAGAAGGCCCAAGTGTGAAGATGACATGGTAGACAGCAGAAACCCTTTAGCAGGTCGCACGGTGGGCAGAAGGAACCTCTGAGCAGATTCCATGGTGGGCAGACGGAATGCCTAGGAAGAGTGCGTGGCTTGCAAAGGAAGCATCTGGAAAGAGGGAACATCTGGGAGAGAAAACATCCACCAAGATGGAGCGTTTGGCGGTAGGGATGTCAGCGGTGGCAGATCCATAGGGGCCTGCAGGCAGCAACCCGAGCTCTCACCTCATCAGAGGGAGTTTAACTGAGGGGCGTGAGGCGGAGTGAAAGAGACCGAGGCCTGTTTGAGCGCAGGAGTGCAGGTCTCCCAGATGGTACCAGAGCAGAAAGACGAGGCAGTAAGGTATACTTGGAAGAGGGCCATGTGGGCAACTGGAGAGGTCGGGGGCACGCTTTGTTCGACCTTTGAGGCGAGGTCTCACACATTGGCAGGCTTCCAAGAGCCAGGGGTTGCATTGCTTCCTCCCCTGAGCCTTTTCTCAGGGTGGGCCATCCACATGGGCAGTGGCCTGTCATCACCTGGGAGGGACCGCAGGCGTGGCGTGTTTCCTGGAGTCATAGGGGCGCTCACATGAGGCGTGCCTCCCTTGGCAGTCGGATGTTGCCTGGGGAGGGTCGTAGGACAGTAAAACCCGGCCGGTTTGCCTGTGAGTGTGCAAGCATGAGCCCCGTCACGCGCCCCCTGAGATCTTCTCAGGGAGCTGCTAATCGCCACCTTCCGGGGTTTCTGTCTGTCTGGGGGACCGCCCGTCCCTGGCACCGGCTCCCGGCAATCATTTATTATTTGAGACAGGTAGTTTAATGGCAGCCTGACCCGTCGCCTCCTGGTCGCCTGATGTGTCTGGTGGGGTGTGGGCGTGGCCCTCTCCCGCGCTGCTCCTGTCTGACCAGCCGCCCACGGTAACACAGAAACATCTGGCAGGATGGAGTGGTTGGCGGAAGACACATCTGACGAGATCGAATGTTTTGCAGAAGAGCCATGTGACGGGATCCGTGGTTTGGCAGAGGAGACATGCGAGAAGACGGAACGTTTTGTCCGAATAGACATCTGGCAGGGTGGAACGGAGAGAACAGGTATGGTGGAGAGAACGTCTGAGAAGGTCGCAGGATTCGCAGGAGCATCGGGAAAAGATTGCCTGCTTGCCCGAAGGAATGGCAAGTTCCAAAGGTCAGAGGCTCGCGTGAACTCTGTCGGGTTCGAGAGCAGCTCAGTGTTGCTGGTGGCAAGAGTGTGGTACGGGAATGGTTGGGTGTGGTTTGAATGTCTAGAAAAGGCGAGCTGAGGGTAGATTTTTGAGCGGTCCAGAGCAGAAGGGGTAGAGGATATATTCTGTGGGCCACGGCCACATTCTCAGGATGCTCGTGGCTGTAAATAGTAGATGACCCAAGTAAGAGCGGCTGAAGCCATAGGCACCAGAATTGTGTCAGCATCGTCGTGTCATGCTCATGTTTTCCCTTCCAGCTGTGCTGTGGGCAGTGTTTAGTTCATGTCTGCTTTGCTGGCGGGCCGAGTAGCAACAGCTGCAGTTGGTGTGTTCTCTGAAGGCAGTATCCGAAGGCTGGAGGGGTTGCTTTTCTTCCCAGGTGTCTTTTGAAGAGGCAGTCAAGTCAGCAGCTCGCGGTGAACTTCTGGTAACATCGTATGGGCTGGGTTACAGCACATGCCGACTGCTAAGCCGGTCACTGGGGAAAACCATGTGATTGCTGTGATGAGCTTAGAATGATCATTCCTCCTTCGGGAGCTGGGGTGGGTTGAGGGAGTGATAAAGATCACGATAACCTTGCATTTCTCCAGCGAGAAAGAAGAAAGAAATTCCGTGGATAGGGAGCCAGCCAGGTTTCCTGCAGAAAATCATGGGAAGCTTTTGAGCAGGGGAGTCAGAAGATGAGCGGTGAGTATTAGGGCTTTCCGGTCACGGTGTGACACAGGGATTGGCCAGCTCTTCCTGTAAAGGGCCAGGTGGGAAGCACTCGTAGGCCCCGTGGTCTCTGTCGTGTCTGCTGAAGCCTGCCGTAGTAGCGTGGAAGCAGTCAGAGATGACGTGTAAGCAAATGGTCCCGACTGACCTCCGGTAAAGCATTGATTCCGGAAGCATTTAACAGACCTAACAACCTTTCAAACCGCATGGCGTTTCTTTCCCGGATCCCGTTTCAGGAACGTTTCTGTTGGCTACAAGGACCGTCTCCAACATGCTTAGGCTCTGTGAACTTTCCCAGGATCCTGAGTAGGGTATCCGCCATTCGTCCTTAGGGCTCCGGGATGTCTCGTTCTTACTGTGTCCCTGCCAACCCTGGTCCCATCTCGTCATGATCACCCACTGCAGAAGAGAGGAGGTGCTAGAGTGAACAGGGTCAGGGGAGCCCCGTTCATCCCCAGGGTCCCAGAATGAACCAGTGTTACCATGTACCCCTGCCCTTGCCTTCCTCCCTGCTCTAATGGCCGTGTGTTAGCCGGAGATCAGTTTGGGTCTGGGTGCTATGGGTCTGTTGCGCCTGTGGCCTTGGTCCGGCCTCTGTCCTTGTCTCTGTGAAATGAGAGTGACTGTGCCTGAGAGCGTTCCAGCAAGACAATGATGATCTCCACTGTCTGATTCCCGCTTCCCAGGTTCTCACAGTAGACGAGGAGCCTGTTTTTCAGCTAGCTGCCACAAGGGGGCTGGAAATTTCTCCCTTCAGAGTGGACCTGGAAGGCTTGGAAGCATCTGGAGAAGGGCATGGCCACGAGTAGAGAAATCCAGGCTACAGGCAGAAGTGGGAGGAAGCGAGAGAGGAAGACTCATGGAAAGCCTTGCTGCACTCGCCAAAAGAGCTGCCCTCGGACTCAAGAGGGCCACGTTCAATGTCAACCTGACATAAGGTAGTCACCTCTGGAGCACTTGTGGCCTGGGGCAAAAACACAGCTGGATTGAAGGAAGAGTCTTCCCTGTTCCCAGAGGGGCACTGACTGGAAATGAGCATGAAGGTGGGGTCCCTAAAGGGCCACAGAACGAGGCCCTATGCAGGTGTCGGTACAGACTGCCCCAAAAGCCCCCTGAGAAGTTGGTCCTGGGGTGTAAGAGGAAGGCACAGTGAAGAGCAGGAGTGAAAGCTGCTTCAGCACTTTGGAGCAGGAAGGAAAGGAAGTGAGATACAGTTGGAAGAGGGCGAAGCGGGCAACCTGAGGGATGGAGTGCAGGGTTTGACCTTCGATTCTGGATCTCCTCCATTAGCAGGCTTCCGGGGTGGCGTTGTTGCCTCTCTGCCGATCCTTCCTTCGGGTGGGGCTGTCGACTGGCACCACGGCCTGTCAGACCGTGGGCGGGGGGCGTTGCAGGCACAGTGCGGTTCCTAGTCTTAGGCATGCTCACTTGAGGCGTTCTTCCCCTACCTGTCGACTGATCTCAGAGGAAGGAGACTGAGCTGCTCAGCCCTGCCGGTGTGGCTGGCAGGGTGTCCCGCATTAGCCCATGTGCCCGAGGTGGAGTACAGGACTGGACCTTGGACTCAGGGTCTCCCGCGTCGGCAGCATCGCTGCCTGTCCTCTGATGCTTCCCTCGGCGGGGAAGAGGGGGCTGTTCACTAGCACAGTGGCCTGTCACCATCTCATGGGGGTGCGGAGGCGCCGTGTGCTTACTGGAGTTGTTCTCATGCTCTCTTGAGGCGTTCCTCCCACAAGCAGATGAATGTGCCCAGGGGAAAACATCCCAGATCAGTGAACCTTCCACCAGTTTGCCTCTCAGGGTGCACGTGTGAGCCCATTCACCCAACTCCCGAGGTGTGCTGGGGAGGCTTCTGAGGTTCGTGACTGCTGTGGGGGAGGGGGACTGCCTTTCCCTGGTGCTGCCTGTGATCAGTGATTTCTCTAGAGAGTCTGCTTCGTGACCACCGGGCCATCACCTTGCGGCTGCCTGATGTTTACTGGTGGTGGGGAACCCTCTCGGGCCCCGCTCCACACGTGTGACTGAGAGGGACACCTGACAGGATTGAACGCGTGGCAGATCATCCGACGAGATGGAGTGTCTGGTGGAAGGAACATCTGACAGCCCTGAGCGTGTGGCAGAGGGAACATCTAAGCAGACTGCAGCGATTTCAGAAGGAACGGCTAAGAACATCGCATGGTCAGCAGGAGGAAACCTTAGGGTAGGGTGATTGCAGGGGTGCTGGGGGGCAAGGGAACCCGTGAGAAGACTGCGGGATCAGCAGTTGGATGCCCTAGGGAGATTGCAAGGCCTGCCCAAGAGACATCTGGGTAGAGGAAGTATTGGGCCCATGGTGCGCCAGACAAAACTGAATGCTTGTCAGGGGAAGAAGTGGACGCAACTGGCTGTTTGGCAGAGGGAACCCTCAGGTAGATTGCACGTTTGGCAGAAGGCCCAAGTGTGAAGATGACATGGTAGACAGCAGAAACCCTTTAGCAGGTCGCACGGTGGGCAGAAGGAACCTCTGAGCAGATTCCATGGTGGGCAGACGGAATGCCTAGGAAGAGTGCGTGGCTTGCAAAGGAAGCATCTGGAAAGAGGGAACATCTGGGAGAGAAAACATCCACCAAGATGGAGCGTTTGGCGGTAGGGATGTCAGCGGTGGCAGATCCATAGGGGCCTGCAGGCAGCAACCCGAGCTCTCACCTCATCAGAGGGAGTTTAACTGAGGGGCGTGAGGCGGAGTGAAAGAGACCGAGGCCTCTTTGAGCGCAGGAGTGCAGGTCTCCCAGATGGTACCAGAGCAGAAAGACGAGGCAGTAAGGTATACTTGGAAGAGGGCCATGTGGGCAACTGGAGAGGTCGGGGGCACGCTTTGTTCGACCTTTGAGGCGAGGTCTCACACATTGGCAGGCTTCCAAGAGCCAGGGGTTGCATTGCTTCCTCCCCTGAGCCTTTTCTCAGGGTGGGCCATCCACATGGGCAGTGGCCTGTCATCACCTGGGAGGGACCGCAGGCGTGGCGTGTTTCCTGGAGTCATAGGGGCGCTCACATGAGGCGTGCCTCCCTTGGCAGTCGGATGTTGCCTGGGGAGGGTCGTAGGACAGTAAAACCCGGCCGGTTTGCCTGTGAGTGTGCAAGCATGAGCCCCGTCACGCGCCCCCTGAGATCTTCTCAGGGAGCTGCTAATCGCCACCTTCCGGGGTTTCTGTCTGTCTGGGGGACCGCCCGTCCCTGGCACCGGCTCCCGGCAATCATTTATTATTTGAGACAGGTAGTTTAATGGCAGCCTGACCCGTCGCCTCCTGGTCGCCTGATGTGTCTGGTGGGGTGTGGGCGTGGCCCTCTCCTGCGCTGCTCCTGTCTGACCAGCCGCCCACGGTAACACAGAAACATCTGGCAGGATGGAGTGGTTGGCGGAAGACACATCTGACGAGATCGAATGTTTTGCAGAAGAGCCATGTGACGGGATCCGTGGTTTGGCAGAGGAGACATGCGAGAAGACGGAACGTTTTGTCCGAATAGACATCTGGCAGGGTGGAACGGAGAGAACAGGTATGGTGGAGAGAACGTCTGAGAAGGTCGCAGGATTCGCAGGAGCATCGGGAAAAGATTGCCTGCTTGCCCGAAGGAATGGCAAGTTCCAAAGGTCAGAGGCTCGCGTGAACTCTGTCGGGTTCGAGAGCAGCTCAGTGTTGCTGGTGGCAAGAGTGTGGTACGGGAATGGTTGGGTGTGGTTTGAATGTCTAGAAAAGGCGAGCTGAGGGTAGATTTTTGAGTGGTCCAGAGCAGAAGGGGTAGAGGATATATTCTGTGGGCCACGGCCACATTCTCAGGATGCTCGTGGCTGTAAATAGTAGATGACCCAAGTAAGAGCGGCTGAAGCCATAGGCACCAGAATTGTGTCAGCATCGTCGTGTCATGCTCATGTTTTCCCTTCCAGCTGTGCTGTGGGCAGTGTTTAGTTCATGTCTGCTTTGCTGGCGGGCCGAGTAGCAACAGCTGCAGTTGGTGTGTTCTCTGAAGGCAGTATCCGAAGGCTGGAGGGGTTGCTTTTCTTCCCAGGTGTCTTTTGAAGAGGCAGTCAAGTCAGCAGCTCGCGGTGACCTTCTGGTAACATCGTATGGGCTGGGTTACAGCACATGCCGACTGCTAAGCCGGTCACTGGGGAAAACCATGTGATTGCTGTGATGAGCTTAGAATGATCATTCCTCCTTCGGGAGCTGGGGTGGGTTGAGGGAGTGATAAAGATCCCGATAACCTTGCATTTCTCCAGCGAGAAAGAAGAAAGAAATTCCGTGGATAGGGAGCCAGCCAGGTTTCCTGCAGAAAATCATGGGAAGCTTTTGAGCAGGGGAGTCAGAAGATGAGCGGTGAGTATTAGGGCTTTCCGGTCACGGTGTGACACAGGGATTGGCCAGCTCTTCCTGTAAAGGGCCAGGTGGGAAGCACTCGTAGGCCCCGTGGTCTCTGTCGTGTCTGCTGAAGCCTGCCGTAGTA
This sequence comes from Homo sapiens, assembly GCF_000001405.40. NCBI lineage: Eukaryota > Metazoa > Chordata > Mammalia > Primates > Hominidae > Homo > Homo sapiens. The sequence continues at coordinate 57,213,435 of NC_000008.11, forward strand.
GCATGGAAGCAGTCAGAGATGACGTGTAAGCAAATGGTCCCGACTGACCTCCGGTAAAGCATTGATTCCGGAAGCATTTAACAGACCTAACAACCTTTCAAACCGCATGGCGTTTCTTTCCCGGATCCCGTTTCAGGAACGTTTCTGTTGGCTACAAGGACCGTCTCCAACATGCTTAGGCTCTGTGAACTTTCCCAGGATCCTGAGTAGGGTATCCGCCATTCGTCCTTAGGGCTCCGGGATGTCTCGTTCTTACTGTGTCCCTGCCAACCCTGGTCCCATCTCGTCATGATCACCCACTGCAGAAGAGAGGAGGTGCTAGAGTGAACAGGGTCAGGGGAGCCCCGTTCATCCCCAGGGTCCCAGAATGAACCAGTGTTACCATGTACCCCTGCCCTTGCCTTCCTCCCTGCTCTAATGGCCGTGTGTTAGCCGGAGATCAGTTTGGGTCTGGGTGCTATGGGTCTGTTGCGCCTGTGGCCTTGGTCCGGCCTCTGTCCTTGTCTCTGTGAAATGAGAGTGACTGTGCCTGAGAGCGTTCCAGCAAGACAATGATGATCTCCACTGTCTGATTCCCGCTTCCCAGGTTCTCACAATAGATGAGGATCCTGTTTTTCAGCCAGCTGCCGCAGAGGGGCTGGACATTTCTCCCTTCAGACAGGACCAGGAAGGCCCGGAAGCATCTGAGGAAGGGTGTCGCCATGAGTAGAGAAATCGAGGCTATGGGCGGAAGTGGGAAGAAGCGAGAGAGGAAGACTCATGGAAAGCCTTGCTGCGCTTGCCAAAAGAACTGCCCTCGGACTCAAGAGGGCCACGTTCAATGCCAACCTGACATAAGGTAGTCACCTCTGGAGCACTTGTGGCCTGGGGCAAAAACTCAGCCGGGGTGAAGGAAGAATCTTCCCTGTTCCCAGAGGGGTGCTGACTGGAAATATGCATGAAGGTGGGGTCCCTAAAGGGCCACAGAACGAGGCCCTATGCAGGTGTCGGTACAGACTGTCCCAAAACCCCCCTGAGCAGTTGGCCCTAGGGCTTCAGAGGTAGGCACGGTGAAGAGCCGGAGTGAAAGCTGCTTCAGCACTTTGGAGCAGGAAGGAAAGAAAGCGAGATACAGTTGGAAGATAGTGAAGTGGACAACCTGAGGGATGGAGTGCAGGGTTTGACCTTCAACTTGGGGTCTCCTCCTTGGGCAGCCTTCTGGGGTGGCGTCATTGCCTCTCCACTGATCCTTCCCTTGGGCGGTGCTGTCAACCGGTGCCGCTGCCTGTCAGCCCATGGGCGAGGTGAGTCACAGGCACTGTGGGGTTCTTGGAGTCTTAGGCCTGCTCACTTGAGGCATTCTTCCCCTATTCGTTGAGTGTTCTCAGAGGGAGGGGACGGAGCTGCTCAACCCTGCTCTTGTGGCTGTCAAGGTGTCCTGCATTATCCCACACGCCCAACTCCTGGGATCTTACAGGGAGGCTGCTGATGTCCACCTTCCTGCGCTTCCATCCATCAGGTGCCTGCCCTTCCTTGGCTGCAGCCGGCCGTGAGGAGTTTTCCTCCATAGATAGGGTTCAAGTACCGCCCAACTGTCACCTCATGGTCATCTGACATTCCTGGTGGTGGTGGGGGGACCCCCGGTACTATGCTCACGTCAGACCAAGTACCTCAAGTGATAGGAACGTCTGACAGGATTGCACATGTGGCAGAAGAGCATCCGAGAAGATTGAAGCTTTGGCAGAAGAAACACCTGCCAGATCAGATGTGAATGTGTGGCAGAAGGCCCATCTGGGAAGATTGCACATTGGGTAGTAGGAAGACCTAAGAGCACTGGACAGCAGAAGGAGTGCCTCTGGAGATTGCCCGGTGGGCGGCGGTAGCATCTGGGAGGATTGCGGGGTGTGCGGGAGGATGAGCTGGGAAGGATTCAAGGCCTTGGGAGGCAACATGTGAAGATGATTAAATATGTGGCAGAAGAAACACCTGAGAAGATGGGATGCTTGCCAGGGGGAACAAGGGACAGAGTGGAGCGTTTGGGAGAAGGGATGCTTAGGGAGATTGCACGTGTGGTGGAAGGAACATGTGAGAAGGTTGCATGGTGGACAGCAGAAACCTTGCAGCTGATGGCACAGCAGCAGGGAGGAAAACGTAGGAAGCATGCAAGTGCGTGGCCTGCGAAAGAAGCATCTGAAGGGATGGCATGTCTGGCTGAGGACAGGCACATTGGGCAAGATTCCACGTTTGGCAGTGGGGCCCGTGAGTGGCGGCAGATGCGTGCAGGCCTGCGGCAACCTCGGTTCCTGCCTCCTGAGCAGAAGGACATCGACCGAGGGGCACAAGGCAGAGGGAGAGACTGAGGAACACGTTGGAGCAGGGGCGAAAGTTCCTGAAACGGTATTGTGGCAGGAGCCAAAGGAAGTCAAGGAGGCTTGGAAGAGGCCCAGGCAGGCAGCAGCCTGAGAGGTGCAGTGCAGGGCTGGACCTTCGACTCGGGGTCTCCCCCATTGGCAGCATTGCTGCCGGTCCCCTGATGCTTCTCTTGTCGGGGAAGAGGGGGCAGTCCACTGGCGCAGTGGCCTGTTAGCATCTTCTTGTGGGGTGGAGGGGCGGGGGCCGCAGGTGCTGTGTGCTTACTGGAGTTGTTAGCGTGCTTGCTTGAGGCATTTCTCCAGCAAGCAGACGAATGTGTCCAGGGGTAAAGGTCCTACAGCAGTGAACCTCCCACCAGTTTGCCTCTCAGGGCACGTGCGTGAGCCCACTTGCCCAACTCACAAGGTCTGCCAGGGATGCTTCCGATGTTCCTGACTGCTGTGGGGGAGGGGGACTGCCTTTCCCTGGCACTGCCTGCGCCAGTGATTTCTCTAGAGAGTCTGCTTTGAGACCACACGACCATCACCTCGCGGCTGCCTAACATTTACTGGTGGTGGGGAACCCTCTCGGGCCCCGCTCTGCACGTGTGACGGAGAGGGACACCTGACAGGATTGAACGTGTGCCAGAAGATCATCTGACGAGATGGAGTGTCTGGCGGAAGGAACATCTGACAGCCGAGTGTGACAGAGGTAACATCTAAGCAGACTGCAGCGATTTCGGAAGGAACTGCTAAGAACATCTGGTGATCAGCATGAGGAAACCTTAGGGTAGGGAGATTGCAGGGGGGGCTGGCAGGGTGAGGGAACCCGTGAGAAGACTGCAGGATGGGCAGTTGGACGCCCTAGGCAGATTGCAAGGCCTGCCCAAGAAACATCTGGGTGGAGGAAGTATTGGGCCCATGGTGCGCCGGACAAGACTGAGCGCTTGTCAGGGGAGGGAGCGGACACAACTAGCTGTTTGGCAGAAGGAACACTCAGGTAGACTGCACGTTTAGCAGAAGGCCTAAGTGCGAAGATGGCGTGGTCAACAGCAGAAAACCCTTAAGCAGGTCTCATGGTGGGCAGAAGGAACCTCTGAGCAGATTCCACGGTGGGTAGACGGAACACCTAGGAAGATTGCATGCCGTGCAAAGGAAACAGCTGGAAAGAGGGAACATTTGGGAGAGAAAACATCCGCTAAGATGGGGTGTTTGGCGGTAGGGACGTCCGCGGCGGTGGATCCATAGAGGCCTGCACGCAGCAACCTGAGCTCTTGCCTCGTCAGAGGGAGTTTGACTGAGGGGCATGAGGCGGAGGGAGAGAAACCGAGGCCACTTTAAGCGCGGGTCTCCCAGATGGTACCGGAGCAGGGAGGCGAGGCAATAAGGTACACTTAGAAGAATGCCATGTGTGCAACTGGAGAGGTCAGGGGCATGCATTGTTCGACCTTTGAGGAGAGGTCTCACACATTGGCAGGCTTCCAGGAGCCAGGGGTTGCGTCGCTTCCTCCCCTGAGCCTTTTCACAGGGCGGGCCATCCACATGGGCAGTGGCCTGTCGGCACTTGGGAGGGACCGCAGGCGCAGCGTGTTTCCTGGAGTCGTAGGGGTGCTCACTTGAGGCGTGCCTCCCTCGGCAGTTGGATGTTGCCCAGGGAGGGTCATAGGACAGTGAAACCCGGCCGGTTTGCCTGTGAATGCGCAAGCGTGAACCCCCTCGCCCACCCCCTGAGATCTCGGGGAGCTGCTCATCGCCACCTTCCAGGGTTTCTGTCTGTCTGGGGGACTGCCCGTCCCCGGCGGGGCTCCCAGCAATCATCTGTTATTTGAGAGAGGCAGTTTAATGGTGGCCTGACCCATCACCTCCTGGTCACCTGAGGTGTCAGGTGGGGTGTGGGCGTGGCCCTCTCCTGCGCTGCTCCTGTCTGACCAGCCGCCCACGGTAACACAGAAACATCTGGCAGGATGGAGTGGTTGGCGGAAGACACATCTGACGAGATCGAATGTTTTGCAGAAGAGCCATGTGACCAGATCCCTGGTTTGGCAGAGGAGACATGCGAGAAGACGGAACGTTTTGGCCGAGGAGACATCTGGCAGGGTGGAACGGAGGGAACAGGTGTGGCAGAGAGAATATCTGAGAAGCTCGCAGGATTCCCAGAAGGAGCACTGGGAGTAGATTGCCTGTTTTCCCGAAGGAACGGCAAGTTCCAAAGGTCAGAGGCTCATGTGAACTCTGTCGGGTTCAGGAGCAGCTCAGTGTTGCTGGTGGCAAGAGTGTGGTACGAGAGTGGTTGGGCGTGGTTTGAATATCTAGAAAAGGCGAGCTGAGGGTAGATTTTTGAACAGTCCGGAGTAGGAGGGGTAGAGACATATTCTATGGGCCACAGCCACATTCTCAGGATGCTCGTGGCTGTAAATAGTAGATGACCCAAGTAAGAGCGGCTGAAGCCATAGGCACCAGAATTGTGTTGGCATCGTCGTGTCACGCTCACGTTTTCCCTTCCAGCTGTGCTGTGGGCAGTGTTTACTTCATGTCTGCTTTGCTGGCGGGCCAAGTAGCAACAGCTGCAGTCGGCGTGTTCTCTGAAGGCAGCGTGTGAAGGGTGGAGGGGTTGCTCTTCTTCCCAGGTGTCTTTTGAAGAGGCAGTCAAGTCAGCAGCTCACAGTGGCCTTCTGGTAACATCGTATGGGCTGGGTTACAGCACATGCCGACTGCTAAGCCAGTCACTGGGGAAAACCATGTGATTGCTGTGATGAGCTTAGAATGATCATTCCTCCTTCAGGAGCTGGGGTGGGTTGAGGGAACGATAAAGATCCTGATAACCTTGCATTTCTCCAGCGAGAAAGAAGAAATTCCGTGGATAGGGAGCCAGCCAGGTTTCCTGCAGAGATTCACGGGAAGCTTTTGAGCAGGGGAGTCAGAAGATGAGCGGTGAGTATTAGGACTTTCCAGTCACGGCGTGACGCAGGGTTTGGCCAGTTCTTCCTGTAAAGGGGCAGGTGGGAAACGCTTGTAGGCCCGGTGGTCTCTGTCATGTCTGCTGAAGCCTGCTGTAGCAGTGTGGAAGCAGTCAGAGATGACACGTAAGCAAATGGTCCTGACTGGCCTCTGGTAAAGCGTCGATTCCAGAAGCATTTAACAGACCTAATAACCTTTCAAACCGCACAGGGTTTCTTTCCCAGGTCCTGTTTCAGGAAAGTTTTTGGCGGCTTACAAGGACTGTGTCCATCATGCTTGGGCTCTCTTATCTTTCCCAGGATCCTGAATAGGGCATCCCCCGTTCATCCATAGGGCTCTGGGATGTCTTGGTCTTACTGTTTCCCTGCCAAACCCGGTGCCATCTCGTCATGATCACCCACTGGAGAAGAGAGGAGGTGCTGGAGTGAACCGGTTCGGGGAAGCCCCATTCATCCCTGGGGTCCCAGAATGAACCGTTGTTACCATGTGCCCCTGTTCTTGCCTTCCTCCCTGCTCTAATGGACGTGTGTTAGCCTGGGATCAGCCTTGGTCTGGGTGCTATCGTTCTGTTGCACCTGTGGCCTTTGTCCGGACTCTGTCCTTGTCTGCGTGACGTGAGAGTGACTGTGGGTGAGAGCGTTCCAGCAAGACAATGATGATCTCTGCTGTCTGATTCCCACTTCCCAGATTCTCACAGTAGACGAGGAGCCTGTTTTTCAGCTAGCTGCTGCAAGGAGCTGGACATTTCTCCCTTCAAATAGGACCTGGAAGGCCTGGAAGCATCTGGAGAAGGGCATGGCTGTGAGTAGAGAAACAGAGGATACAGGCTAAAGCAGGAGGAAGCGAGAGGACTCACGGAAAGCCTTGCTGCACTCTCCAAAAGAGCTGCCCTTTTCACGTGGTATGCTGTCCACATTGGCTGTGTCCTGTTGACAGCTGGGAGGGGCCGTAGGCATGGCGTTTTTCCTGCAGTTGCAGGCACTCTCACTTGAGGCGTGTCTTTTTCGGCAGTAGGATGTTGCCCGGGGAAGGTCATAGGGTAGTGAAACCTGGCCGGTATGCCTGTGAGGAGGTGTGTGTGAGCCCCCTCGCCTGCCTCCTGATACCTTCTTGGGGAGCTGCTCATCACCACCTTCTGGGATTTCTGTCTGTTGGGGGCACTGCCGTCCCTGGCGCTGCCTCCCAGCCATCATTTCTTATTTGAGAAAGGCAATTTAACGACGGCCTGCCCTGTCACTTCCTGGTCACCTGACATATCTGGTGGGGTGTGGGCTAGACCCTCTCATGCGCTGATCCTGTGTGTCCAGCCATCCACAGTAACACAGAAACATCTGGCAAGATGGAATGGTTGGTGGAAGACACTTCTGATGAGGTCGAATGTTTTGCAGAAGAGCTATGTGATCGGATCCCCGGTTTGGCAGAGTAGACATGCGAGAAGACTGAACGTTTCATCGTTGAAACCTCTTAAAGGTGGAATGTGTGGCAGAAAGAACGTCTGAGAAGCTCACGCGATTTGCAGAAGGAACATTTGTAGAAGATTCCCTGTTTTCCGAAGGAATGTCAAGTTCCAAAGGTCAGAGACTCACATGAATTCTTTCCGTTTTAGGAACCATACATTGTTGCTATTGTAAAGAGTGTGGTACTGACGTCGTTGGGCATAATTTGAATGTCTAGAAAAAGTGAGCTTAGGGAAGATTTTTGAGCAGTCCAGAACAGGAGGGGTAGAGGATATATTTTGCGGGCCACGGCCACATTCTCAGGATGCTCGTGGCTTTAAATAGTAGACGACCCAAATAATAGCAGCTGACGCCATAGGCACCAGAGTTGTGTTGGTATCGTTGTGTCATGCTCACATTTCCCTTCCAGCCATGCCGTGGGCAGTTTTTAGTTCATGTGTGCTTTTCCGGTGGACTGAGTAGCAACAGCTGCAGTTGGCGTGTTGTCTGAAGGCAGTATCTGAAGTGTGGATGGGTTGGTCTTCTTCCCAGGTGTCTTTTCAACAGGCAGTCAAGTCTGCAGCTCATAGTGACCTTCCGGAAACATCATATGGTCTGTATTACAGCACATGCCTATTGCTAAACCCATCACTGGTGAAGGCCATGTGATTCCTGTGATGTGCTTAGAATGATCATTTCTCTTTCGAGACCTGAGTTAACAAGTGCAGGGTTTGACTCAGGGTGTCATTTGTTGGCAGGCTTTCAGGGTAGTGTTTTTGCCTCTCCCCTGATCCTTCCTTTGTGTGGGTCTCCCAGTGCCGTGGCCTGTCAGCCCATGGGTTTTGGGTGTCACACGTGCATGTGGTTCCTGGAGTCTTAGGCATGTGCTCTTTTCTTACCCATTGAGTGTTTTTAGAGGAAGGTTATGGAGCTGCTAAACCCAGCCCTTCTGGCTGTTAAGTGTCCTGCATGAGCCCACGCACCTGATTCCTGGGATTTTACTGGGAAGCTGCTGATGTCCACCTTCCGGCTCTTTTGTTCTTTGGGAGGCTGCCCTTTTTTGGCACCGGCAGGCTGCGAATGGTTTTCTTCCATAGAAACATTTCAACAACTGCCTGGCCGTCATCTAATGGTTGTCTGACATTTCTCGTGGTGGTGGGGGAAGCCCCTCATACCCTGCTTATGTCAGACCAGTTACCTAGAGTGACTGGAATGTCTGACAGGATTGCACATTTGGCAGAAGAACGTCCGAGAAGATTCAGTGTTTGGCAGAAGAAACCTCTGTCAGACGTGAACGTGTGACAGAAGGGCCATCCAGGAAGATTGCACACTGGGCAGAAAGAAGACTTAAGAACATTGCATGGACAGCAGAAGGAGTGCTTCGGGAGATTGCCTGGTGGGCGCCAGGAACACCTGAGATGATGTCATGGCAAACAGTGGAAATGAGAGGTTTACATTTAATGTCTTGTTTACATAAGGTAGTAAACTCTGGAGCACTTGTGGTTAGGGGTGAAAACTCACCCTGGGTGAAGGAAGAATCTTCCCTCTTCCCAGAGGGGCAATGACTGGAAACGAGCAAGTAGGTGGGGTCTTTAAAGGGCCACAGTACTAGGCTCTATCCTGACAGCTGTTCAGACTGCCCCAAAAGGCTTGTGAGAAGTTGTTGCTAGGGCATAACAGGACAGTTAGATTAAGAGTAGGAGTGATAGCTTCTTCAACACTTTGGAGCAGGAAGGAATGGAAGCAAGATACAGTTGGAAGAGGGTGTAGTGGGTGACTTGATGAATCGAGTTCATGGTATTATTTTTGACTTGGATTCTCCTTCATTGGCATGCTTCTGAGTTGGCGTCATTGCCTCTGCCCTGATCCTTCCCTTGAGTGGGGCTGTTCACCAGTGCAGCGGCCAGTGAGCTCTTTGGGCGGGGTGTGTGGCATACACAGTGCGATGTCTGGAATCTTACACGTGCTTACTTGAGGCATTCTTACTCCACCGGTCGAGTGTTCTCAAAGAAAGATGATGGAGCTGCTAAACCTTGCCCATTTTGATCTGTTATGTGAGACTTGCCTTTCGCCTTCTGTCATGATTGTGAAGTGTCCCCAGCCATGTGGAACTGTGAGTCCATTAATCTTTTTTCCATTTAAATTACCCTCTCTCAGGTATGTTTTTGTCAGCAGTTTTAAAACAGACTAATTTTAGAAGCTTGGCCCTAGTTCTTTGTAGGCCTTTCAATATTAAAAATGTCCAATATTGAATATTAAAAGTATTCAGTATTTCTATTAAACTCTTGAGTCATTGGGGTTCCAATCAGGGTTGTCAATATGTACTGCCCCTCTTCCTTTTGGTAATGGAGTTTCCCTTGTTTCTTTTCTTTCCCTATTTTGTCTTGCATTTTTATTTATTTATTTATTTTTATATGTTTTTTTGTCGCACTGTAGGACACATATTGCTTGTCTCTGAACTTCTCAGCTGCCTGCAGATCTTCCTGTTTTTCAGCTGCAGTTAGGGTTTGTCTGAGGAGAAGCATAACATCCCTCCAGGTAAGGTCCGACACCTGAGTTAAATTTTGGAAAGCTTCTTTATACCTGTCAGGGTCATTCGAAAACCAGCCTAATTCTCTTTATCTGCCTGTGGTTCTGCAATGAGAAGGGAACTGGAACCTTAGTGACATTGTCTCCATTAGGCATTGCCTGCAGTGGTAAGCGTCAGACTGTGGAATGAGGAGTGATGACACTGGAGGGGCTGACATTGCATTTGGAAGGGGCCCTGAATAAGGGGGACCAAGAGGGGCCTGAACAACTGCCTTAGATGTTTTTCCCAGAATTTGTTTCGCTAGTGTGGGGGAGTTACTTCCTTTGGGCCTGCCTGATATGACTGTTAAAATAGCTGTGTTGATTGTGCAATGCTTACAAATGTCTAGTAACCTTTGGTTCTCCACTGGTGATTGTTTTTTTTTGACTTTGTAAACCTGTGTGACCTGTATGGTTCCTCAATAGATGGATCTTGGAAAATAGGATGTAATAGTTGTATTTGGGCAAGGCCTCTTTAATGGAGACAGTGTACTGAGTTGAGCTCTCTATTTTGCTATCATGGCCTCGAGTCATGTACTTATTCTTAGGCAGTGATTCTGGTTAACTTTCAGACATAAAATGTTACTATTTAAGTAACATGTTAATTGGAGGCAGAATAGGTGCCTTAAAATAATGTAAGGAATGAAAGGTGGTTTTCCTGCTCATGGGACAGTACTGGGGCTAAAACTTCATTTTGGAGGACATTTTCCCCCTCATTGTTGAGTTTTCCCATTCACAGAAGCAGCATAAAGCCTGGTCTCTAGTAGAGAGTGCAAAAGTGAGAATTCAGAAACTAGAATGTTTCAGCAAAGGGCTGACAAGCTGTCTCATGGAGAGGATTCTAATTGCAATAGGTGGTGCTGTTGACCTTGAAATACCATGTGCTCTACAGACCAAGGGCTGAGAGAGAGAGAGAGAGAGAGAGAGAGAGAGAGAGAGAGAGAGTCGTTCACTGGATGGGATGGGTGAGACCCTCTGTTTCTAGAAAATCACAAAAATGGCACTCCCTTGATCTATATTCCCAGTTACCAGAGCATTTCCAAATCTTGCCTAACAGGATTATTTCCCTGAGCTTTAAAAATTTCTGCAGCATTGCACACACACAGTAGATAAGAGACATGGTTGTCTTAGACAGGAAAGGAGGAAAATTGCAATAGGAAAGGCTCCAAGATCCTGTTGCAGATGCCCATCCGGCAGTCAGAGGGTGGAGTTAGTCCAGAAGCCTTTGGGTAACAGTGGGGTATGGTCCTGGGAAGGAAGCATTAGTTGCCTCTGGACCTCTTCCAGACCCACATGACACCTAGGCTGTCTGTGAAAGAAAACTGGTTCAAAAGAGAGTCAACATTCCCAGCACTTTGAGGGCCCTGGGGGATTCACTAAGTTTTCTCTGTTGTCTTAGTATTGAGAATGGTTGCCACCCTAAAGGTTTTTTTAATTTGCTATCAGTTGCCCAGTTTTTAGTTTATAATTTTAAAGTTGAGGGCAGAAGCCCTCAAAATCAAAGTAAAGGTTTAGGGTCCACTCCTCTACTCACCTTTCCGATGAATCTACCTTGGATCCCCAACCAGCCCCCACAATGAAATGGCATTATTGTCTGTGGTAAATATCTGAGATTCGTTGTCTCACAGACCTGGAAAACTAGGCCACAGACACTCAGAGTGAGGCTCAGAGCAGAAGTTTAATAGGTGAAAGAAAGAGAAAAGCTCTCTTGCTACAGAGAAGGGTCCCAGAGAAATGGGTTGCTGGTTCGGCAGTGAAGTGCAAGGGGCTTTATAGATGAGCTTGAAGTGGGGAGGTGTCTGATTTACCTAAGACACAAAAGATTGGTTTGACCAGGTGTGCCATTTGCATAGGGCATGAAAAGCTGGCTGCCCCCACCATAACCTTTTATTATGCAGATGGCTTTTCTGCCTGGCCAGTGTCACATTGCCCTTTTTTCTTTTTTTTTCTTTTTTACTGTAAACATAGTAACAATAAAAGGGAAGATGGAGCCTCTGTGTTGGACATGCCTGGCCCCCAGGTAGCCCTTTTCTATTGGCGCAGCTACTAGCATCCTAAATCATTTATTTCTACCTCCTGTATCATGGCAGCAGATCTGTATGGGTCTGCAGCAACCTCAATTCTTGTCTTCTAAGAAGAAAGAATTTGACTGAAGGGAGTAAGCCAGAGGGAGAGACCAAGGAAAGTTTTAAAACAGGAGTGAAAGTTTATTAAACAGCATCAGAATAAGAGCCAAAGGTAATAAAGTACATCTGGAAGTGGGCCAAACGGGTGACCTGAGAGATCAAGTGCATGGTTTGATTTTTGACTTGGGGTCTCATAGGTTAGCAGGCTTCGGGGATTGTTTTTTCTCACTGATGCTTCCCTTGGGGCAGGTTGTCCACATGCAGAGTGGTCCATCAGCACTTGGTAGGGGCTGAATGTGCAGTATGGTTACTGGAGTTGTATGCACGCTCGCTTGATGTGTTCCTCCTGAACCAGTCAAATGTTGCCAGAGAAAGGTACTAGAGCTCTTAAACTACACCCACTACCATGCGTGAGCCCACTAGCCGAACTCCTTTGAGCTTATCAGGAAGCTGCTGAACACTATCTGGTGTTTCTGTCTGTGGCAGGAACCATTTTTCCCTGGCACCAGCTGGCACTGGCTGCGAACAGTAAATATTTCAGAGATGCAGTTTACAACCACCTGACCATCACCTCCTGATCACCTTACATTTTTGGTTGGGGGCCCCCCCCTCGTGCCCTGTTTATGTTTGACTAACCGGAACATATGACAGGATGAAATGTTTGGCAGAAGAAACATTGTATTGGACACTTAATAGCCTATTGTCCTAATAGACTACATACAGCATAGTGTAAACATCACCTTTATGCACTGGAAAACCAACAAATTTGTGTGACTCACTCTATTGTGATGTTTGCTTTGCGTCATTGGTCTGGAACTTAGCTTGAAATATTTTCAGTGTATGCCTTTAAATGGGACTGAGATACAGTAAGTGAGTCATTAGTGATCAAGAAACCAAAAAAATTAAGGATAATAGAGTAGCTTAAATTTGAGAGAAAATGTTCAGAAAGAATTTGAGGTGCTTATTATGTGTTTGTTTGTTTTCTTTTTTTAACAAATGAATATTCAGCATCTCATCCACTGAAACAACCTTTAATATGATTTACTGTATCTCTTGAATACTCATTCATGCATGCAATACTAACCTGCATGCCTACTATCTGCTAAGCAGTATTTGAAGAGCTAGAGATACAGCAAGGAACAAAATAAAGCCTCTCCTCTTATAGATCTTACATAGTGGGGAGAGTGGGAGCAACCAGTGAACAAACTGGAAAATGTGTATATAAAATAGATGAGGTGATAAAAAGTGCTTTAAAAAATAGAAGAGATTAGAGAATGAAGTAGGTACTATTTGAAGTCAAATGGTCACAAAATACTCCTCTTATGACAGGGTAATAAGCAAAGGCCTGGATAAAAGAGGAAATAAACCATACTGTTGTCTGATTTAAAAAAAAAAAAAAGCACTCCAGGAAAAGAGCACCACATATGCAAAGGCCCTGGGATAGAAGCACACACGCCTGGCGTCTTTGAAGATTGCAGTAAGCAAGGGGAGAATGACCGAACTGCAGATCAGAGAAGTGTTAGGGGACAAGTTTGAGATCTTGTTTGCCATGACAGGATATTGGCTTTTACTTTGATCTGCAAAATCATTGGAAGGTTTTAAGCAGACAAAAAACATTAATTGTCTTATGCTTTTAAGGCTTACCCTGGTTGCTCAGTGAAGAATAAAGTACAGGGAACATGAGAGAATACATGGGAGATCAATCAAGATGCTACTTCAGTAATCCATGACAATGACAACGTAAAGTAATGCAAGGTGCACGTGATGGGTATGGTAAGGAGATTAGATTCTGAATAGAGCTCAACAGTGTATGCTGATATGAGGTGTAAGAAACAAAAAGGAGTCAGGGTGAGTTTTCTGGCCTAGTAGCTGGTACACTAGAGAGATTATTTACTGAGATGGGGAAGACCGATGAGTGGAGGGTCCAGGGGTTAAGAGTGGAGGATCAAGGATTTCCTTGTGGAAGTGTGCTGTTTTCATTGTATATTAATCTTCCTAGTGGCAATAATTAGCAGGCAATTATATAGGAGTCTAGACTTCAGAGGAAATGTAAGAGCTGGAGATATACATTTATGTATCATGTGCATATAGATGGAATTTAATACCATCAGGCTTTGTGAGATCCCATAGGGATGAGTGCACATAGAAAAAGGGCTGAAGACTGAGGCCTGGGATACTCCCATGTTAAAAGATGAATGTTTCTTTGACAGTTCGCATTTATAGAAATGATGGCACAATAGCCTAATGCTGAAACCCTACTCAGTTCATGGTAAAACACAATTTTTATTTTTTTGGGTCGCTGAATAGCATTTAAAATTCAGAATATTTGCAGTGATCCCAAATATCTTAATAAAGATGAAAACCTAAGTTCAGATTGGTGGCCTAGACTCTGCCTTCCTTGATCCTCCCATTTAAAAATAACAATAATGATAAAAATAAGAAGAAAATATTTATGGGTCACTAGATAATGTAATACACTCAAAGGCAGATCCATTTTTTTCTACTGTACCATTTTAGCTATCAGTCTATACACAGTACTTTGATTAGAAATGCACAGTCACTCTCAAGTCAATAGCAGTTTATAAATACAGGACAAAAAGCCTGGCCTGGGCAGGCTGAGCAATAATTGAGAGAACAAGTAGATATGAAGCTAACAAATAGCACTGTGAATCAGAAGTAGGGAGATAAGCCAGAGGCAGCACAAGTGGCAGGTCAAGACAGGTAGATAGACAGAAGCCAGGAGTGAGAGGTGAGATGTCCAAATTGCAATAAAATACTCAAGCACGAGTCAATCCACTGAAGCTTACACCAGGAGGGGTAGCTGAGGGAAGGGCCGTTCAGGTAAAGTGAAAGGAATGAAGATGTGAACAGGAGACAGGAGGGTGCAAGCTATTTGATATATTAGGAGAGGAGGTACTTTTTTGAGGCTAAGAAAATAACTTGTAGTCAGAATTTGAAGGACTATTTAGACCATGTTAAACAGCGAGCAGTTGATTCTACATGAGAATTCTTAAGAGAAGATTTAAGAAGACTTAAGAGACTTCAGAAGACAGGCTCCGCAGGACCTGGATGAGGGGGTGTGAGATACTCACAGTATTTTAACCCAAAATTAAGGATATTAGAAGCTACAGGAATAAAAGAAACAGTCCCAGGGCTGTGGGTAGGAGGATTAATGGGGTTCCATTTTAGACAGGAAGAGGAAAAAAATTTGGTAATTCATTTTGATTGAGCAAGCAAAAAAAATTGAAGCTGAGCATTATGGAAGTAACAACAATGTTTTGTGATGTTGAGATAGAAAACAGGCCCAAGAGAGCCAAATATTTTACATTTCCCTTCTGGTTAGATAAATAATAAGAATCTTCCTGTTAAGGTTTATGAAATCCCATTGTTTCAATTAATCAAAAGGAGAGAGGATCAATTTAAACTTTATAAAGTACAAGAAAATCAGTTGTCTCTTTAGAAAAAGTGAGTCAGTATTTCCTGTGGTCTCAAATCATCCTAAAATAATGGTCTATGAGACAAATGAGAATCCGCTTACTTATCTAGCTTTGTCTTTGATAGATTAAAAGTCTGTACAAAATCTTGCTATATCACAAAGACACTAATGTGCCCAACTGTATATAAAATATATAATTCACAGTATATAAAAATATACATCAAGAAATTTTAAAAAACATTGTATTCTAAAGGGAAAGATCATTTCAAATTGTTTTTTATAAACATTAGACTACCTTTGTTCATGCAAATGTGTTTAAACTATTTCTTACCCCTGATAATAGGTATAAGCCTAGGAATTATTTTTGATTATGATTTGGTCTGTAAATAAATCATGAAGGTAGACCATCCTCCCTGGAAGCATTGAGGTACCATAAAACTTTGACATTGGAGGTGACAGATTGTAATATGGTTTAATCATGTATTTGTTATGAGAACTCTGACAAGCCTGAGTTACAAGTAAGCTTGGAAACACAAATTCTGTGAAAAATACTACACACTCACACACACACAGACAGACACACACTATCACTTCTCTCTTTTTATCTTGACATAGAAAATGTAAGTATACCAAGAAGTAATCTCCAAAGAGCAAATAAAACAGAAATTTCAAACAAGTGCCTGGGTAGGAGATGCAATTTTAACATTTGTTTAAATTTAACGTTGTTTAACATTGTTTAAGTGCCTCTCATCTCTGCCTCATAAACCTATAGTCATTTTTCATAACTGCCTGAAATAGCACCTCCTCTGTAACAACTTTCCTGTTCTACCCATCAAATATACTTGCTGGTTGACTGTATCCTCTTGCTCAGAACACATGACACTTTCTACAGGGTGCTGTCTATGCTTTGACAGTAACAGGACTTTTGGGCAGGGATTTTCCAATTCATTGTCTAACTCCCACTACAATTGTCCTTCACCATGCACCCGGCAGGCACTTGAAGTGCTGGTTGAGCACTAAAATCTTGGAATGCTACATAGCCATTCCAACGTAAATAATCATTGTTTAAAACATTTTGAAAGTTCTTTTGGAACTGACTTTTTAGAATTTTTAAATATCTCAGTGATAAGTCTTCACTCTTCAAGTTAGATCGTATTTTATTTTAGAAACATCAAAAGCCATACAAAACCAAGCCTGTATATTTGTGCATTCTGTCTTCTTCCCCCTCAATGCTAAGGAAGGTTTCTTTTTCCTAGGCCAAATGCTCCACAAATAAATGTGTTGAATGAATGAACAAATGAATAAGCGAAGTGAATGGAACATCAAACTGCATAAAAATATATTTATTCATAAATGAGAGGTGATGATTGCCAACATATCATAATCAGACTCTGACCTTGGTTACTTATGAGTTTGACAACGAAGAGGAAAGAGGATCAGGTAAGTCCCTAAACACCGAAGATGTACTGAGACCTTTCCACATGCCCAAAGAAGATACTCTTGCAGAGGAGAAATGATGAAGAGGCCCAGTCACAGATGCAGGAGGAAGTTTAATTGACTGAATTTGTCTAGGATGGGAGGGATTAAATGAGGTTTGAAATGAAATAGAAATTGCTAAACTCCTGACTAGACAATTACTGCCATCCATCTCTTACATGTGCCCCTAAATAAGCACTAACAGTGCCTTGGGCAGAGACCCCAGTGACTACCTAATAGTAGCCTTCAAGAGCATCACTTCCCACTCTCCTGCCCTGCCTCACTTTCCTCCTAGGTCTTATGGGATGGATGATAGATGTCATTCCCTGGTTCCCTAACGCTCAAGTCTAGCCCCTCATTTCCTGGCAAGCATCAAGCTTGATTGTGTCTGTAACCTCTCAGAAGTCAGACCTCAGAAGTGTGCTTTTCTGGGAAATCGGGGTCAGGGAGGAAAGAAGGAGGGAATAAAGACATTGTAATAGATTTATATATATCATTGTAACTCATCCACACAACAATCCTGTAAGGTGTGGCCACTGTACTCAGAAAACTGAGGCTCAAAGAGATTGAGTAACTTACCAAAACTTCACATGTACTAAAAGTGGAGCCTAGATTTCAAACACCTGTAAGACTCTGAAATCTATATTAGCTCTTCTATACATGAGCCTAAAATGCAACTGTAAACCAATAAGACTGACTTCCTCTTGAGGCTTATCACTAGCTCTGAATAGAAGCATTCCCAAATGCTGTCTAAGCAATTGTTGCGTCATGGGAATAAGTTGATAAATTCTCAGGGTTACATACTCCTTTAGATGCACTGGAACTTTTCTCAGTATGTAGAATCAAGTGTAAGGAAAAAGGATTTGAAGGGGAAGGGGAGAAATAAAACAGGACTGAGCCTTACACGTGTTGACCAGAACAGATAATGTTTGGATTTTCTTTACTTTTTTCCCAGAGAAATCGAATAAAGAAGTTTGTTTCTGTTACCTAAAATCAACTCCCTCCCACCTTAAGTGGTTTTGTATAGAGCCCATAGTTGAACTCTGTTTTCTACAGCAGAGATTCATTTTAATGTTTTTATATTATATCAAGGCAAGTTTGATTTCTTTCTGGGTAACTATAGGCAGAATGTCAGCAATACTCCACGTATTAGCTATTAGAGATAAAACACTGTGAAACTCTAAAGGCCTTGATTATTGGGCCAATGAGATATTTATGCTGTGATCTGATGGAGCAAAGCTTTGACAGGGTTATTGAGCCACCTTCAAAGTGTATCAGTGAAGTTCTTGGCTTGCTATTTTAGATAAACAGCTTTCATTTTTACTAGTTGCTTGTACTTAATAAGGTTACTGGATTGATTCAAGTTGTTTGCAATGCGTTGAAGGTGAAGAGTATTGTATCTAGTGTCCTCATAACACACTATTACTTTTCTGAGGAAGGGTCTTGTCATTTTACCCTAGATATCAACAGAAAATATTCCATTTCTTATATATTAATTTTGCTCTGCAATAAGGAAATATAACTACCAAAAATGCCATCGAAGGTTTTAGGTTGATGCTTATTTGTGTTTCCTAATCTGTAGATAGCAGGGTCTTTTTTTAAATTTTTATTTTTTGTTTTGGTACAGGGTCGGCTTTGTTGCCCACTTGGAGTGTAGTGGCACAACCTTGGCTCACTGCAACCTTCTCCTGAAGTACATATTAGCTCACCTGGGCTCAAGTGATCCTCCCACCTCAGTCTTTTGAGTATCTGGGATTATTGGCATGTGCCACCAAGCCTTGCTAATTTTTGTATTTTTTGTAGACACAGGATTTTGCCACGTTGGCCAGATTTGTCTTGAACTCCTAAGCTCCAGTGATCCACCCACCTTGGCCTCCCAAAGTGCTAGGATTACACGTGTCACCATCGTGGCCAACCAGCAAGCTCTCTTTTAATGATTCAGAGTCTCAGGCCATAGCAGTATAAGTATCAAAACATCTATTCCCAACTTGGAGTTGAGATTTCTAATACGAATTCTATTTTCTCCATAATCATAAAATAGCATCAGGAAAAGTCTCTTGACATCTTAAAATACATATCACTGGAAAGTAGATCTTTTTGTCCTTCAGATAAACATACTGTAAAATTTGAAATGAAAATTATTCTTTGTACCACCATTCTGATTTTACCCAGGGTTAACACAAAAGTTATAGCAGTACATGAAGCTCTGAGGCTTCAATGGGTGTAGATATAGACATCCAAACCTATAATTTTACATTAATCAGAATACTATTCATATAAATCACAAATGGCAAAACCATTTCTGAAGGTATTTGGTTTTATAGATTATAAAATTAAACTTCCTTATAATTGTGTCCAAACTGAAATATGCTTCCTGTACAAAAAAGCTTTCTTCTAACAGTAAAGGCCTCCTCCCAACCCACCCGACACATACACACACACACACACACACACACACACACACACACACACACGAAGAGAGAGAGAGAATTTAGAGCACTGATCTTTTCTCTCTTAGACTAATTATTTTAACATTATTTTCAGCCACTTTATTAATTGTGGGGTTAAGGGTAGGATAGATCTAATGCCCATTTCACATGTGTTGCAACATCAGAGATTATGGTTTTCATTAAAAACATCAGAGCTAAATTCCTTTTCAAAAAAGACATTGTTACTGTTAGTACCTTGGGGAATGTTGTAGTCTTATGAATGCTGATACGTTTATTTGAGCCAATTGAATATTATCTCTAATATAAACTATAATTTACTGTGTGATTCCTCTTCCTGTTTTACCTATATATACTCAAAGTGAATGATTGTGTTTAGTGAACATTTCTTTAGGTAATAAAAATTAATTTCATTTAAGAAAGAAGTACAAAATAGTTATTAGAGCAAACTTTGGTATTTGTAATTTTGAAGTTACATACTTTTGAAATAAACTTGGGCTTTCATGCCATGTTGGGTTTGAGGAAGATAGCAAATGTATAAATTGAGCTCTCTAGTCATAACCTTGCTATATGTATTCCTGCTCATTAAAATACTTTGCGCCAGCAAAAATGATTTCCAACATATGTGTTTTGGATGTAATTAAGTAACTGTATAAAACTAAGTATGTTTTTTCTCCTTTCCCCAGTGACTGGAAAACTTTCATACTTTTAAGGTAATAATAAAATAATAATCTTTAAAGAGCAACAGCCCTTAACTCTTTGCTGGTGCTTGCCATACTGCCCTTCTTTACTCCATTCTTAGCTCTTCTAGCTGCTTCTTGTAATAATGAAATGGGAATGTGGATGGGTTATGACTTTTGTGTATGTCCCATTTCCAAATTTCCCTCTCCAAAAAGCCAACCAAATAAACAAAAATAACAGTGCAACAAAACACAAACAGCATTCCAAACGTTTGGCAAGTGATGCTTTCATCTGGGATTAAGTAGTTTTAGGCAGTCAGTAACAAAATGCTGTTCTGCTGTCATAGTAGAAAGGCAGCACATTCTTAAAAGGAACCAAGAAGACTACACTCTTGGCAAAGTCTCTTATTAGCTTTCTCCTATCTCTTCTCCCCAACCACACTGTAAACTGCAAAACATACAGCAAAAAGAATTGGCTTAAAGGCAATTGATGTTTGTAAATAAATCCACAATAGGATCCAAGCTAAAGAGGTGATACATGGTCAGCCTAGTAGGACAATTCAGAGCATGTGCATATGCAAGTAAAGGCCAGACTATATATTTTTTAAACGTCAGTGCATTTTGTTGTGTTAAAATTTTTTCAAAGCTTTATTTTGTTCCTTGTGTGCTAACTACAAATAAGTTTTAAAAGAGTATCAAAAGTCTGCCAAAAACAAAAAAGCTGTAGTGACATCGAACCATACGATGTAAGCATTGAACATGTGCAATTTTTCATATCTACAGAAGAAAATCATCCCTCTTTACAACATGGTTGGGCTGATTTTTAAGAAATAAAAGATAATACATCAGAAAAGCAAATATTTGGCATCTACATATTCAATATCTAGAACCATGCAGAGTAGAAGATTTAAAGAAATATGAAGAACAAAACAGTTATTTTGTTTTAGGAGTTTACAATCTGTAGTCAGAAACTAATATAAAAATTTTGAGTATAGAAAGAGCAAAAGCACGTCAGGTGCAGTGGCTCTCAGCTGAAATCCTAGCATTTTGGAAGGCCAAAGTGAGAGGATTGCTTGAGCTCAGGAGTTCAAGACCAGCCTGGGCAACATAGTGAGACCTTGTCTCTATGAAAAAACTTTTAAAAATTATTTTAAAAAGAAAGCAAAAGCAAATATGAGAGAAAACATTAGAAATCAGAGCTTGGGCAAAGAGTTCAGTGTCAGCAAAGCAGCTCTGCCTTGGGGTATCTCTGGAACATCCTGGCTTTCTCTATAGGCCCCACCACATGGCCTTTTCCCATCACTTGGAAGCCACCATATCATGTCAGGTTTTCCCTCAAACTTTTTAACCTAATTTATTCTGTCAAAAAATATATATCTATTGAATCTTTACTGTGAGCTGGGCACTGTCCTATGTAATGATAATATAGCAAGGATATAAAACAAAAATGCTTACCGTCATACAGATTACATTCATGTGAGGCAGGACACACTATTAACAAAATAACTATATAAAATACATAATATTCCAAAAGGTGATAACGGTACAGAGAAAAATTAAGCATGGAAGGGGGATACACAACACTGGAAGTGGGTAGAAGTAAAGACATATCAAATGCTCAAGGAAGGTGTAGTAGGCAGAATAATAGCTTTCCTACGTCTGTATCTTTATATGGCGAAGAGACTTGTGGGTGTGATTAAGTTATGGATCATGAGATGAGAAGATTATTCCGGATTAGCCAGGTGAACTCAGTGTAATCACGAGAGTGATTATAAGCAAAAGAAGGAGGCAAGAAAGTCAGAGGCAAGAGATGTGGTGACAGAGGTCAGAATAATGTAGTTGCTGACTGGAAGGAAGCCATGAGCCATGGGATGTGTGCATTCTCTCAACGCTGGTGAAGGCAAGAAAATGAATTCTCCCCTAGAGGATTATAGGGGAGAAGCGTGTTCCTTTTAGCAACTAAATGTATGCTAATTTATTCCAGTAGTCAGGAAACTAATATAGAAAGTCTTTCTGAGAAGACAACATTTGAACAAAGACTCCAAGGAGGTAAGTGCACCAGCTTTGCAGATACCTGGGGAAGAGCACTCCAGGAAGAAAAGGCAGACAGCAGGGTACACGCCCTGATCAGGAGCATGTCTAGCCCAGTGGCATGAAGTAGAGCAAGACTGGGAGTCAGAAGGGTAGGAGGAGACAGGTGAGAGAGAGATTTAGTTGAGTCAACTCACTTACAGCTTCATTATCTTTAAGAACGTTGGCTTAGTCTGAATGACACATGGAGTATAGAAGAGTCTGTGAATATTTATAGATATTCTGAATGTTTGCAAGATAAATAAAAGTGGTGCACTGGTAAACCTGGTTGGGGGAAGGAAAAAAAAGCCCAGATTTGTAGCATTTGCTGATTTCCATTGTGTGAATATTTCAACCGATGGTTTGACAAACATGTCACAAAATTTCTGAGTATTTAATTTTCACCTCCATTAGAGCACTGCACATATGACATTCCATTTGTCAATTCCATCCTGTATTCCATTTGGGCCAAGAAGTATCGGAGTCAACTAGTGACAAAAATAAGAAAGTCCTCAATAAAAACCAGTGTCTACATTTGACTGATGTAAGGATCTGAAATTCATTTTTCTTTATCTGCTTTGCCTGGTGATTAAATTATGATTTTAGAAGAAACATTTTTAATTCCTTATCAGAGTGTTACTACTGAATAAATACAAGACATAGTTTAACTATATGTAATCTTGTCTATATATATTTTCAACAGAAACATTATAGATGCCAGATTCACAAAAGAAGATATATGATAGAAGCTGGAATTGTTTGAATAAAAAGAGTCAAATTTTACATTGGATTAACCAGAGGGAAGAAAGTAGATGGATAGGAAAGGAGAAGGCAGGCTTAGCCAAGCCAAAGAAAGAGACTAGACTCAGGAGGCACTGGGAGAAAAAGGAACTCTGTCAAAGAAGAGTACCATTATAGTTTGAAGAGAGCTGAGAGGCTGTTAAGTCCCCCATGTCGTTCCTAATCCAAAAACACCCGATCCTAAACACTATAATCCTGAATGTTGAAATCCTGAAACATCAAAATCCCTAAGTCTAAAATCCTTATCTAACATCCAGAAGATCACTATCACAGGACAGTTGCACCATGGTATTGCATCATGTTAAATGTAATTATTTCCTTGTTTACTCTTTATTCGGAAATTAAGCATGGCTAAGAAGGTATGTAGAGGTGCCAAGTCAACAAGGGGTGGACCCATGGACTTAATTTTAGGTGTCAACTTGGCTGGGTTAAGGAATGTCTGGAAACTTGGTAAAGCATTATTTTGGGTATGCCTCGAGGGTGTTCTCAGAAAAGATTAATGTGTAGGTCTGAGTGGACTAGGTGGGAAAGATCTGTCAATGTCTGGAATATAGAAAAAGTGAAAATGAAGGTAAAAAATGCACAGAATCTTTCCTGCCGAATTATTATTGATGTACAACTTCTGACACTTGCCTTCACAAAATGCCCTTTGTCAGAGAATAAAAAGAGTTCAACAAGCTTGGCGGCCTTCTGAACCAGGTACTTGCTGGCACAGAGGTTCCTTCAGGGCTACAAGACACATTAAGTCATGAACTATTCTTGATTAAAGATTTGACTGTGAAAGAAGATAGACATATTTATTTACCACTAAATCTAACATTAAAAAAAATGCATGTTTTACTTTGGCTAATGAATGTCACTTTCAAAACCATCCCTAGTGTTTCTTTGTTTGTTTTTACCAACTTTATACAATTTATGCGTCTATCAGATTCCAAAATTCTATAATGTAATATACTGTTTATGTATTACTGGCTGGAAAAAGTGAGGCATTTTATAAATGTTTATTTGAAGATTTGGTGGACTTTGCAGAAGAAAATAGATTTCAATTGCATCCCCAAGTTAAAATGACAGGTTTGGAACTAGGTGTGACAAAGGCTTCTGAAAGTGAATTGCAAGGTGTTACCAGTAAAGTTTGCTTTTCCATTTAGTCCAATTCATTTGGTGGAAAATTCAGGTGAGTTTAGTGGCCAAGCCCATATGGCAGTGATGAAAATTTTAGTTTAAAAATGCATCGTTTATCCATAGTGGCATTTCTTCTACCCGATAAAATTCCAGGAGCTTTTAACAAATTAAACCACATTTTCCTAAAGAAGCCAGCAAGGTTACTTACTGGTTTAAAAATAATTATGTGCAAGGTAAGATAAGAAGTCATTTAGGGCCAGGCATGGTGGCTTATGCCTGTAATCACAGGATTTTGGGAGGCAAAGGTGGGTGAATCACTTGAAGTCAGGAGTTCAAGACCAGCCTGGCCAACATGGCGATACCTTGTCTCTACTAAAAATACAAAAATTATCCGAGTGTGGTGGCACACACCTGTAATCTCAGCTACTCGGAAGGCTGAGGCAGGAGGATCCCTTGAACCCAAGAGGGGGAGGTTGCAGTGAGCCGAGGTCATGCCACTGCACTCCAGCCTGGGCAACAGAGTGAGACTCTGTCTTATTAAAAAAAAAGAAAAGTCATTTAGGCAATGGTGTTGCTGTCCAATCAACAGTATTGTTTCTGCCAAATTTGTGGCCTGTAGATTAGTGCATGCAAAGTAGATACTCAAAACAATATAGAAGCATGGCGTAGAAGATTGAAAAACATAATAGGAAGTGTTCATCTCAGTGTATATTGAATTACAGAAGAATTTCAGAGTGAGCAGTGCGACATAGAAAATGAATGTGAACATATTCTCTGAGATGTGAACATATTCTCTGAGGAAAGTCATGTCCTTAAAGGCAGCTATTTATTGTGATGCAAGACTTCAAAATACAGTTAATAATCATAAAAGTCAACTAGCTATTATGAACTCTGCGTAGTTGCCCATAATCTATCCCTGTAATGTATTTTTATATGTCAGTTTTCTTTTTAGTTTTATTTTTAAGTTTTTTTCCACTATTTTAAATTGTCAGCATTATTTATTTACAACTCACTATGCTGTGTATTTCTTCTTAGCATCATTTCCAGTACTGAAGGTATAAACTGTGTAAAGAGTTTTAGAGAGTTCTAATTTGCTTTATGCATTTTTTTTGCAACTTTGACTCCACAAAAGTGCATTATCACATTGACTTTATGTGTAAGCGTTGTTTGTAAACCTAAAAATATTAAAACTTTCTCAATAGATGAGATATTCTTTTTGCATATCTGCATTTGTGAAAGAGAAAATTTCTGAGAATCTCTTTGACTTTGACTGCATATTCGGTGATGATCTGTGACAGCTTTTGATCAATCTGGTCTAAAGACCTAGGTAGTCTGTCACAGTATTTCAGATGACCTGTTATAACACTGGATGCACACAACTACTAACCATGCATTTATGCATTTTGCTTATTGACCTATTTTTTATATGATTCATCTGCTCATAAATGTTATACCCATGTGACTCTGATTAATATACCTGTTTATGCTTGCAAACATATGTATGATGTTGTTGCCTATTTTATTTTGTAAGGTGACCTAGGAAGTATTCTGTTGTGTTTTTTATGTTTCTCAAATAAATCCCCTCCTAAAAATGTCAATAAATGCCTTTTAAATCATTTTTTCCAGATTTATAGTTTTAGAATTTTGGGGTTTGGGGGATTGTAATTTTAGGATTTTAGACTGTAGAGATGTATATCTTTTTGGAGTTCAACATTTGGGATAATGGCATTCAGGATTGTGTCTTTCTGGATTATGGCCCAGACCTGTTTATTTCAACACTCTATTTTACACAAGAGGAAAGCAAACCATGTATCCAGTTGCAATGAAAGCTTACATAGACATCATGTAT
Source organism: Homo sapiens (assembly GCF_000001405.40). Classification (NCBI taxonomy): domain Eukaryota; kingdom Metazoa; phylum Chordata; class Mammalia; order Primates; family Hominidae; genus Homo; species Homo sapiens. The sequence continues at coordinate 57,238,734 of NC_000008.11, forward strand.
AGATTATATCCTAGGAAAACATGATTAAGATGACACATAGTGACTTTTCTTTTTCAGTGAAAGAGATCCACATCCTTTTTCTTGTGTGGAACTAAACATGATTTCTGAGTTAATGTAGTTTAATGCAAATCACCATGATCACTTAACCCATGCTTCTTTATTAAAGGAGGTAGAAGGGATGTGATTTGATGGGAGGATGGCCCGGGATCCAGGACCTGGGAAAGATGCAATGAGTAAAGGGGAGCAACAGAAAAGTAGGGAATAAAGTAAGCGTGAAGAGTCATCAACTTCCCTCACTGCTCCTGGCCTCTGGCATTGGAAGCCCAGAGGTCTTTTCTAGGGCCTCAGAGAAGCTTCCAGGTCTGTTCATTTCTTTTTCCCCACCCCTGCTTGTATCACAAATAAATTACTGACACCTAAATTTCTGACTAGGTGGTAGAATTTTAGGGATCCTTCACCTCATCAGAATTCCATGTAAGTTGTGGGAGTCATATGGGTTAAGTAAGCAATAGTCCTTGAGATTATTTGATCATATAAATCATCAGAAAATGTTTAGTCATCTTGATTTTATCATAATGTGTAGCTAGGGGAGGCTGGAGGGAGAGGACTGGAGTGAGAAGAGACAGCAAAAGAGGTGGCTTTTATGCATGGGGCTCTATGAAGTAATCAGGCCTAAGTGGAACCGAGAGGGACCTTGGAGCAGTTCTGGAGAGGAAAGCTTGGGGCACAAGTCGTCTGTTGATGGTGAGGCTTAGGCCCTGGCTCCAACCAATCACATCATCTTTCTGACTGGGATGCCTAAGCAGTGTGTTTTTTGTTTGTTTTAGTGTTTGTTTTTTGGTAAAGCATACAGTGGCATTAACTAAATTCACAGTGTTGTGCACTCATCACCACCATCCATTTCCAGAACTTTTCCATCATGCCAAACAGAAACTCTGTGCCCATGAAACAGCTGTTATTTGCATTAGAATCTGTTCTAAATATTTTGTGTAAGTTCTCACTTAGGCATCACAATGATGTCCTGTGAGATAGCTACTATATTTATCTCCACTTTATCGATGAGAAAATTGAGGCACAGGAAGCCTATGTAACTTTGCTTGTAAGTGAAAGGCCTTAAAGTAGAATTCAAGCCCAAGTTGAACTGAACCCAAAGGCCAAGCTTTTTTCTATTCAAACAGGCCACTCTTTTATTATTGTAGTGAGTAATAAGAGCTAAAAAATATTATGTTTTTTTCAGGAGAAAATTATTTGTTTTGAAGGTAGAGGAAGAGCATGCTATTTAATGTTTACTATTACATGAATTACTCTATGTTTTGAGATGGTGTACTGAAACTTTCTAAAAATTTATCTCAATCTCATAGAATGGATCTACATTTGTCCTGTGTCAATGGCTATCCAGAAGCGGTAACTTTGCTGGTGCACAGAAAGTGCCAGCTTAACGTGTGTGACGGTGAAAACACGACACCTCTGATGAAGATATATAGTAGCCAGTTATTTCAGCATGAGATGGATTTGGTTTAAATACATAGAATAAAAATGGATTTATTTCATTGAAATGTAACTAATTTGTGAACCTATGGAATATTTATTTGTATTTTCTAGAATTTACAATGTGTTTCTTGGTCTAATACTGACAGGCTATACAATGCCAAGAAGATGTTTATGCAACTATTCTGCTGGACTTTGGTGCCTATCCAGATATTACAGATATCAACAGAAAAACTGCTCTCCACTGTGCTGTCTATAGTGAGAATATGTCAGTGGTGGCAAAACTGCTTTCACACAACACAAACATCTAAGTGAAAAATGGAGTAGAGAATAACCAACATTATTTTCAAAATATTTGAAATCCATTTGCTTTAACACTGACATGCGTTAGGGTCAGTTTTTCATATTTGGAAGCTCAAGCATGCTCTTCTGTGAATGAAAATATTCTGAAGTAACTGTCTAATAATTTAAATATTAATGTTTTTAAAGAAGTATTAGACGGTATAGCTTTCTTTCATGCATTTATGATAAATATTTAAATTTATTAAAGGTAAAAGTTTGTTTTTCAAATATTTTAGCCACTCAAGTTTTTGTTCTTTCTAATTAGTGTAAAACAACACAGAAAAGCAAAATGTGCCTGCATAAACTGAGTCAACATGTAAACCTTTTGATATTTATTATTAAATAAGTTATTTGGCAATGTATCAAATTTTTAAATGTGTGTCCCTTTTGACCTAGAAATTCTACTCCCAGGAATTTCTCCTAAGAAGATAATCAGAAAAGTTTACAAAGATGAATAGAAAAGAAGAGTCACTGCAGCCTTATTTGTAAAAGTGAAAAATAGCAACAGCCCAAATGTCATGAATGGAGAATTAATATATGGTGCATCCATACAAAAATACTGTGCAGCGAGTAAGCCAATGAAGCCCAAAATTTCTGACATGGACATTGACATAGCAGAGTGACAATAACGAGGTTATAAAACATCATCAGTGAAAGGTCTATTTGTACAAATTAATTTTTTGAGTGTATACTTAGGGTATATAAAATGTATTTGGTTAATGTCAAAATAATTATCTTTGCTTAAGTAAAATTTGGGGGCAATTTAAATTTTTTAATATATTTTCTTATATTGACCAGTTTTCTTAAAAAGTAGATACTATTTTTATAATCATACAACAGCAAGAGAGGAGCTCTCATACCTTCTCCATTCTTCTGTATTACCTATTACATAGTGAATTTTTTTCTAAAATTAATACTGAATAAAAGTTTCCACAGCTTTAAAATAAAGGCCTAAAAACCACTCTTTCAGATTAGATCCTGGGCAACTAAAATTTTAAACACCTAAACAACACCAAGCACTTAAAGCTTGAGAACTTAAATTTAAGAAAAATGGTTGAACAATTTTTGTTTCCACCCTTGATATCTGAATGGTTAAACAATTTTAAAACGATTTTTTTTTTTTTTTTTTTTTTTTTTTTTGGTAAATGTGGGACCTCCATGTGTTGTTGCCCAGGCTGGTCTCGGACTCCTGGCCTCAAGTAAGCAATCCTCCCACCTCAGCCTCCCCAAGTGCTGAAATTGCAGGCATGAGTCACTACACTTGGCCTTTTAAAATGATTTTAGTGAAGGCAATCTAATTCACTTTAGAGTTGAATTCTCAAGTAACTGCTTTTAAAGGTACTTTCTCAACCTACGCAAAGCTCTTAATAGGCCATGACTGTTTGGCCAACTTCTACATTGTACATCAGATGTTTTCTCTTCTGTGACCTCCAAGTTCAAGTTTGCTGTTAGGTGAGCCCACCTCTGCTTTTTTTTTTTTTTTTTTTTTTTTTTTTTTTTGTTGAGACGGAGTCTCACTCTGTTCCCCAGACTGGAGTGCAGTGGTGCCATCTCGGCTCACTGCAAGCTCCGCCTCCTGGGTTCATGCCATTCTCCTGACTCAGCCTCCCGAGTAGCTGGGACCACAGGCGCCCGCCACCATGCCCGGCTAATTTTTTTGTATTTTTAGTAGAGACGGGGTTTCACCGTGTTAGCCAGGATGGTCTCTATCTCCTGACCTCGTGATCCGCCCACCTCGGCCTCCCAAAGTGCTGGGATTACAGGCGTGAGCCACCGTGCCCAGCCCCTTCGAGTTAACTTTCTAAATATTCACTTGATGAAAAACAAAGCAGTAAAGGAGGAATAGAAGAACAAAAATCACATGAAATATAAAAAGTAAATAAATTCAATCATCTCAACAGTAACATTAAATGTGCATGGATTAAACAATGCAATCTAAAGGTAGAGATTGTCAGACTGATAAGAAAACCATGATCCAACTGTATTATTTATAAGAGACACACTTTAGATTCAAAGATATACATGGACTGAATATAAAAGGTGCAAATAGTAGCTAAGAGAGCTGAAGTAGTAACATGGTTTGAGTGTGTCCTCTAAAAGTTCTTGTGTTGAAAACTTGGTCTCCAACATAGCAGTGTTGAGAGGTAGAACCTCTGGGAGGTGACCAGTAGAACCTTTCAGAGGTAAAACTTTTGAGAGGTAGAACCTTTGGGTGGCAAAGTCCTCATGAGTGAATTAATCCATTCATGGGTTAATGAGGGAGTGGGTCACTTATGACAAAAGTGGATCTCTTATAAAAGCCAATTTGGCTATCGCTTGTGAGTAATTTATAAAATAGTCTCAGGTATTCAGTTATAGCAACAGGAAAGAGACTAAGGTAAGTATACATACTAACGTCAGACAAAATAGACTTAATTTTCAGCTACCACCCTGATCCCTGGCACTGTTTCTGCTCTGATGACCACTTAAAGAGTTTGCTCTGGGAATAAAAACTCATTCAAATATATTTCTAAGATAGATAAATATAGATTCTATCGATCTATATCTATCATCTGTCTATCTATCTATCTATCTATCTATCTATCTATCTATCTATCTATCTATGTATCTATTTATCTTTATAAAGGCTAAGCTCCTGCTGGAATTAACAAACATTCCAAAATAAAAAAGTGCCTTCTGGATTAGCTTGCTGTTGATTGCTTACAGGGAATCACGAACTGGCCAAAACCAGTTTCAATACCTGTCGCAAGTATTACCCACGCATTTTGTAAATTTAAATCCTAAGTTTGCACCACTTTGAGAGGGAAACAAATTCCTTGTAGTATGAGGCAGCTTCCAGGAGTAGCCAATCCTCAGGCAGAGGTGGGAACCGCTTCCATATGCCATTTGTATGCATGCACTTGCAAGCAAGGCACAAAAATAAAAAGGCTGTGAGCAAAGACCTTTATGATTGATGGTCTCTGATCTCGGAAAAATACTCTTGAGAGTGTTTGTCTTGTTGTCTTCTCCTCCCCAAGGCAAGGGTTGAGGCTGCAGGATGGAGTGGAGCAGAGATGTGTTGCACAGGCCACATGGGCCTCCTGGCTGGATAAGCTCCCCCACCTGAGAGGTGAAGTCTGGGTGGAAGTGCTCCAGATAGGTGACATGGCTTCCTATCCACATCACATGGACACAGGACATGGTCTGTTATCTCTTATGCTGTATGTTTTTCCCAGTTGACTTCTCATCCTCCCCCAAGCCACTCACTGACTCCACTGGGGCAAGGGAACCTCAGATTTCTTACTTAGAAAACACCCCAGGAGTAAGGATTTTAGGTAAATTCCAGTGAAAGGTGAGTTTGAGAGAGAACACCTGTGAGGCTAGAAAGAACATTCTTTTAATTCTCTAATTTTAAGCAAAAGTTAGTGTTAGATTAATCTAATTCCACCCACCAGGAGGCTAAGACTCCCCTAGTAAAAGAAACGTCAACACAGGGACAAAAGGAGTCCAAAAATGTATTTGTCATTTTCTCGGAAGCTGCTGATATTAGTGAGAAGAGGATGCTTGCTGAGGCAGTGGCCTCCCTGGGGCCTCCCACAGGTGAGGGCTGATGGGACCTGCTTTTTGCCAGCAACTTACCTGGTACATCCGTAGCTGGAAGAAGTGCCTCTCCTTTTCCATCTCTTCAGCAATTTCCATCCTGCTTATTTTAGTCCAGATCATCCCGTGGAGCCTGATGTGTTCCTTTTTCTCCTTTTCTTAGTTCCAAGTGTGAAAGCAAGGATAAATCAAGATGCCTCTTGGCATGAAACTTTACTGGACAACCTTGAAGTCATGCCAGTACCCAGTCTGCTGAGACCAATGCTCAATAGACATTTCAGCACAGGAAGCCTCTTAAATCCCTTCAAAGGAAAATGGGTGTCATGAAAATGTCAAGCCTGGCCTTCTCACTACTTACTCAAAAAGTACTTCCTAAGCGCCTACTTTGAGTCACATCTGGGTCACAGGAAAGTGTGGTGGAAAGTCTGCACATGGCCCAGAAAGCTCCTTCAGCTCCAACATTCAGAACCTGCCTGCCTGCCTTCTGAGTATCCCAAGGGCACTGTCTGACTCTTTCATACCCACCATTTGTCTCCCTGGACTTCTTGCTAAATCCCTGTCTTCACTTCCTCACTTAGGGAATTCATGCCAGCTCTCTGACTTGATCTATGACCCTGCTCATCACTGTAGGAGAAAAAAAAAAAAATACAACCACCTTTCCATGCTGTCAACTTAATTATCCCTCCCACATTTATCTCATGCCTGAAATGTATTACCTAAATGTTGAGTGTGCAGTTCAGGGTAAAACTGACCAACTGGAGCACATCCAAAGAAGAGCAACCATGGTAAAAAGAAGCTACATCATCATGTCTGCTAAGGAAGGCTTGAAATAACTATGAATTTTTATTCTGGAGAAAACGAGACTAAACAAAACCAATAAAAATTACTCAAAAAATATGAAGCGTTGTTATGAAGACAAAGGAAGAGGCACTTTCTAAAGAGACTCAATGTAAACACTGGAAAACATGGCAGCATTTTCTTTAAACAGCATTCAATGATGAAATGGCTACTTGTGGTTCCAGAGGGCTCCCTGTCATTGCGGGGTGGAGGACTAGAGTGTTTAAGAAGAGGCAAGAAGTGTAATTTTTTTGTTCTTTAGTGTGGAGCACAGTGTGGGACACAAAGTAGGTTCTCAACAATTTGAAAGAATGAGTGGGTGAAAATATAAATGCTCAGAAGATATAAAAACTCAGAAGACACTTTGAGAGGGATATTGTTTAATCACTTTATGCATCTGAGAGGGAGCATGACTAGAGGATTTCTGAGGTCCCTGGGACTGGAATTATATAACTCCAAGGCACTGCAACACCTCAAAGGCAAGACACAGTTCAGACAGATCATTTCTCTTAATAATCAGGCATGGGACTATTGCCCAGGAATTTTAAAGACATCTTAAACCTAGTTATTACATATCACAAAACCTCTTGGAATAAATGAGTTTCTCACACTAATAGGTAAATAATTATTTATTTATCCTATAATTGCTTCAAGTTTAAAGAGTGCTCCTCCCTCCTCCTAAATTCTGGGATTTTGTGAGGAATTCTTCCCCTGCCCTACCTATGCGTGTTTCAATTTTTCAGAATTTGATGTTATTCTCATTTCAAGCCTTTTCCATTCAGAAACAGAGGACTCTCTCAGGCAGTCTTCTTCAGAATCCCCTTTCTGCCATTGGTTTAGTCACACTCAGAAAAGTTTGCTCTCAGGCACGGAGACAGGCAGCAAGTGTGGCTAAATGGAAGTCAGGAAACCCACTTCCTGACTCTGGCTCAATTACACTTGCTGGTTGACCAGCAGCAAACCACTGAGTCTTGGTTTTCCATCTGCAAAGTAAGAATGTGCTGATCCCTTCCCATTTATTTCACCAAACTGGCACACATATCAAGGATGCTGACAGGCCAGGAATAATGGATGGAGGCCTCCTTGGGCTAAAGGGACCTGCAAGCTTCTCCAGTAGAACACTCTGCTTATCCTTCCATATGAATGTACAGTATTAATGAAACTTCAGAACTTGGGGGCCAAGCAAACTCAGGTATGGAAGTTTAAGATTTCTATGGATGCAGTAAGTATAAAAGGTTTGGTGTTCAGCAGTTTGAGTTCTGTGATCCTTCACCACTGAAAAGATACCCAGGGCTAGTTTTTAAAAACTCAAACAACCCAATGAAATACTTGTAGTTGGACTTGAAATGACTTTCCTCTTAACACCTTTTACTTTACTAGGTGGCTTCATATGACAGTTTCTTTTTCCAATCAGAACATACTACATTACCCAAGGCACAGAGATTACAAAATAAACATGAGACATTTAAATATATTTCATATTTTTCCGGTATTTAAAATAATTGAAGCCACTATTTCCCTGCAGTCATTTGCTTAATCAATTCCTTCTAGCTAAGCTCTCTCCACTCTAGGGATGAGAAACTGTGATTGGGAAAGTTACACCTTTCTGAATTCAACCAATAGAATCTTGTCTTTAGTAGAAACTGTGGTTCACATCTAAGAATCAGCTACCCATTTTTCAGAATCTCTTTTGGCAGTTGAAGGTGAAGGAGGTGGGTGTTGAACAGTCTCTTTCTAAAACCAAAAGAACTGGTAATTCAGAGAAATACATATACGAAAGTAAATGTTTTTCACAAATCACCTGAAAGGTGAAGTCTGAAAATTGCCCTGCTTTCAAAACCAGTAATGAAATGGAGAAAGTGTTTAAAAACAAAAACGGAAAGAAATAACTCATGAGAGAGCTGGCCTTAACTCTTTCAATGAACTTCCCTGAAAATAACATCCTATAACCACTGTGACATTATAGAAAAAGGAGCAGGAAAAAACTGGTTAAAATAATATAGCATCACTGAACATATCTGTCATCAAAACAAACCACAGTAATATAGTTGACAAAAATTCTGGATTAAGGCTCATTTAGAAAATCCCTTTAAGTAATAAAAGCTTGGTTTAAAATTGAAGTATCAAATTACCTATACATAATTTTAAAAATGAGAACACATTTTTGTTTCATACTCCTTCTAAGCTTTATCAAAAGGCTTTTTCAGATTCTTTAAACAGAGGGTAATACATTAGGCAGGACTAATAATTCACTTCTGTCCAAGCTAAACTTACTTATCCCTAGCCTAGTCCTGAAAGGATCATTAATTTCTGAAATAAATCGTGTATGTAATCATATGAAAAATAACCCAGAGTACAGGCTTTTAAGTAGATTAGTGGTGGTATTTCCTTGCCTTCTCTTATATAAATACATATATTTATAATAGAATATACTAAATGCCCACAATAGCAAGGTGCCTTCACCCAGTTATGACACTCCTGGGCGACCATGTGTCACCTGTACCCTATTCCCTGTCCTGGCTTTAATCTGAAAGTAAACCCTGAAAGGCAACATTTACTCTGCAAATATTTCAGTCTGTCTCTCTACAAGAAAGGAGTGCTAACTTTTTACCTGATGAATCTCAACACATATAACCCTGCTTTAAGGCCAACGACAGGAATGTAAACGTCACCTACATCCTCCTGGGGTCTCCTACAGCTCTTCTGTCTGAAATTCAGGACTTCATATGCTCTGGTAAAGCCTGGCTTAAATAACTACTGAGCCACTAGAAATTCTATCAAATAGTCCTCACCCATTTATGCTCCCTTCAAAGGGGTTCTTTGGGGAGAGAGAAATCTTTTTGTTGTTGCTTTCTATGTTTTGGCTTTTCAATAACCTTACGTAAGGCCCAAGTGCCACAGCCTGGCATACAAGGTCCTTCATGAACTGGCTCCTCCTGCACCCTGGCAGCCTGGCATGCATTGCTGATTACTGCTCCCATGTGCGTGCCTGCATCTTTTCTCTGCCTGGGGTGCCTTCCCTCCCCTGTGTTGGGGTAACTCCACTCATCTGTTCCCCAGACCCCTGAAGGCTTGACAGGAAATGTGTCCTAACAGCTATCCCCTGGCACACTCTGTGAAGGAGATCCTGAGAGGCTTCTGTAGAGGTCCCCGAGATGGGTCAGACTGGGTTTCCAGTCATCCAGATGTGACTCTGGAATCAAGTGCAGAACCAAAGGACTAGAGTCTCCCAAGAACGTAGCCACAATCATGTCCCTTTCATGGTGCACATCTGTCAGGGCCGACAATGTTTAGAAACAGCACACTGCTCAGCAAATGCCCATCCAGCCCTGCCTGCTTCTCACCGAAGCAGCTCCTGGCCTACATGTTTATAGTGGCGAGGCATGTCCTAAACAGCCAACATCCTCTGAAGGACAGAAAAATGAAGTCAGCTCATGCCTTACAACTGTGATCTTTCCAGCAGGAAAATAAATCCTTGCTAGGATCTTTTCCCAGTGGTAAATTTGTGATGTGCCAGCTAGAAAACCAGACTTCTCCCACAGGTTTCTCTGCCCAACTGAGAGAGACCAGAACTCCACTCTTTCCAAAATAGAAGGGTTTTTCCCCTCCCATTCTCCTCCCCTCACCACCATGTTTGTTGAATCAACAGGACAGCCAGAAAGGCCAAAAGTACCACAGTCTGGATAAAAGGTGGTCCCAGGATGGCAAGTCAAAGGAAGCGGAGATAGCAAAAAGCCATTTTGTCTTCCCAATAAAAACATATTGGCATAGCTGCTGCCCTGGGGGACCAATTTACTGTGCTTCTACATGGTATGAAATGTGCTCCCTGTGTCACAGTGTCAACATCATACACATTTTACTCATTTCTGGTTCCCATTTAGCAAACTGTCCAAAGGGAAGGAGATTACATTGATGTTCTGAATTGAAAAGAATTATTATTATTTGGCCTATTTGTTAATCTACAGTAAGGACAGCAAGGATGTTAGAGAGAACAATTGATAATGATTAACCTCCACTTAAAATCTGGCCATCACATGTACAATTGCCTTGTTCAGCCTTACATTCTTTCTAATGATTTGGTCTTACAAGACAAATATAGGTCTAATGAAAAGTCTAGATCTGTATATTTTTCACAGTAATGATCTTATATTGTTACACTATGAAGATTGCGAAAAGACAACCATTACGACGAAGAAAAAAATATTTCAAAACACTCAATTACAGAATCACATTCTGGAATAAAAGGAAACTTCCACTTCTGACTCTCAATCGCGGCTCCAATCCATGTGCTAAGGCTGTGCTGGGGTCAGAACTCTGGGTTCCCAGGCCCCAAGCCTCCACAGCAAGCTCCTAGTAGGGGAAAAAAAGGCAAAGTCTTCTGTCTGCTGTGAAGTCATACATATGAATGCTGGTTGCAAATGAGGAAAGAAATGAGTTTGTGTCATTGAGGTAGGAAGGGTAGGTACGTGTGATTGTGTATGACTGTGTGTGTGTATGTGTGCGTAAGTATAAGATTGAGGGTGTGTAAAGGGATAAGTGACTGTGTGTAGTTGTGTGCCTGAGTATGAGTGAATGCACACGAGGGAGGATGTGTGTGAGTAAATGTATGAGTGATTGTGTATGTGAGTGTGTGTACATGGGTAATGGTGTGGCTCATTGTGTAAGTGAAGCTGTGTGTAATTGTGTGTATAAGTGAGGGTGTGGAGATTGTGTGAGAGGATGTACGTGTGATTGTGTGTCAGGGTGTGAGTGTATGTGTGGGTGTATGAGTGTGGGTATGAGTGTGTGTGAATGAAGTGATTGTCAGGGTGTGATTGTGTGTGAGTGTGGATGTGATTGTGTGAGTGTTATTGTGTGAGGGTGTGAGTGATTATGTGTATGTGTGTGAATGATGGTTGAGTGATTTCATGGGAGTGTGGGTGTGAGTGATTGCCCGGCCCAGGCAATAATTTCAAATAACAGTTCTCCCTTTCCCCCACTCTCTTTCTTTCTGTCTTTGCTTTTCCTCAGTTCACTTGGGTATGTCTGACGGGATAAATAGTCAAAATTTTATGATCTCCCAAGTAGAAATAAAATGATTCAGTCAGTGGGGCAGGCAGCAAACAAGGCTATTAGATATAAAGAACAAAATCATTAAGCTAATGTCACAGCTGATTAGCAAACAAAGATAGACAGGAAGACACAGATGGGGAAATAGAGCCTTCCAAACAGTCATCTCTTCACATTCTCCTTCCTGATTTTTTTTCAGTCTTAAAATCCCTTGCCTGTAGCTCTGTCACTTCCCACCTTCTCCACCTCTCAGTTCACAGGTCACCCTCTCCCCTGCTCTCTGGCCGTTGGTTACCAGATGCTGATCCAGCCAAAGTGTGGCAGGCAGTCCCACCCCAGGGAGCTGCGGTGCTGCCTTCTCTTTGACTTAGGCAGTGAGTAAGTCTGCTTTGCCAAATGACCTTGCCCAAAGGGATCCATCTAGAAGCCTGAAGCTAGACAGAATTTTTGCATCATAGCTATTTTTCGGGAGCAGGCAGAAGTCACTGGGCAGAACCTTTCAAGCTGCAGGGCTCACAGTTGTAGAAAAAATAGGTCTTTTCAGGGCTTGCCTCCAAAACCCTTAACAGAGTTCAATTTGCTTCAAGGATAATCAGCTTTTTCTGAAAAAACATTTTTTCGGTGTATAATATAAAACATGACCAAAGGATCTTACTGTACCATGCCATTTATTTGAATATGCCCCATTTATGAGGAACTTGAGAGGTAGAAAAGATGATGCTTTGAAATATTCTTGTTGACTTCAGCAATGCTGCCTGATCATAGAGTTAATTAGGAAAACTCAAAGTTTCAAAGAAAACAATCCACCTCTTCACCTTCTGCACAGGCCAGGTGACAGCTTGTCAAAGATTGGACAGTTGCAGAAAGACTCGTTTCAATTATGGCTATTCTTAGCAGATGTTTCAATATGAACAATGATATGCAAGTGTGAAACAGCCTTCTAGTGCTGAAAGCTTCCAGCTGCCTCCAGGAACTGGAGTCCAAGGTCTAGGACGTGTGTGAGGCAGTGTTGATGAGCAGGCACAAAAAGGTGAAAAGTAGGCATTGGACCTGTGATGTCCCATAGGATAGATGCTAACTACATGCACCTCTTCATGCTTAAATGGATTAAACTTTAATAAAGTTAAAACCTGAGTTCCTCAGTTTCTCTAGCCACATTTCAAGTGCAATAATCACATGTGTCTAGCGACTTACTATATTTAACAAAGCAGATATACCCCATTTCCATCAATGCAAAAAGTTCTATTGGACAGTAACACTTTCAACAAATGGCTTTTTAATAGTTTTAAGCAGCTTTATTGAAGTGTAATTGACATACAATAAGCCATACACATTTAAAGTATATGCCCTGATACATTGTAACACACGGATACACCTATGAAATTAAATCCAGATTATGAATGTACTCTGTCACCCCCAGATATTTCTCTGACCCCTATTTGCAATCCCAGCTCCTTAACCCCAATCCCTAGCAATCACTGATCTTCTTTGCCACCACAGAACTCTGCATTTTCTAGTATTTTATACAGAATATATGGAATCATCCAACTGTACTCCTTTTCATCGGATTTCTTGCATAAATATTTTGAGACTGAGCATAATTACTTTGAGATTTATTAATGTAGTTGTGTGTGCCAGTAGTTTACTCCTTTTTCTTGCCATATACTGTTCCATCATATGGATACACTATCGTTTTTTTAGGCAGACACCTTTTGGTGAATGTTTGAGTTGTTTCCAGTTTGGATGATGCTCTGGATGTCACATATAAAGATGTCAAGGGACTCTTTCAAATAATGATCAGGAAGGCCTTTTTATAAGGTGGCATTGGAGCAGAGTGCAAAGGAAGCGAGGCAGAGAGCCATGAGAAAATCTGGGGATAGTGTACTCTGAACTGAGGGGACTCTAACACAAAGGTCATGGGATGGAAGTGTGCCTGGCAGGTTCAAAGGACAGCTCTCTGTGTTCCTTCTAAAGGCTGCTTATATGAAAGGATAGGCACCCAGGCAAAACTATTTCGGAGAATCAGAAGGTACTAAGTCAAATGGCCTGAATAAACCACCAAATGGCACAGGCCATTTCATCTCATTTAATCCTTACAGTTACTCTGAGAAGTAGGTGCTGTGACCCCCATTTTGCAGACGTGGGAACAAAGAGGGGGTTGGGCCATCCACTTTGCCTCCAAATCACACAACTATTATTATCAGAGTTGGCTGAGAACTCTGAAGCCAGAGCTCTCCCTGTCAGTTCATTATTAAAGATGGTTGGACTTAAAAAGAGCCTTCTGCCTTCACAGGGCAAGATGGCTTACATTTCCCATGAGGTCAGATCAGGATAAGCTGGGGCTGGGTACCTGCTGCCGTCCCAAGTGCTATCTCCATCAAAAAGTCCTATTCTCTTTACACAAAGTAGTTCATCAGATATGTATGAGGGAGCTTTAAACAGGCAAACCATCACGGCCACTTTCATTTTTGGTGTAAGTGAAGAGACTTCCCCTGGGCTATAGACAGTGTGGCCTTAAAGTCTAGTACACACATGTAAACACATGCACATGAAAACACTTTCACACATGCATACATGCACATGAACATGCATGCACATGCATACATGCACATGAACATGCATGCACATGCATGCACACACGAACACACACACTCCTGCCTATGCACTCTCACAGAGGGCCCTCCTGAACAGCCCTGTCTGTGGCAGCAGAGTTGTTGATAGTGTAACTAAAAAGGAAAGTGGGGAAGTCCATGCTGATCTTGACTGTTTAACACAAACTGAAAGATCAAAACCAAGGAGCTGCCAAAAACACATTGGCAACTTTCACACCAGAACAAGAAAGGAAATCACTGACTTGGTTTCTGCTCTTAATGTTGCTTCTCTTGCAGTCAAATGCTCTCGTCTTTCAGGCTCTAAGTGGAGAGAAAATTGGGCCCTCAACCAGTCTCCACTAGAATAAATGATCAGTCATACATGTCAGGAAGCTACCTACAACCATGTTGACACCTGCTGAAAGCTGGTTCTGAGACCTGGGGAGCAGCACCAGAGAACCCAGGACTCAGGCACCTATAACTCAGGCACCTATACTTCTATTTTTTTGTTTTTTGTTTTGTTTTGAGTCAGGGTCTCGCTGTGTCACCCAGGCAGAAGTGTAGTGGCATGACCACAGCTCACTGCAGCCTCAACTTCCTGGGCTCGAGTGATTCTGCTACCTTGGTCTCCCAAAGTTCTGGGACTACAGACGTGACCACTGCACTTGGCCAACTCATGACTACTTCTAAAACCCATATGATGGTGAAACATTTACTGAAATGTTTAATGAAAGATTTTTCATGTTACCTCCAAAAATCCAAATTTAGAAAGTATTTGCTCTGGACTCAGACCTTCGGCACCCTAAGTGTCTATTTCATCAAGGATAAGAGTCAGAAGCACTTGACCCAGGCTGTCCTCCAGGCACTGGTTCTCAGTGTGGCTCCTAACCAGCAAGGCCAGCATTACTAGGAAACACGTAAGAAATGCAAAATCTTGGGACTTATCCCAGATCTGTAGAATCAGAAACTCTTCGGGAGCTTAATAGGTGTGGGCTATTAAGCTTAATAGGTGGTGCTGATGCCTATTATAACCTTAATAGGTGGTGCTGATGCCCTCCACCTGGAGAACCACAACTCTGTAGGGAAGGTGTGGAGGCCAGGACTGTGCATTTCTAACAACTTCTGGGTGCTGCGGGTGCTGCTGGCCCAGAGGCTGCACTTTGAGAATTTCTGATCCTGAGCAGTGCTTCTCAAGCTTCCCTATGCCCACTGTCGCCTGGGCTCTTACTGAAGATTTTGGCTCAGCAGGCCTAAGGAGGCTGATTTTCTAAGAAGCCCCAGGAAATTCCAGTGATGCTCTCCAGGTGCAAGCCTGGGGTGCTGGTGAAGCAAACCTCATCCAAGCGTTTGCAAGCTAGAACCTGGAATATGTGGGCACTGATGTGAGTACCAGTTTTCAGATTTTAAGTAATAATTAACAAACAGCTGAAAGTTCCCAAGAAAAGGGATTGTACACAAGCATGCATTGAACTGATCTTTATAAGTTTGCTGACAATTCCATCAGTGACACAGGACAAAGAGACTCAGGGTCTCCACAGCTCACAGCCCCCTGTCTTCCTTCCCATCAACCTCTTCCAGCTTCCAGCTCCTTCCTTGGGGCCCAGAAACAGACTCAAGCCCCTCTCACCCTAGAAACTCTTCCCATATGGCTTTTCTCTTCGGTTATCGTTCTTAGAATAGTGAACATCTGTGGTCCCTATGCTTTCACCTGCAGCTGCTCTTCTGCCTTTAAGAAAGTCTGGGAAAACATCCCTGCCACCTCACAGGCACCCAAGCCAACAGGGCTGCTCTTCTGCACCCCTGCTGTGCATGCAGCCCCCTACCTCCTTCATTCACATTCTCATCTATTACAGCCCCTCCACCCCATATCTACACCCCCCTACAGCCCTTCACCTCATATCTAATCCCCCTTATAGCCCCTCAACCTCATACCTACACCCAGACTATAGCCTGTCCACCCCATGTCTACATTCTCATTAAAGCCCCTCCATGCCATATCTACACCCCCAGTACAGCCTCTTCAATTGGAATCTACATGCTTACTACAGCCTCTCCACCCTGTATGTACATCCCCACTACAGCCCCTTCACACAGCATCTTGTAGGTTTGGCAATTATTTTTAAAAGTTTGAGATCTGCTACATTGTGGCAGTTGTCCTTTCAATAGCCAGCAACTGAAAAACACACAATGATAAAAACAAAAACAAACTCTGCTTTAGTTTTATTAATACTTTCAAACAGAAATCACATGTCCAACATAGATTTGAGCAGTTGTCAAGACATTTGTTTCTAAACCTTGCAAGCATGCTTGTGTGCAGTAGACCCTTGCAACAGTGCTATCCCCTCCACCCCCAGGGATCCAGGGAACCAGGACCCAAGGCCTGGGATAGGGAGTCACTGCTCCCTGCTTCCATTGCTGCACCCTTAGGGCTCTGTGGGCTACCGGTGGTCATCATGGCATACGCTGTGTTCTGATAAAGGCATCTGTGTCTCCCACCCAGGCAGGAGTTACCAGAGCTCTCTGCCCCATTACAGTACCAGCATGTGAACAGCACCCAGCAAGCATGCAGTCCTTGTGTCTGTGAGCTCTCCCTCCCATGTCCAAGGCCTTACTACTCGATTTTTGCCCACTGTGGGGTTTCCCACTTTCTCTAACCTCTAGAAGTTGCTGGACTGTGTGGCTTACAATGACATAGCATTGCCCCAACCCCAAAAAGAAATAGTATCAAAGTCCATTGTAAACCTATTAATTACACAGCTGTGCTACAACCAAAACATGGATCTCTGACATCAGCCTTATAGTTCTTCATTGTCTTGATCAAACTAAGAATATGCTTTCATCTTTGGTTAGAGATTTGTGAGTATAGGGAGTAGCTTAATGTTTATCTCTTTTGAGTCTTAGACAAGGAATTTCTAGCTATAAATAAGGCCATAATAAAACCTAAGTGGTAGAGGTTTCTAGGTGCCTGAAGTGACTGTCCGCAAGTTTATCCATGTATTCTCTCTCTCCTCCTATTGAAGTGCCCTAGCCCTCAAGTCCTCCTCGGACAGAGCTTTTGGACTCCTAATTTGCACACAAGTCTAACAAGCCACATCATCTTGCTTTTCAGTTCATAGCACTGTGAAACGAGACATTAGAGGCAAGCACTGATAGCAGTAAAAAGGACAACCATTAGGAAAAAGTCAGAATATTAGCAAGCAAATGTCACAAATGGAAGTCAAATAGTCCAGGACTAATCTAAGGGCAGATATTCCCGTATACCACAAGCCATTGAGGATGTGTCTAGATTTCAGCACAGTTCATTAGTTTATGCCCAAAATAGTGACTTAAATCTTCCTCCCAAAAAGATGAAGCTATGATTATTGCTTCTGTTTAATTTTAAAAAGTAGGACATTTAAAAATACAACACATTTTCAAGAAAAGAAAAGAAAGTCTATGGAAGTGCTGAGGGTGAGAACCTCTGGTAGCAAGATCTCTATATTGAGTGATGAGACAAGCTTTATTAATAAGAAGAATCAGCTCATACTTAACCTAAGCCTGACAGTGCTGGGCAGAGAGTCCTGCTGTACCACCACCAGTGGAGCCAGGTAAGGATGCCTCTCTGCTAGAAACAGCACATATGGACGAAGCCACAAGCTATGGCTCATCCCAACAGAATCTTACTAGCTCCCTAGTAAGGTTAGCTATAATGTCTTCTAACTCACATCATTTGTATTAAAAAAAGAAAGAAACAAATGGTAACTGATACACATGTTGGTTGGTAGAGCTTTCAGATTCCTCTTTCGATATGGGTGAGGGAAAATTCCTCAGCCCAAGGTTACCTTGGATTTCACACTCCAACTCCATCCTCAGCTCAGCACTGCTGGTCATTGCTTTTAATGGATGCTGGTCTTCAGGTAGAGTGGGTTCTGCAGACTATAAGGACATCTTTCAGTAACAACCCTCTAACATCAAAGACCTTTCAGAGATCTGCCCTGCATAGCAGTCTTTCATTAGAAAGTCACTTCTCACACCGGGGCCTGTTGTGGGGTGGGGGAGGGGGGAGGGATAGCATTAGGAGATATACCTAACGCTAAATGACGAGTTAATGGGTGCAGCACACCAACATGGCACATGTATACATATGTAACAAGCCTTCACGTTGTGCACATGTACCCTAAAACTTAGAGTATAATAATAATAAAATTTAAAAAAAAAAGAGAAGAAAAGAAAGTCACTTCTCAGCACAGAGGCAGCCCTTGGAGTCTTTCCGGGATTTTCACATCCAGCTGGGAAAAGGAAAAGAACTCCTGAAACTGGGCTGACTTCATAACCAGTTTAATTTCACACATGCCATATTTCTGAAGGCACCTTGTTTTTCCCTTCATCCTGCATCACTGCAGAGAAAATTCACAGACTTCCTGAAGGTGAGAATCTCACCCATTAGTAAGAAAATCACACTTTATATATTAAGTTGGCCTTTCCCTGGAGATCTCCTAACTGCTTTATAAACATTCTTTCACACCTCCAAGCAGGTAGGTGGCAATTGTCATTCTTTCTGGACAAGAGGTAGCATTGTGAATCTTAGCCCAACTGAGCTGAAATGTTGTTTAAATGTCTGAGGTAAAGCAAAAGGAAGGTTTGGAAAATATGAGCTAGGATAAATGTGGCCAAAAATAGGAAGAACAATGGCATATAAAATTCCAAAAAAGAATTCTCCTATAATCAGCTCACTTTCTGCCCAGCTTCCTAAAAGCCACGTCTTGGCCTTCCTCTTGTTGTGCAGCTTCCACACTGACACTGACCTGGAAAATCAGGTGAGGTGAGTGCTAATTTTGGCTCAAATAAGAAATTTTCTCTCTCTTTGATCTTTGTCAGGAAACAGGATCAACAATCTGAATTCCATCAAGTTCAAGCTGAAACTAAAGTAACACACATGTACTTTAAGCTACATGTGTGTTACTAACATGTATGTTACTTTAGTTTGAGCGCTCCCGAGAAGCAGGGACTCCATGGCAAGACTCCATGGTGGCGCCAAGACAAGTGGTTGACTGGCCGGCAGCACAAGGCAGAGACCACAGCTCAGACCTATCCCCATTGGCTGCAGATTACCCAGTGCCAGGGACCCACTCCAGACATAGGTCAAGGACGAGTAGACCCTGAGGCCTGGCAGCAGGCACACTTGAGGCTCAAGGGAAGCCCTGCCATCCCGCACCAGTGCCTGAGCTACAACTGCCACCTACACCTTGCTCATGGGCAGTGGTGGCCAGACCATCCCAAATGCCTCTCTTCCCGTCGGGGCTCCAGCTGTGCAGACTTCTGGGCCAGACGCAGCTGCACAGTCTAAGTCATCCCTGCAGCTGCAGGAGGGCAGGAAACTGTTGCTTATTACCATCCCAGCTGCTTCACCGCTCACAGTGCCTGAGACCCAGGGCTCTGGCGCAGGGGCCAAGGGAGATCAGGCCCTAGGGTGGGAGACCAGGGCACTCAGCGACCCTCAGACCCTCTGGGACCTGCCCTGCCAGCCTCCACCTTGGGCTTAGCTGCAGCTGCCACCTGCTGCACATGGCGCCTGCACATGGCGCCTGCAGCTGCACATGGCGCCTGGCAGCAGCGGGGGCAACACTCAACACTGCCAGGGCCACCAGCAGCGAGTACCCCAGGGCCAGACGTCGCCACAGCGACTAATTTAGACTTTTGGCCCCACAGCTAAAGAAGGGCAGGTACCAGATGCTCAGCCTCATCCTGGCGGCTGCACAATGCCCAGCTCTGAGGACCCTGCACTCTGGGCACCGGCTAAGAAAGAACAGACCCTAGGGTGGGAGGGCAAAGCACTCAGTGATCCTCTGGACATCTGGGACCAGCCCTGCCAGCATCCGAAGTGGGTTCAGCTGCAGCTGCCACCTGCATATGACGCACAGCAGTAGCGATGGCTAACCTGACCCTGCCCACCATCACAAGCAGCAGGAACCCGAGGGCCAGACACCTCTGTGGCGCCTAAGTCAGGCTGTCGGCCCCACAACTGCAGGAGGGCGGGAACCGGCCACCAAGCCCCTTCCAGGTGGCTGCAGAGTGCCCAGCGCCGGGGACACTGTGCTCTGGGCCTGGGCCAAGGAAGAGCAGACCCTAGTGCGGGAAGGCGCTGCACTCTGCGACCTTCAAGTCATCTGTGCCCATCCCTGACAGCCTCCGCTGTGGCCTCAACTGTAGCTAACACCTGCACATGGCGCCCAAAATCAGCAGTGGCAACCCTCAACCCTTTGTGCAGCCAGCAGGGAGGACCGCAGGGCCAGAGGAGGCCGCTGAGCCTAAATCAGGCAGTCCGCCCAGCAGCTGCAGGAAGGAGGTAACAGGCCTCTCAGCCCCATCCAGGCGGCTGCTGCACAGTGCCCAGCGCCCACTACCTAGCTCTGTAAGCGCAGGCCAAGGCAGAGTGGACCCTAGGGAGGAGGGAGGGCAGTACGCTCGGCGACCCTTGGGTGCACTTGACTGTACTCGGGGACAAGCCCGGCCAGCCACTATGGTGGGCTCAGCTGCAGCTGCCACCTGCACATGGTGCGCTCCAGCCGCAGTGGCAACCCACGGCCCTGCCGGCGCCACCAGCAGCGCGGACCCCAGGGCCAGACTCTGTGAAGACGCCCAGTTTAGGCGGCCCCCACTCCCGCATCTGCAGGAGTGAGGGAACCTGCTCTCAGCCCAACCCCGGGGCTTCAGAGTGCCCAGCGCCCACGACTCCGTGCTCTGGGCGCGAATCAAGAAAAAGTGGACCCTTGGGTGGGAGGGCGGTGCACTCGGAGACCCTGAGGCCCTCTGGGGCCAGCCCTGTCATCCTTTGCCTTAGGCTCAGCTGTAGCTGTCACCTGCACATAGTGCGCTGTAGTAGTGGAGGCAACTGCCGACCCTGCTGCCACCACCAGCACGGGGACCCCGCGGCCAGGCAGCCACGCGCCGAAGCCCGCAGCACAGCTGCAGCAGGGTGGCCGTTCAGCCCCTTCCTGGCGGCTGCATAGTACCCAGCGCCCGCGACCACGCGCTCAGGGCGCGAGCTATGGAAGAGCGAGCCCTAGGGCGGGAGGGTGGTGCACTTGGCGACTCTCAGGAGGTCTGGGACCAGCCCTGCCAGCTTCCACCGTGGGCTCAGCTATTGCTGCCATCTGCACATGCCCCACGGCAGCACCTGTGGCAAATCCCGACCTTGCCCGCCCCACTAGCAGCGCGGTCCCCAAGGTCAGACACCGCCACTGTGCCTGATTTGGGTAGTCTGTTCCGCAGCTGCAGGAGGGCGGGAACCGGCCCTCATCCCCATCGCGATGGCTGCAAAGAGTCCAGCGCCCTGGGCCCAGAGCTCTGGACTGGGGCCAAGGAAGAGCGGATCCCACGGTGTGAGGGCAGTGAACTTGGCGAAACTCAGGACGTCTGGGCTAGCCCTGCCAGCCTCCGCCCTGAACTTATGTGCAGTTACCACCTGCACATGGCACGGGGCCGCGGGAGTGGCAACCCCCAACTCGGCCAGCAGCCACCAGCAGCATAGACTCCAGGACCATACGCTGCCATGACCCCTCGGTTAGGCAGTCAGCCCCGTAGCCGCAGGAGGGCGGGAATCGGCGCTCAGCCAAACCCCATGGCTGCACAATGCCCACGGCCTGCGAGTCCGCGCTTCTGCACCGGCCAAAGAAGAGCAGGTACTGCGGCAGCAGCGGTGGCAACCCCCGACCCTGCCTGTCAGGCGGTCGGCCCAATAGCTGCAGGAGGGCGGGAACCGACTGCTGAGCCCCAACCCAGCGGCTGAGCAGTGCCCAACGCTCGTGACCCCATGCTTGGGGCGCGGGCCAAGAAAGAGCCGAACTTATTGTGGGAGGGCTGAGCACTCGGCCTCCTTCAGGCCATCTGGGACCAGCCATGCCAGACACCGCCGTGGGGTCATTTGCAGCAGCCACCTGCACATGGCGGACAGCCGCAAAGCTGGCAACCCCTGACCTTGCAGGCATCACCAGCTGCAGGGACCGCAGGGCCAGATGCCTTCTAGGCGCCTAATTCAGGCGGTCGGCCTCGCAGCTGCAGCAGGGCTAGAACTGGCGTTCAGCCCCATTCCTGTGGCTGCTCAAAGCCCAGCACCCGCGACCTAGCAATATGGGCGGGGGGCCAAGAAAGAGCGGACCCTAGGTTGGGGCGCTGAGCACTCGGCGACCCTCAGGCCATCTGGGTCCATTCCTGCCAGCCTCTGCCATGGGTTCAGCTGCAGCCGCCACCTGAATATGGCGGGGTCAGCAACTGGGGCAACCCGGGCTATTTCCGTGACTACTATCGCGGTCCACAGGGCCAGACGCTGCCGTGGCGCCTAAGTCACGCAGTTGCAACCGCAGCTGCAGGAGGGTGGAAACCAGTGCCCAGTCCCATCCTGGTGGCTGCAGAGTGCCCAGCTCCAGGGACCCCCAACTTTGGGCGCGGGTCGAGCAGGAGCAGTGGACTGGGGCTGCGCAGTCACCTGGGGCCTGGGGCAGACCGCACCATGAGCTCAGTTTGGTGGTCGGCGCCTCAGCTGCAGCTGCCACCTGCATGCTGTGCCCACGAGAGCGCGACTCAGGGCGGTTTCTGGCCACGCGCAGTTTGTGGCCACGCGCGGGGCCATTACCTTCCGAGGTGCCAGTGCGCGCTGGGGCCCAATGGCTCTGCTCCGTATATTTCTTCTCCGAGAGTTTGGAGACGTCCCTCTCAGAGAAGCTGGAGGGTCCCTGTCTGAGGTCTGGGCCAGACCGTCTTGCTTTATGGTGCTGGTCAGGGTGGGGGCTGGGCGGCGGGAAGGGCGAGGGCTAGTTGTGGCGTCTCTGAAGCCGATAGCCGGGCCATGAAGAAGATCTTGGCTGTGGAGAGCCAGAAGGGCCAGGTGCCCCTGAGCTCCTGGAATAACCGCATCTTTTCTGACCCCTGGTACCAGACCCCAGATGAGGATCTGGAATATCCACAAAGCTGCGTCCAGGGGAACGCGTGGAAGCTGCAGCGGAGCCTCCTGCTCAAGAGAAAAGGCCAGTCTGAAACCTACAAGAAGAACATGTGTCGGGAACTGCGGGCTGTGGGCTGGGGGCTACTGGAGGAGGTGGGCAGGTGGGGAGAAGCACCCCCTTCAGAGCTGGGGGCTTGGGGAGTGGGGGCGAGGGGAGGCTTGGAAAGAATGGAGTGTGTGGGGCGGGCCGTCCTGGTCCCCAGGGCGCTGGGCTTTCTTCCCTGGCAGACTCCGCAGCGCCTGAGATGTGGACGCCTTGGAGGCGGAGGGCCCAAGTCATCTTTATGAGCAGCAAAAGAAACCCAAAACTTTAGCTGGTTTCTCCACCCACAGTTCCTCTTACAGAGCACTTCAGAGAGAATTTTAAAGCGGTATAACAAAATTAAGTATATACTGTGTTTTATTTTTAATGTACACATTTTAAAAGATAATATTAGATACATTATAGAAAGGAACGTAATGAAAGAAATAATTCCCATAATATATCACCTTCTGGGCTAAAAATTCTTTGGCTAAAATCCAATATTTATTTTATATTAATGAATGCCTACATAAATATGTTCTTTACTGAGGGAGCTTAGAAGGACACTTTGAAGTGGGAAGATGGTTCATGTTCTTGAATAAGAAGACTCATTTTTCTCAAGATGTGAGCTCTTTATCAATTTTACATAAACCAAATAAAGCTATCAAAATTTTTAACGTTTTTGAATTACACATGCTTTCACTATTGTGATGACATTAAGAAAATTTTTGTAACGGTTAAAAAAGTCTTACCTTTCTAGATATCAAATGTGCTATTGATTTCCACAAATAGTTTGCTAACAGCTGAAAAGATAGATAAATGAATACAAGAGAATAGAAAATCCAGGGACACTCAAATATATGTAAGAATTCAGAACTTGATAATGGTGATACTTTGTACTAGTAGGAAAAGATGAATTATTTTCATTAATGAAAGGCCTGCTTTTTGGAGGAAACTAGCTAGATTTTTATGCCACAAAAATAAGTTCCTCATACAATATAGACTGAAAATTTTAAATATGTAAGATGAGAGAAACATCAGAAGAAAACACAAATGCCTTATTTATACAGAAGCATTTTTGTGTTGACAAAAACCTGTCTAAGAAGCTCACAAGCAAGCCTTCTGAAGGTTGATCTAGCAAAATAAAATTAAATCACCCTATAATAACAAAAAATAACAAAACATAAGGTAACATAAAATATTTACCATATGTGTATACATATTAGATTAAATATGGATTTTCATTTTACAGAGAATTATTTCAAATCAGCCTGAAACAAAAAAGACTCTAATTTAACATTGAGCAAAGCAGTTCTTTCAGATCTGCAAGTGACCTATGCTCATAGGAAAAAATATTTTGTGTTCTTGGTAAGAGAAGGAATTTAAAAGAGGTATAAAATATTGTTTTCTGTCCACAAATTTTGTGAAGATGAAAAACAGTGATATTATACTGCTGCTTAAAGTTGCTGATGGCCTTTCAAATGGACAATTTGGTGGTAAGCATTACATTTTTAAAATGTATATTCCTTTTCTGATCAATTCCATTATACTAAAATCTGTTTAGAAGACAATGAGAGATACATGCGATTTCATAATTTGAAGGTCTTGAATTCCAGTGTTTTTATAGTTTGGGGTTTTACAATAAGTCTTTAATCTATTTTGAGTTAATTTTTGTATATGATGTAAGGAAGGGGTCTAGTTTCAATCTTCTGCATATGGTCAGCCAGTTATCCCAGCAACATTTATTGAATAGGGAATCCTTTCCCCATTGCTTGTTTTTGTCAGGTTTGGCAAAGATCAGATAGTTGTAGGTATGTGTACTTATTTCTGAGTTCTCTATTTTGTTCCATTGGCCTGTGTTTCTGTTTTTGTACCAGTACTATGCTTTGGTTACTGTAGCCCTGTAGTGTAGTTTGAAGTCAGGCAGCATGATGCCTTCAGCTTTGTTCTTTTTGGTTAGGATTGGCTTGACTATTTGGGCTCTTTTTTGGTTCTATATAGATTTTAAAATATTTTTTTCTAGTTCAGTGAAGAGTCTCAATGGTAGTTTAATAGTAAAAGCATTGAATCTATAAATTGCTTTTGGCAGTATGGCCATTTTAATGATATTGATTCTTCCTATGCATGAGCATGGAATATTTTTCCATTTGTTTTTGTCATCTTTGATTTCTTTGAGCAGTGCCTTGTAGTTTTCCTTGCAGATACCTTTCACCTCCCTAGTTAGCTGTATTCCTAGGTATCTTATTCTTTTGGTGGCAATTGTGAATGTGAGTTCATTCCTGATTTGGCTCTTAGCTTGACTGTTGTTGCATCTCAGGGATAAAGCCTACTTGCTTTTGGTGGATAAGCTTTTTGACGTTCTGCTAGATTCAGTTTGCCAGTATTTTGTTGAGAATGTTTGCATTGACATTCATCAAGGATACTAGCCGAAGTTTTCTTTTTTCTTTTTGTTATCTCTGCCAGGTTTTGGTATCAGGATGATGAGTTAAGGAGGATTTTTCTCCTCCTCAATTGTTTGGAATACTTTCAGTAGGTATGATGCCAGCTCTTCTTTGTACAACTGATAGAATTCAGCTGTGAATTCATCTATTCCTGGGCTTTTTTTACTTAGTAGGCTATTTATTACTTCCTCAATTTTAGAGCTTGTTTTTGGTCCATTAAAGGATTTAATTTCTTTCTGTTCAGCCTTGGAAGGGTGTATATGTCCAGGAATGTATCCATTTCTTTTAGATTTTTTAGTTCATGTGCAAAGAGGTGTTCATAATATTCTCTGATCATTGTTTGCATTTTTTGGGGGTAAGTGTTAATATCCCCTTTGTTTTTGATTGTGTTTATTCAAATCTTATCTCTTTTATTCTTTATTAGACTAGCTAGCAAGTCTGTCTATTTTATTAACTTTTTCGAGAAAGTATCTCCTGGATTTTTTTATCTTTTGAAAGATTTTTTATGTCATTATCTTCTTCAGTTCAGCTCTGATTTTGGTTTCTTGTCTTCTGCTAGCATTAGGATTTGTTCACCCTTGGTTCTCTAGCTCTTTTAGTTGTGATGTTAAGTTGTTGACTCGAGATCTTTCTAGCTTTTTGATGTGGGCATTTCATTTCCCTCTTTGTGGGCTATAAATTTCCCTCTTTACACTACCTTAGCTGTGTCCCAGAGATTCTGGTAGGTTGCATCTTTGTTCTCATTAGTTTCAAAGAACTTCTTGCATTCTTCCTTAATTTCAGTATTTACCCTATGTTCACTCAAGAGCAGGTTATTCAGTTTTCACGTAATGATGCAGTTTTGAGTGAATTTCTTAGTCTTAATTTCTAATTAGATTGTGATGTGGTTCAAGAGACTTTTTGTTATGATTTCAGATCTTTTGCATTTGTTGAGAACAAACCTAGATTTTACCTACAAAATGCATAGGTGATATCAGTGACAGGCATTGAAACTGATTTTGTCCAGTTCTTGATTCACTGTGAGCAATTAATGGCAAAACGAATCCAGGAGGCACTTTTTGATTTGGGGTGCTTGGTTTTTTAAGGGCTAGAGTAGCTTAGCCTTTATATATATATACATATTTATCATGTATTTTTATGGTAATATAAATATATATGTGTTATATATTTATATTTAAACATATTTATAAGATTGACTATATTAACTTACTCTGTTTTCTGTTGCTATAACTGAATACCTGAGACTAAGTGATTTATAAATAAATTTATTTCTTACAGCTCTGATGGCTGGGAAGTCCAAGGTTACAGGGCTTATCTGGTGAGGATCTTTTCCCTGGTGGGGACTCTACAGAGTCTCAGGGTAGTGCTGGGTATTACTTGGTGGTGGCCTCACAAGAGACAACCAGGAATGAATTAATCCATTCATAAGGGCTTGGCCTCCCAAAGGTTCTACCTCTCAAAAGTTCTCCCTCTCAAAGTTTCTACTAGTCACTTCCCAAAGGTTCTACCAGTCACTTCGCAAAGGTTCTACCTCTCAACACTGCTACCTTGGGGGACAAAGTTTTCAACACATGAACTTTTGGGGAACACATTCAAACCATATCACCACTTTAGCTGTCTTGGCTACTATCTGCACCTTTTATGTTCAACCCATGTATATCTTTGAATCTATTGTGTGTCTCTTATAAATAATATATATAGTTGGATCACATTTTTCTTATCAGTCTGACAATCTCTGCCTTTTGATTGTATTGTTTAATCCATTCACATTTAATGTTACTATGATATGCTTGGATTTACTTCTATTTTCCTTTTTATTTTTAACGTTTCATGTATTTTTTAATTCTTTTATTCCTTCTTTACTGCTTTTTCATCAAGTGAATATTTAAAAAGTTAACGAAACTCAAAGATTCTTGTACTTAGGAGAATGGATGTTTTTATACTTTTTTGGTAAACGTACATCACATATAATACTACCTTCCTGGCCTACTTCACAGAATGATGTGGAAATCAGTGAGACAGTATGAGACAGAGACTGAGAAACCACAAAGTATTGTTTCTAATTAAGTACTGGAGCAATGTTTAAAAATCAGTGTGAGATGGGCATGGTAGCTTACGCCTGTAATCCCAGCACTTTGAGAGGCTGAAGAGGGTGGATCATGAGGTGAGGTCAAGAGATCGAGACCAGCCTGGCCAACATAGTAAAACCTCATCTCTACTAAAAATACAAAAATTAGGCATGGTGGTGCACGCCTGTAGTCCCAGCTACTTGGGAGGCTGAGGCAGAAGAATCGCTTGAACCTGGGAGGTGGAGGTTGTGGTGAGGCGAGATAGTGCCACTGCACTTCAGCTTGGGCAACAGAGTGATACTCCATCTCAAAAAAAAAATTAGGGTGAAATTAAGTAGTAGTGTTTTACAAAAAATGAATTTTGAAAGGGTGTGTGTACGTGTTTAGGTCATGCTTTTTTGGGCTAGTTAGTATGAAATCTATTTACCTAAATTCTGTAAGACTACTTAAAATGTTTATTAAATTTTGAAATTCATGTAACATGTTAGGATCATAGCCTTGACTTGAGAAATAACTGGTTCCCGATCATTGCTTTCTGGGTTATGCACCTTGCAGTGATTACTTCTCCTCTTCTGTGTCCAGGTGACTGGATACTGTTGACTGATTAGGTAATTTATTTTAATGAAAACACACCACGTAGATGGTGCTGATAAGTCATAGACTTTGGCAAACTTTTCAGCATTCCCCAAGCAGTGTGGGCCCCTGCTTCTGCAGAGCTGACAGCTGGAGGGATCAGGCACTAATGTTTTAGTTTAATGAGAGACGTGCTATATGCAGCAAAAAAGCTGAGATGAGCTAATCTAACAGTGAACTTGCAGTTTACAGAGGAGAAGACATCTGATATAAAATGTAGAAGTTAGCCAAATGGTCATGAGCTGTGAAGAGCTTTCCATAGGTGAGAAAGTGCATTTGAAATGCACTTACTTGAGAATCCAACTCTGAAGTGAATTAGATTGGCTCCATTAAGTCATTTTAAAAGGCCAGGCACCATGGCTCATGCCTGTAATCTCAGCACTTGGGGAGACTGAAACGGGAGGATCTCTCGAGCCCTGGGATCCAAGACTAACCTGGGCAACATGGTGAGACCCCATCTCTACCAAAAAAAAAATATTTAAAATTGTTCAATGGTCCAGATTTCAAGGGTGAAGACAAAAAGTTGTTCAGCCATTTTTCTCAAACTAAAGCTCTCAAGCCGTAAGTGCCTGCTATTGTTTAGGTGTCTAAAATTTTAGTTGCCCAGAATCTAATTTAGAAGAGTAGCTTTCAGGTTGTTATTTTGAAGCCATGAAACCTTTTCTTCAATATTAATTTTGTAAAGAAATTCACTATGTGAAATATGTAATACAGACCTTCTGTGAATGAGGAATGTGGGAGAGATCCTCTGTTGCTCCTTTATGATCATAAAAATACCACATACTTTTTAAGAAAGCTGGTCAATATAAGAAAATATATATAAAAGAAATGTAAAATTGTCCCTAAATTTTACTTAAGTGAAGATAACCACTTTGGCATTTAACTAGATATATTTTATATATCCCTATGTATGCACTCAAAAAATTAATCTGTATAAATAGATCTTTTATGCTGATGCTTTATAACCTGATTGCTTTCACTCTCTAGTCTGTTGTTATCCGTGTCAGAAACTTTGGGTTTATAGCCTTAATAGCTGCACAGTATTTTTGCATAGATGTACCATATATTAATTCCCTATTCATGACATTTGGGCTGTTGCTATTTTTCACTTTTACAAGTGACTCCTCTGCAGTGACTCTTCTTTTCTATTCATGTTTGTAAACTTTTGTGATTATCTTCTTAGAATAAATTCCTGGGTAAAGAATTTCTAGGTCAAAGGGCACACACACTAAAAATTTTCATAAATTGCCAAACAATGTATTTAATTAATAATGAATATCAAAATATTTACATTTTGACTCTCTTTATGCAGGCAAATTTTTATTTCCTGTGTTGTTTTAAACTAAATTGAAAGAAAAAAATTGAGTGGTAAAAAATATTTGAAAAAATGTTTTACCTTTAACAAATTTAAATATTTTATATAATTCATAAAAGAAAGCCATGCTCTCTAATACTTGTTTAAAAATATTAATCTTTAAAGTAAAATCTTTGAAATTAAGTTATTTCAAAATGTTTTCATTTAGGTAATGTTTGGGCTTCCAAATATGAATAACTGTTTCTTTCATATGTCAATATTAAGAAAAATATTTTGAAGGTAACATTGGTTGATCTCTAACATTTTCCTTTCACTTCAATGTTTGCATTGTATGAAAATAGTCTTACTGCCATTAACACATTTTCATTATAGGCAGCATAATGGAGAGCAGTGTTTCAATAGCCCTTTGTCAGATGGGTAGATTGCAAAATTTGCTCCCATTCTGTAGGTTTCCTGTTCACTCTGATGATAGTTTCTTTTGCTGTGCAGAAGCTCTTTAGTTTAATTAGATCCCATTTTTCAATTTTGGTTTTTGTTGCCGTTGCTTTTGGTGTTTTAGACATGAAGTCTTTGGCCATGCCAATGTCCTGAATGGTATTGCCTAGGTTTTCTTCAAGGATTTTTGTGGTTTTAGGTCATATGTTTAAGTTTTTAATCCATCTCGAGTTAATTTTTTATAAGGTGTAAAGAAGGGGTCCAGTTTCAGTTTTCTGCATATGGCTAGCCAGTTTTCTCAGTACCATTTATTAAATAGGGAATCCTTTCCCCATTGCTTGTTTGTGTCAGTTTTGTCAAAGATCAAATGGTTGTAGATGTGTGATGTTATTTCTGAGGCCTCTGTCCTGTTTCATTGGTCTATATATCTGTTTTGGTACCAGTACCATACTGTTTTGGTTACTGTAGCCTTGTAGTATAGTTTGAAGTCAGGTAGCATGATGCCTCCAGCTTTGTTCTTTTTGCTTAGGATTATCTTGGCTATGTGGGCTCTTTTTTGGTTCCATATGAAGTTTAAAGTAATTTTTTTTCAATTCGGTGAAGAAAGTCAATGGTAGCTTGATGGGGACAGCATTGAATCTATACATTACTTTGGGCAGTATGGCCATTTTCACAATATTGATTCTTCCTATCCATAAGCATAGAATGTTTTTCCATTTGTTTGTGTCCTCTCTTATTTCCTTGAGCAGTGGTTTGTAGTTCTCCTTGAAGAGGTTGTTCACATCCTTTGTAAGTGGTATTCCTAGGTATTTTATTCTCTTTGTAGCAATTATGAATGGGAATTTGGTCGTGATTTCGATCTCTGTTTGTCTATTATTGGTGTATAGGAATGCTTGTAATTTTAAAACATTTATTTTGTATCCTGAGACTTTGCTGAAGTTACTTATCAGCTTAAGGAGATTTTGGGCTGACACGATGGAGTTTTCTAAATATACAATCATGTCATCTGCAAACAGAGACAATTTGACTTCCTCTTTTCCTATTTGAATACCTTTTATTTCTTTCTCTTGCCTGATTGCTCTGGCCAGAACTTCTAACACCATGTTGAATAGGAGTGGTGAGAGAGGGCATCCTTGTCTTATGCCGGTTTTCAAAGGCAATGCTTCCAGTTTTTGCCTATTCAGTATGATATTGGTTGTGGATTTGTCATAAATAGCTCTTATTATTTTGAGATACATTCCATCAACACCTAGTTTATTGAGAGTTTTTAGCATGAAAGGGTGTTGAATTTTATTGAAGGACTTTTCTGCATCTATTGAGATAATCATGTGGTTTTTGTCATCGATTCTATCATATAATGATGGATTACATTTATTCATTTTCATATGTTGAGCCAACCTTTCATCCCAGGAATGAAGCCAACTTGATTGTGGTGGATAAGCTTTTTGATGCACTACTGGATTAGCTTTGCAGTATTTTATTTAGGATTTTCCCAACGATGTTCATCAGAGATATTGGCCTGAAATTTTCTTTTTTGTTGTGTGTCTGCCAGGTTTTGGTATCAGGATGATGCTGGCCTCATAAAATGAGTTAGGGAGGATTATCTCTTTTTCTATTGTTTGGAATAGTTCAGAAGGAATGGTACCAGCTCCTCTTTGTACCTCTGGTAGAATTCGGCTGTGAATCCTTCTGGTCCTTGACTTTTTTTGGTTGGTAGGCTATTCATTACTGCCTCAATTTCAGATCTCATTATTGGTTCATTCAGGGATTCAACTTCTTCCTGGTTTAGACTTGGGAGGGTGTATGTGTCCAGGAATTTATTCATATCTCCTAGGTTTTCTAGTTTATTTGCATAGAGAGTTTTCTAGTATTCTCTGATGGTGGTTGGTATTTCTGTGGGATCAGTAGTGATATATCCCCTTTATCCTTTTTTATTTCATCTATTTGATTCTTCTCTTTTTTCTCCTTTATTAGTCTGGCTAGTGCTGTATTTTGTTGATCTTTTCAAAAAAGCAGCTCCTGGGTTCACTGATTTTTTTGAAGGGTTTATCATGTCTCTGTCTCCTTCAGTTCTGCTCTGATCTTAGTTATTTCTTGTCTTCTGCTAGCTTTTGAATTTGTTTGCTCTTGCTTCTCTAGTTCTTTTAATTTTGAGGTTAGGGTGTCGATTTTAGATCTTTTCTGCTTTCTCTTGTGGGCATTTAGTGCTATAAATTTCCCTTTACACACTGCTTTAAATGTGTCCCAGAAATTCTGGTACACTGGTCTTCGTTCTCATTGATTTCAAAGGACATTTTTATCTGTGCCTTCATTTCGTTATTTACCCAATAGTCCTTCAGGAGCAGATTGTTCAGTTTCCATGTAGTTGTGTGGTTTTGAGTGAGTTTCTTAATCTTGAGTTCTAATTTGATTGCACTGTGATCTGGGAGACTGTTTATTATGATTTCTGTTCTTTTGCATTTGCTGAGGAGTGTTTTACTTCCACTTATGTGGTCAACTTTAGAATAAGTGCGATCAGGCGCTGAGAAGAATGTATATTCTGTTGATTTAAGGTGGAGAGTTTTGTAGATGTCTTTTAGGTCTGCTTGATCCAGAGCTGAGTTCAAGTCCTGAATATCCTTGTTAATTTTCTGTCTCATTGATCTGTCTAATATTGACAGTGGGGTGTTAAAGTCTCCCATTGTTATTGTGTGGGAGTCTAAGTCTCTTTGTGGGTCTCTAACAACTTGCTTTATGAATCTGGGTCCTCCTGCATTGGGTGCATATGTATTTAGGACAGTTAGTTCTTCTTGATGCATTGATCCCCTTACTGTTACATAATGCCCTTGTCTTTTTCGATCGTTATTGGTTTAAAGTCTGTTTTATCAGAGATTAGCATTGCAACTCCTGCTTTTTTTTTGCTTTCCTTGTGCTTGATAAATATTCCTCCGTCCTTTTATTTTGAGCGTATGTGTGTCTTTGTATGTAAGATGGATCTCCTGAATACAGCACACTGATGGGTCTTGACTCTATCCAATTTGCCAGTCTTTGTCTTTTAATTTGGGCATTTATCCCATTTACATTTAAGGTTAATATTGTTATGTGTGAATTTTATCCTGTCATTATGATGCTAGCTGGTTATTTTGCCCACTAGTTGATGCAATTTCTTCATAGTGTTGATGATCTTTACAATTTGGTATGTTTTTGCAGTGGCTGGTACAAGTTGTTGTTTTCCATGTTTAGTGCTTCCTCCAGGAACTCTTGTAAGTCAGGCCTGTTGGTGACAACATCTCTGAGCATTTGCTTGTCTGTAAAGGATTTTATTTCTCCATCACTTATGAAGCTTACTTTGGCTGGATATGAAATTCTGGGTTGAAATTTATTTTCTTTAAGAATGTTGAATATTGGCCTCCATTCTCTTCTGGCTTGCAGGGTTTCTGCAGAGATCTGCTGTTAGTCTGATGGGCTTTCCTTTGTGGGTAACCTGACTTTTCTCTCTGGCTACACTTAACCTTTTTTCCTTCACTTCAACCTTGGTGAATCTGATGATTATGTGCCTTGGGGTTGCTCTTCTCAAGGAGTGTGTTTGTGGTATTCCTTGTATTTCATGAATCTGAATCTGAATGTTGGCCTGTCTTGCTAGGTTGGGGAAGTTCTCCTGGATAATCTCCTGAAGAGTGTTTTCCAACTTGGTTCCATTCTCCACAACTCAGTTTATTTCATTAAGTTGGCCTTTAATCTCTGATATCCTTTCTTCCGCTTGATCAATTCAGCTATTGATACTTGTGTATGCTTCACAAATTTCTCATGCTGTGTTTTTCAGCTCCATCAGGTCATTAGTGTTCTTCTCTAAACTGGTTATTCTAGTTAGCAATTCTTCTGACCTTTTATCAAGGTTCTTAGCTTCCTTGCATTGGGTTAGAACATGCTCCTTTAGCTAGGAGGAGTTTGTTATTACCCACCTTCTGAAGCTTACTTCTGTCAATTCATTAAACTCATTCTCCATCCAGTTTTGTTCCCTTGCTGGAGTTGTGATCTTTTGGAGGAGAAGAAATGTTGTGGCTTTTGGAATTTTCAGACTTTTTGTGCTGGTTTCTCCCCATCTTTGTTGATTTACCTACCTTTGGTCTTTGATGTTGGTGACCTTCAGATGGGGCCTCTGAGTGGACATGCTATTCCTTTCTGTTTGTTAGTTTTCTTTCTAACAGTCAGGACCCTCTGCTGCAGGTCTGCTGGAGTTTCCTGAAGATCCACTCCAGACCTTGTTTTCCTGGGCATCACCAGTGGAGGTTGCAGAACAGAAAAGATTGCTGCCTGTTCTTTTCTCTGGAAGCTTTGTTCCAGAGGGGCACATGCCAGATGCCAGCCAGAGCTCTCCTGTATGAGGTGTCTGTCAGACCCTACTGGGAGGTATCTCCCAGTCAGGATACACAGGGGTCAGGGACCCACTTGAGGAGGCAGTCTGACCCTTAGCAGAGCTCGAACGCTGAGCTGGGAGGTTCACTGAATGCTCTTCAGAGTCATCAGGCAGGGACGTTTAAGTTTGCTGAAGTTGTGCCCACAGCCAACCCTTTCCCCAGGTGTTCTGTCCCAGGGAGATGGAGGTTCTATCTATTAGTCCCTGACTGGGGCTGCTGCCTTTCTTTTCAGAGGTGCCCTGCCCAGAGAGGAGAAATCTGGTAGTCTGGCCTTAGCGGCCTTGCTGAGCTGTGGTGGGCTCTGTCCAGTTCAAAGTTCCCAGTGGCTTTGTTTACACTGTGAGGATAAAACTACCTATTCAAGCCTCAGCAATGGCGGATGCCCTTCTTCTGCCAAACATTCAATTATGTCAGATGTTTCTTTTCCCAAGCATTCAATATTGTCAGGTTTTTCTCCTGCCAAATATTTAATCTGATGTGTCTTCTGCCAAATGTTCAATCTTGTCTGATATTTCTTCTGCTGACGATGCAGTCTTCTCAGATGTTTCTTCTGACACACATGCAATCTTCTTAAATGTTCTTTCTGCCAAATATTGAATCTTGTCAGATGTTTCTTTTGCTATTTCTTCCCACAAAGCCTCCCAACTCTGATGGGGTGTTTCTCTTACATCCACCCAGCTCCTCTTGTTGACTGCAGCCCCCAGTTGGCAGTTCCTGTTACCTCTTCTTATTGTATGTTTCATACAAGTTTTTTCTCTTGAGCATAAGGATCTGCTTCAGCTTCCGTACTTTTTTTTCTGGATGGAAGATTTGTGAATCTTCCTGAAGTTATCAACTGGAATTTTGCACTGATGTTATAAGAAGATGTTATCACAGAAGGAGCTCAGGGGCACCTGGCACTTCTGGCTCTTTACAGCAAAGATCTTTTTCATGGCTGTGACTACCAACTTCAATAACACCACAGCTCACCCTCACTCTTCCTCACCTCCCCTCCGACCCCAATGCCAGCAAGCAATTTGCTCTGGCCAAGATCTCTGACAGAGGTCTCATCGTCTTGAGACTCTTAGAGAACAAACACACCATCTCCAGCCTCTCAGAGCAGAAACACACAGTCTCCAGCCTCTCACAGAAAAAATAAATAAATAAATAAATAAATAAATAAATAAATAAACCTCACCATCTCCAGTTTCTCAGAGGAGAGTCTGGCCATCTCCTACTTTGCAGTGAATAGACTCACTGTCTCCAGACTGTCAGATGAGAGACTTACGTCTTGCAGCCTCTAAGAAGAGGACCCCAATGTCTCCAGCCTCTCAAAGGAGAAACTCATCATCACCAGCTTTTGGAGGAGAAACTGGCTGTCTCCAGCCTCTCAGAGAATGACCTTTCCATCTCCAGCCTCTCACAAGAGAAACTCACCATGTCCAGCTTCTGGAAAATAACTCACCATCTGCAGCCTCTCAGAGGAGAAACTGGTTGTCTTTAGCCTCTCAGAAAAGGAATTCACAGTCTCTAGCATCTCAGAGGACAAACTTATCATCCTGAGCCTCTCAGAGAAGAAACTTACTGTTTCCAGCCTCCTAGACAGAAACTTGCTGTCTCCAGCCTCTCAGAGGAGAAACGGTCACCAGCCTCTTAGAAGAAGAAAATCTTGCTGTCTCCAGCCTCTTGGAAAAAAAACTGGCCATCTCCAGCCTCTGAGAAGAGGACCTCATTGTCTTCAGCCTCTCAGAAAAAGAACTCACCAACTCCATCCTCTCAGAGGAAGAACTCACCATATCCAGCCAATCACAGAGACTCACACTCCCCAGCCTCTCAGAGGAGAGACTCACTGTCTTCGCCTCTCAGAGAAAAAACTCACTGTCTCCAGCCTCTCAGAAAAGAAACTAACCATCTCCGGTCTCTTGCAGAGGGATCTCACTATCTCCAGCCTCTCACAGGGGGACTTCATGTCTCTAGCCTCTCACAGGATGACCTCACTTTCTCCAGCCTCTTAGATGAGGAACTCACAGTCTCTGGGCTCTAAGAGAAGAAACTCATCATCTTGAGTCTCTCAGAAGAGTAACTGACCATCTCCAACTTTCCAGCAAAGAAACTGGCCATCTCCTACCTCTCAGAAAAGAACCTCACCATCTCCAGCCTCTCAGAAATGGAATTGGCCATCTCCTGCCTCTCAGAGGAGGACCTCAATGTCTCCAGACTCTCAGAGGAGGAATTCACAGTCTCCAGGCTCTCTGAGATGAAACTCACTATCCTGAGCTTCTGAGAAGAGAAGCTTACCATCTCCAACCTCCCAGTAAAGAAACTGGCCATCTCCTGCCTCTCAGAATGAGGATACACCACCTCCAGACTCTCAGAAGAGAGACTTGTCATCCTCAGCTTCTCAGAGAAGACACTCACCATCTCCACTTTATTGGAAGAAAAGCTCACAGTCTCCAGCCTCTCAGAAGAAAATCTGGTCATCTCCAGCATCTCAGAGGAGCACTTCTCCTTCTCCAGCCTCTCAGAGGGTGGAACTTGTAGTCTTTAGCCTCTTAGAGGAGAAACTCATCATCTCCAGCCTTCTCTCAGAAGGGAAACTGGCTGTCTCCAGCCTCTCAGAGGAGAAACTTTTTGTCTCTAGCCTCTCAGAGTAGGACCTCACCATCTCCAGCTTCTCAGAAAATAAATTAATCATCTTCAGCCTCTCAGAGGTGAAACTCACAATCTACAGCCTCTCAGAAGAGTACCTTGCAGTCTGCAGTCTCTCAAAGGAGAAAATTGCCATCTCCAGCCTCTCGAAGAAGAAACTGTCTGCAGCCTCTCAGATGAGGAAATCTTCATCTCCAGTCACTCAGGAAATAAACTTACCATCTCCAGCCTCTGAAAGAAGAAACTTGCTGCCTCCAGCCTCTCAAAGGAGGAACTCACCATCTCCAGTCTCTCATAGAAGGGCATAATTTTCTCCAGCCTCTCAGGAAAAAAAAAGACTTGCCATCTCCAGCCTCTCAGGAGAAACTCATTGTCTCCAGCCTTTCAGAGGAGAGAGTCACCATGTCCAGTTTCTCAGAGGAGGAGCTCACTGTCTTCAGCCTCTCAAAGTAGGGCTTTACCATCTCCTGCTACTCAGAGAAGAAGCTCCCCACCTCCAGCCTCTCAGTGGAGACAGTGGGGTTACAATGGCATAGCATTGCCCCAACCCCCAAAAGAAATAGTATCGAAGTCCAATGTAAACCTATTAATTACGTGGCTGTGCTACAATCAAAACATAGATCTCTGACGTCAGCCTTATTGTTCTTCATTGTGTTGATCAAGGTAAGCATGTGCTTTCATCTTTAGTTAAGAGATTCATGAGTATAGGACACAGCTTAGTGTTTAAGTCTTTTGAGTCTTAGACAAGGAATTTCCAACTATAAATGAAGCCATACTAAAACATAAATGGCAGAGGTTTCTGGGTATCCTCGGTGTCCAAAGTGACTGTCAGCAAGTTTATTCATGTTCTGTCTCTCTCTTCCTATAGAAGTGCCCTAGCCCTCAAGTCCTCCTCACTCGAAGCCTATGGACTCCTAATTTGCACACAAGTCTAACAAGCCACATCATCTTGTTTTTCAGTTCATAGCACTGTGAAACAGGAGACATTAGAGGCAAGCATTGATAGCAGTAAAAAGGGCAACCACTAGGAAAGAGTCAGAATATTAACAAACAAATGTCAGAAAT
Source organism: Homo sapiens (assembly GCF_000001405.40). Taxonomy (NCBI): domain Eukaryota; kingdom Metazoa; phylum Chordata; class Mammalia; order Primates; family Hominidae; genus Homo; species Homo sapiens. The sequence continues at coordinate 57,276,605 of NC_000008.11, forward strand.
GGAAGTCAAATAGTCCAGGACTAATCTAAGGGCAGATATTACCATATACAATAAGCCATTGGGATGTCTCTAGATTTCAGCATAGTTCATTAGTTTATGCCCAAAACAGTGACTTAAATCTTCCTCCCAAAAAGATGAACTTGTGATTATTGTTCAATATAAAATGTAATACATTAAAAAATATAAGACTTTTTTTTGAGACAGAGTCTCACTCTGTCGCCAAGGCTGAAGTGCAATGGTGAGATCTCGGCTTACTGCAACTTCCCCCTCCTGGGTTCAAGCAATTCTCCTGTCTCAGCCTCCCAAGTAGCTGGGTTTACAGGTGCCCACCACCACAACCGGCTAATTTTTTGTATTTTTAGTAGAGATGGGGTTTCACCATGTTGGCCAGGCTGGTCTCAAACTCCTGACCTCAGATGATCCACCTGCCTCGGCCTCCCAAAGTGCTGGGATTACAGCCGTGAGCCCCCGCGCCTGGCTCGGTGCAGCTGCCAGTATGGGGCTGAATGGCCTTTTATTAAAAATGTAAGACATTTTAAATAAAAGAAGTTAAAAAGTCTGTGGAAGTATTGAGGGTGAGAATCTCTGCTAGCTAGATCTCTATATTAAGTGATGAGATAAGCTTTATTAAAAATGAGAATCAGTTCATACTTAACCTAAGCCTGACAGTGCTGGGCAGAGAGTCCTGCTGTACCACTACCAATGGAGCCAGGCAAGGATGCCTCTCTGCTAGACACAGCACATATGGACAAAGCCACAAGCTATGGCTCATCCCAATAGAATCTTACTAGTTCCCTGGTAAGGTTAGCTATAATGTCTTCTAACTCACATCATTTGCATTAAAAAAAGAAAGAAACAGATGATGACTGATACACATGTTGGTTGGTAGAGCTTTCAGGTTCCTCTTTCCATGTAGTTGAGGAAATTCCTCAGCCCATTGTCACCTCGGATCTCATGCTGCAACTCCATCCTTAGCTCAACACCCACTGGCCCCTGCTTTCAAACTGTTGCTGGTCTTCAGGTAGAGCAGGTTCTGCAGATCAAAGGACATTTTTCACTAAAAATCTCTGACATCAGAGACAGAGACTACATATCTATAATGAACCTTTCCGAAACCTGTCCATTAGAAAGCCACTTCTCAGTACAGAGGTGGACCTTGGAGACTTTCCAGGATTTTCACATCCATCTGCGAAGAGGAAAAGAACTCCTGAAACTGGGCTGACTTCATAACCAGTTTAATTTCACACATCTCACCTTTCTGGAGCTGCCTTGTTTTTCCCTTCTTGCATCACTGCAGAGAAAATTCATGGACTTCCTAAAGGTGAGACTCTGACCCATTAGTAAGAAAGTCTTGCTTTATGTTAAGTTGGCTTTCTCTGGAGATCTCCTAACTGCTTTATAAACATTCTTTCACACCTCCAAGCAGGTAGGTGGTAACTCATATTCAATTGTTACTTTAGTTTCAGTGATCCCCAGGAGCACTGATCCCCTGACCAGATGCCATGGAGGCTGCTAAGTCAGGTAGCTGGCTGGGCTGTGGAACAATGGGCAAAACCACAGCTCAGCCCCATTGTCTTTGGCTGCAGATTACCCAGCAACAGGGCCGCTCTCCAGATGCAGGTCAAGGAGGAGTGGACCCTGAGGCCTGGCAGCAGGCACACTTAGCTACCTGGAGGCCTTCTGAGGGAAGCCCCATATCCGGAGCCAGTACCTGAGCTACAGCCGCTACGTGCAGGTTGCGCACTGATAGAAGTGGCCCTGCAGCCTCCAACTTCCCGCTTCCCCTCTGGGCCCCAGCAGCGCAGACTCCCATGTCAGATGCCACTGCCGCGCCTAAGTCAGGTGGTCCGCCTTGCAGCAGCACGAGGGCGGGAAAAGGCCACTCAGCCTCATACTGGCAGCTGCACAGTGCCCAGAACCCACCACCTCGTGCCAAGGAAGAGCACACCCTAGAATGGGAGGTTGGGCACACCCTAGAATGGGAGGAGCAGCAGAGCCTAGAATGGGAGGCTGGTGTCCTCGGGGACCCTAAGGCTGTCTGGGACCAGCCCTGCCAGCCTCCACCAAGGACTCTGCTGCAGCTGTCACCTGCACATAGGGCTCGGTAACAGAGATGGCAACCCCCAACACTGCCGGCCCCACCAGCAGTGAAAAATACAAGGCCAGAGGCTACCAGGGCTTCTAATTCAGGCGGTTGGCAGGACAGCTGCAAGAAGGGAACCCGCAGCTGCAGGAAGAGAACCTGGCGGCCACACAGTTCCCAGCGCCCACGACCCGGGGCTCAGGGCGCGGGAGAAAGAGGAGCTGACCGTAGGGTGGGAGGGAGGTGCACTCGGCGACCCTCAGGCTTTCTGGGACCAGGCCTCCCAGCCTCCGCCTGGGCTCAGCTGCAGCTGCCACCTGCACATGGCGCGCGGCAGCACAGATGGCAATCCAATACCCTGCCCGCACCACCAGCCCTGGACCCCAGGGAGAGACATTGCCACTTCAACTAATTCAGGTGGTCCGTGCCGCAGCTGTCGGAGGATGGGAACCGGTGCTCAGCCCCATCCCAGTGGCTGCACAGTGCCCAGGACCCACGACGCGGAGCTCTCGGAGCTGGCCAAGATTCCATATCGGACCCTATGGTGAAAGGGCCATGCAGTCGGTGACATTCAGGACGTCTGGGACCAGCCCAGTCGATCTCCCCCATGGGCTCAGTTGCAGCTGCCACCTGCACAAGGCACCCTGCAGCAGCGGTGGCAACCGCTGCCCTGCCCACTGCCACCACCAATGAGGATCCCAGGGTCGGCCGCATAATTCACCCGGTGGGCCCTGCAGCTTCAGGAGAGTGAGAAAGGTCCACTCAGCCCCATCCCGGTTGCTGCATATTGCCCAGCTCCCAGGACCTCACACTCTGTGCGTGGGACAAAAAAAGAGTGGAACCTGGGGTTGGAGGGATGTACACTAAGCGACCCTCAGCTGTGTGGGACCAGCCCTGCCAACTTCCATCGTGGGCTCAGCTGCAGCTGCCACCTGCACACGGTGCGGGGAAGCAGTGATGGCAACCTTTCACCGTGCCCACGCCACCAGCAGCGTGAAACCCAGGGCCAGACGTCACCAGGAGCCTAATTCAGGCGATTGGCCTGGCAGCTACAGGGCGGGAACTCGCTGCTCAGCCATCGGATTTAGGCTGCTGCACAGTCCCCAGCACTGGCGACCTCGTTCTCTGGGCGCAGGGCAAGGAAGAGAGGACCCCAGTTGGGAGGGTGGTGCACTCGGAGACCTGAAGGCCCTCTGGGACCAGCCTTGCCAGCCTCCGCCTTGGGTTCAGCTGCAGCTGTCATCTGCATATGGCGCGCGGCAGCAGAGGTGGCAACTCTCAACGCTGCCCGAGCCACCAGCAGCGCGGACCCCTGGCCAGATGCCCCAGCAGCGCCTAATTCGGGCGGCCGGCCCTTCAGCTGCAGGAGGGGGGAACCAGTGGCTCAGCCCCATGTAGGCGGCTGCACAGTGCCCAGCACTCAAGACCTCGCGCTCAAAAGAGGGCACAGGAGGAGCAGCTGCAGGGGGCAGCGTCGTTAGGCGGGCCCTGAGACAGCTGGGACCGCGCGCTCGGCTCTAGGGAGCTCGGCCAGTCCACAGGCGTCTCAGCAGCAGCTGCCACCTGCATGCGGTGCCGGCGAGTGCTCGGCTCAGGGCGGTTTCTGGCCACACGCAGTTTCTGGCCACGCGCAAGGCGGTTGCCTTTTGAGGTCCCATGGGCGCTGGGGCCCAACTGCTCTGCTCCGTATATTATTTATTCTCCGAGAGGTTGGAGACGTCCTTGTCCGAGAAGTTGGAGGGTCCCTGTCTGAGGTCTGGGCCAGACTGCCTTGCTTTCTGGTGCTGGGCCGGATGGGGGCCGGGTGGGGGCTGGGCTGGGGGAAGGGCGAGGGCGAGTTGTGGCGTCTCTGAAGCCAATAGCTGGGCCATGAAGATGATCTTGGCTGTGGAGAGCCAGAAGGGCCAGGTGCGCCTGAGCTCCTGGAGTAGTAACTGCATCTTCTCTGACCCCTGGTACCAGACTCCAGATGAGGATGTCGGGATGATACACAAAGCTGCGTCCAGGGGAACGCGTGGGAGCTGCAGCTGAGGCTCCCGCTGAAGAGAAAAGACCAGTCTGAAATCTACAAGAACAGGTGTCGGGAACTGCGGGCTGCAGGCTTGGGGGTTGAGGGAGGAGGTGGGCAGGTGGGGAGAAGCACCTCCTTCAGAATTGGGGGCTTGGGGAGTGGGGGCCAGGGGAGGCGTGGAAAGAATAGTGTGTGCGGGGTGGGCCGTCCTCGTCCCCAGGGCGCTGGCTTTCTTCCTAGGAGGACTCCGCAGAGCCTGGGATGTGGACGCCTTGGGGGTGGAGGGCCCAGGCCATCTTTATGAGCAGCAAAATAAACCCAAAACTTTAGCTGGTTCCTCCACCCACAGTTCCTCTTACAGAGCACTTCAGAGAGAACTTTAAAGTGATTTAATAAAATTAAGTATATATTGTTTTATTTTTAATGCACACATTTTAAAAGATAATGTTAGATACGTTATGGAAAGGTACATAATGAAAGAAATAATTCCCATAATATATCACCTTCTGGGCTAATAATTTTTTGGCTAAAATCCAATATTTTATATCAATGAATACCTATGTAAATATGTTCTTTGCTGAGAGACCTTAGAAGGAAACTTTGAAGTAGGAAGAAGGTTCACGTTCTTGAATAAGAAGACTCATTTTTCTCGAGGTGTGAGATCTTTATTAATTTTACATAAATCAAAGTTATCAAAGTTAACATTTTTGAATTACACATGCTGTCTTTTAATATTAAGATGGCTTAACATTTTTGTAATGGAGAAAAAAAGTCTTGCCTTTCAAAATGTGCTATTAATTTGCATAAATAGTTTGCTAACAGCTGAAAAGATAGATAAATGAATGCAAGAGAATAGAAAATCCAGGAACACCCAAATATATGTAAGAACGTATAACAGGGTAATGGTGAGACTTTATACTAATAAGAAAAGAGTTATTTTTATAAATGAAATGCCTGCTTTTTGGAAGAAACTAGCTAGATTTTTATGTCACAAAAATAAGTTTCTCATTGAATATAGATTATTTTAAATATGCAAAATGAGAAAAATACCAGAAGAAAACGCAAATGCCTATTTATACAAATACATTTTTGTGTTGACAAAGACCTTCCTAGGAACCTCTCAAGCAAGCATTCTGAAAGTTTATTTAGCAAAATTAAAATTAAATCACACTGAATATGAGAAAAAGATAAAATAAAAGACATCATACTTATATAATATTTACCACGTGTTTTTGTGTGTGTACATATTAAAAATGGCTATTCATTTTACAGAGAATTCTTCCAAATCAACATGAAAATACCTCTAAAACTGGGCAAAGTACTTTTTCCAGCTCTGCAAGTCACCTATGCACATAGGAAAAAAATACTTAATGTGTCCGATAAGAGAAGGACTTTAATTTAAAAAAGGAATAAAATGCCGTTTTCTGTCCTAAGTTTGTGAAGATGAGGAGCAGTGATATTTACACTTCTGCTTAAAGTTAAGTTGCTGATGACTTTTCAAAAAGACAATTTGGTGGTAAGTACCATGTTTAAACTATGCGTATGCCCTTTCTTGATCAATTCCATTATAGTAAAATACATTTAGGAAACAACGAGAGATACATGCAATTTGTTTTTCTCAGCAGTGCTTAAAATATGATTGTATTAAAGAGAATCCATATAACAAATTTCATAAATAAATTTCAGTGAATATATAGTATGGGATAATATGAGACCACTGAAAGTAATATCTACAAAAGTATGTTGACATATGAAAATGTATTTTGGTGTATCAGGTGAAGATAACATTCAGTTTGATTACACATACAAACTGACTATGTTCTTGCTTTATCTGAAAATATGTACCAAATGTGATAAAATTTGTTATTTGGGGACAATTGTATTATAATGAACTGTTTTTCCTTTTTAAGATTTGTGATTTCTTCACTGAGCAGGGGATTGGGGATCTGTGGTATATAGCATATAGCATAATTATTACTAATGAAATAATCCTTAGGAAGAGCAGAAATATTAATTTTGCAGCTAAAAGTAATTTCTCACTTTCTATTTTTAAATTTTTATTTCTATGGATTAGTATAGTCTGTGAACTTTCAGTGTCTTCAGAAGTGAAGATAAACTTTATCTGTGATAGTGGTTTTATATATGTACATATTTTATTAAACATATTTTTATTATGTATAGATTTATTACATATATGCCAATAATTACATATTAATCATTTTAGTTTAGTGTTATTATTATGAAAATAAAAATAGTGAATATAAGTAACTATTACCATTGCAAAAATATCACTTTATTTGTAGCTGTTTTAAAAATATTAAACTTCCCAACTGTATTTATTCATTTTTAAAATCTATTTATTCATCAAATACAAGCTGAATACCTGTTATGTAAAAGGCACATTATACTAACTATCAAGACCCTTCCATTCTTAAAAATTTCATGTGTACCTGCCCACCCTGAGCAAGCTGAGAGATTTAAAATTAGAGAATTAGGACTGAATCTCAACTGAAGCTTGTCCTCTCATCTTTCAAAAAAAATAAAATCATTTCTGATGTGGGAAAGTAATGCAAGATAACATCAGTGGCCACTTTGAAAATGTATACGTCTTAAACAGTGATATTAATTATCATAAATACTTACCCTACATGCATTTTATACATGTAAATACTAATTTACATACATGCATACATTTAGATTCTGTAAATCTAAATATTTAATTAAATGAGCCATATTTATTTATTTGAATCCTGTCTTCTATTAGGCTTAAAGTTTTTAAAAATTAAGGAATTGTTTTGTTTTAAAAATTTGCTTTTATTTCAACGCTCCTTTTCCGTAGTACATTTAAGTGCTTAAAATTGATTTAAATGTTAATCATACGACTAGGACTTCCATTGTCCTATTGTATATACCGTATTCCACTTGATGTAGCCACCATGGATTGTGTGATGCTGCCTTATTTTATGTATCAATAAAATAATGTTTAAAATGCTGAAAAATATAGTTGTAATAAATAATGAATTATAAGTAGCATTTCAATGTCAGAGATGTTGAAATATGAGAAAATGAGAATCTTAGAATCATTGAAATACAGTCTTATCTCGAACCTTTAAATCATAACACAAAGGAAGTATAATGGTACCATTTTACCTAATTAAAATGTTGTCTTTATTAAGTAGTAGTAATAATTATAATATCTAGCAAGCGAAAGATCTTAAAATAGTATTCAAGTGCAAGATCAACTAAACCGAGAGGCCAAGCTCTTTCTGTCCAAATAGGTCACTCTTTCATTGATGCAGTGAATAATAAGAGCTAATAAATATTGTCCCTTTTCAGGAGGAAATTAATATTTGTTTTGAAAGCAGAGGAATAGCATGCTATTTATTGTTTGCAATTACGTGAATCATTGTATGTTTTGAGATAGTGGACTAAACTTCTCTCAATATCTTCTCAATTTTGTAGGATGGTTCCACATTTGGCCTGTGCCAATGGCTGCCCAGAAGTGGTAACTTTTCTGGTGCACAGAAAATGCCAGCTTAACATCTGTGACAGTGAAAACAAGACACCTCTAACGAAGGTATATAGTAGCCAGTTCTTTCAGCATGAGATGGATTTGGCTTAAATACATAGAATAAAAATGAATTTGTCTCATTGAAATATAACTAGTTTGTGAAACCTGTGGAATACTTATTTTAATTTCCTACAATTTACAATTTATTTCTTGTTCTAATACTGACAGGCTATAATGTGCCAAGAAGATGTGAAACTATTCTGCTAGACCTTGGTGCTGATCCAAATATTACCGATGTCTATGGCAACACTGCTCTCCATATGCTGTCTATAATGAGAATATGTCAATGGTAGCAAGACTGTTTTCACACAAGACAAACATCGAAGTGAAAAACAATGTAGAGCAACCAATGTTATTTTCAAAATATTTGAAATCCACTTGTTTTAACATTGACATATGTAAGGGTCAGTTTTTGCTATTTGGAAGCTTAAGCAATCCCTGAATAAAAATAATTTGAAATAATGGTCTAAGATTTTACCTTAAATACTAATATCTTTAAAAAAGTATTAGAGAGTATGGCTTTCTTTTATGCATTTATGGTAGATATTTGAATTTGTTATAGGTAAAACTTTTGTTTTCAATTTTTTTTTGACTGAAGTATTTTTTTTTCTTTCTAAGTAGTGTACAACAACACAGGAAAGCAAAGTTGGCCTGCATAAATTAAGCCAACGTGTAAAATTTAGGAGACCTGCAAAAATCTGTATTTCAGGCTCCTCTTAAATAGTGAAATCTGGTTTCCCTTGAGCCCATATTACTGTTTGGTGTGCTATGAAGAGGCTGTAGCTTCACGCAAAGTCTGTGGTCTCCAGTTTGCCATTGTGCCCACCTAGGGACTTACTCAGGTCATACCCTTTGCCTCTGTAAATATTTTAGTTAACAACTCCTGTCATATAGTATATTTTGGTAAAGATTTCAAGGTTTTCAAGACAGTTGATAGTTATTTATAATATATAGCCTATATTTTGTATTAATTCCTTAATAATGGGTTTGACTTTTAGAATTTAGAAGTTGTTTTTTAAATAATGATTTTTCTTTATATATACCATAAATAATAATCACATTGGAATGCCTATAGGCCTTTTTAGGTTAATTATGGTTATATTTGGATAGGTTATGCATATTGCAGAACACATTTTATCTTTCTCCTCAGCATTGTCTCTGAAAATGGAAGTGATTTAGTGGCTTTTATTATGCTAAAATAACCCATATAGTTCAGCTAGAAATTGTATTGATAAGCCATTGCATTTGTATTTCTGATATTTTGCCAAAAATAAAAAATAATTTTAAGTAGCAATGAAAATGGAAACCAGAATAAAAATGGATTAATGCATTTTAAGAAGTAGATTTGCATTAGGGTCCTAGGATTATAAATATCATTAAAATTGAGAATAAAATTTCATACTGAACTTTGTAACAGCTAAAATTCTGTGACTCTGTAATAGGAGAAACCCAATGGACCATTTAATAATAAGCAATCAAAATTCATTTGAAGCCTATCTCTTTTAATTTAGAGACCATTTCCTTAGTGATCTACTTGGAGCAGGAGCACCTGACTTTGGCAGCTGGGATCCTGGGCCCATTGATAGAAAATAATCAAGTGAGTTTGTATCACTTGGAGGAAACCTCTACCTTTATTGGAAAGCTTTAAAAACTGTAATCCTGAAACTTTAATTCCTCAAATGTTAATATTGCCACAAAACCTATTGTCAAATAAGGATTAGGCAAAGTTCAAGACATTTCTTGAATACTGGACATATAATTCACAGTTTTATAATATTTCTCAAACATAGATGATCATAGGATCTTCCTATTCAGGTACAGTCTTTAAATTCTGGCAAAGTAAATATTCTTTGGAATACAGTTTAAGAAGTACTACTCTAGAGGTAATAATTTAGATCATTGATTTAATAAAAATACTTAAAGTATTTACTACTATGTCATAGGGTTTGAGGATAAACAGATAAAAGATACAGCAGCTGCCCTCAAGAATCTGTTGGTTTAGATAGAAATCAATAAAATTATTACAATATACCATGTGAAATGCTGTGCTAGAAACAAAGATTATTGAAACCAGTGACTGTTTCAAATCATTTTTGGAGCTGACCAGAGTTAATGTGAGTCAGAGGCCGGATGTTTTCAAGTGGAGGAGGAGTGCATGGGAAAGCACAGAGGAGTGAGAAGGAAGGGACAGATTTTATTTGCTTTCTATTTTATGTGTTTAAGTTCATAAGACCTTATATAAGGTATTCAGTTCAGCTGACAAATATGTAATTTTATGAATTATAAATTGTTTTTGCCATTTTACAGGATGGCCTCATACCACTTTTACTTGCCATAACTAAAAGAAGACAGCAAATGGTATAATTTTTACTAACAAAAAATGCAAATGTAAATGCAGTTGATAAAGGTTTAGTCATTTTTTTAAAGTGAGTGTTGTTCTAGAGTCGTAACATTCAAGTTGGAAATATTAAGTTAATCAGCAGATTAGCTTATATTTATTGGATTATAGTGGAAAATATCAAAACAAATCACCAGTTAGGTAGAAAAGCAATTACTTGGACTGGGCAACATAAAGAACATATGTATATGATAGGATTTATATTCTCTTATTATATTGGCTGATGTTATTTACAATCTGATGTTTTTGTCACATTATCTTCTATTAGTAAAGGGTTTTGTATTAGTTTTATAAAATATGAAATTTAACTTTCAGTTTGCTTATTGATTCAATATTGAATTATTATTTTATAGTATTTCTCTACCTTCTGCTTTTTATATACTTTTTCTATAAAATGTAATATGAATCATAAATAGGAATTGAAAATTATTTTGTGTTTTGGATGACTGTTTGCTTTAAGGTGATTTATTTGAAAAATATTAATGTCAGGTTATCCCTAAGTGACTATTAATTGTTACCACCACTGTGAATTCATCATTTTATTTCTTTTTAACTTATGGTGTATTTTAATTTTTTAATTTGTAATCGGTATGTGTAGAAGGAAGAAAGATATGTTTAATTAAATTAACTTTTTATTTAATGAAGATAAGCTGTAGGTGAGTGATAGAAAAGAGGCCTTAGATTCACAAAAGACAGGTTTTAATTTCTAGCTTCTTCATTTGTTAGGGGTGACCTTGCATACATTACTTAGTACCAAGTATGCTTTCCTATATGAAAATGAGGATAATAATATTTCTTTCAGGGGTGATTGTGTGGAAATTAGATTATGTGTATACAGCATTTAATTCAGTTCTTCACACATGCTTATCAGTATCATTAACTGAACAACTACTACTATCATTATTCTTTACATTATTATTTTCAGCCTGCAGATTGCTCTTATTTATCTTACTCCTAACTGATTTTGAATTACAATATATCAGACTAGAGAAGAAATGGATAATTCTTCACTTAAATCTTTGCCTCCTGTAGATGAGTGACCTGAGCACAGTCTTTTGCCCATCAAAGGACTTTATGTTAACCACTTCTACTATGCCATACCCCAGTGGGACATGAATTTTTTTTTTGTCCCTTCCTTTAAGCCTTTGTGGTTATTTACAAAGATGAACACTTGAGCACCCAGGATGCTTATGTTTGTTAGTTCACGTAAATGTTTAATTCTACACTGACAGGCACATATTAAGTTTGTAAAGTTTCTAAGAATGAAGTTCTCTCTCTGTTTAGCACAGCCCTCATGCTTGCAGTATGTCATGGATCATCAGGGATAGCATTCTTCTTCAGAAAAATATTGACATATTTACTCAAGTATTTGTGGAATGACTGCAGAAGATTACGCTGTTGTTAATATTTTTAATCTATGTTTGTACATGTAAAGTCTAGGTGAGATTTCATAGCTTGGCTCAAGTAGTTTTTGAAGGGCAGTGAGTTAATTCACTTCATCAGCCAGAAATCAGGCAAAAAGCTAAACTAGTTAGAAGGAGCAGCGGGTCCAGGATTCTTTATTTTAGGGCTTTTAACACATTTATCCCTACAGATACCAATGTTGTCTATTTGATCCCAAGTATAATCCCAATGCATGGGATAAACATAGTGTCACATTTTCAATTTTTGTAATTAGTAATTTGGGTCTTAAAACGTCCACTTTAGCAAAAAATTTAGTACTGCCTCTGGGCGCTATCCTCTATACCCTCCTCCTTGAATTTTTAAAGGAACTTAAGGGGTTCCCTAAGTCCAAGGAAGACAGTCTTCTTTTACAGTCAGGATGAGGGGGGAGAAAAGACCCTTCTAATCATTGTGTTGTTCCCTCTGATTCTGTTGCTGCATCGTTGCCACTGAAACTGCTTCTTCAGTCTGTTAACAATTGACCTTTGCTACCAGGATGACCTCACTTATCTGGATCCCTCAGTCTTCCTGGTGATTCACATATAGACTTCAAAGTTATTACTTTTTGTTTTAGTTCACATAGATATTCTCAGCCATTATTTCCAAAGTGCCTGTACGCCTGCTCTGACAGTTGGGCCTCCTAGCTTTAGCCACACTCATAGTGACCCTTCTTCTCACACTCAAAACCTGATATGAAACCCACGTCTTAGCTTGGACTTGTCCTAGACCTTCAAGGTAAATTATCCTCTGAATCCCTTGGAATAGTTTGAAACTGTGAGGTCTAAATAATGTTACAGGAAGAAATCAGAGATTCCTTTCTTCTTTGCTACCAGATCTATGCTCTTGGCCCCTTTAGATTCTGTGTGGCACCATTTTGTAGGTAGTGGAGGGTCCCATATTATTCTGGAAGGACCAATATTCTGCTTCCCCAGAGTAGTGGTTCTTCCCTCAAGTGATCTGTTTTCCGTAAAAGTAAAAATCTCCCAAACTACTTGTGTTTGTATCTTGAGTTTTTAAAATATTTTAAAATTCTACCTCACAATGAAGCCATTCGAAAGAATTCATGAAATCTCAAGTAAGTTAGATTAAACAGAGCTAAGCCTCATCCATGACTCATCAGTATCCATGTAGGAAAGTAGAAGTTTGTGGCTGGGCACAGTGGCTCACGCCTGTAATCCCAGGAATTTGGGAGGCCGAGGTGGGTGGATCATGAGGTCAGGAGTTCGAGACCAGCTTGGCCAACATGGCAAAACACTGTCTCTACTAAAAATACAAAAATTAGCCAAGCATGGTGGTGGGCACCTGTAATCCCAGCTACTCCCGAGGCTGAGGCAGGAGATTCACTTGAACCCGGGAAGTGGAGGTTGCAGTGAGCTGAGATCGTGCCATTGTACTCCAGCCTGAGCAATAAAAGCATGACTCCTTCTAAAAAAAAAAATAGATGGCAGCACATCCACTAAAATTGAAACAATATAGAGAAGATCAGCATGATCCCTGCACATGGGTGACACACAAATTTGTGAGGTGTTCTATATTTCTTGCAGTCCCCAAAAGGACCTTGGACTACTATCTTACTAGCTCCAAGGAAATGGTGTGAGTCAATGAAAAATGGTGACACCCAATATTGAAACTGTGATTTTCACACAAAAATATTTATGTAAGATGATCTATGGAATGAGATTGTGCCGGGAAACACATGGGATGTTGTGTGCAATATATTGCTAGTAGGCATCTAGGAAATGAGAAAATAACAGCTTCCATCCCCATCATGGAACTTAAAAAAAATAAAGGTAAGGTTTTTTCTTCCACAGCAGTTGGAGATGAACATGGGGAGTAAGCATTATTTCAACAAAGATTTATTGGTTCAGAGTTTGGGAAGTTTGGTAAAGAATATTAGGAGTCCAAGCCAGGTCTTGACATTCAACAGTTTTCTGCCCTGGGTGTGATTGATGAACTCAGCAACAGGAGATAATCATGTTGTCTGATTTGATGAATTAACATATTTATAAATAATTTTTATTACAAATTATGAAATAGATGCCCTGAATTACAAGCCATAAAAAAAGAACATCTAATAATCAAGAGTAGGACTTAATAACATTTTCTGAAAACTGCAACATTTGAATAGTAGAACCTATGAAGAAATACACTTTTTTTAAAATTTATTTTTAATTTGTAGAGATAGGGTCTCTCTATGTTGCCCAGGCTGGTCTTGAACTCCTGGGCTCAAGCAGTCCTCCTGTCTCAGCCTCCCAAAGTGCTGGCATCACAGGCATGAGCCTCTGCATCTGACAAACACATTGGGTTTTATTTGGGATTTTAAAATAGTTTCAGCAGTAAGGTTCAAGAATAAATTATTCCATCGCTTCACTACTTCTCTGAGCATTTTTTCAAATGCTGTCTTGTGAAGTCTTTATAATAACCTAGTTAAATAAGGCACTACAAGTCTCACTTTTAGAGGAAGACATTGAGCCTAAGAGAAGCAACTTAATCAAGAACGAATTGGTTGCAGAGCTGAGATTTATTCTGAGTTGAGGACATTTTCCGTTACGTCAGCCTAACTCTAGTTCATTTACTGAGCTATATTGCCTTCAATTCATGAGTATTTCACCTTACTTTCTTCTTTAACTAAAAGTTTAAGAAGTTCACAGAGCTCACAAATTTGAAGCCTATGAAATGAGTAAAGTTCTCAGATTAGCTCTAATATTGTCTGGAATACTCTAATAATTTAACATATTCAGTAAATTTTTTCATATCAGTGTTAAAATAGTACTTTTATTGATTGCATATTTCTTTTTTTCTCAGCCTTTTCACTGAATTTTTTTTAATTATACTTTAAGTTTTAGGGTACATGTGCACAACATGCACGTTTGTTACATATGTATACATGTGCCATGTTGGTGTGCTGCACCCATTAACTCGTCATTTAACATTAGATATGTCTCTTAATGCTATCCCTCCCCCCTCCCCCGACCCCACAACAGGCCCCGGTGTGTGATGTTCCCCTTCCTGTGTCCATGTGTTCTCATTGTTCAGTTCCCACCTATGAGTGACAACATGCGGTGTTTGGTTTTTTGTCCTTGTGATAGTTTGCTGAGAATGATGATTTCCAGCTTCATCCATGTCCCTACAAAGGACATGAACTCATCCTTTTTTATGGCTGCATAGTATTCCATGGTGTATATGTGCCACATTTTCTTAATCCAGTCTATCATTGTTGGACATTTGGGTTGGTTCCAAGTCTTTGCTATTGTGAATAGTGCCACAATAAACATACGTGTGCATGTGTCTTTATAGCAGCATGATTTATAATCCTTTGGGTTTATACCCAGTAATGGGATGGCTGGGTCAAATGGTATTTCTAGTTCTAGATCCCTGAGGAATCGCCACACTGACTTCCACGATGGTTGAACTAGTTTGCAGTCCCACCAACAGTGTAAAAGCGTTCCTATTTCTCCACATCCTCTCCAGCACCTGCTGTTTCCTAACTTTTTAATGATCGCCATTCTAACTGGTGTGAGATGGTATCACATTGTGGTTTTCATTTACATTTCTCTGATGGCCAGTGACGATGAGCATTTTTTCATGTGTCTTTTGGCTGCATAAATGTCTACTTTTGAGAAGTGTCTGTTCATATCCTTCGCCCACTTGTTGATGGGGTTGTTTGTTTTTTTCTTGTAAATTTGTTGGAGTTCACTATAGATTCTGGATATTAGCCCTTTGTCAGATGAGTAGGTTGCAAAAATTTTCTCCCATTCTGCAGGCTGCCTGTTCACTCTGATGGTAGTTTCTTTTGCTGCGCAGAAGCTCTTTAGTTTAATTAGATCCCATTTGTCAATTTTGGCTTTTGTTGCCATTGCTTTTGGTGTTTTAGACATGAAGTCCTTGTCCATGCCTATGTCCTGAATGGTATTGCCTAGGTTTTCTTCTAGGGTTTTTATGGTTTCAGGTCTAACATTTGAGCCTTTAATCCATCTTGAATTAATTTTTGTATAAGGTGTAAGGAAGGGATCCAGTTTCAGCTTTCTACATATGGCTAGCCAGTTTTCTCAGCACCATTTATTAAATAGGGAATCCTTTCCCCATTGCTTGTTTTTGTCAGGTTTGTCAAAGATCAGGTAGTTGTCGACATGTGGCATTATTTCTGAGGGCTCTGTTCTGTTCCATTGGTCTATATCTCTGTTTTGGTACCAGTACCTTGCTGTTTTGGTTACTGTAGCCTTGTAGTATAGTTTGAAGTCAGGTAGTGTGATGCCTCCAGCTTTGTTCTTTTGGCTTAGGATTGACTTGGCAATGCGAGCTCTTTTTTGGTTCCATATGAGCTTGAAAGTAGTTTTTTCCAATTCTGTGAAGAAAGTCATTGGTAGCTTGATAGAGATGGCATTGAATCTATAAATTACCTTGGGCAGTATGGCCATTTTCACGATATTGATTCTTCCTACCCATGAGCATGGAATGTTCTTCCATTTGTTTGTATCCTCTTTTATTTTCTTGAGCAGTAGTTTGTAGTTCTCCTTGAAGAGGTCCCTCACATCCCTTGTAAATTGGAATCCTAGGTATTTTACTCTCTTTGAAGCAATTGTGAATGGGAGTTCACTCATGATTTGGCTCTCTGTCTGTCTGTTATTGGTGTATAAGAAAGCTCGTGATTTTTGCACATTGATTTCGTATTCTGAGACTTTGCTGAAGTTGCCTATCAGCTTAAGGAGATTTTGGGCTGAGACGATGGGGTTTTCTAGATATACTATCATGTCATCTTCAAACAGGGACAATTTGACTTCCTCTTTTCTTAATTGAATGCCCTTTATTTCCTTCTCCTGCCTGATTTCCCTGGCCAGAACTTCCAACACTATGTTGAATAGGAGTGGTGAGAGAGGACATCCCTGTCTTCTGCCAGTTTTCAAAGGGAATGCTTCCAATTTTTGCCCATTAGGTATGATATTGGCTGTGGGTTTGTCATAGATAGCTCTTATTATTTTGAGATGCATTCCATCAATACCTAATTTATTGAGAGTTTTTAGCATGAAGGGTGGTTGAATTTTGTCAAAGGCCTCTTCTGCATCTATTGAGATAATCACGTGGTTTTTGTCTTTGGTTCTGTTTATATGCTGGATTGCCTTTATTGATTTTCGTATGTTGAACCAGCCTTGCATCCCAGGGATGAAGCCCACTTGATCATGGTGGATAAGCTTTTTGATGTGCTGGATTCGGTTTGCCAGTATTTTATCGAGGATTTTTGCATCAATGTTCATCAAGGATATTGGTCTAAAATTCTCTTTTTTTGTTGTGTCTCTGCCAGGCTTTGGTATCAGGATGATGCTAGCCTCATAAAATGAGTTAGGGAGGATTCCTTCTTTTTCTATTGATTGGAATAGTTTCAGAAGGAATGGTACCAGCTCCTCCTTGTACCTCTGGTAGAATTTGGCTGTGAATCCATCTGGTCCTGGGCTTTTTTGGTTGGTAAGCTATTATTGCCTCAATTTCAGAGCCTGTTATTGGTCTATTCAGGGATTCAGCTTCTTCCTGGTTTAGTGTTGGGAGGGTGTATGTGTCAAGGAATTTATCCATTTCTTCTAGGTTTTCTAGTTTATTTGCATAGAGGTGTTTATAGTATTCTCTGATGGTAGTTTGTATTTCTGTGGGATCGGTGGTGATATCCCCTTTATCATTTTTTATTGCATCTATTTGATTCTTCTCTCTTTTCTTCTTTATTAGTCTTGCTAGTGGTCTATCAATTTTGTTGATCTTTTCAAAAACCAGGTCCTGGATTCATTGATTTTTTGAAGGGTTTTTTATGTCTCTATTTCCTTCAGTTCTGCTCTGATCTTAGTTATTTCTTGCCTTCTGCTAGCTTTTGAATGTGTTTGCTCTTGCTTCTCTAGTTCTTTTAATTGTGATGTTAGGGGGTCAATTTTAGATCTTTCCTGCTTTCTCTTGTGGGCATTTAGTGCTATAAATTTCCCTCTACACACTGCTTTAAATGTTTCCCAGAGATTCTGGTATGTTGTGTCTTTGTTCTCATTGGTTTCAAAGAACATCTTTGTTTCTGCCTTCATTTCGTTGTGTACCCAGTAGTCATTCAGGAGCAGATTGTTCAGTTTCCACGTAGTTGAATGGTTTTAAGTGAGTTTCTTAATCCTGAGTTCTAGTTTGATTTCACTGTGGTCTGAGAGACAGTTTTACATAGTATTCACCAACAACTTTTGGAATATAAAATATGTCTAAACATCCTCAAAATTTCAACCCAGGTAAGACTTCTGACAGTAAACTACTCTTTGTGACACTACCATAATATTATGGAAGTTTTGATCACAAAAGAGCAATTAAAAATGTATAAATAGCATGTGGGTGTGTAAATTTAAATATATATAGACATATAAAAATTTCTTTGATTTAATTTTTTGCTTACAATTCACAATTAGTTAACAATGTTGTTTTAGATAGTTTATAATCTCAAGCAGTATTGTCTGAAAAAAATATTTAATTATGGTACCTAAAATTCTATATAGTTTTTTTGTATAAATAAAAAATTTTAAGTTCTCATGTTGTATGTTTCCTCTATAGTCATAAAAAATTAGGCTTGTTGTACAATATATCTTCTATTTAATTTTTATAATAAATGGTTTACGTTTAGCAAATGAGAATTACAAGTGTTTAACAAATGAGAATTACAAATGTTCAAGTAACCTCTTGAACAACATGGGGATTAGGGTGCTGATCCCCAGTGTAGCTGAAAATCTGCATTTAACTTTTGACTCTCCCAAAATGTAACTCCTAATAGCCTAGTATTGACCTAAAGCTTCACTGAAAACAT
This sequence comes from Homo sapiens, assembly GCF_000001405.40. Lineage (NCBI taxonomy): Eukaryota > Metazoa > Chordata > Mammalia > Primates > Hominidae > Homo > Homo sapiens. The sequence continues at coordinate 57,294,925 of NC_000008.11, forward strand.
AAACAGTTATGTATTGTATACTGTATTCTTGCAATAAAGTCATATGTATTGTACACTGTATTCTTGCAATAAAGCAATCTGAAGAAAAGAAACTTATGAAGAAAATTATAAGGTGGAAAAAATATATTTACTGTTCACTAAGTGGAAGTGCATTATCATACGTAAAGGTCTTCATTCTCATTGTGTTCACATTGCGTAGGCTGAGAAGGATGAGGAAGACGAGAAATTTGTCTTTCTTTCTTAGTGTGGCAGTGGGAGTGAAGAAAATCTATATATTATAAGGGGGGTCCTGCAATTCCAACCCTTGTTCAAGGATCAACTGTATGACATCATGATTTGTGTCACTAAAAAAGGAAATTTCTTTAGAGCTTGGAACTTAATAATAATTTTCTGGTACCATAATCATATGTCAGTAAGAATTGTTAAACTTATTCAGGGTGTATAAGTACCAATAAGAAATTAGTTTTTAAAGATACCTGCTTAGTGCAGAAGTCAGAAGAGCAATATTTTGTTGAGAAGCACAGGTTGTGTTACATACTCTTGTACCAAGAAGGTCTCATTATTATTGGCTTCATTACCCCTCAGTTGAAACCAACTAAGATAATATTTACTTCATTAAAACAAGATGTGTTGTTTTATCTGGTGGGTAATTGTCATAATAGTAATTTTGTTACAACAAGATATGTTCTGTTACTACTAGCCAAAATATTATTATAATGAATATTAAAATAGCCCAACTCTAGGCTCAATAAATTACAATAAAAGTACAAAATATTTTACAACAAGAAAAATGGTATTATACTGCCTGGATGTAATACAATGTACAATATACAATGTACATTGTACAATATGAACTGTATGACCATACCTCTATTATATATTTATCAAAGAAACTTCTGTAAGTAAGGTTTTGCATGTCGCAGGGATAAAGAATACACATAGTCCGAATCTTTAATGTGCTCATAATGCAATAGAGCTTTCCCTATTTAATTTTCATGTTTTTTCAATAGAATTGTCAAAGGAAATGCCTTTATTCATCTATCCACTTCTCTGCGTAGACATAACTGTAAAGTATCTTTAAGGTACTAAGCATTTTTATCTTGTTACTATCATTGTCATTTTTTATTATTTACTACCATATTCAGTGCTTACTCTGTCAGTTGCTTGCTGGGAGTTTACAATTATTATTTATTGTGTATTTGTCATATTTAATGTGGGACAGACACTTTATGTCCAAGGCAAAGAATTAAAGATTTAAAAAGATTGGTAGGATTTAAGGAAAGCATGCAGTGTAAGTAGAAGTTTTCCAGGTAAGGAGGCAGAAGAACGAAATTTGGCAAAAGGAAAATCTAACCAGATTTTGTGTTAGGCAGAAGGAACATCTGACGAGATTGCATGTTTGGCAAAAGGAACAGCAAGTACGAAAGGTCAGACTCTTGAGTGAGTTTTGTAGGGTTTATGTTAAATTCAGTGTTGCTAGTGGAAATAGTGTGGTATAGGAGTTGTTGGAAATGAAGTGAATATCTAGATATGGCAAGCTTAGGAAAGACTTTTGAATAGTATAGAACGGAGTAGATCTTATTCAGTAGGCCATTGAAAAGTTCCCAGAATACATCTGGCTGTAAATACTAGATGACCTAACTAACAATGGCTAAAACCATAGGCACCAAAGTTGTTCTGTTGGTTCAGGGATATCATAGTGTCACATGTATGTTTCCTTTTTTAGCTGTGCTATTGGCAGTATTTTGTTAATGTCTCTTTTCATGGTTGGCTAAGTAGCCAATGAGTAGCCAGTCGTTATGTTCTCTCAAGACAATATCTGAAGGCTGGAAGGGTTGCTTTGTTTCATGATTTTTTTGTTTGTTTTTATTTTTAAAACAGGGAGCCAACTCAGAAGTTTGCAGTGATCTTCCTGTAACACTTTAGTGGCCGGATGACACCACATGCTCATTCCTAAACCAGTCAGTAGGAAAACAAACGTAATTCCTATGATTAGCTTAGAACAATCATTTTTCTTTTTTTTTTTTGGAACTGAGGTGGGATAATGGAATGATAAGTATCCAAATAAACTTGTGTTTCTCCAGTGAGAAAGAAGGAAGAATGGCCATAGATAGGGAGCCAGTGAGGTTTTCTGCAGGGATTCATGGGAAGATTTTGGGCAGGGGAGTCACAAGAGGAGGTGTGAGTATTAGGGCATTCTGGTTACGGTATAAAGCAGGGATTGGCAAGCTTTTCCTGTAAAGGGCCACATAGCACACATTTCTAGGCCTTGTGGTCTCTGTTGTATGTTTTCAACCCTTTCACGCTGTTGCAGTGTGAAAGGAGTCAGAAATAATATGGAAGCAAATAGACATGATTGTGCTCCAGTAAAGCTTCCTTTCCTGAAGCATTTGATAGACATAACAACATTTAAAGTTGTATTTCTTTCCTAAGGTTCCTTTCACAAAGCTTTCTCATGACTCACACAGACTATCTACAAGATGCTTGAACTTTCTTAAATTTCCTATGATCCTCAATAGGGCATCCCCCATTCATCCTTAGTATTCTGGAGCAAATCGTTCTTACTGTGTGTCCCTAACCTTGGTCCCATCTCATCACAATTACCCCCTTGAGAACATAAAACATATGAAGTGAACAGAGGACTCCCTGTTTATTCCTGGGGTTCCAGAATGAACCAGTTTTACTGTGTACCACTAACCTTGCCTTCATCTTCTAGCCTGGGACCAATGCCCTCAATCTTGGCCTGGCCTCTATCCATGTCTCCGTGACCTTAGAGTGACCCTCACTCAGAGCATTCTAGCAGGAAAATGATGATCTCTTTACTCAAATTCCCATTTCTCATCTTCTTTAACCAGATGAGAAGCCTGTTTTTCAGCTAACTGCTGCAAGGGGGCTTGACTTTACTCCACTTGAATTTGACCTTGAAGACCTCGATGCATATCGAGAAGGGCATAGAAGTGATTAGAGAAATGGAGGCTACAGGAGCAAGTGGGAGGAAGCAAGTGAGGAATACTCATGGAAAGCCTCCCTGTGCTCCCCAAAACAGCCACCCTTGAATTTGAGAGGGCTATATGTATTTGCCCTCTTGACGTAAGGTAGTAACCTCCAGAGGATTTGGGCCTTAGGGTAAAAACTCCGAAAGGGTAGAGGAAGAATTTCCCTCCTCCCATAGGGGTACTATTTCCAAAAAAAGCAAGTAGGTAGGGTTCTTAAAAGGCCACAGAATGAGGCTGTATGCAGGTGAACAAATGGCTTCAAAAGCCACTGAAGAACTGGGCCGTGAGCATAACAGCAAGGAAAAGCATGTGGTAAGTCATAAGAAACTGGCAGAGCCCCGGGGTTCCAGTTAACGTCTTTCCCAGCAATGTGCCAGCAGATAGGGAAAGGCTTGAACATCATCTGAGCTGGGGAAAACAAATATAAATCTCAGGGAATATTCACAAGGGAATATCTCATGAGCAGAGCTCATGTCTCTGCTTTCGAGCCAACACAGCAAGAGTCACGGGCATGCGAGTGACCAGGAGCATGTGTATTTCAGGCAGAGAAGTCACATGGTATGCAAAGTGAAACCAGAGAAAAGGCAGACTGGCCTCCGTGGGAAAAGGTATGGTGGGTGACAAGGCCATTGCAGAATACACACAGAGAAAGGAGGGAATAGGTGGTGTGGACTTTTTGGAAAGAGCTGATTTTAGTTGTAAAAGCTGAGAGGAAGCCCCAGACATTGCACAGTCTTAGGCTTTAGCTTCACAGCTTTCATGAGCATCCTGTCCAGGAGGGCCATTAGTGCCTTGGTTCTACGTGGTACAGACTCCGAGTTCCTTCCCACTCCTGTAAGCCACTTATCAGCGTGAGCTGAGATTGGCCGGGAGGAGCAGAGCCACTTGTGGCCAGTGGAATTGTTCTAGGGGTGGTTTAGAAAGCAGGAGATTGAAAGGAGAGACAAAACCCAAGTATATGAGCTGAATTCCTTTGTCCGAAGAAGATGAGGTGTAGAAGTGTCTCACCATAGGGGACTGTACTTGAGTCAAAACAACACAGCATTGTTAGTAGCAGTGAATCTGTAAAGTTCTGTAGCAACTTCAATTCTTGCCTCCTCAGAAGAAAGAATTCAACGGCGGGGTGTAAGGCAGAGTGAGAGACTGAGGCGAAGTTAAGAGCAGGAGTAAAATTTCTTAAAATTTTCGGAGCAGGAATGAAAGGAAGTAAAATACACTTGGAAGAGGGCAACACAGGCAACTTGAGAGATCAATTGCATGGTTTGACCTTTGATGGGGTCTTATACATTGCCAGGCTCCTAGGTTTGTGTTATTTTTCCCCTGATTCTTCCACTGGGACAGGCTGTCCCTATGCACAGTGGATTGTCAGCACTTGGGAGGGGCCACATGTACAGCGTGTTTACTGGATTGTATGCCTGCTCACTTGAAACATTCTTGTACTGGTAGAATGTTCCCAGAGAAAAGTCAGAGAGCAGTTAAACTCTGGCAGTTCTCCTTTTAGGGCACATGTGTGAACCCACTCAACTAACTCCTAAGATCTTATGGGGAAGCTGCTGGTCAACAGCTTCCAGTGTTTCTGTGTATTGGGAGACTGCATTTCCTTGGCATTGAGTGTGACCAATTGTTATTTTGGAGAGGCAGCTTAAAAACTGCCTGACCATCATCTCTTAGTTGCTTGACACTCCTGGTGGTGGGACACCCTTTCTTGCCCTGCTCATGCCTGACTAGCTACCTACCGTAACAAGAACATCTGACAAGATTGAAGGCTTGGCAGAAGAACATCTGACATAATTGAACTTTTGGCAGAAGAAACATCTAAGATGTCATATTTGGCAGAAGAGACATCTAAGAGGATTTCATGGTCAGCAGGAACCCCAAGGGAGATGGCATGGTAGGCAGAGGGAGTATCTGAAAATTGCACTGTCTGCATAAGGATGACCTAGGATGAGTGCATGGCCTGCAAAAGAAACATCTGAAAAGATTAAATATTTGGCAGGGGAAACATCTGACAAGGTTCAATGTTTGGTAGTAAAAAGGTTAGCGGTGGCAGATTTGCATGTGTCAGCAGCAAACTGAAGTCTTGCCTCCCCAGAAGAAAGAATTCAACTGAGAGACATATGGCAGAGTGAGAGACAAAGGCAAGTTTTAGAGCAGGAGTGAAAGTTTCTTAAAAAGCATTAGAGCAAAACAAAAGAAAATAAAGTACACATGGAAGAAGGCAAAGTGGGTGGCTTGAGAGATCAAGTCCATGGTTGACCTTTGACTTGGGGTTTTATACATTGGTAGCCTTCTCAGGCTGCATTATTTCTCCCCTGATTCTTCCCTTGCGGTGTGCTGTCCATACATGCAGTGGCCTGCCAGCACTTGGGAGAATGCATTTGCAGTGTGTTTTTTGGAGTTGTATGCCTGCTCACTTAAGGTGTTGTTTTTTTACTTGATCTTAGCCAAAAGGCTGAGAAGCGATAGGGTGTTGTTTTTTCAAAATGTAAGGTGTTCTCAGAGACAGGTCACAAATCAATTAAAATCACCGTTTTGCCTCTTACTGCACACATCTAAGCCCACCAGCTCGAATCCTGAGATATTATTATGAAGCTGCTGATCACCAATTTTAGGTGTTTCTATTTATTGGAAAACTGCCTTTCCCTGGGCTGGCTGCAACTAATTATTATTTTAAAAAAGTAGTTTAATAACCACCTCATCTTCACTTCATGGTTTTCTTATATTGCTGGTGAAGGTGGGAGGGGGGCTTTTCTGTCCTGCTCATATCTGACTAGGTACCCAATGTCATGGGAACATCGGACAAGATTGACTGTTTGGCAGAAGAAACATCTGGTAAGTTTGCATGTTAAGCAGAATAAACGTCTGAGATGATTTCACATTTGACAGAAGGAAGAGCAAGTGCAAAGTGTTGTATGCTTGATTCAACTTTGTAGTGTTTATGAGCAGTTACACTTTGCTAGTGGAAATAATGTGGCATGGGAGTGGTGCGGAATGAATATCTACATAAGGCAAACTTCAGAAAGCCTTTTAAGAGTATATAAATGAGTAGACCTTATTCTGTGGGCCAGGGAAAAATTCTCTGAATACTTCTGGCTGTGAATACTAGTTGACCCAACTATAATAACAGTGGCTAAAACCATGGGAACCAAAGTTATTTTGGTGGTTCAAGGATATCATAGCATAGCACTTACTTTTCCTCTTTCAGCTGTGCTATTGGCAGTGTTTTGTCCATGGTTGGCTAATTAGCAATGACTCCAGTCATCATGTTCTCTCAAGACAATATGTGAAGGCTGGAAAGTCTGCTTTTCTTCATGTTTCTTTTAAATAGGGAGTAAAGTCAGAAGCTTGCGGTGATCTTCCTGTAACAATTTAGTGCACAATATGCTAATTCCTAAACCAGTCAATATGAAAGCAAATGTAGTCACTTTAATTAGCTAAGAATAATCTAATAAAATGTTAAGCAGGGGAGTCACAAGATTAGGTTTGAGTATTAAGGCATTCTTGGCATTGTATAAAGTAGGGATTGGCAAGCTTTACCCATATAGGGCTCAATAGGAAACATTTTAGACCTTTTGGTCTCTGTCATATCTATTCAATTCTGCCATTGCAGTGTGAAAAAAATCATAAAGTGTAGTAAGCAAATAAGCATAACTGTACTCCAGTAAAACTTCATATACAAGGCTATATTGAAGGCTGCATTTGACCTTTGGCCTGTAGTTTTCTGACTCTTCATATGGAGGGTAGCCATGTAAAGAGGTTGAGAAACAAAGGAAGTTTTGCAGTAGTTCATGCTATAGTTTGTTTGTTTTGTGTCACCAGTTTGTGCATTAGTATCAATCTATTATAAAATTTTGACCCATCCAGGGTAAAATAAATAAGTTAGAAGCTAAGATTATACATTTAAACATGTGGGATTTTTTCTTGGCATTATTCTATTTTCATTTTTTTGCTGAATTTTTTTAACTTAAGAAATATGAATAATAATTGGTACAATGTGATAGATTAACTTATTTCTATACATGTTGAGGTCAAAGAAATATTCATGTAGGATATTTTCAGCTGGTAATTGGATAATAGGCATTTAGAGCTGGAGCTAGACTCTATGGTTGAAGTTGCAGACTTAGAATGATTTTATTATAATTATTAGACAAAGCCATAGATCTTAATGAGCTTGTCCATAATGCAGAATATGTAGAAGAAGTAGAAGAAAGCCCTTGACAAAACCCAGGGAATATTAACATTTTTCAGAGGAAAAAGAGTTGGTAAAAGAGACTGAGCAGTGGCAAGAGAAAAGTAGGAGCAAAGTCAGAGGGAGTGATGTTGCAAACATTTTTGGAAAGATGAGTATTTCAAGCATGAAGTATCAATACTAACAGCAATAAGTAAATTGGATTTAGCTTTTAAAAGCTCTTTGGTGGTACCCTTTTTTAAAAAAAATTTAGAGTTCTTAGGTGTACTATTAATATGATTGATACTTCTGGTGGTCAAGAATCTACCAAGATGCCAAAAGTTACCAACTTCTTTGCAGCTACATACACAGGGTCAGAGAATGTTATTTAGACTAATGAGTACATGTGTCAACATTTTCCAGGACTGTCAAAACCTAAGGATCAGGTGTGAAGAAAGATCTTGTCTTTCTTAGCTGCTTCTTGTGGAAATACTTCATTTGTATTTCCTGAAAGAAAGAATGCTTTCAGTCACTCTAAAAGAAAAACCTGGTACCAACAACTAGAAGCTACTGTCAGATGCACATATACCCCTCCTCAATACAACCGTGTTTTGAGAGTTTCACATTTGAATCAGAAGTAGTTTACAAGCCAGCAGCTTGGAGAAATTGACATTTTAATAATAATATATTGCAGACAACTAATATAATGTCATATGGGGAGATATGGAGGGAAATATGGAGATATGCTTTATATACTAGTTTTCAGTATTCTGGGAATTTTAGGGATATCTGTAGAAAAGTTAGTACCTGTCTTTTTGTTAGTGCAATTCCCCTTTATTTTGCTATCTTCTGTTATCTCTGCTTTTACTGCTTCCTTTTGAATTTCATCCTTAAAGAAAGTACTTTTAGAACACATTTTTAAGATATGTATGTTTGACAAATGTGTATTATTTCCTTTTAAAATAATATACTCCATATCCTAAAGTATATCTGGTATTCTATGTTTCTAAAACTGAATTTCTTTATATGCATACCATAGTGACAGTGTCACTGATAATGCTCTGCCAAGATTTTAAGTGTCTTCTCAATTGTCAAGCTCAAATTGTTTTATCTGAAATAGTTTTAATATGAAGTTTTTTTCTGGTATTATATTTCTTCAGAAATTGGTAATCTGTGATTTAACTAGATTATGAGGTAAAATTCAATTACCATATTTATAAGTAAGTTGAAAGTTTGATTGATTTTTGATGGTTAAATCCACAATTTATGGGGAGCAGTAGATAAATCATCTTACATTGTGGAAGGAATTCTTTTGACTCTTTGACTTTTCTGAGAAGAACTGCCTTAAACAGGTCCACTGTGTTTTTAGTATTATAAAAAATTAAGAAAAAAATTAAAAACAAAGTGATTTCTATTATTAGTTAAACACTATTATACTTTATTCAGTGGATATATGTTTTTCTACAATTATCTCACCTATCTAAATTAAGCACACTTATTGCTGTACATATGTAGGTATGTATGTATTTATTTATTTACTATTTAAGAGACAGGATCTTGCTATGTTGCCCAGGGTGGAGTGCAGTGGCAATTCACAGGAGTGATCATAGGGCACTATAGCCTTCAACTCCTAAAGTCAAGCCATTCCCCAAACTAAGCCAGTCAAGTAGTTGAAACTATAGCCATGTGCCACCATGCCTGCTCTTATGCACAATTATTATGAAAAGGAAATTAACCCTGCTGAGTTGTAAACTATTGACTTAATCTTCACACTTTTTAGTACAAATGTTTATACTGTAGAACATACTGTGCATTAGGAAAATTTTTTTTCTGGTTGAAATAGGATTTGTGCATGTTTCCCTTTTTTTATACATCATTGTTTCATTTATCCCTTTTATTCTGCTATTGCAATAAATATAGAAAGGCAGAAATTTGAGAGGCAAATATCAAGAAAAATGGATTTTAAAAGTATTATGTGAAATAGCCTTCTGATTGTAGTCACATTTAACACATCAAATTAATTAAATAAAGAAATCTCACATAATGCAATTTTATCAGGGGTTCCTAAGACCACCTCCAGGTTTGGTGTTACACTAGAGGGGCTCACATTTGAGATGAATGTATGTTTGGCAAAAGAAAGCTGACAAGATTGAATGTTTGTCAGAAAGAACATCTGACAAGAGTAATTTTTTGACAAAAGAAACAGCTGACAATATTGAATGGCTGAGAGAAAAAAAAAAAACACCTGAAAAGGGTCATTGTTTGACAGAAGGAGTATATAGATCTTAGAAGATTGCATGGTTAACAGGAGGAAGACCTAGGAAAATAGCATGGTCTACAAAAGAAACATCTGAATAGATTGAAGACTTAGGAGAAAAGGCATGTGATAAGATTAAATACTTCGCAGAGAAAACACTTGAAAAGACTGAATATTTGGAAGGAGGAATTTTAGTGTCTGTGGATGGATAAAGGTCTGCCCTAACCTAAAATCTTGCCTTATCAGAAGAAAGAATTCAGCTGAGGAGCATAGGGCAGAGTGAGAGACACTGACAAGTTTTAGAGCAGGAGTGAAAGTTTATTAAAAAGTATTGGAGAAGGAATGAAAGGAAGTAAAGTACACTTGGAAGAGGTCCAGGCATGCAACCTGAGAGATCCAAGTGCACAGTTTGACCCTTGACATGGGTTTTTATAGGTTGGTAGACTTTGGGGGATGCATTACTTCTCTGATCCTTCCCTTAGAGCAGGCTCTCACATGTGCAGTGGCCTGTCAGTACTTGGAAGGGACCACTTGTACAGAGTCTTTGTTAGAGATTTATGCATTCTCACTTGAGGCATTCCACCTTTATCTGTTGAATTTTTTCTGAAAATTGTCATATACCAGTTAAACTCTGCCATTTTGCCTCTTAATGTGCATGCATGAGCCCATTAGCCCAACTCTTGAAATCTTATCAGGAAACTGATCACTAGCTTCAGATGTTTCCCTTTATTGGGAATCTGCCTTTTACTGGTGCTGGTGGCAACCCATTATTATTTTAGAGAGGCCTGACCATCACTTCGTGGTTGCCTGACATTCCTAGTGAGAAGAGGCCCTCTCTGCCCTGCTAATGTCTGACTAGCTACCTACTGTAATAAAAACATTGGTCAAGATTGAATGTTTGGCAGAAGAAACATCTGACAAGATTAAATGTTTGACCAAAGAAACACTGGACAGGACTGAATGTTGGTTAGAAGAAACATTGGACAAGATTGAATGTTTGGCAAGAGAAACAGCTGACAAGATTGTATGTTTGGTCTAAAAGAAATCTGACAAGATTGAATGCTGGGGTGAAGAAACATCTGATAAAATTTAACACATGGCAGAAGAAACAACTGACAATAGAATGGTTGACAGAGGGAACATTTAAGAAGATTGCACATTGGGCAGAAGGAACAACTGGGAAGATTGCATGGTCACAGCAGAAACATTTAAACAGATTTCATGGTGGGCAGAAATAGTATCCAAGAAGACTGCATGGTTGGCAGAGAGAAAACCTGAAAATGTGCATGACCTGTAAAAGAAACATGTAAAATAATTCAATATTTGGCAGAAGAAAACATCTGACAAGATTGAATATTTTCCCAGGAAAAATGCTGACAAGATCTAATGTTTGGCAATAGGAATTTTAGTGATTGTGGATCAGTAGAAGCCTGCTGAAGCCTCAATTCTTGCCCCCTTAGAAGAAATAATTCAACTGAGGGGCATTAGGCAAAGTGAGAGACCGAGGCAAGTTTTAGAGCAGGAGTAAAATTTATTAAAAAGTAAGAGCAAGAAAGAAACGAAGTAAAGTACACTTAAAGAGGGCCAAACATGTGACTTTAGATATCAAGTTCATGATTTGACCTTTTACTTGGGGATGTATAGGCTGGCAGGATTCTGAAGTTGCATTACTTTTCTGACTCTTTTCTTGGACCAGTCTGTCTGCATGCATAGTGGCCTATCAGCACATGTACAGTGTGTTTACTGGAGTTGTATGCACCTTCAATTAAGTTTCTTTATTCTTTTTTAATCATTTTTTATTGATTTTTTTTTTTTTTTGCCAGTTGAATGTTCCCAGAGAAAGGTCATAAATGTTTTAAACTCCACCATTTTGCCCCTTAGTGTGCATGCATAAGCCTATTCACTCAACTCTTGAGATTATTGGGAAACTGCTGATCAACAAGTGTAGGTGTTTCTATCTATTGAAAGACTGCTTTTCCTTGGTGCAACTAACTATTATTTCATAGAAGCAGTTTAACAACTACCTGACCATCAACTCGTGGACGACATTTTTGGTGGGGATGAAAAAGCTTTTATGTCCTGATCATATCTGACTAGCTAACTACTGTAACAGAAACAGCAAACAAGATTGAATGTCTGACAGAAGAAATATCTGTAAAGGTTGGATGTTTGGAGAAGAAGCATCTGACAACCTCACAAGCTTGGAAGTAAGACCAACTGATTAGATTGCATGTTAAAGAGGAAGAACATCTGAAAAGTGAAAAGTTTGAATATTTGGCAGAAAATACATCTGAAAAGTTTAAATGTTTGGCAAAAAATCACATCTGACAAAGGTTGCATGTTTGGCAGAAGAAACATCTGACAAATTAGAATGTTTGACAAAAGAAACAATTGATACAACTGAATGTGTGGCAGAAGAAACATTTTAGAAAATTTCAGGTTTAGCAGAAGGAACATTTAAGAAGACTGAAGGTTTGGCAGAAAAAAAAACATATTAAAACATAGCATGGTTGACAGCAGAAACATTTAAGCAGATTGTGTGGTGGGCAGTAGAGAGACCTAAGAAGATTATATGGCTTGCAAAATAGACAACTTAAAAGATAAAATATTTGACATAAGAAACCACCTGATAAAAAATGTTAGTAAGAAGAAACATTTGACAAGGTTGTATGTTTGGCAGAAGGAACATCTGAAAAGTTTCCACATTTGGCAGGAAGAACATCTGACAAGCTTGCACATCTGGCATAAGAAACATCTGACGAGGTTTCTGTTTGGCAGAAGAAATATTTGATAAGGCTGAATATTTGGCAGACATCATCAGACAAGGTTGAATGTTTGGCAAAAGGAATATGTAAGAAGTTTGAATATTTAGCAAGAGAAAGATCTGATTCAACTGAATATTTGGCACAAAATTTGTTTACAAGACTGCATGTTTAGCAGAATAACTGCATGTTTGGTGGTAGGAACATCTCAGAAGATTGCACATTTGGCAGAGGGAACATCTGACAAGGCTGCACATTAGGAAGAAAGAACATGTGACAAGTTTGAACGTTTTGCAAAAGGAGCATCTGAGAAGGTTGCATGTTTGGCAGAAGGAACTTCTAACAAGTCTGCATGTTTGGCAGAAAAAAGTCAAGATTGAATATTTGGCAAATGAAACATCTCCCAAACTTGCATGTTTAACAGAAAACAAAACATCTGAGAAGACTGCATGTTTGGCAGAGACAACATCTGAGAAGGTTTGATGTTTGCAGAAAGAATTTCTGACAAGCTTGCATGTTGGACAGAAGGAGCTACTGATAAGTTTGCAGGTTTAGCAGAATGAACATGTGAAAACATTGCATAAGTTTGGCAGAAAAAATATCTGAAAAGATCGCATGTTTGGCAGAATGAACATCTGATAATATTACATGTTTGGCAGAAGTAATATCTGATAAAGTCTCATGTTTGGCAGAAGAAAAAATTACATGTTTGGCAGAAGTAACATCTGACAAGTTTCAATGTTACCCAAAAGAAGCATCTGAGAAGATTGCATGTTTGGCAGGAAGAACATCTGACAGGATTGCATGTTAGGCAGTAGAAAATGTGACAAGCTTTTATGTTGGCAGAAAAACAATTAGACAAAAAAAAAAATAGACAAAAATTGCATGTTTGGCCAAAGAAACATCTGACAAGCTTGCATGTTTGGAAGAAATAAAATCTGACAGGCTTGCATGTTTGGCAGTAGACAAATCTGACAAGCTTTTATGTTTAGCACAAAAAGTATCTGACAAGGTTGCATGTTTCCCATAAATTATTTGAAAAATTTTGAATTGTCCTGTGAAAGGTGGAAGATAATTAACGTCTGCTCTGAAAAGGTGCAGATGGCAAGTTTCATTGCTGAGAGTCTGGAGATAATGAAGTCTATTTCTGAGAGGCTGTAAAAGGTGAGTTTTTTCTCTAACCAACTGGAGATAAGAGGTCATTCTCTTAGAAACTGATAACTGTGAGTTCTTCTTAGAAACTGGAGATGGCAAGTTTCTCATCTGAGAGGCAGGAGAAAGTGAGGTCTTCCTCTGAGAGGCTGGAGGTGGTGAGACTCTCCTGAGATGTGAAAGAAAAAAAAATCATGCTTTAAAAGCCTGGAGAAAGGAAGTTTCCCTGCCAAAAAGCAAAAGACAGTGAAGTCATATTCAGAGATGAAAAAAATAAAACCCACAAAACATTCTTGTGAGAATCTGGTGAGATCCTCCTTTGAAAAATTGGAAACAGTGAGTTTCTCCTCAGAGACAACATCTGAGAAGGTTTGATGTTTGCAGAAAGAAAGAAGCTGGACATAGTGAGAAGCCTGGGACTGTGAGGTCCTCCTCCAAGAGGCTGGAGACTGCAGGTTTTTCTGCTGAGATGCTGCAGACTGGGAGTCCCCCTTCTGAGAGTGTAGAGAAGGTGAGGTTCCCTTTTGAAAGGCTAGAGATGTCTAGGTCTTTCTCTGAGAGGCTGGAGATGGTGAGGTCCTTCTCTGTGAGACTGGAGACTGCAAGGTCCTTTTCTGAGAGCCTGGAGATGGTGAATGTCCCTGTCAAATGTCTTGGCCAGACTGGGTTTCTGCTGGTGCTTGACAGGATTGGGGAGATGGGAAGGCCGAGGGTGAGTGTGGAGTCTCTGAAGCCAGTAGTCACAGCCATAAAAAAGTTATTTGCTGTGGAGGACCAAAAGGACCAGTTGCCTCTGAGCTTTTTCAGTTACCATGTCTTCTGAGACCCTTTGTACTAGAGCTGTGTTGATAATCTCTGGAAGAGTCACAAAAGTGTCGTCTGGGAGAAAATACGGAGGGTACACAATTGTATGTGCCAAAGACAGCCCTGGAATGAAACAGACAATAATAAAAGATAACAGGAACTGTGTGCTGAGCACTGAGGACTGAAAGAGGTGAGCAGATGTGTGAGAAACACCTTTTTCAGAGTTGGGGGTCCCTTGGGGAGTGGTGGTGAGGGAAGGATGTGGAAAAATGGGGTGGAGGCAGGGAAGCACTCCTGGCCTCCGGGGCTTTGATTCTCTTCTGAGATCCTGCACATGGCCAGGTCTTTTGTTGAGAGGCTAAAGATGGCAAAGTACTCTTCTGAGGGCCTGGAGATGGTGAAGTCTTCCTCTGAGAGCCTGTAGAGGTTGAAGTCTTTCTCTAGGAAACTGTAGAGAGGGAGTTGCTTCCCTGAGAGGACAGAGACAATGAGGTTCTCCTCTAAGTCTGGAGATGGTAAATTTTACCTCCAGGATGGAAGATCCACAAGGTGCTCCTCTGAGAGGCTGGTGATGATGACGTCTTTCTCTGAGAGACAGGAGACTGACAGTGAGGTCTTAGTCTGAGAGGCTGGACATGGTGAGTTTCTCCCGTGAGATGCTGAGGACCCTGATGTCCTTTTCTGAGATGCTTGACATGGTGAATTTCTTCTCTAAGAGACTGGAGGTGGTGAGGTCCTAACGTCAGAGGCTGGAAACAAAAGGTTTCTCTTCCGAGAGTCTCCTCTAACAACAAGATCCTCCTCTGAGAGGGTTTTGATGATGACTCTTTTCTCTGAAAGGATAGGCATGATCAATGTTTCTGTTGGAGCTATTGGCCGGAGAGCTTTGATTGCTGATGCTTGGTTGGAGATAGTGTGGTGAAGGGGAGGGTGAGTTTGCAGAGTCTTCAGCTGGTAGCCAAAGCCACAAAGAACATCTTTGCTGTGGAAAGCCAGAAAAGCCAGGTGCCCCTGAACTTCTTCAGTAATTGTGTCTACTTAGACCCCTGGTTGTGGAGCCTAGATCAGGATCTTGGGAAGCTTCACAAAGCTGCCATCCAGGGGAAACGATGGAAGGTGCAGCAGATCCTTGTCCTCAATGGAAGCACTTGAATGAAACAGACAATGGAAAGAGGTAAAAGGAACTGCCTGTTGGGGGCTGGGGACTGCAGGAGTAGCTGGCAGCTGTGAGAGAAGCACCAAATTCACAGCTTGGGAACTATGGAGGAGTGAGGATGAGGGTAGAAAATATAAAAGTAGGGTGGGAGCAAGTGCACTGTCCTAGCCCCATGGACCTGGTCCACTTCTGTGATGCTGCACACAGCAAGGTACTCCACAGAGATGCTGGAGATGGCGATCTCTTCCTCTGAGAGGCTGGAGAGGTTGAGGTCTTCTTCTGCAAGACTGCAGACATTGAGTTTCCATTCTGCCATGCAGGAGACAATGAGTTCCTTATTTGAGATGCTGGAGAGGGCTACTCTTGGAGTTGCTACTCCAAGAACCTGGAGAATTGCATGGACTGAAGAAGGAAGATCTGACAAGGTTGCATGTTTGGCAGAAAAAAAATATGACAAACTTGCATGCTTGGCAAAAGAAATACCTGACAAGGCTGCATGTTTGGCAGAAGAAACATCTGAGGAGGCTGAATTTCTGGCAGAAGAATTATATGCCAAGGTTGGATTTTTGGCAAAAGCAACATCTGATGAGATTAAAAATTTAGCATGAGAATCTCTGACTCAATTGAACATTTGGCACAAGAAAAATCTTGTAAGATTTTATGTTTGGTAAGAGAAACATCTGCCAAGACTGAATGTTTGGCAGAAGAAACATCTGAAAAGCTTGCATATTTGGCAGAAAGAACAACTGAAAACCTTGTATGTTTGGCAGAAGGCACATCTGAGAAGATTGCATCTTTGGCAAAGGGAATATCTGACAAGGTTTCATGTTTGGCAGAAGAAACACCTGACAAAATGGCATATTTGGCAGAAAAAAAGTCTGAGAAATGTGCATGTTTGGTAGAAAATAGTATCTGTCAAGAGTGCATGTTTTGCAGTAACTACATCTAACAAGTTTTAATGTTTGAGAGAAAAAAACAGCTGAAAGGTTTTAATATTCTATAGAAAGATCACCTGACATGCTTGCATGTTTGGCAAGAGAAACATGTGCCACAGTGGAATGTTTGGTAGAACTCACACTTATGAAGATTGCAGGCTTAGCATAAAGAACTTGTGACAAGCTTGCATGTTTGGCAGCAGTAACATCTGACAACATTCAATGTCTTACAAAAGTAACACTTGCAAGCCTGGGTGTTTGATCCACAAATTACATGGCAAGATTGACAAAGAGACATTAGAGAGTTTTGAATCTTGGCCAAAAAAAGAAAAAAAAAAAAAAACATCTGATGCAATGGAATGTTTGGCAGGAGTTCCATGTAAGAATATTTCATATTATAGATAAAGAACATCTGACAAGGGTATATGTTTGGCAGAAGGAAAATCTGACAAGAGTGCATGTTTGGCATAGGAAACATGTCAAGATGGCAGATTTGGCAGAAGAAACATCTGACAATATTGCAGGTTTGGCAGAAAGAACATCTAACATGCTTACATGTTTTGGAAAAGAAACACAGGCCTCAATGGAATGTTTGGCAGAACTCCTATCTAAGAAGATTGCATGTTCAACAGAAAGAAGATTAGACATCTGACAATGTTGAATGCTTGATAGAAGGAACATCCAACAAGTGTGAATGTCAAAAGAAACATCTGTCACAATAGACTGTTTTGCAGAAAGAAAATTTCAGAAGACTGCAGTTTCAGCAGAAGTAACCGCTGAGAAAATTGCATGGTTGACAACAGAAATGGAAATGCCAGGATGTCCAGCAAAAGTCTTGAAGGGGCGGAGCCCTCATTGGAGAACCTCTATAAGAGCAATGCAGAGGGGAAATGTGGGGTTGGAGCCCCCACACAGTCCCCACTGGGGCACTGCACAGTGGAGCTGTGATAAAAGGGCCACCATTCTCCAGACCCCAGACTAGTAGATTCACCAAAAGCTTGCACCGTGAGCGTGGAAAAGCCACAGGCACTCAACACCAGCCCTTGATAGCAGCCATGGGGGCTGAATCCTGCAGAGCCACAGGGGTAGAGCTTCCTAAGGCCTTAGGGGCCCACCCCTCTGTCAGTGTTGCTTGGATATGAGACACGGAGTCAAAGGATATTATTTAATGACTTTCTTGCTGGGTTTTGGATTTCCATGGGGCCTGTAGCACCTTTGTTTTGGCCCATTTCTCCCTTTTAGAAAGCGAATGTTTACCCAATGCCCATACTCCCATTGTATCTTGAAAGTAACTAACTTGTTTTTTATTTTACAGGCTCATAGGCAGAAGGGACTTACCTTGTTTCAGATGAAACTTTGGACTGTGGACTTTTGAGTTGATAATTAAATGAGTTAAGACTGGGGAACTGTTGAGAAGGGATAAGTGTGTTCTGTAATGTGAGAGGAAGATGAGATTTGTAGGGGGCTAGGGTCAGAATAAATAGTTTGGATTTGTGTCCCTGTCCAAATCCCATGTCAAAGAAAGGCCTAGTGGGAGCTGATTGGATCATGGGATTGGACTTTTCCCTTGCTGTTCTCATGATAATGAGTGAGTTCTCACAAGATATGGTTGTTTAAAAGTGTTTAGCACCTCCTACTTCACTCTCTTCCTTCTGCTCTGGCCACGTAAGGCATGTCTGCTTCCCCTCTGCTTTCTGCCATAATTGTAAGGTTCCTGAAGCCTTCCCAGAAGCAGAAGCCTGTACAGCCTACAGAAGTGTGAGACGATTAAACATCTTTTCTTTATAAATTACCCACTCTCAGGTAGTTCTTGATAGCAATATAAGAATGGACTAATACATCATCTGAGCACCGCTTGCTTCTCCAATGTCATCTTCTGATGTTCTCCTCCACTTTCCTGAGCTTTCCTCATAATGAACTACTTGGGGCTCCCCCTCAACTTGTTGTCTTCTCTTTTAATTCCCACCATTTGTACACACTCCTCTCTCCTTAGAATATCCTTCCTGCCTCCTCTTGACCCCAGACTCATACTCTGATTTTGCAAGTTGACTCAGAGGTGTCTCCTCCTTCTGAGAATGTCTCTGATGCCACCCTTCTCCCACTCCAGAGTAGGCAGGTACTCATCCTAGATTATCCTATAATGCCCTGTGCTTAGCACTTTCATATAATAAAATTGACTGAACACCTACTATGCACCAAGTATTAATGATACAAGGGTGAGGAAAAAGGACAACGCCCATGCCTTCATGGAGTTCACAATGTAGCAAAAAATGATCTCCTACACAAACACAAATTCACTAGGAAAACAAAAGTCCAGCACTCACCACATATGCTGCACTGCTTTTTTACTTGTCCAGCTCTGCCTCTAGACCAGCTCTGTCCACTATAATAGTTACTAGCACATGTGTCCTCTGAGCACTTGGAATGTGTTTAGTGGCTCATGATAAAATACTATATCAGATATCTTAGGTTGCAGAAATTATCAATAAAATTAATTTTACTGCTTCTTTTTAGTTTTTTTTTTTATGCTCTACTCTAAGGTCAGCAACTGATGTTTTTTCATTGTATCCCCAATGCCTACTAGAGATCTTGCCATAGAACAGGACTCAAGAAGTAGTTAAGTAAAGGAATATGAGCCCAAAAGACAGACAGGGACTCAAATTCCAGGCAATGGTGCCACCCAGATGGGAGAGGGCAGAGCTGTGCTTGAAGGTTACTCAGGCCACTGGGAGAGTAACAGATCAGGGCAGTAGGAAAAGCATTCAGGGAGAGGCTACCCACAGATAAGGAAAATGGCTGGAACCCATGCTTCGAAAGCCATTCGAGGCTAATGCTGGACAGCAGACACTCTGGAAAAGCCAACCAGGGAGATATGTTCTGCCTTTGCCAAATTTCTGCTATCCTGCCTCTGATACTCCCATAGGTGACAGAGTGATCTTGTCCCTATAGGAGTTTGGCTCAACCATGCTAAAAAAAACATGAGGACAAGGCTAGGTGTGGTGGCTCACACCTGTAATCCAAGTACTTTGGAAGGCCAATGTAGGAAGAATGCTTGAGGACAGGAGCTTGAGACCAGCTTGGGCAACATAGTGAGACCCCATCTCTACAAAAAATAAAAATAAAAATTAGCCAGGAATGGAGGCATGCACCTGTAGTCCTAGCTGCTCAGGAGGCTAAGATGGGAGGATTGCTTGAACACGGGAGTTCAAGGCTGCACTGAGCCATGGTTACATCACTGCCCTCTAGACTGGATGACAGAGAATGACCCTTCCTGTAAACACACTCACACACACACACACACACACACACACACACACACAAACAAAAAACATATAACTGGAAATGGTGGTATATTTCAATGTGGAAAGCTGATCAGAGACAACATGCACTCAACACAAGTGAACTCTGACAAAATTCCTCCCATATTACATCATGGGATACACTCCTCCCTGATCATTTACTGCATAAACATCTTATAAAAATATGTCACCTTATGGAATCTTCCACCTTTGTTACTAAAGGGAAAGGAGTGTTTCCTGAACTCAGGGAGGCATGCATAAACATTAACTGTTGCTTTTCTACATTGTTAAATAGATTGGAAATAGAGGTGTCTTAGGTGACAGAGGCAATTTTTAATTAAAATTGCAAGCAGGAAGAGCAATTGGCTAACTACTAAGACACACATACCTCGTTATGCTGCATATTTATAGATACTTAAGATTAAACTTGGTCAGGAGGGGAAGCTAGAATGATTGTTTATGACTGAGTGCTCATAAGTGGGAGTTGAACAATGAGAACACATGGACACAGGGAGAGGAACATCACACATTGGGGCCTGTCGTGGCATGGGGGAAAACGGGAAGGAGAGCATTAGGAAAAATACCTAATGCATGCAGGGATTAAAACCTAGATGATGAGTTGATAGGTGCAGCAAAACACCACGGCACATGTATACCTATGTAACAAACCTGCACATTCTGCACATGTATCCCAGAACTTAAAGTAAAATTTAAAAAAAAGACTGAGTGCTAGAAAAACTCTTATTCCAACTATATTTATAAACAGCACTGGAAGACCTAGCTATAAAAATGAGATAGATAAATAAATGGCATTCAAATGGGAAGAGAAGCCAAATTATCCTTGTTTGCAGATGACATGATCTTATACTGGGAAGAACTTAAAGATTCTACCAAAAAACTGTTAGAACTGATAAACAAATTCATTAAAGTTTCAGGATACAAAATCAACATATGAAAATCAGTAGCATTTCTGTATGCCAACAGTGAACAATCTGGAAAAGAAATCAAGAAAATAATCCCTTTTACAATAGCTACACATAATATAAAATACCTAGGAATAAACTTAACCAAAGAAATGAAGGAGCTCTGCAATGAAAACTATAAAACATTGATGCAAGAAATTAAAGAAGACACCAAAAAAATGGAAAGATATTCCATATTCAGGGATTGGAAGAGTCAATATTTTTACTATGTCCATACTACCCAAAGCAACCTACAGATTCAATACAATCTATATCAAAATACCAATGATGTTCTTCACAGAAATATAAAAAATAATCCAAATATTTATCCGGAACCTCAAAAGATCCAGAATAGCCAAAGCTACCCTGAGCAAAAAGAGCACTACTGGAGGAATTACATTACCTAACTTTATACTGCAGAGCTACAGCGATCAAAACAGCATGGTACTGGCATAAAAACAGACACATTGGCCAATAAAACAGAGAATTCAGATGTAAATCCATACATTTACCATGAACTCATTTTCAACAAAGGTGACAAGAACATACATTGAGGGAAAGACAGTCTCTTCAATAAATGGTGCTGGAAAAACTGGATATCCACATGCACAAGCATAAAACTACAACCCTATCTCTTACCATACACAAAAATCAAAACAATAAAGATTACAAACTTAAATCTAAGTCCTCAAGTTATGAAACCACTACAAAAGAACATTGGGGAAACTCTTCAGGACACTGGTCTGAGTAAAAATTTCTTGAGTAATACCCTATGAGCACAGGCAATCAAAGAAAAAACTGACAAAGGGTTCACATTAAGTTAAAAAAGCCTCTGCCCAGCAAAGGAAACAGTCAAAAAAGTGAAGAGACAACCCATAGAATGGGAGAAAATATTTGCAAACTATCTCTCTTTCAAGAAACTAATAGCCAGAATACATAAGGAGCTCAAACAACTCAATAAAAAATCTAATAACTGGATTTTAAAATGGGCCAAAAATTTGAATACTCATTTCTCAAAAGAAGACATACTAATGGCAAACAGGTTTATGAAAAATTCTTATGAACTTTTCTCACGCAAGTTAAAATGGCTTACATCCAAAAGACAGGCAATAACAAATGCTGGTGAGAATGTAGAGAAAAGGGAACACTGGTACACTGTTGGTTGGAACGTAAATTAGTACAACCACTATGGAAAAGAGTTTGGAGTTTCCTCAAAAAACAAAAAATAGAACTACCACAGAATCCAGCAATCCTACTGCTGGGTATATACTCAAAAGAAAGGATATCAGTGTATCAAAGAGCTACCTGCACTCCCATGTTTATTGCAGCACTATTCACAATAGCCGAGATTTGAAAGCAACCTAAGTGTCCATCAACAGATAACTGGATAAAGAAAATGTGGTACTTATGCACAATGGAGTACTATTCAGCCATAAAAAGAATGAGATCTTGTCATTTGCCACAGCAGGGATAGAACTGGAAATCAGTATGTTAAGGTAATTAAGCCAGGCATAGAAAGAAAAACTTTGCATGTTTTCACTTATTTGTGGGAGCCAAAAATTAAAACAATTGAACTCATGGAGATAGAGAGTAGAAGGATGGTTACTACAGGCTGGGAATGGTAGTTGAGGTGGGGATGGGAAGGGGAGAGTAGGGATGGTTAATGGGTACAAAAATATAGTTAAATAGAATAAATAAGCCCTAGTATTTGATAGCACAACACTACAGTCAGCAATAACTTATTGCACATTTAAAAATAATGAAAAAATTTATAATTGGAATGTCTGTAACACAAAGAAAGAATAAACGCTTGAGGTTAAAGATACCCCATTTATCCTCACGTGATTATTTTGCATTGCATGCCTATATTAAAATACCTCATGTGCCCCATAAATATATACACCTAATATGTACCCACAAAAATAAAAAATAAATTTTAAAAAACAGCACTGGAATCTTAGAGCAATGAAAAATAACAAAGCTTGAGAGTCTCCAGGAAGCAAAGGTGTCTATCCATTAGGCCGAGATCTCCAAGCAGACCAGGCACTCACCTACACCTGCTCCCAAAATGAAAATTGCACTCAAGCTAGGAGAGGCAGGAAAAGGTGACTTTACCAGAACTTTCATGTGAAAACTTTAAACAAAGGCAAGAATCCAACGGATCATGAAGACCTGAGCAGGACCTGCACAGCAGCCCACATCTGGCCAAACCTCATTAATTCTGAGGAACCAGGCTAAGGCGGACCTTCAGATTGTAAAATAAGTTTCACAGAGTAGGTTTTTCACAAAAACAAGAGGTGAGGATGTGTCTCAAGTATTTCCGAGGAAAATAATTGTTTTCAACCATTTCAAATGTGTATCAATCTGTTTTCACATTGCTATAAAGAAATATCTGAAACTGGATAATGTATAAAGAAAAGAGGTTCAATTGGCTCACTTTCTGCAGGCTGTACAAGAAGCATAGCAGCTTCTGGGGAGGCCTCAGGGAACTTTCAGTTGTGGCGGAAGGCAAAGTGGGAGCAGGCATGGCCAAAGCAGGAAGACAGAGATTGGCTTTGTGTCGCTCCTCAGCAAGACTGGTGGTTCCTTCCTGCCTCTCTTCTCCCTTCCCCATTCTGGGTTTTTCTCCTCTCTGCTTCCCATTCCATCATAGGGGAATGGGGCCAAGTATTTTGGATGGGAAACAGGAACTGAAACATGAATGTCCTAGGTTTTTGAAAGCACTGCTATCTTTAGTCTTGCTATTTCTTTGGCATTCGTGTCTCAGTTCCTGTTGCTGAGGAGCCACACAAAGCCAATCTCTGTGTGCAGCAGGGATTGTTTTCTAAAAAAGAAGCACAAGGATGCAAACAAGATCACGTGACTTTTAGAGACTGCAATCCCAGAAACTTCACTAAAGGGCCTGAGGACCCCATCAGCAGGCACAATAAGCATGGACCTACACACTCCAAAATGCTGAGTCCTAAAAACAAAAACAAGATTTAATGCTGCTATGTGTTTACTCTGAGGAGTGAAGGGAAGAAAACAGAGAAATAAAGATAGAAGGCATAACCATAAAAGTGAAGCTTGTCTGTTTCTTAGCCAGAATGTTGTTTATATGGCTCGGATGACTGGGGGAATACCAGGGTCCTTGGTCTCAAGTCAATAGGATTAACAACACAGAGACACAAGGAGTGGTTTTTAAGGAGCAAAAAGTTTAATAGGCAAGATAGGAGGAAGGAAGAAGAAAACAGCTCTCCCCACATAGACGGAGGAGGGATTCAGTCAAAGAGAAAACCCTGTGTGCAGCAGAAAAGTAGTTGATTATATTGGGACACTGGAAGAGGCGGTGTCTGGCTTGCATATGGTCCAAGGGATTGGTTTCACCAGGTGTGTTATTTACGTAGCCCATGACAAACCTGGTCCTCCCACCTTAGCTCTTTAATATGCAAATGTGGATCACCATGACGTTCTGAACACATGGTGTTATCTGGAGGTGGTCATGACACTTGGTACACCTTGGTGACAAAGAGAAGATGGCAGAAATTACCATATTGAGTAAACCCATTTTCAAAGGGTTGGCATTTACTTATCAAAGCTTGCTGGCCTGGCCCTTCAAGCTGCCATTTCTGTTAGAAAAGGATGGTTTGGGGGTTGTCTCTTATTACAGGAAAATTTCCACCAAGAACCTTGACACTTACTATCTGCTTAAAATAATTTCTTAGAGGCAGTTCCAGGATGGCCGAATAGGAACAGCTCCAGTCTACAGCTCCCAGTGGGAGCAATGCAGAAGATGGGTGATTTCTGCATTTCCAACTGAGGTACTGGGTTCATCTCACTGGGGATTGTCGGACAGTGGGTACACGACAGTGGGTGCAGCCCACCGAGCATGAGCTGAAGCAGGGTGAGGCATCACCTCACTTGGGAAGCGTGAGGGTCAGGGAATTCCCTTTCCTAGCCAAGAGAAGCTGTGACAGATGGCACCTGGAAACTCAGGTCACTCCCAACCTAATACTGCGCTTTTCCAACTGTCTTAGCAAATGGCACACAAGGAGATTATATCCCGCACATGGTTTGGAGGGTCCCACGCCCACAGAGCCTTGCTCATTGCTAGCACAGCAGTCTGAGATCGAACTGCAAGGCGGCAGCGAGGCTGGGGAAGGGGCGCCCACCATTGCTGAGGCTTGAGTAGGTAAACAAAGCAGCCAGGAAGCTCGAACTGGATGGAGCCCTCTGCAGCTCAAGGAGGCCTGCCTGCATCTGTAGACTCCATCTCTGGGGGCATAGCCAAACAAAAGACAGCAGAAACCTCTGCAGACTTAAATGTCCCCATCTGACAGCTTTGAAGAGAGTAGTGATTCTCCCAGCACAGAGTTTGAGATCTGAGAACAGACAGACTGCCTCCTCAAGTGAGTCCCTGACCTCTGAGTAGCCTAACTGAGAGGCACACCCCAGTAGGGGGAGACTGACACCTCACATGGACGGGTACCCCTCTGAGACAAAGCTTCCAGAGGAACGATCAGTCAGCAGCATTTGCTGTTCAACAATATTCACTGTTCTGTAGCCTCCGCTGCTGATACCCAGGCAAGCAGGGTCTGGAGTGGACCTCCAGAAAACTCCAACAGACCTGCAGCTGAGGGTCCTGACTGTTAGAAGGAAAACTAACAAACGGAAAGGACATCCACACCAAAACCCCATCTCTATGTCACCATCATCAAAGACCAAAGGTAGATAAAACCACAAAGATGGGGAAAAACAGAGCAGAGAAGCTGAAAATTCTAAAAATCAGAGCGCCTCTCCCCCCTCCAAAGAAACACAGCTCCTCACCGGCAATGGAACAAAGCTGGATGGAGAATGACTTTGATGAGTTGAGAGAAGAAGGCTTCAGATGATCAAACTTCTCCGAGCTAAAGGAGGAAGTTCGAACCCATCACAAAGAAGCTAAAAACCTTGAAACCAGATTAGATGAAAGACTAACTAGAATAACCAGTATGGAGAAGTCCTTAAATGACCTTATGGAGCTGAAAACCATGGCAAGAGAACTATGTGATGAATGCACAAGCTTCAGTAGCTGATTAGATCAAGTGGAAGAAAGGGTATCAGTGATGGAAGATCAAATGAATGAACCGAAGTGAGAAGAGAAGTTTAGAGAAAAAGGAGTAAAAGAAATGAAAAAAGCCTCCAAGAAATATGGGACTATGTGAAAAGACCAAATCTATGTCTGATAGGTGTACCTGAAAGTGATGAGGAGAATGGAACCAAATTGGAAAACACTCTGCAGGATATAATACAGGAGAACTTCCCCAACCTAGCAAGGCAGGGCAACTTTCAAATTCAGGAAATACAGAGAAGGCCACAAATACACTCCTCGAGAAGAGCAACCCCAAGAGACATAATTGTCAGATTCACCAAAGTTGAAACAAAGGAAAAAATGTTAAGGGCAGCCAGAGAGAAAGGTCAGGTTACCCCCAAGGGGAAGCCCATCAGAGTAACAGCAGATCTCTTGACAGAAACTCTACAAGCCAGAAGAGAGTGGGGCCAATATTGAACATTCTTTTTTTATTATTATTATACTATAAGTTTTAGGGTACATGGGTACAACGTGCAGATTTATTACATATGTATACATGTGCCATGTTGGTGTGCTGCACCCATTAACTCATCATTTAACATTAGGTATATCTCCTAATGCTATCCCTCTCCCGTCCCCCAACCCTGCAACAGGCCCTGGTGTGTGATGTTCCCTTTGCTGTGTCCATTTGTTCTCAGTGTTCAATTCCCACCTGTGAGTGAGAATATGTGGTGTTTGGTTTTTTGTCCTTGCGATAGTTTGCTGAGAATGATGATTTCCAGCTTCATCCATGTCCCTGCAAATGACATGATCTCATCCTTTTTTATGGCTGCATAGTATTCCGTGATATATATGTGCTACATTTTCTTAATCCAGTCTATCATTGTTGGACATTTGGGTTGCTTCCAAGTAATTGCTATTGTGAATAGTGCCACAATAAACATACGTGTGCATGCATCTTTATAGTAGCATGATTTATAATCCTTTGGGTATATACCCAGTACTGGGATGGCTGGGTCAAATGGTATTTCTTGTTCTAGATCCCTGAGGATTCACCACACTGACTTCCACATGGTTGAACTAGTTTACAGTCCCACCAACAGTGAAAAAGTGTTCGTATTTCTCCACATCCTCTCCAGCACCTGTTGCTTCCTGACTTTTTAATGATCACCATTCTAACTGGTGTGAGATGGTATCTCACTGTGGTTTTGATTTGTATTTCTCTGATGGCCAGTGATGATGAGCATTTTTTCCATGTGCCTGTTGGTTGCATAAATGTCTTCTTTTGAGAGGTGTCTGTTCTATCCTTCACCCACTTGTTGATGGGGTTGTTTGTTTTTTTCTTGTAAATTTGTTTGAGTTCATTGTAGATTCTGGATATAAGCCCTTTGTCAGATGAGTAGATTGCAAAAATTTTCTCCCATTCTGCAGGTTGCCTGTTCTCTGATGGTAGTTTCTTTTTCTGTGCAGAAGCTCTTTAGTTTAATTAGATCCCATTTGTCAATTTTGGCTTTTGTTGCCATTGCTTTTGGTGTTTTAGATATGAAGTCCTTGCCCATGCCTATGGCCTGAATGGCATTGCCTAGGTTTTCTTCTAGGGTTTTTATGGTTTTAGGTCTAACATTTAAGTCTTTAATCCATCTTGAATTAATTTTTGTACAAGGTGTAAGGAAGGGATCCAGTTTCAGCTTTCTACATATGGCTAGCCAGTTTGCCCAGCACCATTTATGAAATAGGGAATCCTTTCCCCATTTCTTGTTTTTCTCAGATTTGTCAAAGATCAGATAGTTGTATATATGTGGCATTATTTCTGAGGGCTGTGTTCTGTTCCATTGGTCTATATCTCTGTTTTGGTACCAGTACCATGCTGTTTTGGTTACTGTAGCCTTGTAATATAGTTTGAAGTCAGGTAGCATGATGCCTCCAGCTTTGTTCTTTTGGCTTAGGATTGACTTGGCAATCTGGGCTCTTTTTTGGTTCCATATAAACTTTAAAGTAGTTTTTTTCCAATTCTGTGAAAAAAGTCATTGGTAGCTTGATGGGGATGACATTGAATCTATAAATTGCCTTGGGCAGTATGGCCATTTTCACAATATTGGTTCTTCCTACCCATGAGCATGGAATGCTCTTCCATTTGTTTGTATCCTCTTTCATTTCGTTGAGCAGTGGTTTGTAGTTCTCCTTGAAGAGGTCCTTCACATCCCTTGTAAGTTGGATTCCTAGGTATTTTACTCTGTTTAAAGAAATTGTGAATGGGAGTTCACTCATGATTTGGCTCTCTGTCTGTTATTGGCATATAAGAATGCTTGTGATTTTTGCACACTGATTTTGTATCTTGAGACTTTGCTGAAGTTGCTTATCAGCTGAAGGAGATTTTGGACTGAGACGATGGGGTTTTCTAGATATACAATAATGTCATCTGCAAACAGGGACAATTTGACTTCCTCTTTTCCTAATCAAATACCTTTTCTTTATTTCTTCTGCCTGATAGCCCTGGGCAGAACTTCCAACACTATGTTGAATAGGAGTGGTGAGAGATGGCATCCCTGTCTTGTGTCAGTTTTCAAAGGGAATGCTTCCAGTTTTTGCCCATTCAGTATGATATTGGCTGTGGGTTTGTCATAGATAGCTCTTATCATTTTGAGATATGTCCCATCAATACCTAATTTATTGAGAGTGTTTAGCATGAAGCGCTGTTGAATTTTGTCAAAGGTGTTTTCTGTATCTATTGAGATAATCATGTGGTTTTTGTCTTTGGTTCTGTTTATATGCTGGATTGCATTTATTGATTTGCATATGTTGAACCAGCCTTGCATCCCAGGAATGAAGCCCCCTTGATCATGGTGGATGAGTTTTTGTTGTGCTGCTGGATTCGGTTTGCCAGTATTTTATTGAGGATTTTTGCATCGATATTCATCAGGGATATTGGTCTAAAATTCTCTTTTTTTGTTGTGTCTCTGCCAGGCTTTGGTATCAGGATGATGCTGGCCTCATAAAATGAGTTAGGGAGGATTCCCTCTTTTTCTATTGATTGGAATAGTTTCAGAAGGAATGGTACCAGCTCCTCCTTGTACCTCTGGTAGAATTTGGCAGTGAATCCATCTGGTCCTGGACTGTTTTTGGTTGGTAGGCTATTAATTATTGCCAGAATTTCAGAGCCTGTTATTGGTCTATTCAGGGATTCAACTTCTTCCTGGTTTAGTCTTGGGAGGGTGCATGTGTTGAGGAATTTATCCATTTCTCCTAGATTTTCTAGTTTATTTGCATAGAGGTGTTTATAGTATTCTCTGATGGTAGTTTGTATTTCTGTGGGATCAGTGGTGATATCCCCTTTATCATTTTTTATTGCATCTATTTGATTCTTCTCTCCTTTCTTCTTTATTAGCCTTGCTGGTGGTCTATCAATTTTGCTGATCTTTTATTCATTAATTTTTTGAAGGGTTTTTTGTGTCTCTGTTTCCTTCAGTTCTGCTCTGATTAGTTATTTCTTGCCTTCTGCTAGCTTTTGAATGTGTTTGCTCTTGCTTCTCTAGTTCTTTTAATTGTAATGTTAGGGTGTCAATTTTAGATCTTTCCTGCTTTCTCTTGTGGGCATTTAGTGCTATAAATTTCCCTCTACACACTGCTTTAAATGTGTTCCAGAGATTCTGGTATGTTGTGTCTTCATTCTCCTTGGTTTCAAAGAACATCTTTATTTCTGCCTTCATTTCATTATGTACCCAGTAGTCATTCAGGAGCAGGTTGTTCAGTTTCCATGTAGTTGAGCGGTTTTGAGTGAGTTTCTTGATCATGAGTTCTAGTTTGATTGCACTCTGGTCTGAGAGACAGTTTGTTATAATTGCTGTTCTTTTACATTTGCTGAGAAGTGCTTTACTTCCAACTATCTGGTCAGTTTTGGAATAGGTGTGGTGTGGTGCTGAGAAGAATGTATATTCTGTTGATTTGGGGTGGAGAGTTCTGTAGATGTCTATTAGTTCCGCTTGGTGCAGAGCTGAGTTCAATTCCTGGATATCCTTCTTAACTTTGTGTCTCATTGATCTGTCTAATGTTGACAGTGGGGTGTTAAAGTCTCCCATTATTATTGTCTGGGAGTCTAAGTCTCTTTGTAGGTCTCTAAGGACTTGCTTTATGAATCTGGGTGCTTCTGTATTGGGTGCATATATATTTAGGATAGTTAGCTCTTCTTGTTGAATTGATCCCTTTACCATTATGTAATGGTCTTCTTTGTCTCTTTTGATCTTTGTTGGTTTAAAGTCTGTTTTATCAGAGACTAGGATTGCAACCCCTGCCTTTTTTTGTTTTCCATTTGTTTGGTAGATCTTCCTCCATCCCTTTATTTTGAGTCTATGTGTGTCTCTGCACTTGAGATGGGTCTCCTGAATACAGCACACTGATGGGTCTTGACTCTTTATCCAATTTGTCAGTCTGTGTCTTTTAATTGGAGCATTTAGCCTACTTACATTTAAGGTTAATATTGTTATGTGTGAATTTGATCCTGTCATTATGATGTTAGCTGGTTATTTTCCTCATTAGTTGATGCAGTTTCTTCCTAGCATTGATGATCTTTACAATTTGGCATGTTTTTGCAGTGGCTAGTGCTGGTTGTTCCTTTCCATATTTAGTGATTCCTTCAGGAGCTCTTTTAGGGAAGGCCTGGTGGTGACAAAATCTCTCAGAATTTGCTTGTCTGTAGAGGGTTTTATTTCTTCTTGACTTATGAAGCTTAGCTTGGCTGAATATGAAATTCTGGGTTGAAAATTCTTTTCTTTAAGAATGTTGAGTATTCGCCCCCACTCTCTTCTGGCTTGTAGAGTTTCTGCTGAGAGATCCACTTTTAGTCCAATGGGCTTCCTTTTGTGGATAACACGACCTTTCTCTCTGACTGCCCTTAACTTTTTTTCCCTCATTTCAACTTTGGTGAATCTGATAATTATGTGTCTTGGAGTTGCTCTTCTCGAGGAGTATATTTGTGGCCTTCTCTGTGTTTCCTGAATTTCAATGTTGGCCTGCCTTGCTGGGTTGGGGAAGTTCTCCTGGATGATATCTTGAAGAGTGTTTTCCAACTTTGTTCCATTCTCCCTGTCACTTGCAGGTACACCAATCAGATGTAGATTTGGTCTTTTCCCATAGTCCCATATTTCTTGGAGGCTTTGTTCATTTTTTTTTTACTCTTTTTTCTCTAAACTTCTCTTCTTGCTTCATTTCATTCACTTGATCTTCCATCACTGATACCCTTTCTTCCATTTGATCAAATCGGCTACTGAAGCTTGTGCATGCGTCACGTAGTTCTCATGCCATGGTTTTCAGCTCCATCAGGTCATTTAAGGACTTCTCTACACTGTTTATTCTAGTTAGCCATTCGTCTAATCTGTTTTCAAGGTTTTTAGCTTCTTTGCAATGGGTTCTAACATCCTCCTTTAGCTCGGAGAAGTTTGTTATTACTGATCATCTGAAGCCTTCTTCTCTCAACTCGTCAGAGTCTTTCTCCGTCCAGCTTTGTTCCGTTGCTGGCAAGGAGCTGCGTTCCTTTGGAGGAGAAGAGGCACTCTGATTTTTAGAATTTTCAGCTTTTCTGCTCTGGTTTCTCCCCATGTTTGTCATTTTATCTACCTCTGGTCTTTGGTGATGGTGACATACAGATGGGGTTTTGGTGTGGATGTCCTTTTTGTTTGTTAGTTTTCCTTCTAACAGTCAGCACCCTCAGCTGCAGGTCTGTTGGAGTTTGCTGGAGGTCCATTCCAGACCCTGTTTGCCTGGGTATCACCAGCGGAGGCTGCATAACAACAAATGTTGCTGCCTAACCCTTCCTCCAGAAGCTTCATCTCAGAGCGCACCCAGCCTTATGAGGTGTCAGTCAGCCCCCTACTGGGAGGTGCCTCCCAGTTAGGCTACTCGGGGGTCAGGGACCCACTTGAGGAGGCAGTCTGTCCATTCTCAGATCTCAAACTCTGTGCTGGGAGAAGCTATCAGACAGGGATGTTTAAGACTGAAGTTTCTGCTGCCTTTTGTTCAGCTATGCCCGGCCCTTAGTGGTGGAGTCTACAGATGCAGGCAGACCTCCTTGAGCTGTGGTGGGCTCCACCCAGTTCGAGCTTCCTGGAGGCTTTGTTTACCTACTCAAGCCTCAGCAATGGCGGACGCCCCTCCCCCAGCCTTGCTGCTGCTTTGCAGTTCCATCTCAGACTGCTGTGCTAGCAGTGAGGGAGTCTCCGTGGGCATAGGACCCTCCCAGCCAGGCACGTGATATGATCTCCTGGTGTGCCATTTGCTAAGGCCGTTGGAAAAGCACAGTATTAGGGTGGGAGTGTCCCGATTTTCCAGGTGCCATCTGTCATGGCTTCCCTTTGCTAGGAAAGGGAATTCCCCGACCCCTTGCGCTTCCCGGGTGAGGCGATGCGCCGCCCTGCTCCGTGGGCTGCACCCATTTGTCTGGCAAGCCCCAGTTAGAGGAACCCGGTACCTCAGATGGAAATGCAGAAATCACCCCTCTTCTGCGTCGTTCATGCTGGGAACTGCAGATTGGATCTGTTCCTATTCGGCTATCTTGGCGCCACCCCCCACCAGGATTCTCTTGATCTCCTGACCTCGTGATCTGCCTGCCTCAGCCTCCCAAAGTGCTGGGATTACAAGCATGAGCCACCGCACCTGGCCTGATGTGCTAATTTTTTTTCTTCATCATCCCAGAGCTGGCAAATAATTGACACTCAATAAATACTCATTAAATAAATTAATTGGGCTGCCACAATTACTTGCTTTGTTTTTGTAGGAGATGCTAGAACAGCTTTTTCCTGCCATTTCTATGAATGTCTGAACATATGAATACATTAGTGGTTAGGGAGACTGTAGTGATGCATTGGTCATTCTATTAATTCAGGTCTACACATATTTCTTCATCAAAACAAGGCATTAAAAACAACTAAACTTTAGAGTTAGATCACTTGAGGAATCCCAGTTTACCACTGTCTTATAAATCCCAGTTCTTAAGTCCCTCAATGCCTAATGTGCTACCAATAGGCATGCAAATAAGTCGGATGACCTTGCACCCCCAGGGTACTGCTTATCAAGAGTTCAAAAAGTTAGCCAGGGGCAGTGGCTCACGCCTGTAATCTCAGCACTTTGGGAGGCTGAGGCGGGTGAATCACCTGAGGTCGGGAGTTTCAGACCAGCCTGACCAACATGGAGAAGTCCCGTCAGTACTAAAAATACAAAATTAGCTGGGTGTGGTGGCACATGCCTGTAATCCCAGCTACTCGGAGGGCTGAGGAAGGAGAATCACTTGAACCTAGGAGGCAGATATTGCGGTGAGCTGAGATGGTGCCATTGCACTCCACCCTGGGCAATAAGGGCAAAACTCAGTCTCAAAAAAAAAAGTTTGAAAAATTTTGGTGAGATCACTTCCCTGCTATCGGCTGCAAACATTAGAGTATAAATTTGTTTTTGAAAACTTGTTAAAAATTGTTGAGAATTTCAAAGATAAAACTGCCATGGAGGTAAGGCTGTCTCCTGAAAAACCTCTGGAGAGCCACAGCGTGCCTGCATCAGTTCTGCCCCAGACTTCCTTCATCATCTTAGGCTCCCTCACCTCTGTAAAATTGGGGAGTGGTTTGAGCTCCATAAAGGACACCATCTACCAACGAGAGTGCCACTTCTTTTTTTTTTTTTTTTTCTAGAAGTGGAGTTTCACTCTTGTTGCCCAGGAGCCCAGGCTGGAGTGCAATGGTGTGATCTTGGCTCACTGCAACCTCTGCCTCTTGGGTTCAAACAATTCTCCTGCCTCAGCCTCCAGAGTAGCTGGGATTACAGGTGCCTGCCACCACGCCCAGCTAATTTTTGAATTTTTGGTAGACATGGCGTTTCACCATGTTGGCCGGGCTGGTCTCGAACTCCTGACCTCAGGTGATCCGCCCACCTCAGCCTCGCAAAGTGTTGGGATTACAAGCATGAGCCACCGCGCCCGAAAAGATGCTGAACATCATTAGTTAACCGGTAAATGAAATTAAACTACAATGAGATTCCATTACACAACCCACTAAAACGGCTGATAATACCAAGCCCTGATGAGGATGTGAAGGAACTAGAACTCTCATATGTTGTCAGTGGAAACGAAAAATGATACAGCCACTTTAGAAAACAGCATGGCAGCATACTGTTAGAAGTTAAACATAGACTTAGTATATAACACAGCAATCCCACTCCTGTGTATGTCCTAATGTCAAAAAATAAAACATATACCTACACAGAGACTTCCAAGAAAATGGTTATAGCAGCTATATTCATAATAACCCCAAACTAGAAAAAAACCCACGTGCCTATCACTAGGTGAACTGAAAACAAATTGCCATTCTGAGTGATGGCACTCTGCTCTATTACAACCATAGGAGTGCTTACACAATTCACAAAACCCCCTAAATTGTGCACTCGAAACTGGTGGATTTTATTATATGTAGAGTAGACCTCCATTTAGCTGATTTTAAAAACTTTCTTATAAACAAAAAAATGACTTCTGTTTGTTTGTTACCTCAGGATTGACTGTGGCTCAGGGAAGCAGGGGCGGATTTTGAGGTGTGGCATGTACAACCAAAAGTCTGTATGCTTGGTGCCAGACCAGGGATCCAGCCTAAGCACCATCAGTTTGGGTTCCTAAATTCTTTAAGTATCTCCCAAAGGCCTTACGTAAAATAACTCTTCCTACAGTCCCTGGTTCATCAATTACTCTTAGCTGTCATCTGCTCTTTGATCTCCGAGGCTCAGTGACCTTGCCCCAGCGCAGTTCCAGCTGAGGGCATCAGATGGCTGTCTGCCCTCTCTGGCCCCAGTGACCTCTCTCCATAGTGTGTGTGTCAGTGTCTACACAGTGTGTGTTAATGGCTTTCTTGACATGAGGCTTCCCCTTCCAGCATTTCCCAGAGGGAAAGTGTTCTGCAGGTGAACACTCCAACATCTACTGGTCAGTACAGCCCAGGGACATCTGATTTATTACAAAAAGCTGATGAAAGAAACTCAATGAGCTAAAGATGATAATTTTTTATTTTTTTTTTTTGAGAAAAGGAAAAAATATGTGATGCTAGCACACACTTCCCATTTCCCACCCACCCCCCACCTTTTTTTTTTTTTTTTTTTTGAGATGGAGTTTCGCTCTGTCACCCAGGCTGGAGTGCAGTGGTGTGATCTCGGCTCACTGCAACCTCCACCTCCTGGGTTCAAGTGATTCTCCTACTGATTCACCCTCCTGAGTAGCTGGGATTACAGGCACCTGCCACCACACAGGGCTAATTTTTGTATTTTTAGTAGAGATGGGGACACTTCCCATTCTTAAAGCCTCCTCTCAGTGGCCTCAGGCCCATCTCTGCTCCTGTTTATCACTGCCAGGAAACTCCCATTCAGTCTTCCTTCCTGGCAGTTTTTCCTTACCCTCGGCCACAGCCACCTTCCTCCTGTGTCATTCCCGAAGGCAACCCATTTGCCACGCTGTCCTCCCAGCCATTCTACTTCCCCATCACAAACACAAAGGTCCCTAGGAAAGACCCCAGGAATTCAACCAGGTGAGCTCCCTCATTGCTCCCTTCACTTCCTCCAAAGGGTCAGTGAGTCCCGGACCCACCAGCTTGGATGGAGGAAAGGGAAAATCAGATGAGGTCATGCATTCCAAAGCCCAAAATGCATAAGTTATCCCTATTCATTAAACATATGAAACCCACTTGATGGACATTAGGGATAGCTGTTCTGCTTTGAGATTCTCAATTTTTCCACATGTTTGTGCCCAGACCCACACAGCAAGCCAGCCAGCCTCAGCCAGATTCCTGAGGTCTGGGCACCCATGGGGAGGACAGGTCCCCTACGGCTGTCACAGGTGAGCACTGAGCCAGATGGAGCCCGGAAGGTGGGGAGGAGCAGGACTGAAGTCGAGCGCCACCTCGGCCTCGTGGCCTCAGTCCCCTTCTCTTTAAATCCAGTGAATGGAGGGAAAGCACCAAGGCCCACCTCTGCTCCCAGAATGAACTCCTGATGTGACAATGAACACTCTGGCCCTGTTCCTCCTTCCCAACTCTCCTTCACAATCCCTTTGTCAGCCGTCCACACTCCATTCGTATCCTCTTATTCCCTGAAGAACGCGTGGGCTTCCACACACAGTGCATTTTCTCACTTCTAATCTGTCTCCAACTGAAACTCTACAGATCCTTCAAGATCCATCCAAATGCCACCTCCTTGGTCAGCCTACTCACTCTTGGATCCCATCATGTCTCCATAAGAAATACAACTGTCACCTTGCCTTTTTTATAGCTTACTGTTTTAAGTTCCCTGAAGGTAAGGCCTGTGTCTTCTCTATTTCTGTATTTCCACTCTGCTGGACCCAGCACTGCTCACAGCTGGCCCATGGTGGCTGTGCTGAATTTCATCTCTTTGACCCTTTTCCGCTCCAATAATTATACTTTAATTCTATCAGGCAGATTAACAGAAGACTGCAATATCTCAGTGATGGAGACACCTCCACTCCATCATGGTTCTGATTGAGTTCCTGAGCTCCATAGCCCTTTCCTTGTTCCTCTCTGGGTGCTTTCTGCTTTCTGCTTTCTGCTTTCTGCTTCCAACCTCATCTGATAGTTACTTGTGGCCTTGGTTTGAATGAAAGACCACCATGCTGCATTCTCCCTGGGGGCCACGCAATGTGCCCTGCATCTTTTTGTAGCCCCTGAGGAATGAGAAAGCACTCTATATCTTCCAGGCCTTCGTAAATGATTAAAGATCCAGGGCCCCATTCCCTGCCCAAGGGTCCTGTGTCTGGCATCCTTAATCCCCCACTCCCATCTCCAAAGTCATGGGTGGTACCTGGGGCATCATGAGAAACTCTGTGTGCCCTAGGAAAAACAGAGCAAAGATCTTCTTTCTTCCTTCTCTTTCCCCGTGCCTAGGCAAGAAGTCTGTGGTCAAATACCATTAGCTGAATTATCACTGATAATTACTATGTGTGTAACATTCCTTACAGTTTACAGAGTTTTAGCCAATAAACATTACATGCCCACTTTGTGTCAGTCAGCATGTTAAATGCTGAAAATGATTCAGAGTTTCTGCCCCTATGGAGATCATGCATTTCATTTTAGTTTTATAAAACCCTATGAAGCAATTGAGGTAGGTATTATTTTCCTCATGTTACAGACGGTAAAACTGAGGCTCAAGTGAGTAAGTAAATTTTCCAAATAAGAAAATGAGACAGATGGGAAGAGATGTCCACCCAGACTTGACCCTAAACTCTGTCCTCCTTCTGCCATGGCATGAAGCATTTTGATGGGCAGGAGAGGGCAGCCCAATGTTCCTACACTCTTCTCACAGATCCTGAGCAAGATCAGCCCAAAACAAAAATTTAGAAACTTACAAGAGTGTTTTCAGGCTGGCCTCTCTCTGGCTATGCCCCTCGGGGATCCTCTGCAGCATCCCTAGGAGGCCCTGTCCTCTTCGGATGGCATTGTGTCCAGCTCCACTACCAGCCTGGGTACACCTGCCTACAGTGTGAGGAGACGAACAGGCATTTAGCCAGTGCCAGAAACCCCAGCCCAGCACCCGCCCTCACACAGGCTGTGAACTCTCTGTCCTCCACACCATCGTGTGCATGCTCCACCCTGCTAAGTCACAGATATGGAGCCTGTGTGACGAGTCAGCCTGTCACTTCCTTCCCAGGAATTATCCAGAGGACCTCAGCAATCTTTCCTACAGGACAATCTTAACAACTCCTAGGAATCATGTGGAGCAGACAGGGCCTTATAATAGCCCACAAATTACTGTCCATCTAAGCATAGGACAAACCGCAGTACGTGGCTCCAGTTTATCAGTATGAAATCCATTAGGCACCAAATGAAAATTACTATATGGGGAAAGCATTGCTGTCCCCTCTAGAGACAAAAGGATAGAATAGGCAGAGACAGGCGACAGGCAGGCTGAGCCACAGACCTCCATGCATAGACCAAGTTCACTCCAAGTTCATGCACATTCAAGACATTCAAGGTCCTCACAGGATAGAGTTTGAAGCTGATGCTTCACAGAAGGAAGAACAGGCATGAAGCCACTGCTGTTAGACAGAGGAAAGAAACCTGAGCTAAGGAGGCCTCAAGAAATCTGAGGGCCAGCCTGGCTCCATCACTGACTGGCTGTGTGGCCCTGGCCATGTGACAGCCTCTCAGCCCCTGCATGGCCGGCCCAGCAATAAAACATGCAGTTTGTCTGTGACAATGCTAAAATAAAATATCTAAACCTGAAATTCTAGTAGTCTAAGATTCTATGTTTTGGGGGTAGGGGGAGATTATGCAAGTTAAAGGACAGCATTATTTTACACAAATTACGCCCACACCAGTCTAGCCCCAAATAACATTATTTACCGTATCTGGGCCAGAACGCTCAATGTGCCCTAGTGGTTCCCTCTTCCTGGACGCTGTTACCATCCTTTAAAGTCACCTCTTCCATGAAAGATGAGG
Organism: Homo sapiens; assembly: GCF_000001405.40. Lineage (NCBI taxonomy): Eukaryota > Metazoa > Chordata > Mammalia > Primates > Hominidae > Homo > Homo sapiens. The sequence continues at coordinate 57,332,930 of NC_000008.11, forward strand.
CCCACTTTTTCTTGATTATTCTATCCTTTGAATTCCCGTGAGCACTTTTATCCTGCGTAGGGTCTGTGAGATAAAGAGGAGGATCAAATATATGGTGTATGTGGCCACTGGAAGGAACCAGTTCCCAGGGGAAGTCCAACATCCTGGGTCCCAGATGAAACTTCTTATGTAGTCAGACTACAACTGGGACATGTGAAGGAAGTACAGCTTTTATTTGGTCTAATCTGAACTAAGGGGGTCTTTCTCTTCCATCACGCTTTTGCAGGAAAATCTATTTCAACTTGTCATGCTTTGATAGCTTGAGGGAAGAATTTCCCTAGGTATATCTCATCTTTGCCAAATGGAAGGAGCTTTGTCTACTTCTAGAAGAGCTCAGGAAGGTACAATTATCATAATAGGTGGAGAGTTTGGTGATGCTGTATAACTCCTCCAAGGAACTGCAGCGTTATTCAAAGTTTCTTCCACCCATTCATCCACTCAAGCACACACCCAAAATGATCCCCATTTTGTCATTGTCTGTGGTGCATGGATGGAGCCTGCTGGTTCACAACTACTAGAGGCAGGATTGAAGATGCTGTCTTCAAACAGCTCCTCAGATTCTGTTGCATGGCCAAGTTTGGAAACCACTATCTGAGTATTGTTTCCAAAGACCATTTATGGTCATATTGGTGATCTACGGAGAGGAGCAGCTGGTGGTGTGCTGGTAAATGTTTATGAATAGTTCTCCCAGGAACCAGCCCTGATGTGAAGCATTTTCCATTGCTGTGGCGCAAATGCTCCCACCACAACTGATTTCAGGCTACCCACCCATGGAACATATAGTGGGGAGAGAGGCACACCACTGGCTCTGGCAAGTGGCTGCATCCTGGCTCCCGCATACCCTGGGGAGTGTTCAAGGACTCCCTTTGAGATTCCCCGGCTTGTGAGGTATGAGGGAAGGAGTCATCCTGGAAGCTAACATGAAGCCAAAAGAGTCAATGGAAGAGCCAGTTACAGATGATGGCTCCAAGATTGAGGCACAACATCTGGGGTTTGTAATTTCCCCTTTTTCTATTTAATATGCTATTATCATCTTGATGTCTCCTTAATGTAATGTTGTTTATATATACAGATAATATAAATAACAGTAGCTTAAAGAAGACTGGGATGTATGTTTATATTAGGCAAAAGAAGTCCAGTAAAGGGCATTCCATAATGGATTTGGCAGCTGGTCAGAGACCCATTCTCCGTCTGTGCTTCCTTACAGCCATCCCTAGCAAGGGTGTTTTTTTGCCCTTTGTAGTCACAGGATGGCTGCTGGAGCTCCAGCCATCCTACCTCTGTTCCAGGAAGAAAGAAAGGAAACATTAAAGGGCAGAAGGAGATTTCCTAGAAGTTTCACCCAAGATCTTCCATTTAATTTTATTTTAAAAACTGTCACAGGACCACACAGCATTGTGGCTGGAAAATGTAGCTCTTTAGTAGGACACATTGCTTTCTTGAATTAAATCTAGGTTTGATTGATAAGGAAGAAAGGGAAAATGATTATTAAGTTGCTCTTTCTCAATCCCAGTCATAAGATACTAGTTCAGAAGAAAAGATAATGACCACCAATAGCCAGGAGAAGAAAAGGGCTCAACACCCAGGACTTGGTTTACTCCTTAGCATGTGCCAGCATGCCCTGGTGATGAGTTAGTGGCCAAGCACCTAGGAGAAACTACAGGTGCCTTATGAGCTCCTGCAGGCGCCATGCCTGCTGAGCAATTTCCGTCCAGTTACTCTGTCCAGCAACTCATCCATCAGGTTTGAAACCCTAAATATCTCCACCTCTCCCCCTTTAGAACAACAAGGCATTGTACAATTGGAGGCTATTTGAATGAAATAGTTTTATTTTTTATTTTTAAAGCATTTGATTTGTCAATTTTTTTAAATAACCTACAAAAGGAGCACAACTTAACAAAGTGAAAGGGATCTCTTCCCCTTGGCTTTAGATAGATTTATTTCACACTGGCTCCAAACAGGTCAGATGCTATCAGGTGGAGACAGAAGCAGCACAGAGCACTGGCAGGGGATGCTGCCCCTGGAAGAAGCCAGCAGCTCTCATGCCTGCAGGATCTGGCAGGGCTGCTTTCCTGAAGAGGGTGAGGACAGCACAGACCTGGGGCAGAGAAACCTTTGGTCTGACCAAAGGTTTCTGGTCCAAAGACCTGGTCCAATTGGAGAAGAGTATTTAACGTCCCCGAAGCCCTCTTCTGTAAATGGAGATGACAATTCCACCTGGTAGAATTAAATTACACAATATATATAAATTCCTTCTGCAGAATAGAGTGCATAGGGAATTTGTGAAAGGTCTTCTTATAATGATTGAATGATGGGGAATGAGTTGACAAAGGAAATGCAGGGGTCAGTCATGTCTGCGAGGTCTTTTGTGCATGCTGTTTTCCGCCTCTGTAGAGAAGCAACATTTATATTGACTTGTTTGGGGTCCAGATGATGCCATGAAAAAAGGCATCCTTGTGTTGGTCAAGAAAAGATCACTAAAAGGATGTTTTCTTTGACTAACCTTGTTTCCCTAATCTAATTAAAGCAATTGAGCTATTTAGTCATTATACACCCTCTGTATTCTGATTGGGCCTTGGGGACAATGAGCAGATAGAGGGAGATCCCTTCCTTCTTTTTTCCTCTCCCCATGCTTGTGGAGCTGGAGCTGTCAAGAAGCAGGAGGGTGTCTCTGGAGGAGGTGGAGCACTCTACCAGGGCCATCTAGGGCTGGGAGCACTACCCTAGACCCACCCTGGCCAGCCCATGCCTCTGAGGGTCCTCACACAGACCCTCTGTTTCCTGCCTCGTGTTCTCATCTGGGCTCTCCTCTCAAAGCTGGACAAACACTTCCTGTGAGGAAGGCAATCCCTACTTCCCAAGCTCTACTCAGATGGGAAACCCTACTGTACCCCCAACCGATTCCATCCATCCTCAGATTGAAGAGTTGCTATTAGTGAACCAGCCAGAACAGGGGATTGGGACGGGTGATTGGGGCCATTTCCTTCCCTAATTGCAGCACTCAAATACATGGTCCTTGTTTCCTCATGAGTGTAATACATTGAAATGGGCAAGTAGGCAGAGAAGGAGGTGAAACAACGCTCTGGGGTGTGTGTGGTGGGTGTATGTACAGTGGGAGCACTGAGAATTTGTCTCTGTGGGTTCTGAGCAGCTTCCTGGATCCATCCATCATCGATTAGTTGATGGTCAGTCCCAGATGGAGTGAGAGGCAAGGCATCATCAGTCTGCCCTGTTCCCCATGCTTTCATAATCCCTTGTCTAGAGGGAAAGTTCAATCTTTTTCCTCTTTAAATTATATCTGCATATTTACTGAATAGATTAGATGTTCACATGGTTCAATATTTCAAAGGCACCAGAGTATACAGTGAAAAACTTCTTCCTCACCTTAATTCCCAATGACCTTAAGTATTCCCAGTTCCCTCTGAAGAAACACGCAGTATTACCAGTTTCCTTTTTTTTTTTTGAGATGGAGTCTTCCTCTGTCTCCCAGGCTAGAGTGCACTGGCACAATCTCGGTTAACTACAACCTCCACCTCCCAGGCTCATGCGATTCTCCAGTCTCAGCCTCCCAAGTAGCTGGGATTACCACCTAATCCATGCCTGGCTAATTTTTGTATTTTTAGTAGAAACAGGGTTTCACCATATTGGCCAGGCTGGTCTCACACTCCTGACCTCAGGCTATCCTCTTATCTCTGCCTCCCAAAGTCCTGGGATTACAGGCATGACCTAGCACACCTGGCCTCCTGGGCATTCTTTCAGGTATATTTACATATTTTTTCTCACTTGTTAGTCACCATGGCATTGTAGCTTTAGGTTAATTGCAAGTAGGTGCTTGCTGGAGCCAGGGTGAGTCCCTGACCCTTCCCTGTCCCTCACTCTTGGTGCCACCTGAAGGGCTGCATGGGGACTGTCATTTCCAGGTCGGTAACATGGTGGGCTTAGCCAAGCCCTCTGGCTCAGGATCTCTCACTGGCCGCAATCGGGGGAAGCCAGAGAAGCATCCACTGCATGCTAACTCAAGTAGCAGTCTGCAGGTTGCAGGTCCTCAATGGCTGCTGGCCATAGACATCAGTTTCTTGCCACTTGGGCCTGTCCACAGGGCCACCCTCAGAGTGAGCACGGATACAGTCAAGAGAGAGCAAGATGGAAGCCACAGTTTGTATCCTGGTCTTAGAAGTGACATCGCTCACCTTCACATGAGGTTGTCAACTCCAAAAGGCCAGGGTCATTGGAGGCCACTGTAGAGTATCCCACAGTAGTTCTAAAAAGAATGTATTTTAATGCTTGTGTAGTGTTCCATGCACCATCATTATTTAACCTCATCTTCATTGATTGGCATTTAGTTTTTATTATAAAAATGCTTTAATAAACATCATTTCACAAATATCCATGGTATCTGTGGGAAAAATTCCAGGTATTAAAATAATTTTTTTTTTGAGACAGAATCTTGTTTTGTTTCCCAGACTGGGCTTGAACTACCGAGTTTAAGTACTCCTTCTGCATCTGCCTCTCGAGTAGCTGAAATGACAGGTGTGTGCATCGCCGGCCCTGGTATATAGGTGAAGTTTTTGATTCCCTCTTTTCCCTCATGTCCACCCAATCCATCAGGACATCCCATGCTTCTAGCCCCAGAGTGAGTCTCCAGGGCCTGCTCCTCAGTAAGACTCAGGAAGGTGTGGAGCCCGGTCCGCCTCCACCTCGCTCTCCACACCCCGTCACCAACTCTCTGAGACACACACCTGTCTGCAGCATCCTCACGCAGGCCCTCTGTTTCCTGCCTCTTGTTCTCATCTGGGCTCTCCTTTCATAGCTGGACAAATACTAACTCATGCATCACCACCTCCAGGAAACCTGTGTGGATTTCCTGGGCTAAATTTCCCCATCAGGGTCCCATGATATCTCGTGCAGGGCTATATCTTCAACACGGATGCTGTTTCAGAATGACTGCTGGCGTGTCTGTCCCTGTCTCCCTATAGCCCGAGAGCTCCCTGGGGACAGAAGTCTCCCCTGTTTCTCTGAAGCTCTAGTGCCTCAAGTGGGTGCCTCGTGCCAGGTCACTGCACTCTGATGGTCAATACATGAAGAATGGATTAAATATGCCCCAGTGGCAGTCATTTAAAGTAGAATTTTCTGTCATATTTGGGACAAATAAAAGGAACGGTCAGTTCTGAATATTATGCCCCCACCTGCTGCGAAGTGTAATTTTATTCCTGGAGTTTGCCCCCTTGGGTTCCACATCTTTTTCAGACAGTGTTGGGGCACAGATGTGGCCACCTGAGAGCTGCTGAACTTTCATCCTTTCCAGGTACTCCGCCAGCAGCCTTGTGTCAGTGAGACCCTTAAGGGTCCTTCGTCCCTAGGCTGAGTCACAGAGTCCATGGCTGGCTCTTTTCTGGACCTGGATAACCTGGCCTTCCCCAAGGCCTCTCCAAGGGCTGTCCCCTCATGGCCAGCTGTGGGGGACAGAAATGCAGGTTGCCTCAGCAGCCATCACAGCCTGTTCCCCTCGGGATAAAGAGACTGATGGTGACCCCTGTGAACCAAAATTCTAAGGGTCAGCATAGTGAGGAGTGGTAGGAAAGGTGTGGACTGAATTCCATTTAGGTGGGTTTGCGATTGACCCTCCTAACTCTGTCCACCCTTGCTATGTGACACTGAGCAAGTAGCTCAACCTCTCTAAGCCACTGTTTATTTACTTGTAGAACAGGCATCAAAGAGACCTGCCCCAGGGGACTGCTGAGGTGATTCAGTGAATAATGATCCTGGAAATGCCTGGTGTGGTGTCCAGGAAAGGAAAGCCCAGCCCAGCCCCCACCACCTCACAGAGCCTTAGTCCCTCAGAACACTCTTCCACTCCTTCAGAGCATACTGTCCAGGTTGTGGTTTTATACTCACTGGAGTTAGCCCCATTCTCAGCCCCAAGTATCTAGTTTCCATACTAGACCATGAGCTCTGAGAGCTGGGACCATTTTGAGCACAGTTTTGATCACTGCCTAACCACAGGGCACTCAACAAATATATGTGGACTTGACAAATGCTGGTTCCCTTCCCTTGATGGCCTTGACTCTTTTCCTTTCCCATCCAAACATCGCGCACTGGCTATAGAACAATCACACTTCACAGACACGGAGGACTTTCTACCTGCCATTGTTCCAGTACCTCAAACATATCATAGCGAGTCTCCACAGAGCCCTGGAGGAGGCACTATTGCTCCCACCACACTAACGAGAAAACTGGGAGCTTAAGTAAATTGCCCTAAATCACTCTATTTGTAAGTAGGAAAGCCAGGATCCCTGGCCTATTCCAGCCAGAGATCAAGCTTCATTTCCTCTGTAGCTGGTTTCATGGGGTAGGGGGAGTCCACCAATGGGGCAGTGCTGCTGGGGGCAGGCAGGAGCTGGTCAGCCTTGTCCAGGACACACAGAGCCCAGAGCTGTTGAGCATCACCAGGGTCCCCCAACTAGGGGCTGCCCTAGAGACAGGAAAGTGGCCCAGAGGCTTTGTCTGATTATCATCACCGGTTCTTCACAGGTAGGTGCCCATCCCGGGCTGGTCCTCCCAAAGGGGGCTTAACCCAACAATTTCCTGGACATGAGCAACATAAATAACCAGGGGACCCCCTCTAACTTCCCAGCCAAGCAATCAGCAGAGCCGCAGGAGCAGTAGCCGAGGTGGCTGTACCCAGCCCCCACCCTGGCTTGGCAAGGGGAAAGGAGGGCATGAGACAGCAGCCAGAACTGAATGGAGGCAGGGAAAGCAAGGCTTTTTATTGAGACAAGATCAAGGGAATGAGCCTGGTGGATCCCAGAAGTCACTGAGCAAGAGCATAGGTCCAGGATGGAAGAGCAGAAAACTCAAGAAGAACACAGCAGTGATCTCACATCACCACCTGAGGCAGGGGCTTGTCTATGGCTGGGAATGCCTGCTTTCCAGTGTGCCATGTGAGCACACAGCCACCTTAAAAGGACCAGAGATGGATTAGGCCCACGGGGACAGGGGTAAGAACGAGAGGCAAAGGAACTCCTGAAAATCAGCAGCCACGATGGAAAAGTGGGCAAAGGATAGGGACATGTAATTTATAAAAGATTCCCCCATATCAAACAAGCATATCAAGAGATGCCCAAATTACAGTAAACAGAAATATACTGTACATTAAGGCAATAATGAAATAATATTTTAAAACCACTCAACTGAAAAAATTTAGAAACCTGAATATACGCAAGTGTTGATGAGGATGGGAGGGAATAAAGGAAGTGCCACATTGGTCTTCAAGAGAGAATGTAGCTGCACTTCTGCAGAAGAATAAACATGTGCCAAATCAAGCACGTTTATTCTGTGACCCAGTTGTTCTACTCCTGGGAATAGTTCTCAAAGAAATTCTCACCTACATCCATAAGTGGCATATACAAATTTATGCCCTCCAGCTTTGTTTGTACTGGTGGCAATTCAAAAGCAATCCAGAAGAATGAATGCATAAAGTGGTTTTAATCAACAATTTGGAGAACTACAAAGCAATAAAAATTGTTAAATGAGTCATACAAAGAGCAAAAGGAATGTGTCTTAAAACACAGTGTTGAGAGAAATGGTTAAAAAAAACCCAGAATGTAATATATAAAACAACACTATATATAGGCATTAAAAGACACATAATACAAATAAAAAACTCAGCAATATATATTTTGCAAGACCCAAATGAAAGATACATATTACACATTATTGCCTTTGGGAAGAAGGGAAGTGGGAGTGGTCTATGGAAATAGAAGAGATAAAATTGATCATTAGAAAGATGGGATCTTACATGGAGCAATGATCATATTGAGGAATATGAGTAACTCAACCTCTTGTACCTGAAGTAAAAAGCAAAAGCGAAAAACCATGGTGTGCTTGGGAGCCTTTGCTGGTGTAGGGTGCCTGAGCACAGGGTGGGTGTGAAGCTGTAGGGTGAGGCTGTGGGTGACAATCAAAGGAAGGGTCGTCACTAGGGGCCACATACCTGACATTGTTAAATGATGCAGTCAGACGTGGAGAATGGACAGGCGTGGGGAAACCAGTTACAGTGCCATCGCCATGACTGAGGTGGGGGTTGGCAAGCTTCTGGTAAGAGCTAGAGAGCAAATATTTGGCCTGAAGACAGTGGCCTGGGGGTACAGGGTATTGGGATCTGGGTCTGGTTGGTGGCAACTGGAAGAGAAGAAATGGTGCCAGATATGAAAGTTGCCAAGGGGACAGAATTGACCAGACTTGATTCCCAGGTTTTGGGGAACTAGGATGGTGAGTGGGACCATCAACCAGGACAGAAAATCTGGAAGGAGGGGGAGTGAGCTTGAGGGCAAGAGTTCATTTCTAGACTTGTTGAATGTGAATGCTTGTGCAGCATTGAAGAAACGTCTAGTGCTGGATATCCAGTGTCCAGCTCTGGAGACCAGAGGAAAAGGTGAGCTTCAAATGCAGATTAGGGCGAGTGGCCAGAATGGCTGGTTGTCCACTGGTATTTGTTCACCACTTCCTCCATCCCAGCCAGGATATCTCTGTGCCTGAGGGGAGCCTGCTCCACTCCCAGCTGGAAGGGCCCTGGTTGATTGAGCTGTTCCATTCCCCCTGCCATGGTCATTGGTTTGGGATTGGGCATATGATCCAAGAAGTCCAATCAAGGTGAGCCTCAGGACTCCTACGCAATATCCATATTTTACCAGCTTAATACCTCGTGTGTGTGTGTGTGTGTGTGTGTGTGTGTGTGTTTCTGTGTGTGTGTGTGTTGTGAAAGGAAAATAAATCTCAGGACCCCCGAAATCACTAAGCCAAAGGGAAAAGCTAAGCTAGGAACTGAGTCAGGCAAACCTGCCTCCCATTTTAGTCCTAAATAAGATAGCTACAAAATATATTTTTTTAAAGCTACATTCTTCCATCACGATTTGCCCACAAGGAAATTCTTTGTAGATCGCAAGATCTTTACCTGAAAACAGTTCTGTTGAATTTCACCCTGGCAATGTGAATTGATAGTTTATGTTCACAGGTGTGGGACAAAGGACAGACAGAACTCAAAGTCATCCCTCTGCTCATCTGAGACAAATGCATATCTAATTGCTTCCTCTGCCTTATTGCTTTTGTAAAGATGCAGATTCACTGAGTCAGATTAAGGCATAAGTGACTATTATTCTATCCCCTCCCACATGTAAATTGTGTATTCAGGGAAAGGCTGATCAAAGACCTCAAAGAATGCAACCTTAGGTTTCCTGTCCACCTATGACCTAGAAGGCCCCACTTGGAGTTGTCTTGTCTTTCTGCACAGAACCAATGTACATCTGATAATATTGGTTGATATCTCATGCCCCCCTCAAATGTAGGAAAACAAGCTGTGCGCCCACTACCTAGGGCATCTGTGGTCAGGACCTCCTGAGGCTGTGTTATGGGCACACATTTAACCTTGGCAAAAAACAAAAAACAAAAAAACCTTTCCAAATTGATTGAGACCTCTCTCATACTTTTGGATTTATTGTTTGTGTGTGTGTGTGTGTGTGTGTGTGTGTGTGTGTGTGTGTGGTGTGTGGTTTGGTTCTATGAAATTTTATCGTGTGTAGATTTGTGTAATCACCGCAGCAATCATTTATCAGTATTATTTCTTGGTCTATATGTTCAGTAATGGTTTCTTAGGGGCATCTTTAATAGATACTTAGGGCCATGGATTTGGATGAGATTTCCCAGGAGAAGGTGCAGAGAGAGAAAAGGAGAAGGCCTGGAGTGGAATGCCAGACAGAAGAGGGGCTTTGCTGTGACCCCTGGTAGAAGCTTCCTGGAGAAGGGTCTATGAGGGTAAAAGACCCCAGAGCCATGTGGTCTGGGGCCTGCCCTGCTCTGCTCTTGGCAGCCTCTGACCTGGGCTTTTCAGACAGGTCTATTTTCAAATGCTCTGCTCATAGGTCCCATAAGCCGTTATCCCTAAAATGCCAACATTTAGGTGCCTGAGCTACACTTCCTAGAAAGCAGTTTGCCTCTGGGATGCTTTGTCACTTCATATGTACTAAATTTGGGCTGGAAAAATGGAGCTATAGTTGTAGAATATATCAGTCAGCAAGATTTAACAACTGTAGCTAAAGTTTGCTGAAGGGACCCTGAAGTTACCACTGCAAATCTAAACACTGGGGTTTTTTGCACCCCCCAGCACAGGGCCTGGCACATTAGCGACACTCCGTTGTGGAGCTCGGTTGTTTGTGGTCAAATTCTACAATCTTGGCATCTTTTTTCTAACAAGAGAGCAGAGCGCATAGCTGCGTGGAATCTCCTGCGAGCCTCAGCAAGTTAACTCCCAGGAAAGTAGGGAGGACGCTTTTCCTCAAGGGAGAGAGAGGTTCCCTACTTCTTGAGTAAAAATTTCATGCTCCACATATTTTTGTTCAGTCATGTGAGCATGAATTCTTCAGTCTGTGAATTCTAAAGTTGGAGGATTCTGACAATCACAGCCCCAGACACACACAGTGGAAAACGCTCCCGTCCTTCGCCGGGCAGAGGCAGCTCCTGAAATAAAGCAGCAGCGCCCCCTGGTGGCAGACCTCAGTGCTGCATCCCGTGGAAGGCCAATACCCTCCTTAAGAGAGGTCCTGCTTGGTTAACCCACTCTCAGTCCTGGCCACTTCCCAAAGGCACCTGGCTTACCAGCCTCAGAGGCTCCTAGCTCCATTCTCTCAGCCTGCCCAGAGAGAGCCTGGTGTGACTGAAGGAAGTGTGGACCTGGGAGATAGGAACCGACTGACACTGCTCCCTGATGTTTGTGCTTCAGGGACTGTGCTGGCTGATGGGAACCCTGCATCTGAGAGCGCGTGCGCTGGGCGGGAGGCAGAGCCAAAACCGTAACAGCCAGAGCTAGAGACTCCGGCCTGGGGTTCTGGCTCTGTCCCGTATCAGCTAGGAAACCCAGGGCAAGCTACTTAAACTCTCAGAGGCTCAGCTTTTTCATGAGCAAACAGGAAAACAGGGCTAATGATTAGTCCTTGGCTTAAAATACATACCGCGTGTGAAATTGCAGGTATATAATAGATTCACTAAATGAGAGGTAATTATACTTATTAATGTCATAACAACTGGTCAAAGAAGAGAGCACTGGGAATTGGGAGGTGGGGCGTGATCAGAAAAGGCTTCAAAAATCAGGAGACATTTCGCCTGGGTTTTGAAGGAGGAGTAGGAGTTTTCCAATCAAAGGGGGAAGGGCATTCCGGATGGGTGAACTGTGTGTACAAAGGCATGGGAGCAAGAGGTGCTATGGTGCATGTGGGAAATTGTGAAGTGTTTGGTCTAAGCCTGAGGCGGGGGAAGTGAATCAGCTGGAGCTGAAACAGGACAGGTGAGCTGGGATCACTCTGGGAGTAGGTTGCAGGAATCTGTATTTGATAAGGAGATTCCCAAAAGATTATGAGGCTGACTTCCCAAAGGCCTAAAGTCTAGAAACTATCACTGTACCTGACATCCTGCACAATTCTCTCTAATCCGCACCACCACCTGGCAAGACAGAGGCTATTGTCTTTAATTTACCCAGCAGACAGCAGAGACTCAGAGAGGTGAAGTGACTTGTCCAGGATCATACAGCGAATGTGAACCAAGATCCAATGCCTGGTCAGCTTGACATCAAACCCCATCCATACAATAAGGGCTCAGTAAAAGCCAGCCATGACTCTATGTACTGGTGCTCTTTAGGGCTGGGCAGCCAGGTGTGCTGATATCCTGTTTCCCTGACATCCATGCTGTTAGAATTTCAGGGAAGATGGGGCAGGGTCAGGGAAGCACACCCTGTGGGCCAGATTCTGAAGACAGGTACACACAGATTAGAGAGCTTTTCCTGGTTAGAATTGCTCATTGCAGGAAGAAAGTCCTGATCTTCTCAGGCATTTACAAGAGATAGTTTTGTGGGTGTGTGTATAATTTTCTTTAAATTTAAAACGATCTCAAACTTACAGAAAAGCTTCAATTGCAGCACAAATAATGTATGTTTTCTGAACCATCTGAGGGCGAGTTATCAACACTTACTCTCCAATGCGTCATCACCCCCAACACTCCTGTGTATTTCCTGCAAATAAGGATCTTCTCCTACATGGTCAGTCCGAACAACCTTCAGTCACAACTGAGAAGGTCACATGGTGCATCACTGCCGCTCAGTCTCCCCAAGCCCAGTGATTTCTTCACAGTAAGTGCATCCAGTTCAAGTTGGCATGCAGCATTTTGTTGTCACATCTCTTAGTCTCCAGTCTGAGGCTGTGCTCAGTCTTTACTTGAGTCTCATAACCTTGACACTTTCAAAGATGAAGGACTGGTTATCTTGTGGACTGTCCCTTCACTTGAGTGTGTGCTGATCCCTTGGGATTTGATGGCAGGAACATGGCAGAAGCGTTATTCCACTGCACTTGATTTCAGTTTGCCCTGTGTAAGCATTCTTTTTTTTTCTTTCTGTTTTTTCTTTTTTTTTTTTTTTGAGACAGAATCTCGCTCTGTCACCTAAGCTAGAATGTAGTGGCACAATCATGGCTCACTGCGGCCTTAACCTCCTGGGCTCAAGTGATCCTCCTGCCACAGCCTCCTGAGGAGCTGGGACCACAGATGCACCACTATCACACCCAGCTATTTTTTTTAGAGGTGGGGTCTTGCTGTGATGCCAAGGCTCATCTTGAATGCTAATGTTCACTTTGATTATTCGTTTAAAGTGGTGTCTTCCAGAGTTCTCTGTAAAGTTACTCTTTTCCTCTTGTAATAAATAAATATTTTGTGAGGTGGTATATTGAGACTGAATATTCCATTTCTCATCAGACATTCAGTTTATTCATTTTTTTCACTGTAGACTTGTGGTTTCTTATTTAAGTCAATAGGTTCTAATCCATTACTCTCATGATTTATTTGATGCTCAAATTGTCTCAGATTTGGCAAACAGGGAGTCCCTTGAAGCTGGCTTCTATGTCCTTCTGACATGCTCCCTTGTTCTTTAAGTGTTCACTTGCTTTCTGGTTCAGCAAGGTATCTTGATATCCTGGGTTCAGGCCAGGTATGGTAGCTCATGGCTATAATCCCAACACTCTGGGAGGCTGAGATGTGAGGCCAAGATTTCAAGACCAGCCTGGGCAACATAACAAGACCTTGTCTTTACAACAACAACAACAACAACAAAAATGGGCAGACATGGGGGCATGCACCTGCAGTCCTGGCTACTCAGGATGCTGAGGTGGGAGAATCACTTGAGCCCAATAATTCAGGCTGCAGTGAGCTATGATTGCACCACTGCACTCCAGCTTTGGTAACAGAGCAGGACCCTGTCTCAAATAAACAAAAACAAAAACAAAACAAACAAACAAAAAACCCTGAGTTCAACTTGTGCTTTCACTATCGCATCCCTGGAGTCAGCCATTTCTTCAAGGAGCCCCAGTTTCTTTCATGGAGAATAGAATATGTGAGTGTGAGCTGTGCTCATTGCTACTGGGGGAGGTGCTGTTTCCAGACCCCCTCAGTGAAATGTATGTCTGTGTAAGTATAGATAAACACACATTTATGTGTATGTATATGTAGACATAATATTTACAGGTATATTTCTATATGTAGCTATACATTCATATATTTAGATCAAACATTTACTTATTTGATCAAGCCCCCTTTATGTTACCAATCTGTCTGCTAGATGACTTTCGCACTTTCAGAGTACTATGGATGTCAAAGCTTTTCAAAACCACCCAGTCTAACCTCTTTATTTTACAGATTAGGGATCTGAGACCCGCAGTATGGCAGTGACAAGATCCAAGTCTTGGGACACCTAGCCAGGAGGGAAGAATTTGAGGGAGAGGTGGAAAATATGCGAGGCTGAACTGACCTTCAAGGACAAGAAGGCTGTGTTCAGATAGACAGAGTTTGTCTTCTGGGAGAGGAGTGGGCTTATCCAGGATGATCCCAAAGGCAGATTGAGGACCAGTGGGAGGACATCCTGAGAAAGCAGATCCAGCTTTAGGCAAGGAAGGACTTCGTAACAGGCAGAGAGCCCATGTTGGAAACAAGCAGCTCTGCAAGGTGTGGGCCCACTGTCTGACTCCCTGCGGGGCTGCTGCCTTGGAAGAGCCTCCTGCTTAGAGAGGTTGGTGGAACCAGGGTGCTCCAGCTCCTTTCCAGCTCTGACCCCCAAGATCAGCCCACCCCTGCCCCAGCCGATCACCCTGAGGATCTGGAGGGTCCTTGGTCTTTACACAGCCTGGTTCTCTGGCTTGATTATTTGAAAACTCTCTTCAACTCCAGGTTCTCCTGCCGCCAGCTGTCTCTCCTGAGTCCTGAGCACCACATCTCTGGACCGTCTGGAGCCTCCCCTCCCTTGGCTTACTGCTCCCACCACCCTCTCTCTCCACCTTGCAAGAGACACTCTCCCTCATCCTGGGTCATCACCCTCTTTAGAGGCGCCGCCTGGCCACGAGGTTGGATATGGGGGGTGAGCATGGGATTGGGGCCAGCCTCCCATGAAAACTGCAGAAGTACAAAGCCAGACGCCCTTCCTGAGGTCACTCAGACTTGTACGCCTTTGGGGTTGAGCCTTCCCCGCTGTAGGGTTGAGGACTCCTTGACTTATTAAGGGTCCTAGTTCTTTGGAGTCCATCTACGGAGTTGTAAATGAACTGCTGGGGATGTCTGAGAACCCTGTGACCCTGGGGACTTCATTCAGCGTCCCATCCCTGATATGGGTCAGATTCATCTTGACCTCTGAGTGCTCCTGGCTAGGCTCTGCCAGGTGGCCAGGAAGTGGTGCTGCTGGGTCAGAACTTGCATGCTTACATGTAAATGAAGCTCAGAAAGGCCTTGCGTGTAGGGCAAAAGGGAGGGCTGGGGACTGAGAACTAGAGGCTGTGTGGTCCACTAGAAACATTCTGCCTGTGCATTATAAGCACAAACAGGCATACATACCAGCAAATGTGTGTGTGCACACACACATATCCATACCAGTACACACACATACACCATACATACTAGTAAATGGATATATGTACACACATAACACACATATATCTCTCTCTATATACGTGCATACATACCTGTATATGTATACACACATACATGCATGATAGTATACACACATATACTAGTATATATACACATACATACAAACCAGTATATATGTCTAAAATAGATATAATACATATACATACACATACAGAGCAGTATATTGTACACGCTATATGTTAAGTGTGAACATATGTATGCACACAGCCTACGTGCACATCTGTGTGTATGCACAAATGCATGAGTTGGCACATACCTGTGTGCAAATATATGCACACTGCAGTAACTTGGCCCTGGAGTTTGCACCACTGACTTCTGCCTCTGAGGCTCAGGAAGCCATCATGCAGGCTGATCCAGATCTCCCTTCTCCTTGCAAATATTTTTTGGATCACAGGTGGGCAGGATCTTGGCCTTACTTGATGCAGTGCACACCTCCAACAGGCATCAGATGGAGTGCAGCCGGGAGCAAGATTCTCATAGCAATTACAAAGATTCACAAGAAAATGTGCCCTCCACTACACAGCTGTAATTTACATGCTTTCAAACTTGATATGGAATGACTGTGGTTTCCCCTGAAAGAAGCATCACTGATCTCTGCACAGGAGAAACAAGGTGGGCACTGAGGGAAGGGCTTTGAAACTGAGACGGGAGCCTGGCTCCCGCCCCAGCCTGGCTAGAGATCTTGAATGTGGGTTTCTGAACACAGCATGGGGCTGTGACTGGGCGTCCCTAAGAAGAGTGGTCAGCATGCCGTGCCCCATCACCAGGGGGTTAGATGTTGTGGGTCCAGCTGAGGCAGAGAGGAGCTGGGAATATAAGACAGGCCAGCTCCTGGCCTGGCAGCTGAGGCCTGCAGGCTGCCTGGCCATGAGTTTGGGGGACCATGTCAGGCCGGTAGGCCACCTTTCCTTACAGAGACACCCTGTGACAGTGGCCACTGCAACAGACCCTCAGATGAGGTGCTGTGACTAGGACTTGACCTTTTGGACTTGGAAAGCATCCATTGGGCTGGGGGGCTCTTGGAGTTATTTAGAAGGAGGACCCCGAGATTCCCTTGAAAGAGATGATGTAATCCCAAATGCTAGAGAATGTGACCTCATTTTATGCTCCAAGTAGCTGACATTGGAATTGGGTTATAAATGCATTTTTGCCTTTCCTGAACAAAGCAGTTTTTGCTTCCCAGGGGTGTGTGTGTGTGTGTGTGTGTGTGTGTGTGTGTGTGTGTGTGTGTGTGTGTGTGTGAAGGCCCACTGGCCCAGATGAGTGTTACATGGCCACATCTTTAAAGCATATTCCAGCAGGGTAAGCTTGTTCCCCAAGGCCATGTGGGGTTGTGCAGTGACTGACTGGTCCTATACAGCCTGGAGAGCGCTGAAGGAGAAATAGCTGTTGGGGGGTCTTATTTCAGGTCTGCTTTCTTCAGGCCATGCCTTGTTTCTGTTGGGTTAGGGGAAGTTGCTGGGCAAATGTGAGCAGGTGGCGCACCTGCCAAACACTGACATGACCACACGTAAGTGTCATGGCTTCCCTAGGCACGCGGAGGCCCTGAGCACACCCAGCCTGAGGGCCCAGGTGCATCCTGAGAGTTGAGGACAGATGTGGCAGGGGTAGGGTGTCAGGCCTGTTTTAATCAGAGAAGCAACTGCCTGCCACAGTCGATGTTAAGCTCCTGAAACATCATGCAAGCTACTTGCTCGGCCTTCTGACTCAGGATTGAAATAAATGCTGCAATCCTGCTACAAAGAAGTTCATGTTCTGACTGTGCTGGAACATTCCTCATCCTTGCTGGCTGTGATTGTTAAAGATGCAGTGCAGATGGAGGCTTGTCCTTTCCATTTAAAGGAGAAATAGGTGTCAGGATTGGAGGTGAGCCCATCTGAGGCAGGTGCCTTTATGTCGCCCAGGTGTCCTGCACCCCTCCTCTTGTAGACTATGCCTCTGGACGTGTGGCCTTGAGCGTGACCCCTGGAGTTTACCCCAGTGTTTGGCTAGGGGATCCCAAGACGTACAGTGTCAAAGGACAGATGGCAGGTCAGCCAGGGCCTGGGATGTGGAAGCGCCCACCTCCATTTTCAGGCTCTGTGTCTTTGGGCAAGTCATCAACTTATCTGATCCCCATTCTCCATCCCTGTCAAATATGGATTCATGATCCCTGCACTTTGCCCCTGTGAGCCTGTTGTGAGGTGCCCTGTGTGTGTGTGGAAGGGCTTCGTACACATCATGTTGTATACCTGGTATGGGCCATCGGGCTCAGCACTGAGTATACAGCCCGGAGAGTGAGGCAGCTGCAAGGAGCTGCTGCCACGTGGCCTTGCAGAACCCTTTCTGGTGCCACCACTGACGTCCACATCAGGGAATGAGTCAAGGCTCTGAGTCCCTGTCTGCAATGCCACCTCCTTGAAAGTTCCCCTACTCCAACCATGTTCAGAGTCCTCAAGGGATGTGATATATTCAGCTCTGCTTTATGGCTTGATTTAAAACATGAGTTTTCTCCAATACAATTGCTAGATTAGGGAACAATTGAACATGACATGAGTTTCAAAGTTCACATTTGCTCTGCATGATTTTGTCCTCAGAAATACCAGGTTAATACAGAGAAAAGCGCCTGGCCGACCTGAGCCTAGGAATACACAAACACAAGTGCACACCCTAGGGGTACACAACCCCAACAGTGCACACACCCTAGGGATACACAACCACACCAGTGCATACAGCCCAGTGATACACAACCCCACTTCTGCACACACCCTAGGGTTACACACCACACCTGTACACAAAACCTAGGGATACACAACCACACCAGTGGACAAACCCTAGGGATACACAATCACACCAGTGCACAAACCCTAGGGATACACAACTACACCAGTGCACGAACCCTAAGGATACACAACCCCACTTCTGCACACATCCTAAAAATACACAACTCCACTGTGCAAACGCCCTAGGGATACACAAACCCACTTGTGCGCACACCCAAGGGATACACAACCACATCCGTGCACATACCCTATGAATACATACTGCACCCATGCAAATCCTAGCATCTTCTGTCCCTCCATTCACAGGGTGTGTTAGGAGTTACATCCACTAACCTCTGGGGCTAGAATGTTCCTCCTAATCCCGGATTACCAGCTTACAACCCCAATGCCCACTTTCTCAAACAAGCCTCGTCTTTTTAAAGGTAAATACCATATTTATTTTAGTATTTACGTATTTCTTAAACATTTAACCTGTAAACCTGTGCTATCATTTTTATTAGGTTCTAATCTTTTTTTAAAAATGTGTTGCTGATGAAGCCCCTAACTCTATTTTTCTCATAGCCCTGCGGGTCATATCACATGATTTTGCAGAGCCTAATAATTTTTAGGGATGCCTGTGTCACAGCATCGCAGAAATATTTGAATTCATGGTCTGGCCATGGGTCTGTGCTGTGGCCTGAGCTGTGGGTGGGGATGCCCAGGTGTCAGGAGCATGCCTTAGGTAGCACTAGCTGTGCAAACCTTTATGCACATCCTGTTGCTTCCTGATGATTTCTCTGGAGAAGCAATGGCAGTTCACTTGCACCAAGTGCAGATGCTCTTCTGATTTAGGCTGGCTCATTCACTGAATCTTCACAACAACCCTAGAAGGTTGGTACTAATAATATCTTTATTTTACAGATGAGAAAACCAAGTCACAAACAAGTTATGCTCGGGGTCACATAACCAGGCATCAGAGGGTCCAGGCTTTCAGCTTCCCTCCCTGACTGTGCTGCCTCCCTCTGTACCTGGATGAGTAGGCTTTTTGTGCAAAGGACCAAATAGTATTTTTAGCTTTATGGGCCATGTGGTCTCTATTGCAGATGTCCTTATAGCACAAAACAGCTATAGGCCCTCCACAAATGCATGGGCCAGGCTGTGTGAGAACACAGTTTTATTTATGGACACCAAACTTTGAATACCTTATCATTTTTTATGCATCACGGAATGCTACTCTTTTGGGTTTTTTTTAAACAATTAAAAGATCGTAAAAATCATTCCTGCTTATGTACCATACAAAAATAGGTGGTAGGCTGGATTTGGTCTGTGGGTCATAGTTTTCCCACACAGATCCTTGCTTTAGAGTGAGAGAATTGGTCAAAAGGTCCCAGCATTTCAATGGCTCTTGGAGTGTTCTGGAAATAAAACCACCAGGCTTGTACTCATTTATATTGTTAACAGGATTTTAGTGCTCTAGTTTCACCGCAATTTTATGCTAATTTTTTTAATGCTTGTTAATGTATCAGATATGACATATAGCCTTTCCCTCTTTGTTTTATTGGACTGACGTATGTGCAGAGTTATAAAGTCAAATAGTTAACTACACTTCTAACAAAAACAGCCATCTCTGCCTTATACCTTTGCACCTGATTCCCACTCTTCAGAGGTAAGCATTTTAACCTCTTTTACAGTGCTGGTATTCCCCTCTCTGCCTGTATTTCTTTTTTTCCTTCTTTTGAGACAGGATCTTGCTCTGTCACCTAGGCTGGAGTGCAATGGCACACTCACGGCTCACTGCAGCGTCAAACTCCCAGGCTCAAGTGTTCCTCCTACCTCAGCCTCCTGAGTAGCTAGGACCACAGGTGTGTGCCACCATGCCCCGCTAACTAAAAAAAAATTAGATATGAGGTCTCACTATATTGCCCAGGCTGGTCTAGAACTTATGTTTATTTTATTGTGGTACAATATATACAGCAAATTATACCATATTAATCATTTTAGATGTGCAATTCAGTGGCATTAATTATATTCACAATGTACAACCATCACACATCTACTTCCAAAACTTTTCTGTCATTTCATACAGAAACTCTGTACCCATTAAGCAATAACTCCCGTCTCCCTCACTTCCCCAACTCTGGTAACTTATGGCCTGCTTCTCATCTCGTGAACCCTGCCTATTCTAGGTACCTCATGGAGGTGGAATCCTGTAGTATTTGCCCTTTTGTCCCTGTCTTATTTGACTTATTATCATGTTTTGCAAGTTCATCTATGTTGTTGCATGTGTCAGAATTTTGTTCCTTTTTGTAGCTGAGTGCTATTCCATTGTATGGATGTGCCACACTTCATGTATCCATTCATCGGTTGATAGGCCAGCCCGGTGTCAATGGGGGAGGCAACTCCATGGGAGTATGAACTCACTAGGATGTGGGGCTCACTGGCAGCTATCCTGGGGGATGGCTGCCAAGTGGATAATGTGTTCAAAGCCAGGCTCTAATAGAATTCAACCTTCACAAGGTCAAGTTCCCAGTCTGTATTTTTACGCCACTTCCCAGCACAGGCCCAGACACAAAGCAGATGTGCAGTGGAGTGTGAAAGAGGCAGCCAACTCACTGGGGAGCTTCAGAGGGAGATGGCCCAAATTGCTGGGGCCTAAGAATCTCCCGGAATGAAGGAACAGTAGAAAGAACTGGGTAAGTTTGACTTGAGTGGCAGTTTGACTGTTGGGACAAGGTGGCTATGTGACCAAAGTCAGAATAGCATAAATGTGTAGATGGAAGGGAACCCAGAGACCACTCAGACCAACCTTGTTATGTTTCAGGTAAAGGGGGTCACCCATTTCCTGGGGTGGCTGTAACAGACTGCCACTCACTGGGTGGCTTAAAACACTTGAAATGTGTTCTCTCACATCTCTGCAGGCCAGAAGCCTGAGATCACGGTAATGGCAGAGATCACGGTAATGGCAGAGTAGGTTTCTTCCACAGGCCATGAGGGATAATCTAGTCCAGGCCTCTCTCCTGGCTTCTGGTGGTCTGCTGGCCATCTTCAATGTTCCTGGGCCTCTAGAAACATCACTCTAGTCTCTGCCTCCATTGCCACGTGGTGTGTCTCTCTCTCTTTACTTTTTATTTATTTATTTATTTATTTTTTAAGATAGGGCCTCACTCTGTTGCCTGGGCTAGAGTGCAATGGCATGATCATAGCTCACTGCAGCCTCGACCTCCCACACTCAAGTGATCCTTTCATCTCGATTCCCAAGTAGTTGGGACTACAGGCATGCGCCACCACACCCAGATAATTTTTGTACTTTTTATAGAGATGGGGTTTTGCCATGTTACCCAGATGGGTCTCAAACTCCGGGACTCAAGCAATCCTCCCACCTCAGCCTCCCAAAGTGCTGAGGTTATAGGCATGAGCCACTGCACTCAGCCTCTTTGTCTAATCTCATAAGGACACCAGAAATATTAGATTAAGGTCCCACACAGCTCCAGTATGACCTCATCTTGATTTAACTAATTACATCTGCAACAACCCCATACTTTCAAAATAAGCTCGCATTCTGAGGTACTGGGGGTAGGATTTCAAGATATGTTTTTGGGGAAACACAGTTCAAGCCATAAGAGAGAGAGAATATGCTCTGTTTAAATCTCACAGCTAATTCATTGGATCTTTGGAAGACCCAAGGCTCATTTCTGTCTGCCTCTATTTCTAATTAATGTCAAGTTGTCTTTCTTACTCGTGAAATTCTAGGAGCATCTGGCTTGTCTGCCATTCTTGTGTCCCTGTTATTCAGAAAAATAAGGTTTACATGACAGATGGAAAGAAAGATCAGGCCGGGCGTGGTGGCCCATGTCTGTAATCCCAGCATTTTGAGAGACTGAGGCGGGCAGATCATAAGATCAGGAGTTTGAGACCAGTCTGGCCAACACGGTGAAACCCCATGTCTACTGGAAACATAAAAATTAGCCGGGCATCGTGGCGCATGCCTGTAATCCCAGATACTCAGGAGGCTGAGGCAGGAGAATAGCTTGAACCCAGGAACTGGAGGTTGCAGTGAACCGAGATCGTGCCACGGCACACCAGCCTGGGCGACGGGGCGAGACTCCATCTCAAAAAAAAAAAAAAAAAAGAAAGATCAGCCGGTTGTCACTGTAGTGTGTTGTTTTCTGCAAGACAGTCACAGTTATTACAAACCGGGAGAAAACAGTTGCATAAGAAAAATGCAGCTCTGACACCCCGGCCAAAGAGCCCTCCAGCTTTAAGTAGACATTTCCACTTCTCCGTGCCCAGGGGAGCATTAATGGACCTGTGTATCACTGCAGCTGAACCTTAGCAAGGAAGACTGGGTTTCTCAGGCAGGGAAGGTGGCTGCAGTGTAAGCCAAGAGATTGCAAATCTGCAAAATCGGAAATGCTGAAGGCTGCTGGATCAGCCAGCCGGGAGAGATACATGTCCACCTGGCACGTGGCTGGATGTGGGGTCAGGGCAAGCTCACAGCCTTGCCAGGAGAGTTTGCTTTTGTTGGAGCCAGAGAGCAGAATTGCTCAGATGCATCTTCTTTGCGCTAGGCATTTGTGTGACAGGGATAAGGGGCAGGCTGACTCCAGGGATGTGTGACTTGTGCAGTCACAGCCACACAGGTCCCCATACATGGAAGGGCCCTGAGCTTGCTTTGATGCTCTGCTGTCACAATCTTCATGATATTTGAACAAAGGGCCTGCATTTTTATTTTGTACTTGGCCCTGCAAATTACATAGTAGGTCCCGACAAAGCATCTGTCTCAGTTTGTTGTCCTCATCACTTGATTATTTGTGAGGTGATTTGTGCCTCAGACAGCCTTAATCCTGATGTCTTAGAGAATCCATAGCCAGATAAAAAAGACATGAGGCTGGAGGTCATGACCCCTTAGGCTTGAATTTCAATGTTGCCAGTGACTATAATAGCTACAAGATCTTGGGCAGGGCATTTAGCCTCTCTGGGCCTCAGGTTCTTTATCTGCAAAATGGACATGCTAATAACTGTCCTGCCTACCTCAAAGAATTGCTATAAGAGTTACTCCTTTAGAACAAGGACTGAACTTCTTTCTTTTGTACCTGTGTGAAATTCAGGCCAGCACCAATGCAAGAATAAACTAATACTTGTTGATTATTAATAGTGCATACTTGTTGATTATTTGCAACATGAAATAATGGGGGAAACCTCTTAGGCAAAGCCTCAGAAATGATAGACTGGCACTAGGTTTTCCATAACACACTGATATCTTGTGCAGATTTGCCATCTGGACTCTGCTGCTCTGAGGTTTTCTACAAGAAGGAGGCAGAGCCTGCTCACTTTGGGACGTGCCCTTGAATATGTCCCTTTGTGGATGTGTGGAACGCTGAGATGAACGTTCTACACAGGCACTCGCCCCTTGTCAGCCAAGTTTTAACTATCCAGCTCTTCTCTTTGGGTGATGTCATGTTTATCATAGCAACAACTAACTCTTTGGTGTGAGCCATGTAGAAGAGTTCGTTTAATTCTCACCACAGCCCTATTATTACCCCCTCAATTTTACAGATGCGAGTTTGTCTTAGGTGACCTGCCCCCATCTCACAGCTGAGAGGTGGCAGAGTCAGGCTGGAACTCAGGTCCTTCTGGCACCACAGTGTCAGTCCTGTCACCTGTGCTGGACATGCCTTATGTGCAGTGTGATCCCTGAGGTGGGCTCTCTGTGGGTTTTGGCCACTCAGCAAGATTGCTTAAGATGGCCAGTTTTGTGTTTTAGCTTCCCACAAGTCTCAAGGCTTCCTAAAGTGAGCTGTGCTAGAGAGACTGCAGGTAGCTGTGCAATATCCTTAGAGAGTCTAGGAAGCTTCATCATTTGCTTATTTATTTGGGAAACAGCTTGATTGAGATATAATTCACAAACAATACAATTAACTAATTTAAAGTGTACAGTTTAATGCTTTTTACTATATTTGGACTTGTGCAACTATTACCACAATTTTATTTTTTTAATTTAATTTAATTTTATTTTATTTATTTTGAGACAGAGTCTCACTCTGTCACCCAGGCTGGAGTGCAGTGGTGTGATCTCGGCTCACTGCAACCTCCACTTCCTGGGTTCAAACGATTCTCGTGCCTCAGTCTCCTGAGTACCTGGAATTACAGGCGCATGCCACCAAACCTGGCGAATTTTTGTATTTTTAGTAGAGGTGGGTTTTTGCCATGTTGGTTGGGCTGCTCTCGAACTCCTGACCTCAAGTAATCCACCCATCTCAGCCTTCTAAAGTGCTGGGATTACAAGTGTGAGCCACTGCGCCCTGCCCACAATTCATTTTGGAACATTTTCATCAGCCCAAAAGAAACCTCATACCCTCTAGTAATCCCCCGCCATTCTCGTCATTGTGCAGTCATCAATCTACTTTTTATCTGTAGGGATTTGCCAATTCAGGATCCTTCATATAAATGAGTCATAAAATATGGGGCCTTTTGTATCTGGTTTCTTTTAGTTAGCATAAAGTTTTAAGGTTTATCTGTGTCGCAGCATGTATCAGCACTTATTTTTTAAGGCTGAATTATATTCCATTGCATGGATAGGTCACGTTTTGTTGAGCCATTCACCAGTCAATGGACATGAGTTGTTTCCACCTTGGTGCTATCATGAATCATGCTGCTATGAACATTCGTGTGCAGGTTTTTGTGTGGACATGTGTTTTCAATTATTTATTTTTATATCATTGTTTTCTAGAAGCCAAATATGGTGATAGAGACTCTCATCAAGGACACTGAGTAAACCAGAAACCTGCTTGGGCTCACGTTCCTTGTCTGTAAGTTGGGTCTGGGAAGAGCAGCACAGAGTGTGTGAGTGTGTGTACATGCGCTTGTGTGTGTGCAGGTGTGTTTGTGTGTGTGCATGTATGTGAGTGCACGTGTGTGTGTGTGTGTGCAGAGGACAGGTGTATGTCTTTCTGTATGCCTGGCTAGGTGAGGGCGGAGAGAGGGTGCTAGTCAGGAGAACAGCTGTAGAGGCACTCATGACAGAAGGTAACTCTTGGAGGAAAGAGTGATGAATTGTTGACCCCCCCTCCTCCTCTCCTGCTCCTTTTTGCTGAGCTAGCAAAAGATACAGGAGAGGAGAATTTAAAGCAATTTAAGCTCAGGCCTCAGCTTGGCCCTGTGACTTGGTAAGTGAATGTGGAATCACCCATCAGTGGGTCAGCCAACATGGACAGACTTCCTATTGCCCCATGGCCCTATTCCAGTAGTAGCCTGCAATGCCCCCTGAATCTGTAGAGTGTAATGCTGCTGCCTTACACCTCATGTGGAGATCCAGGACAATGTAACCGTTCCATCTTTCACTGTCCATCATGTTTCAGGATTACAGACATCTCCGGCTCTTGTGGGAGTGATCTTAATTTGGCCAAAATCATTTGGATTCTTCAAATGCAGTTTGGCAGAGTGGAAAGGGGAAAGCTATAAGTTGGGATAGACATGATTCAAGCCCTGGACTAATTACTTATTAGGTGCATGACCTTCAGCAGGCCCCTTACCCTCTGTGTTAGTCCATTCTCACACTGCTATGAAGAAATATCTTAGACTGGGTGATTTATAAAGAAAAGAGCTTTAATTGGGTATTAGATATGCAGGCTGTACAGGAGGCATGGCAGTGTCAGCTTCAGGGGAGGCCTCAGGAAGCTTACAGTCATGATGGCGGCAAAGAAGGAGCCAGCAGTTCACATGTCCAGAGCAGGAGGAGGAGAGAGAGGAGGGAGGTGCTGCACACTTTTAAACAACCAGATCTCAGGATAAATCACTCACCATCATGAGAACAGTACTAAGGGGAGGGTACTAAACCACTCATGAAGGATCCATCCCCATGATCCAATCACCTCCCACCAGGCTTGATATGGTTTGGATTTGTATCTCTCTCCAAATCTCATTTTGAATTGAAATCCCCAGTGTTGGAGGAGGGGGCGTGGTGGGAGGTCATTGATTCATGGGGGTGGATTTCCCTCTTGCTGTTCTCATGATAGTGAATGAGTTATCATACGATCTGGTTGTTTAAAAGTGTGTGGCACCTCCCCCTTCCCTCTCTTTCTTCTCTGGCCACCTAAGATGTGCCTGCTTCCCCTTCATCTTTTGCCATAATTGAAGTTTTTCCAAGGCCTCCCCAGCCATGCTTTCTGCACAGCCTGTGGAACTGTGAGTCAATTAGACCTCTTTTCTTTATAAATTGCCCAATCTCAGGTAGTTTTTTATAACAATATGAGAATAAACTAATACAGAAAATTGGTACCTAGGAATGGGGCATTGCTATAAAGATAGCTGAAAATGTGGAAGCAACTTTGGAACTGTGTAATGGGCAGAAGTTGGAACAGTTTGGAGGCCTCAGAAGAAGACAGGAAGATGAGAGAAAATTTGGAACTTCCTAGAAACTTGTTAAATTGTCATGACCAAAGTGCCGACAATAATATGCACAATGATGCCCAGGCTGAGGAGGTCTCAGATGAAGATGAGGAACTTATTGGGAAGTGGAGCCAAGGTCACTTTTGTTATGCATGAGTAAAGAGATAATCTGAAACTGGAACATATATTTAAAAGGAAAGCAGAGTGTGAATGTTGGAAAAATTTGCAGCCTGACCATGTGGTAGAAAAGAAAAACCCATTTTCTCCGGAGTAATTCAAGCTGGCTGCAGAAATTTACATGAGTAAAGAGGAGCCAAATGTTGATAGCCAAGTTAATGGGGAAAATGCCCCAAAGGCATTTCATACAACTTTGAGGCAGCCCTTCCCATTGTAGACCTGGAGGCCTAGGAAAGTGAAATGGTTTTGGGGGCCAAGCCCCGGGTCCCACTGCTCTGTGCAGCTTTGGGACTTGGTGCCCTGCATCATGGGCACTCCAGCTCCAGCCGTGGCTAAAAAGCTCAGCCTGTCACTTCAGAGGGTGCAAGCCATAAGCCTTGGCAGCTTTCATGTGGTGTTAAGCTTGTGGGTGTTCTAAGTGTAAGAGTTGAAGCTTGGGAGCCTCTGCCCAGATTTCAGAGGGTGTATGAAAACACCTGTGTATCCAGAAAGAACTCTGCTACGAGGGGCAGAACCCTCGTGGAGAACCTCTACTAGGGCAACGGGGAGGGTGAATGTGGGGTTGCAGTCCACACAAAGAAACCCCACTGGGGCACTGCCTAGTAAAACTGTGAGAAGAGGGCCACCATCCTCCAGACCCCAGAATTGTAGATCCATCAGCAGCTTGCACCATGCACCTGGAAAAGATGCAGGCACTAAACACCAGGACTTGAGAGCAGCTGCAAGGGCTGTACCCTACAGAGCCACAGGACCAGAGCTGCTCAAGACCTTCGGAGCCCACCCCTTGCATCAGTGTGGCCTGGATGTGAGATATAGAGTCAAAGGAAATTATTTTGGAGCTTTAAGGTGTAATAACTGCCCTGCTGGGTTTTGAACTTGCATGGAGCCTGTAGCCCCTTTATTTTGGCCAATTTCTCCCTTTTGGAATGAGAGTATTTAGCCAATGCTTGTACCCCCATTGTAACTTGGAAGTAACTAACTGGTTTTGAGTTTACAGGCTCATAGGCAGAAAGAACTTTCCTTGCCTCAGATGAAACTTTGAATTTGGACTTTTGAGTTAATGCTGGGATGAGTTAAGACTTTGGGGGACTGTTGGGAAGGCATGATTATATTTTGAAATGTGAGAAGGACATGAGATTTGGGAGGGGCCAGAGGTGGAATGATATGGTTTGGATTTGAGTCCCTGCCCAAATCTCATGTCAAATTGTAAACCCGTGTGTCAGTGGAGGGACCTGGTGGGAGGTGATTGGATCATGGGGGCAGATTTCCCCCTTGCTGTTTTCCTGATAGTGAGGGAGTTATCATGAGATCTGGTTGTTTTAAAGTGTGTAGCACCTCCCCCTGCTCCCTCTTCCTCCTTCTCTGGCTATGTAAGACGTGCCTGCTTCCTCTGCCCCTGTAAGTTTTCTGAGGCCTCCCCAGCCATGCTTCATGTACAGCCTATGGAACAGTGAGTCAATTAAACTTTTTTTCTTTATAAATTACCCAGTCTCAGGCTGTTCTTTATAGCAATATGAGAACGGGTTAATACAAGGCCCCACCTCCAACAATGGCAATTACAATTCGACATGAGATTTGAGTGGGGACAGAAATCCAAACTATATCACTCTCTTTAAGCCTATTTGTTTTTGTCAAATAAGGATAATGATTCTTACTTGGTGGGGTTGTTGAGTGCACCAGAGGACAAGCACTAAGTGGCTGTAGGGTTGACAGTCAATGAATGGTCACTGGTTATGTAGAAGATTGCTGAGTGACCTGCTTAAGACACACCTGACTCTCTTCAGTCAGTCTCACCTGACCCGTAGATAGAAGGCAGGAAATAAGGAGGCTTATTCTGCTGTTTGATGGATGCATCTCTTCCATAAATGACCCTTCTGCTACATCTCCATAAACTCGTGGGTCTCCAGGGGACTCTGAATTTTAACCTGATGAGTTTTAGTAAGTTTTATTGTATGTCTGAGCCACAGTCACTTCTTTACAAATATTTATCCACAACATACTAATCTATTTTCTAGGCCTGCCTCTCTGATTGGTGTAGAGAAGGGAAAGTATTTGATAGTTGTATGTGAGGCAACCACTCTTCATAGACATATCTGAGATTGGCTCAAGGGTCTACAGAGGTGAATTTTATTTTTGATCTTGCTGCTGCTATTTCACTGCGTAAACTTAGGAAAGTCACACAACCTTTGATTCATAGTTTCCTTTCATTGGTAAAATAAGGGAGTTAAATTAAGTGATTTTAAGACCCCTCACCAGACCTAACACTCTAGAAGAATACACTATGACATGCAGGGGCAAGGTGTCCTCTTGCTACAAATACATACATCTGTTTTCCTCCCACAGAGGGTGGGGATACACATGGCTTTCTCTACACATAGTATGAGATGTCATGGTCAACACCAGGAGAGGCGAGAGGCATTTTATGCAGAACTGGGCTAAGTGTGGAACAAGGTCACAGGGTTGGGAAACCTTTTTTCCTTCATATTGGCAGAGTATAAGTGGCTATATCACTTCCTTTGTTTTTAATTTTTATTAAGGAAATTTTAAACATATACAAATGTGGAGAGAACAGTACAATGAATGTCAAATACTCACTACCAAACTTGAACAGTTATTAACATTTTTCCAACTTGTCTCTTGTCCATCTTGTCTTCCATTTCTCCTCCTCCTCCAACACACTTTATTTTTATTCCATTTTATTTCCTTTTATTTTATTGTATGGCAAATTTCAGGCACTTTATCAGTCCACCTATAATTCAGGATTTATCTCCAATAAAAGTACATTACATAATATATGTCTGTTATATAATATATACTTTATACAACAAAATAAGCCCAGTATATATACATTATATAATGTTACATATATTACATAACTCTAAGGTCATTATTACACCTAACAAATTTAACAGTGTCATTTATATGCAGTCCATATTCCGACTTCATTGGGGGCATTTTTAAAACTGTCCAAATTGTAAAGAATTGGTTGGCCTATCAAATCATTCGTTCATTCATTCATTCATTCATCTATTCAACTGACACTATGACATCCTTAATGTGGCCAGGTCTCATAGGAGCTACTGTTGCATAGGGCAGACAAACAAGTTCACAAATGAAAAATAGTGAGATAAATGCAGAGTAGTTTGGTACAAAGTGTGACTATGTCACAAAGAAGGTCACAATCAATTCTGCAGGAGGTGGGAGGGTAATAGAGGAGTTCATGCAGGATAAGGATCTTGGGTTGAATTTTGAAGGCTGACTAGGTGTTGGCAGCAGGCTATAGAGGAAGGATGCACCACAGAGAAAGTGTGAGAAACATGCCAGGACTTCGTACCAGGAAATATCATCAGGAAATATCTCCTTAACTAATAGGAGTGCCAGGTGCTCTTCTGGGTCAGTGAACAAAATAGACAAAAATCCCTAACCTGGTTGAGCTTATGTTCTTTGGGGGAGGACTAGCAATAATAAATGAATACATACAGCATGTCAAAAATAAGGGCTACACAAAAGAAAAACACAACAAAAAAAAGGGAACGTGATTAAGAGTGCTAGGGCTGTGGTGGTTCACAAGTTAACATAGGATGGTTGTCATGGTAAGGTGGTAGGAAATGGCCAAATGCTCACAGTTCCCCTTTTTTCTTCTTTTGCATACAAGAAGATCATGTTGCTCAGCCTTTTCTGCAGTTAGACTTGGACAATCTGACTGGGTTCTGGTCCATAGAAAATAGTTGGAAGTGATGCATGCCACTTCCAGGCCTGGTCATCATGCCCTGAGTGGCCATCCATGTTCTTTCTCCTTCTTCCACCATGACCTTGGCAGTCATGTGCTGGAAGTGAGATGAAAGAGCCCATATCTTTGAGTCACCAATTAAAAACTGCATTAAAAAACTCTGAGTGTAAAACTAATATACATACTGAAGTTGCTGTCTACTCTCCTACCAATACCTTGTCCACTCTATGACCCACTTTCTACCTTTTCTTCTACTATGTGTGTGTGTTTAAGGAGTTAGTGTGTTTAATATATAAAGAACTCATAAAAATCAACTAGAAAAATATTAACTCTGTAAGAAAAAATGAGCAAAGGACTTACAAAGTAAAGCTACTTACAGAAATAAATAAATAAATAAAAACTCTATGTTCTACAGTTTCAAGTGAATAGAATCATAGAAGCCAAAAATAAGCATATAGAAAAATTAAGACTTTATTATGAATAACATGCTACTCCTAAATACCCTTTATTTTGCAATCTGGCTATGTCCTCTTTTTTTTTTTTTGAGACAGAGTCTCGCTCTGTCCCCCAGGCTGGAGTGCAGTGGCGCAATCTCGGCTCACTGCAAGCTCCGCCTCCCGGGTTCACACCATTCTCCTGCCTCAGCCTCCCGAGTAGCTGGGACTACAGGCGCCCGCCACGACTCAGGGCTAATTTTTTGTATTTTTAGTAGAGACGGGGTTTCACCGTGTTAGCCAGGATGGTCTCGATCTCCTGAACTCGTAATCCACCAGCCTCGGCCTCCCAAAGTGCCGGGATTACAGGCGTGAGCCACCGCACCTGGCTCAATCTGGCTCTGTCTTTAAAATTAATATGTGCAGTGTTGCTGAGGACATCGTGAAATGGTTTTTACACACTGCTGACAAAAGCATACATTGATACAACCTTTCTGGAAGACAATTTAGCAATATTTTCTATTATTTCAGAGCCTTAAAAATGTTTCTCCCAGGTGCAGTGGCTCATGCCTGTAATCCTAGTGCTTTAGGAGGCCACAGTGGGAGGATCATTTGAACGCGGGAATTTGAGATCAGTTTGGACAACATGATGACCCCCGTCTCTTCAAAGAAAAAAAAATTAGCCAGGCATGGCAGCCTGCACCTGTAGTCCCAACTACTCAGGAGGCTGAGATAGGAGGATCACTTGAGCCCAGGAATTTGAGGTTGCAGTGAGCTATGCTTATGCCACTGCACTCCAGACTGGGCAACAGAGCAAGGCCTTATCTCAACAAACAAACAAACAACAACAAAACCTGTTTCTGCCTTTGATCTCATGGATAACACTTTCAGGAATTCAAATCAGCAGTGGTGGATTCAACAACCTATGCATATAACAAAAGATTTTCAAAACTTCCTTAAGAACTGGAAATACCTTTATACTTTTTGCTGAGATAAACGAAATTCATTTTTCCAGTGGGCATGTGTTATTTTATAATAAATAACTCATTAAAAGTATTTAAAAGACTCTTCCTTTTTTTTTTCTATGTGTTGCATAGCTTCTTCTCAGATCCAGGAAAGGAGCTGTCCAGGACAATGAGGATAGGCTGAGGAAAGACAGGCCACGGCCTTGCCTCTGTGCCAGCTCTCATGGGCCAGGCAGAGTATCCCAGGACAACTGCCTCCACAACCAGCTCCATCCTTCATCAGCAATTCAGTACCTGATTAACAAATCTGTACCCCAGGAGGTTATGCCAAGTCCAACTTCTTCCAGAGACCACAACAATAAATCCAAGCCACTGCTAATGTCATTTATAAGCTGTGGGATTAAAACAGAGAAGCAATCAATTAATTAAAATTAGCTCTTTATTGAAACTATAAGCATCTTGCTTCCTAAGATTCTAGACCAAATAAGTGACCGCCAATTCTACTCTTATAGAATGAAAGAGTTTGCCATTTTTAATGTAATGAAATTTTTTCACTCTGAAATAAGATTAATTCAAAATGGTCTTAGCCTAAAAAAAATTATCTTTATTCACTAGGAAGAAAACACCTCTTATTACCTATGTTACATTTGTCAAGTTACATTAGCAATCTGAGTCTTAGTCTCCATATTTGTAAAATGGAAAAAAATAATGTATCCCCCACCTGGCTATTGTGAAGATAAAGTAAGAGGACACATACCAAGTGCCTAATACAGGGCCTGGAATATGGAAGTACCCAGCAAATATTCCATCTCTCCATTGGGCAAGGCAGTACTGGACAGTACCAAAAGGAGTATTAAAGGTGGGAGGAAGAAAATAAGATCTTGAAGCAGTCATACACAACAGAATTCCAAAGTTATAACCAAAAGGGGTTAGGTATGTTTTACAGAAAATGTTTAAGAAGGATAAGTGAAAAGTATTATGTAGATATATTTGTGTATGATACGCTTCTGTAATAGATACAATCTGAATATGAAATCAGAATTTCTGGGCTCCGGGAATCAGGGTTTTGATTTTTTTCTAAGAAAGATTGGTTTCTTCTGCTCCAGAATTTCATACAGATTAAATCCTATAGCCAGGCACTATAGCTCATACCTGTAATCTCAGCACTTTGGGAGGCCAAGGCAGGAGGATCCCTTGAGTCTAGGAGTTAAAGACCAGCCTGGGCAACATACTCAGACCCTGTCTCTATGAAAAATTATTCAGGCGTGGTGGTGCACACCTGCAGTGAGGAGGTCGAGGTGGGAGAATGCCTTGAGCCCAGGAGGTTGAGGCTACTGTAAGCTGTGATTGTACCACTGCACTCCAGTCTGGGTGACAGAGAGAGACCCTGTCTTAAAAAAAATCAGTGTGAAATCTCTTGCATAAGCCATCCTTTACCCAGCATAGTGACTTTGCAATTTATTCACGTTATTGCATGCACCAGTGAATTACTCTTTTTTGTTGCTGAGAAGCATTTTATTGCATGAATATACTACAATTTATTTATCTACGAATGGACATCTGGGCTTCTTTGAGAATTTGCAAGTTATAAAGGATACGGCTGCTAATGTTTTTGTTGAAGTCTTTTTGTGAACTAGAATATCTCTTTCTACTTTAATGAATGAGTCATCTTACCTTTAAATTGTCACCACTTCCACATCTTTCATTGCTAGTGATGCTGTGCATTTTCTTCCTCTGATAATAGAATAATTATTAGAATAATTCCTCTGATAATAGAATAATCCCATTTCTTGTATACTTACTATAATGACAGGCTGTCTAATTTGTCCTCATAAGATTTCTGCAAAGTAGATATAATCATGCCCATTTTACAAATGAAGAAATAAGTGCAGGCTCATTAAGCAGTTGGATCTGTGGACTCTGAATTACTACTGAAGTTGGGGCCTCTAGGCCACAGTGTGGCTCTCTTGGGCTGTGACAATGGCTTCTGAGAAAACCACCTGGACTTGTCCTTTGCTCATGTCCTGGAGGGGCATCTAGACCTACACATTATGCATTTTTACCAATTTTAATTATTTTGGCTACAAGTTCCTTGCAGTTAGATTTGTGATGTATTTTTCTCAACACGCTGCATATGGGCCCCTCCCAAATGATGACAGGCCATGGCATGTGGAGACAGCCCACCCTAATGGAAGAATCAGGAGAGAAGGGATGCAATCCTCTAGAAGTCTGCCTACATATAAGACCCCATGTCAAATGTTATACCATGCACTTGACTCTCTCAAGTTGCCTGCTTGGCCCTCTTCCAAGTATACTTTAATTTCTTTCATTCCTGCCCTAAAATATTTTAATAAGCTTTCATTCCTGCTCTAAAACTTGCCTCAGTCTCTCATTCTGTCTTATGCCCCTTGGTCAAATTCTTTCTTCTGAGGAGGCAAGCATCGAGGTTGCTGCAGACCCCTGTGGATTCACTGCTGCTAACATACTTTTTTGCTGCATGACTCAGATACATTTCCTGGCAATAAGATACATCTAAGCCTCACCTTTTCTGTTTGCAGGCGTTCAACCCCTATAGAGAGTTTCCTTCTCTCCTTTTGCTCTCCTGCTTATTAACCAACCCTAAAAATTGTTTCTCTTGGCCACACTGCCTCTGCTCCCGCTGGCTGATGTCTCAGCTTACCCTCACCGGTGACTTGCAGGGGCGGGAAGAACCCTGGAGTCAATACCAAGTAGACCTGAGACACTACTGGCTTTTCTGGACAGGAGTGGTAGGGCTAAAGCCTAATACCATGCAATATCTGGGGTTTCCTCTGCTTTTTCAACTAAAATTGACTCTTTCCCAAAAACTCACACTGCTTATTCTTCTGTTCTCTCTGTGTGTATTCTAAAATGCCCTTGCACACTTACCAGACCATCTGCCTCAGGGGCAACTCTGACTCCTTTGCTTTCATTTTGAATGCCCTGTGACTTCTTAAATACACACTCTGTTATTTGTGTACCTGTGGCTCTTGTTGCATTTGCTTGACAGCAAATACATGGGCTGCCTTGCTGATATCCCCTGAGATTTATACTTGTTTCTATCCTGCCAGCTTGGAAGACCTGTCTGATGGTGCATTGCCAGAACAGACGCTAATCAGAACCCCAGCTCTCCTATTGCATCATCACTTACCACACACTTTTCATTCTTGTTATGCTCCAGGGCTAAATTGTTTGGTGGCTTTTGAAGCGGTTTGTCTGCCTGCATAGGGCCTTAAACAGTAGCCTTTTAAGGACCCCATCTATTTGCTTTATTTTTTTTTTTTTTGAGGTAGTACCTCTTTGAGAGGAGAAGAAATTCTTTCTTTGCCATTTGCAGGTTCTTACCCTAAGCCCCAAGTCCTCCAGAGGTTACTACTTTATGTCAGGAGGGCAAATAAACGTTACCCTCTCGAGTCCAAAGGCTGCTGTCTTGGGGAGCATAGAAAGGCTTTCTGTGAGTATTCCTCTCGCTTCCTTCCATTTCCTATCATAGCCTTCGTTTCTCTAATCAATTCCATGCCCTTCTTAATATACATCAAGACCTTACAGTCCTATTCGAAGGGAAGGAAGTCCAGCCCCTTTGGAGCAGTTAGCTAAAAGGCAGGCTTCTCATCTACTTAAAGAACATGGGAAATGGAAATCTGAGAAAAGAGATCATTATTTTGTTGCTCAAATGCTCTGAGTGACGGTCATTCTAAGGTCATAGAGACAAGGATGGAGCCTGGCCAAAGGCCACAGGCACAAGAGACCCATAAGACAGAGATGAAGGTTTGTCCCAGGCTAACACATGACCATTAGAGCAGAGATGAAGGCAAGGTGAGAAGTACAAAATAAGACTGGTTTATTCCAGAACCCCAAAGATAAAGAGGGGCCCGCCTTGTTCACTCCAGTAGGTTTTCTGTCCTCAAGTGGGTAATCATGATGAGATGGTACCAAGGTTAAGGGTACATGGTAAGACCAGTTCATTCCAGAAGGCTAAGGATGAATTTGGGACACCCCATTTGGGATAATAGAACAGTAAGAGGGGAGGCCTTCTTTTTCCTTTTTCCTTTATTTCTCCTCATTCTCCCTTTGCAGGTGGGTAATTCAATCTCCATACCACAGGCCATGCCCCTCAGATGAATCCTTAAGGACTGGGAAAAGTCTGATCACCTAAACAAAAGCTAGGTTTCCTTGGTAATACTGTTTGGCCTAAAAATGAACTGGGAAAAATTACAAAAGTCAACCTTAAAATCCAGGGTTCTTAAGCAGAAAATCCTCAAATTAGCCTCCTGAGTCTTTTGTAACCAAGATCAGAACAAGAAGGACAGGGCTAAGGAAAAAAACAAATGCAGGGAGAAGAGGCAGTTTCAACTATTGGCTGCTCTGCTAGTCCAACAGCCCCCTCCAGGTTGACCTAAGGACACTCCTCCAGGTAACTGCAATCAGTACAGGAAGCCAGGCCACTGGAAGGCAAACTGCCTAATGGGATAAATAAGAAGAAGTCCTGCATGGAATGCCCCCTCTGCCACAAGCTCAGCCACAGGAAACAGGACTGCTCTGAGGGCTGAAGGGCCCTTGGGACAGAACCCCAATCTCTGATGGTTTTGAGCTGAAGGGACCCTCTGCTCCAGCTGGCTCCCAGATCAGACATGGTCATCAATAGGACAAAGCCAAGGGCAACTCGAAGTGGCAAGTAAAATTGTGAATTTCTCTTTTGCATTTAAGAGCTTCTTACTCTGCTAATTTCTTTCTCTAAGCAATTCTCCTCCAAATCCGGCCCAATAATGGAGGCAAGTAGCACCCTCTCCCTCCAAAAGAAAAGATTCACACCCCTTTGGGGTGAAAATATACTTTCCAAGATGGGTGCCTGCTCAATATTCACCCAACCTCTAAATTTCATCTCTCCCTCTAATAGTCCTATCTCTTCTGGGAAAGCAACCTAAATCTTTAAGCAATAACTTTAATTTGGATAATCTTACCTCAGTGGTTTAAAATAGCCCACACTCATTCAAATGTGCCCTAGCAATAAATCTAACCACGCAATCTCTTGAGGGTGGATAACTTCTATGGTATGCAGACAACCTCTTTACTTGCTCCCTCTTCACAGGACTCACACAGCAACATGCAGTACAAACCATAACTTCCTAACAGAATGAAAATGACTTTTGTCTAGTTCAAAGATTATAAAGGTAAAGGTATTTCTGGGAAGAAAGGGTATAAAGAAAAGAGATTTTATATGAAAAAGGATCCTGTATGGTAAATTTTTGTCCTACAGTAAAATAACTGGTTGTTTAGGAAAAGTCAGAAAGTCCAAGCATGTCATAGATGGTCTGGGTAAGTTAAAAACTCATGAAAGGGAATTTATAAAAGAAATCTTATACAATTTTAAAGATTATGAGATCTACTAAATGCTTCATAAGCTGTTACTGTGACTCTTAACTGTACAACTTGTGTGCTTTTAAGCTATATAAGGCTGGAGGCATACAGAGTTACCCATGACCCCTAGCTATGCTAAAAAGTGTCAGAGATTGTCTGCATTTCTGTCTGGTGTCCTAGGGTCCACATTTAGTACATAACTAAAATAACTTACCAGGTTTTTCACCAAAAGTAAAAGTTAAAGTTGCTAAGAGTTAACAGTGTAACTGTATTTAAGACTACTGGAAAAACAGTTTTACGTGCAAGGTGTGTAAGGAAAGTAGAATGTGCTTTTGGTAAAAGATTACAAGAAAGCATGAAAATGTGGGTTTTTCTGCTTAGTTTAGATGGTTAAAGGATTGTTTTAAGTAAGACAGAATAAATCTGAAGTTTTGAGTACTTTAGGAAAGGTTTGTGAAGGATTAATGTTGTAAAACAAATTCTGTTTGTAAACCTATTGGCTAAAGTTAAAGGGGTATTATTCAGTTTATCCATACATTGAACATTGGAAAAAAACACAATAATGTTTTCTTATAACATTGCACTTCACTTAACCAATAATTGGAAATAGTTATAAAAGGTTTATGAGAATCTTACCTTATGGTCGAACTGATTAAGATTGAATAGATTTGTCTATAAGGTTTCATAAAGAATTGTGTTTAATATCAATAATATAGATGTGTTATTGATATGTGTTCCAAAATTATTTAAAACTCCAATTATTATGATATATATCACTATTAATTATCAGTAATATTTATAAGTGTTATGTTAAACTATTGTGTGCCACAGAAGTAACAAAGTTTCTTGTTAATTTTGTCTTTGACTGTGGCTTCCCTAAGACATTTTGTTATCCACAGACAATTGTTGTCTTATTTTGATTCTCTTTAAAAGGTAGTTTTAAAATTGGCTATAAAACTTTGACAGGTGCTTTGGCTGCAGGTTTCTGATAACTTTGGAGATTGTTACATCAAAATGAAGATGAAAGAAGTTTCAAGACTCTCTTGGAAAACAAATGTTCATAAATTTTGAGCAAAACAGGAATTAATTAACCAAAGTAAATCTTTTTTAATTTCTTGCTTAAAGCATTGCTTCTTTGTTTTGTTTTTTGAAGTCAAGAAAACTTTTCTTTTGAGCTATTTACAGCATTTAACAATAGAGTATTCCTGTAAATAATATTTAGAGCATATTTGTTTCACTCTACCTGATTTCTCTAGAATTTGGAAACTATTTGTGAGTATTCTTAACTTATGACAATATTGTTATTTGCACAAGTACAATAAGAATCTGTTTTCTTTTGTAACAGGACACAATTAGATAAACTGGTTATTTTACCAAGGCTTTGACTGGAATGGCCTGCTTTCCTTTAAGGAATCAAATTTGACTTATAAAGCCCATAAAAGTCCCTTGGGAAAATTGGCCGAATTCATTGTCTACACAGTCCCTGTATGGGGTTTCTCACCTGTAGTAAGTAAAGAATGTCACTTTCTGACAAGTCCAGGAGCCTCAAGTTATCTTGGGACATCAAAATAAGAGGAATTTATCCAATTCATACAGGTATTTGATGGCACAAACCCATGGCTGGGCTTAAGGCTCTAGAAAGTCTTGTCTGAGATTCCTTATGAAAGGATGGTTCATCAAAGCCAATTTAAAAAGGAGTATATATATATATATATATATATATATATATATATATATATATATGCAGATAATTATTCTTGCTGTTCTTTTTGCAAATAATCAGGCCACATATAATAAGACTAGAGCTTATTATGTAGAGAAATCAGTCCTATCATAACTTGTTTTTAATAAAAATGAGAACTGGAGAGAAAAACAATTATGTTAAAAAACTGTGGTACATCTGTTACTAGATTCTAGTCTTAACAGTTGTTTTTAATTTTGTTCTGCAATTTAGACTACCCCTGTTTATTCCTGTGAACCAACCAGTGATCTCTGGCTGCAGCTCAGAAGAAACAAGAGGAATGTGCTATCAAATTCCAGATGATCCTTAGTAAGGGATAACATTCTCTCAATATTCAAGAGTCACCCTTTTACAGGGGACCTTTAGACTGCCCATCAGTGGGACATGACAGAGGTGAAATCCTGCTCCTGTCTCACTTAGACCTGACCAGATACTGCTTTCAACAACCTATGGAGCCACTTTGCCCTGACAGCTAGCAAGAGGCCAAGACCCACAAAACAACCACCACCATGCCTTTGTCAACAGGAAGCAGTTACAGAAGACTGAACTTCATCCATTGTCTTAAAGAATTGGACTGTTGTTCTCTTGAGAAGGGAGATGTTACAGTAGGTAGCTAGTTAAACACAAGCAGGGTAGGAGAGACTCCCCTGGCAACCCACCACCAGGAATATCAGGCAATCACCAGGTGATGTTTAGGTGGTTGTTACACTGTCTCTCTAACACAATAATTGGTCACAGCAAGCACTAGGAAAAGGCAGTCTTCCAGTAGATAGAAACACCTGAAGTTGGTGATCAGCAGCTTCCCAATAAGGTCTCAGAAGTTGGGAGAGTGGTCTCAACATGCACACTAAGAGGAAAAATGGTGGAGTTTAACTGGTATATGATCTTTCTTTGAGAACATTTGACTGGTAAGGGAGGAATTCTTCAAGTGAGCCTGTATACAACTACAGTAAACACACTGTGCATGTGGCCCCTATCAAATGCTGAGAGACCACTGCATATGTGAACAGCCCATCCTGAGGGAAGAATCAGAGGAGAAGGGATACAACCCTTCAGAAAAGTGCCCCCAAAGTCAAAGGTTAAACCACTCTCTTGACTCTGTCAAGTTGCCTGCTTCACCCTCTTCCAAGTATACTTTACTTCCTTTCATTTCTGCCCTAATATTTTTAAATAAACTTTCACTCCTGCTCTAAAACTTGCCTCAGTCTCTCCCTCTTTCTCTCTCTCTCTCTCTCTGCATTATGCTGCTTGGTTGAATTTTTTTTTTTTTTTTTTTTGAGGAGGCAAGAATTGAGGTTGCTGCAGACCTGTATGGACCTGTCACTACTAATACTAAGTGAAGGAGTCATGGTACAAACTCAGGCCATCTGGCCCCAGAGCCAGCGCACACTTTGCCATTGTGCTAATTTCTTTCATTTTTCTTATTTAACTGGTCTAAATGCCTGCTTTGGTTCTCATTCTATCAGGGCGGGAGGTCTACCTCAAACAAGTCTAGCCTTCTTCCCAGCCTCCCTGGGTCCTCTAGCCCTCCTTTCCCTCTGTTATGGCTCAATCCCAATAAACTTGCCAAGGACCAGCCCTGTGGGGTTGGGGGTGTGTTTAGGGAGAGAGGGATGAGTGTGTTGAGGGGGTTGTCCATGCTGTGTTGAGGCATTCTCTACTCCTGCAGCCTCAGTCACAGGTCCCTGCAGGCCCCAGCAGTGGCATCCTTGCCCTTGACTGCAATATGGCTGGGTTCTGGCAGAAGAGTTTAGCTCCCTGCACCCTTCTTGGGTACTCTGTGAAGGCTTCCCTCTGCTCCTGTCTTCCCTGGGGTTCTGGAAG
This sequence comes from Homo sapiens, assembly GCF_000001405.40. Lineage (NCBI taxonomy): Eukaryota > Metazoa > Chordata > Mammalia > Primates > Hominidae > Homo > Homo sapiens. Next base: position 57,373,351 of record NC_000008.11, read on the forward strand.
ATTCCACCCTTGCTGCTTCATCCTGTGCACAACCACATCTGGTCCCCTGGCCTGTCATTGAGCTGGGCAAAGGGAATGCTATCTTCCTACTTTCTCGGGAATTACATGGGGACAGGTCTTTGTTCACCTCTGATGTAGGATTCTTTAATCATATTTGGAATTTCTAGCATGATTTTCCTGAACATCCTTTTAAATCAGCCTTAAATTCAACGTTTTGGGCAAAGAAAATGTAAGTTTGTGATCTCTTGGGCCCGCCATTGGCCTAAATAGGCCATTCTTTGCCACAGTGGAGCTACAGACTTCTCTTGCTCCCTGCTGTTTCCTGGTTCTTGGAGGGTGGAAAGGCCCCGAGGCTCTTGCACACTCTGAGGCAGAGAGGTCTGAGGAAGGCGGCCCAGGCTGCAGAACTTCTGGAGGCCTGTGGGGTGGCCCCTCTGGAAGTGGGCACTCATGAGAATTACAGCCAGAACTCAGGGCTCCAGGAATCTGGTCTGAGCCAGATAACAAGTCACCTCTTATTTAGGTACAGAGGGGACCCTGGAGGTCATGAGGGTGGATGCCTGGAGACCAGGGGGACAGAACACTGCCCAGTAATTGTGAATCCAAGGCTCCACCTTCTTCACAAGCAGCACATATTCTAGAACCTAGTGGGATCTCAGGCCTGATAGGATGTGCCCTAGTCCTAGAACATTTAAGTTGTTGTAGTGAAAGGTATGTCAATTCAGAGACATGACTTAGGGATGGGTAAACTACTGCACAAGAAGGCAAATCCCCTGCTTCCCACCCTATCTGAGAGTGTTGTCCTGCAGCCACTGACCCCAGATCTCCAGCTCACACCCAGTCTGTGTTATCTGCAGGGGGGACAGCTGCAGAGCTCTCTGCTCCTAGAAGCCAAGGGCAAGATTATTGAGACCACAGGGCTGGGCCCTTGGCACTTGAGAGGTTCCAAGCACCCACACCTGAACTGCTGACCAGAGTGACTAGAAAGCATAAAGACTCCTTTTGTATCCAGGTCACCATCATGTTACCTTCTGCACCAGTCTGGCTCCTCTATGGTCCCCCATACAACCAGAATCATTCCTTTGCTCATGCCATTTCCCCTTCAATGAATGCCCTCCCACTAGAAGAAGTCTAATGGACTACAGGTACGCAAGAGGTGGTGAAATGATAACCCTGTGGCTTACAATGCTATTTGCTGTTACAGGCATGGCCCTACTTCCTTAGCTGTGTTATAGGCCCCATTTTTTTTTTTTTTTTTTTGAGATGGAGTCTCGCTCTGTCAACCAATCTGGAGTGCAGTGGCACAATCTTGGCTTACTGCAACCTCCACTTCCTGAGTTCAAGTGATTCTCCTGCCTCAGCCTCCCAAGTAGCTGGGATTACAGGTACCTGCAACCATGCCTGGCTAATTTTTGTATTGTTAGTAGAGGCGGAGTTTCACCATGTTGGCCAGGCTGGTCTCAAACTCCTGACCTCAAGAGATCTGCCTGCCTCCGCCTCCCAAAGTGCTGGGACTACAGGTGTGACCCACCACTCCCAGCCAGATCACATTTTAAAGTAACAAGATGAACACCTCTGAAGCCACCATTTAGCCTGAAAGCTAGGGCCTTAGCAATGGCTGACATTGGCTGTGTGTTCCACCCCATCCCACCTGATCCCCGCCTTCTCCAAGGTAGTCAACGCTCTGAATCCCATGTACCTTCTTTCTGTGTTTTCCTTTTTCTTTTCTTTTGAGACAGGGCCTTGCACTGTTGCCCTGGCTGTAGTGCAGTGATGTGAACACAGCTTACTGCAGCCTCAACTTCCTGGGCTCAGTCAATCCTCTTGGTTCAGCCTCTTGAGTAGCTAGGACTACAGGTGCATGCCACCATGCCTGGCTAATTTTTGTATTTTTTGTAGAGACAGGGTTTCACCATTTTGCCCAGGCCAGTCTTGAACGCCTGGGCTCAAGTAATCTGCCTGCCTTGGCCTCCTAAAGTGCTGGGATTACAGGCGTGGGCCACTGCACCTCTCCTATTTTCCTTTTCTGTCCTCTCATCTTACCTATTCCTTGGAGTCCTAAAATGTGTATATTACATTTTAACTCTCTTTACCTGCTTTAAGAAGGTGTCATGCTGTTTGCAATGTTTTAGGACTTACTTTTCTTACTTAATAATAAGTTGATAGGCATTGTCCATACTGTTAGGGGTCACTGCAGTTCCTCTCTTTTGACTACTGAATGGCACTCCATGGTAGGAACACCCCTCAGTTTGCTTATCCATTCTTCCATCAGTAGGCATTTGAACAGTCCTACTGTAAACATTTTTGTGTAAAAGTTTTTCTAAGGTATACATCTACGAGTGGAATTGCTGGGTCACTGTGTATGAGACTGTTCCTCTGAAGGCTGTTTAGCTATTTTCCTGAGTGGTTGATTCCTTTATACTCCCACAGCCAACAGGTAGACAAGCTATGCACCACCTCTTCCCCAGCACTCAGCATGGTCAGCCTTTTCCATTTGTGCCACTGGAGTAGTGGTAAAATGGCATCTAACTGTGTCCTGTGCCATTTCCTGCTCATCTGTGCCTCAAGACCCAATTCATGAATGACTTTGCTAGAGAAGCCCTCCTTGACCAGCACACATGTCCCAATCTCTGTTTTGACAGCCACTTACTGTTTGATGTTTTCTGCTACCTCCCCACGGGGTTCTTCACCTCTTTACATCAGAGGATATCACATTTCTTTTCTAACTCTTGTATCAGGTGCAAGGGCAGTGTGTTGTACATAGTAGATCCTTCAATCGATTATTTCTGTTTGAATAAAGCAGAATTCTTGTTTGCAAAGATGAAGGAAGTCAAACACCAACTGTGAGACATGCAGCAGGGTCCCAAAGGTACCGTGGATAGGAAGCTGGGCAACGAGTTCATGATTGCAGATCAGAGCTGGCCAGGTGAGACCCTAGTTAGCCACTCTCTGAAGGCCTCACAGTGGCAGCTACTTGGAGGAGTGTGAGTTCATCCAGCAGGCTTGAAGCCAGGCCTCTGGGGGCTCAGACCTGTCATGGGTCAGCTGATGTTCCTTCTGGGAGGGATAGACTTCTCCTTCTGTCGGGAGGAAATCAAATCACCAGCTCATTATAAGGCCTGCTCCAGTCAGAACACTGTCTTCAGATTCAGCTCCTGCATGTTGGAAGCTGTCAGCCAGGAGCATGGGGTGGGGCGGGATTCCAGTGAGTTCCAGTCTATGACTACAGGTACTTGGCACCACTCCATGTGGCAAGACACCCCATGTGCCATGTGCCAGGCCAGGCAGGGGCTGTGGTGGCCTGCCTGGTGGGGTGCCCAGGGACTTGGGCAGGGGTTCAGGGACAATACCACTTATCAAAGCCTGCCTGGAGAGGGTTTTGTCTCTCTGAAGAAAGTTGGCAGCTCGAGGGAGGCAAGGACTAGCCCAGGATGACCAAGTCCCACAATGCTGCCCCTCTTTGCTTAGCTGGAGGGTTTTTGCCAAGGGCCTCTACATTCCACTGGGGGCCAAGGGAGCTGCCTCACTGTGGCCTCAGACCAGAGGATGTGACAGAAAACAGGAGAGGAGTGGGGAGGAGACTTTTCAGATTTTGCTTCTCAAACACAGACTTCTCCGTGTGAGTCACTGACCGGGATTCTGCCCTGGTTTTTGTTTCCCTGCCATCTCCCTACAACCCAGGGAAGCACTAACAAGCCTCCTGTTCACCACTGTTTCAGGCTTCTGCTCTTGATCTAAGCAGTGACCCCTTCCATTGTCATGGGCTTTCGCATTTTTAAGGAATGTTCCCATCCATTGTGCCATTTGATCTTCCTCATGTGTGCTCGTCACAAGCTTCCTTATGGAATCCCCATTTGTGCTAGTTCTATGTGGGTTCAGTTTTGAGCTCTGACCCAATTCTCCTTGGGTCCATCCCTCTTCCTGTCCTGAGTCTTGCATCCTGGCAAGCTAGCCTTAGAGTTGCTCAGACTATTTTTTGATATGGAGTGAAGGGACCTCGTGTCCCACCAATGTGGAAGATGCTGAATTTATTACACACACAGTGAACACCTGTTATGCAATTATCTGCACTTAGCTTAGTCCATCTATTCTAGGTGCTCCTGAATTCTGCTATTCACTTAAGGAATACTGAAGGTATCATGTGAGAGGATGCTAAGGATACAGAGACCTAATGCATGGTCTTACTCTCAGTGGGGAGAGTCTTATATCCAGCCACTGCAAAGGTGGTCATGAAAGGTATGGGTTCAGTGGCCTCCAAGCAAAACATCTGCCCTTGGGAGGGAGGCAGGCCTAGCTCTGCTGTTTACCAGCAATGTGACATTGGCCAAGCATCCTATCCTTCTTGCATGCTTCTTTGTAAAGGGTCACACAAGAGCTATCTTTTACCCCCTGCCTGCAGGGTTTCAGCTGCTTCATGGTCATTGCTACAGTTAATTCTCACAACCCACTGAGGCCAGCATTATTTCCATTTAACAGATGAGAAAACTGAAGCTCCAACAAGCAAGTAGCTTGCCCAGTTCACCCAGTAAATGGTAGAGTACAGAATCAAATCCACCAATGTTTGGCTTCTAAACTCAAGTTCTTTTCGTTCCTGGATTCTGCCTCATAGGCCTGTTGTGAAGATTAATATTTTTAATGCAAAATATCCAGAACAAAGCCTAGATTGCGGCGGGGTCCTGGTGAGAAGTAGCTACTGTGATCTCACGAGGATTTGTCCTCCCTTCACTCATTGCTGCCCCATGGCACCATGCACCTCTCACATAAAAGATAGGGGCCTATATTCCCCTTGTAGTAATTAATCCATGTGCCAATGTGTTTATAGAAAGTAGCTCATGCTGTGTCTTTCGTTTCTAAGGATCCAATCATGTTTAGCAAGCAGGCTCCCAGATGCAAGGCCAGTTTCTTTCAGCTAAACAAAGGGGAAGAAATTATCCAGGAATTCTGACAAAGAAAGCAATTACTCCAGTCTGACATACATCAGTTACTGGTGCCCAAACTGGGCTTTTTTGTCTAAATTACCTGAGTGATGTGTCTGCATTGATTCAGGTTCATTTGTTTATTTTTCTTATTGGCTCTTTCACCAAGCAGGTGTTCATCAGCCATCACTCCTCATCCTGCACATGCAGGGCAGCAGAAAGGCGAGGGGTCAAGCCTGAGCTGGGCTGGGCAGCTTCGGTTCCCCTGTAAGTGCACACAGTTGTCTGGGGAAAAGAGGAAATTTCTAGAGCCCCTCCCCACCCACAAAACTTCCGTGATTGTGCCAGCAGTGAGTTCTCTTTCTTTCCTTTTCCTGAAGTCTTTCTCCTCGCTGTAGTCCCTCTGCCTCTTCTGTTGTGACCACCCCAGGTGCCCATGTGGTTCTGGTGAGCCATCAGCTAATCCCTCCTGAGCATTATCTAGCCTGGACATTTCAGTAACTATGATGCTGCTTACATTTCTGTAACACTTGGCTTTCACATCCATTATCTCATCTAATCTTCACATTAGTGCTTTGAGACAGGCATCAGCATTGCCATTTTAGATAGGAAAAAAAAAAAACTGAGAAAGAAAGAGAATGCGCTTATCCAGGTCACCAGGCCAGTGAGGGCAGAGCCAGCACCAAAAACAAGGGAGGAAACTCAGGACTATGCTTCCTGGCTCCTGGGCAAGTTCTCCTTTCATGACCACATTCTATATTGTTCAAAAAAGCATCCAACACCCATAAAGGAGTGAATATTTAGTGGAGAAATTTCTGGCCCCCATGAGAAGTAATGGGGGAGTTGCTTTTGAATGTGTGAGGCATTTGAGAAGCTTGTCAAAGTATACCTCTCAGGCAGCTGCCTTCTCATGGGGTGGAGCTAGATGACGGTACAGGTCTAGTGTCGCCACCTCCCCAAACAAGATGCCTTCTCTCTATAGGGCTTTGGAATCTCAGCAGTAATTGGTGATGCAGATAGAAAACCACAGGAGTTGGATACACCCCTGACAACAGCAATCATGTTTGACATCTTCCAGGGCAGAGATGCCATGCTGAGATAGAAGCAGTGGCAGCTGGAACCTGGATAGTTAGAGCCAGCCAAACCCCTTTTGACAAAGATCATAAAGGTCTTTGCAAACATTAATTAATTCTCCCCTCCCAGTGAAGAGAGAGAAACTTGCTTTCCAAGCACATCAAAGGAAGGCTTAGGTGACAAGGGGATGGCCTCACTCCTCACCCCGCAGGAAGCTTGCTTCCCTTCACCTCCAACAGCCACACACCAAGGGGAGACCAAATCATCCAGCGGAGCTTCCTGGCCTTGAGTCGTGGCATCTGGCTGCTTTTCTGGTCCAAATCTTCCACACTCAGAAGAGCTTTCACTCCCAACTCATCCAGCTCACCTGTTTGTAAAGAGACCCTGAAGATAAATGTAGGTTTGGGCTTCTTCTCCCCCTACCCCTTCCCTTTTATTTGTTTCCTTCTGTAATTATTGGTGGAGAATTTACACCATCCACTCACCTGGATGCTGGAAATGATCAGGGCTTGGTGATGTAACAGAATTCATGTGGTTTTACTTTAAATGAATTTATCATGGTCATTTTTGTGTCTCTAAGATAATGGTCTGCTTTTCTATGCCCCTCACATCAGTCTCCTCCAAAACTGAAAACTCTGGAATTGCAACAAATGCACTTTGTAAACTGTAAAGTGTCACATGGATGTCAGTTCTGATTGATATCTTCCTGTTCCTTAGCAGAACTGCTTCTCAATTCTTTGTGCTGTATATCCATGAAATTGTGTGATAGTTTAAGACACCATAAAACAGTATGCTAAAGTAAAAGAAAGAAAGAAATATGAAATTACCATCACTAAAGGTAAAGTATTTAAAACATTGCTATCTGTGCAGTGCTAAATGACTAGCTGCCTGGAGGAGTTCTTGTGACACTCCTGAATTGAAGCTTTAGTGACTTGTCATTTGTTCACTCCTTCTACAAGTGTTTGTGGAATGTTCCAAAGGGCAGGGCCAAGTCAGGCCCCAAGGTAGAGTGGTTAGACCCAGAGCAGGCCTCTCAGCCTCAGTGGACAAAGATTTACATGTGGTCCAGGTTACATCAAGGAGAGGATAGGCACTGTGTTTCTCTGATACAGCTTGTCTTCCCTTTCCCTATTTTCCAAATTAGCCAATCTGCCTCCCATGATTTTTTCCACCTCACTCCAGTGAGTTCAAATCTGCTGAAATCTCAGTCTCAGCCTCTAATTTTTAGGTCCTGATGATTTTCAATAATAAGCTGAAAGACTCTTTCAGATTTCAATATCTTAGTGAAAAAGAAAAAAAAAGAAAGCCAAAACCAAACAATTCCTAAAATGGCAAACCAATTCTCCTCAATCTCCCAAAGGGCTTAATGGGCAGTTTGCTTTATTTTTATTTTTATTTTTTTATTTTATTTTTATTTTTTTGAGATGGAGTCTCACTTTGTGGCCCAGGCTGGAGTGCAGTGGTGCGATCTCAGCTCATTGCAGGCTTTGCTTCCCAGGTTCAAGCGATTCTCCTGACTCAATCTCCTGAGTAGTTGGGATTACAGGTGTGTGCCACCACACCCAGCTAATTTTTGTATTTTTAGTAGAGATGGGCTTTTGCCATATTGGCAAGGCTGGTCTTGGACTCCTGATCTCAGGTGATCTGCTCACCTCGGCCTCCCAAAATGTTGAGATTACAGGCATGAGCCACCGCATCTGACCTACATCTTTGCTTTTAAACATCCAGTTGCTATGCAGACATGAAACCTTATACCCTTCAGCTTGGCTCCCTCAGGCCTGGGTGCCCTGGACACCCACATGAAAGAGGATCTTCTCCATTTCTGCACAGCTTGAAGTCGGAGGTCAGAACTGCTCGGACCCCTCCCTTTACCCTGGGCTCCCCTTTCTGTCCTGTTCCAAAGCTTCCTGTCCTTGGACCTCAAAAGGCAGCCACCTGGCCCCTCAGCCCCACACATGACTCTGACCTTCATGCCCTCCTTGGTTATAGTCCCCATCTCCATCTGGGGTGAGCTACCCTGAAGAATGCTCTTACCTGGTGAGTGGCTCACCCAGCCATGCATCACCCTATGTCTCCCAGCCTGGCCAGTGGTACCAGCTCAGACCTGCCTGCTTTTCTCACAGTTCTCTCTGCTCAGTGCTGTTCTGCTTCCTGAGGGCAGCATTGCTGTCCTCCATGAGGCTCATTCTTGGTCTGCTCTCCCTGGAAAATAGAGTGATGGCCTCCACCCATAACCACTGAATTCCACCTTTGTTTCTGATTGGCCTGGCTGGTTACTCCCAGAAGCTTCCCCAAAAGAACAGTGCATCAAAGAGGATTTACAAAACAGTGTCACAGTTGATCATACAAATTGGGTCTTTCTTGTCATATTCAACTAAAACAGAGTCAAGAGGCCTGGGGGGAAACACTCAGGGCACATAGCATTGCTCGAAGGATACAATTCTCTGTGCTCCTGGCTGCTGAAACTGCCTGCTGTTAACCTCAAACCAGTTTTCTCTAACAGCCACTGAAATAATCTGCTGAAATCTAACACCACCATTCACCAATCAGTGTTTGCCAGTGCCCCCAAAACTTTACTAGTGCCAATGAACTTTCTATCAAAACAATTTGTAACATTTATGTTTTTATGAAACCTCCAAACTTCTCTGCCCTTTGGACAAACAGAAGACCACCTGGTCTGTGTGTATGCCCTGAATTGCAATTCTTGCTTCCCAGATAAAACATTTTTAACTTACAGATTTGTGTCGGTAGTTTATTCAACTTCAACAACAGTAATGTCTTTCTGTAGCGTTAGTGACACGCCAATGAAAGATTAGTATCTGCATGTTTTTACAGCATCCTTTCAGTTATGTATATAATATTAGAATTATATATTATAATATTATTATACAGCATATATTGTATATAGTATATATATTATATTATATACGTGTATAATATATATTACATATGTGTATAATATATAATATAATGTATAATATATTATATATTACATTATACTAGATTATAATATTATAATGTTATAACATTATAATATATTATATATTATAATATTATAATCTAGTATATTATATATAATGTAATATATATAATATACAATTATAATACATATTATATATAATATACAATGTATAATATATATATATAACATATATATGTATAATGTATATATATAATATATAATGTATAATGTTATAACATTATAATATATAATCTAGTATATTATAATATAATGTACTATATAATGTATATATAATATACATTATATATACATTATATAGTACATTATATTATATGTACTATATATATATATATATAGTATATATATATATAGTATATATATATATAATGTATATATAATAGTATATATATATATAGTATATATATATATAATGTATATATAATATAATCCATTATAATATATTATAATGTTATAATATATAATCTAGTATAATATTATATATTATATATAATTGAAAGGATATATATATATATATATATATATATATATATATATATATAAAGAGAGGGAGGCAGGATCTTGCTCTGTCATCCAAGCTGAAATGTGGTGGCATGGAGTGCAGTTCACAACAGCCTTGGCCTCCTATGCTAGGGTGATTCTCCCACCTCAGCCTCCCAAAGTAGCTAGGACTACAGGTGCATGCTACCAAACCTGGCTAATTTTTGTATTTTTGGTAGAGATGGGGTTTCGCTATGTCACCCAGTTCGGCTGCTCTTGAACTCCTGGGCTCAAGCAGTCCTCCCACCTTGACTTCCCAAAGTGCTGGTATTACAGGCGTGAGCTATCACACCTGGTGGCAGTAATATTTGTTAGCATTTATTGATGTTTACTCTGCATTAGAGAAATATTTTACCTGGATAATATCATGTAAGTCTCACATTAACCCTTTTGAGGGAGATTTGATTATTATCTTCTCTCTATGTATGAGAAAACAGAGGCATAAAGAGGTTTGGTAAATTACCCAGAATCACAGAGCTTACAAGTGTGTACTCTAGCTTTGGCCTGGGGAGTTCAGCCCGCACCATGCTGTGGACCTCCATCTCATTCTGCTTCATTTCCAGCACTCCTTCTCTCCTGGAAGTAAATTTGTTGGGCCCTGTCTTCATGGCACCCTCTAGAGGGGCAATTCATTGAGGTCATTGAAGCTTTACCACACAGGAAGAACCAGTGGAGAGTACAAGGAGGTAGCCCTGTCCTAGGAAACTTAATGGGCGGCTGGGGAAGGGAAGGCAGCTTGGGAGCCCTTCAGCTTCTTCTGCATCAGTGGCTGTCTTTTCTGTTCTCTCTTTTGTGGGACAGTGATAATTAGATTCTCTGAAAAGGGAAATGGAGGAGCTTGAACCAGGATCCTGTCTCATCCCTGACATCTAGCACCTTTGGAGCATTAGAAAATCACATCTTCTCTCTGGATCTCCATTTTCTCACCTGCAAAACAGGCATGATAATTTGTACATGAATACAATGGGTCATTATAAGGGTAAATGAGATGAACAGTGGAAAAGCACCTAGTAGACTCTAATGTACTGCATGAATGTCATGAGAAACATTCTTTGTTATTGAGTGATTAATATTGAGGATACTGTTTAAAATGTGATCTCATGGGTACCTCTGCCCTTGGTGTTTCTTTATATACCTTGGCCCAGTTAGGTAGCTGCAAGTAGGCCAGGGTGTGCTCATTATCACAGCAAAGAGGAGTAGCAGAACAGGGTAGAGGAAAAAAAGGGGAAGATCTTTTTGGCTTTTTTAGTTTTCAAAAGTCTAGGCCCTTTTATTGGGAACCTTCTGGGCTAAAGAAAATGCTCTGTATCTTGTTCAAAGTGAATGCTTAAGATCTGTGCATTTTCTTATGTATAAATGACACTTAAAAATGCAAATCAAAACAAAATAAGTCCAGGTTCTTAGAGGAACAAGAAAGACTCAGGGCATGCACAACATATCTGGCAGAAAATGTGGGAGGAGACGATATGGCTAAGCGCAAGGCTTTCTTGCCTCCTCCCAGGCGAGGGGTTGGAGACAGAATCAAGAGTTAGGTGTGGTGTTCAGGTGGACAGGTTCTGGAGACAACAGGACAAGCAGCCCATTCCCCAGGCTGTGAGCCTCAGGGAGGCCCCAAATCTTAAATAAGCTTGCAGCCTTCAACACTCAGAAGTCATGGCTTCTAGGAGAAGAAATGGTATGATGTGACTAGGTGGACTGGACATTTGTCCACCTCCCATTACACAAGAGATGTTGAATCATGTTCATGGGTCCAAGAGAGGACACAGATCAGGAGAAGTCCTTGTGGACAAATTGTGTGGATGCTTGGTCACAGGCCAGTTGGGACAGTGGAAGTTTCTGTTAATAATACAAGTTGAAACTAATGTGTAAAGATGAGAGGTCCCCTTTCCCAAAGCCTCAGAACCATGTAAGTCTTGCCATCATTACCCTGTGCCTGGAACTTACTGGAATCCCAGAGGAAAGAGGGGAAGGGAACTCCAATATGACCGAGATTAGTTGTTAATGGCCCAGGAGAGTTGGAGGTAGTAATATACAAAAATAATGTCATTTATTTTGCATAGTCGTGGTTTAAAAAAATTTTTTTTATTTGAAACAGAGTCTTGCTCTGTCACCCAGCCTGGAGTGCAGTGGCACGGTCACAGCTAACTGTGGCCTTGACCTCCTGGGCTCAAGCAATCCTCCCACAGCCTCCCAAGTAGCTGAGACTACAGGTGCCCACCACCATGCCCAGCTTTTTTTTTTTTTTAATTATTTTTAGTAGAGACGTGGTCTCACTATGTTGCCCAGGCTGGTCTTCAACTCCTAAGCTCAAGCAATCCTCCCACCTCAGTTTGCCAAAGTGCTAGGATTATAGGCATGGGCTACTGCACCTGGACAGCATAGTCATGTCTGATTTCTGAGAGTTGCACCACTTCATTAAATTTTGTTTAACTATATTTTCAAATCATGTAATCTACAGAGAGTGTCTCTGCAATGTCCCAAAAATGCGCTCAGAACACTACACAGCTTAATTCAATTAAAGCAGAAATCTGCATGCTACAGAAAGTGTTCTGAGTTAAGAAAGAGGTGTTTCCATTAAGTATGCTTTCCATCTAAAAGTCTTGGTAGTGACATTCCACGTTTCTTTTTGACACTTGCTTCAGCTCAACACAACGGTTTTACAATCTAGGACCATGAGGACTGTATAATATTCTCCAAGATTTTCTTAATTAATGGAGTATCTTGGAACATTTGCTTAATCTACAGCAACATCCTTTCTTTTTCTATCCCAAGCCTCTCCCAGAACTGTTGCTGAAGCTGTCTTCCCAATGGAGGGCTGATGACAGAAGATGCCTGCTGGCTGTCCACTGCAACTCTGTATCCAGAGTGAAATTGAGGCTTGCTAGAAAGATTTTAAAGGCATTTTTTTAAAGATAAGAGGGCATCATTAACAACTTTATGCCAGTACATTTTGGTAAAATGTATAAATTCCTAGAAAAACAAGAGTTACCAAAACAAACACAAGAATAAATAGAAAATCTAAATAATTAATGCATCATTTAAAAATCTTCCTGTAAAGAATACCCCAGACCCAGATGACTTCTCAGGTGAATACTACCAAACATTTAGAAAAGAAATGGCATCAATTTTACATAAGTCTTCCAGAAAACAGAAAAAAAAAAAAACACTCCTCAAGATTTTTATGATGCCAGAAAAACCTGATTTCAAAATTTGATAAGAACCTTATAAGAAAGCAAACTTAGAGGCCCATTTCATTCAAGAAGATAAATGCAAAAATCCTAAACAAAATATTAGCAAACCAAAAAAAAAACACTATATGAAAAAAAAGAATGCATCATAACCAAATTGAATTTATTCCAGGAAAGCAAAGCTGGTTTATCATTGAATAATTCTTCACCACACTAATGAAATAAAAAAGAAAATTGTACAATTATTTCAATAAATGTAGAAACTGCATGTGATAAAATGCAACACATATTCCTAAACAATTCTTAGCATATTGGTAATAGAAGAAAACTTCCTTAATAAAAAAAAATCAGTTTTTAAAAATTCACAGCAAACATATAAAGGTGAATTTTTCTAACTTTTCCCTGTAAGAACAGAATAAGACAAAGACACTTGCTTGAATAGTGCCTTACTTCTCAATATTTTACTTAAGGTCATAGCCAGTGCAAGAAGGTAAGAAAAAGAAATAAAACATATAAGGATTGTAAAGGAAGAAATAAAGCTAAAATTACATGCATATTACATGATTTTGTGCTTAAAAAATTCCTAAGAACCTAAAGACATACTATTAGATTTAGTAAATAAATTGAACAAGGTTGTTTGAAACAGTCAATTTATAGAAATCACAATTATAAGTTATATTCAAAGGATAACACTTAAAAATCTCATAAATTTAACAAAATAGATTTTGTTAGAAATAAATCTAACGAACACGTTTAAGAGTTCTATGCTGAAAACTACAAAACATTGTTAAAAATATAAAAGAAGAGCTAAATAAATGAAGAGATGTTTATGGATTAAAGGTTCATTTATCTCAAGATGTCAGTTCTCAAATTGATCTATTCCAATGCAATGCAAATCCAATAAAAAATTCCAGGTATTTTGTAAAAATGAAGAAGCTGATTCTAAAATTTTTGTGATAATGCAAAGGGGCTAGAATAGCCAAGCAATTTTGAAGAAGAACAAAATTGAAAGAATTTCTTAACTGGATACCAAGACTTTGGAAAGACTTCAGTGTCATATCGACACAGGAGAGACAAACAGATCTTCAGAACAACGCAGAAAGTCCAGAAGACCCAAATATACATGCACACTTGATTTATGAGAAAGCACCATAGCAGAGTAGTGGGGACAGGATGGCTTTTCAACAAATGGTGATGGGTGAAAAAACAATGAAAGTTGGTGTATACAACCAATACATTTAAGAATCAGTTCTGTAGGTGGAAGAAACCAGACACAAAAGGCCACATTTTGTATAACCTTAATTGTATGAAAACTCAAAAATAAGCAAAAACCAAGATGTGGTGTTAGAAGTCAGGCTAATGGTTACGTTTGCGGAGGAGCAACAGGTAGTCTTTGGAAGGGCCATAAGCACAGCTCCTGAGGTTACATAAGGAGTGGTTACATGAGTGTGTTCACTTTGTAACAATTCACCAAACTATCACATGAACTTAAGGTATGCGCTCTTTTCTGTACACATGTTATATTTTAATTTAAAGTTAAAATTTTTTTGACCTTTCTACTTTACAGCTTCATAATGTTTTATTTCTCTAGGCCTCTTTTTTTATTTTTTATTTATTTATAGAATGGGGATCATGTTACAGTAGGTAGGTAGTCAGGCAGACATAAGTAGTGCAGAAGAGCCTGCCCCTCACCCAACCAGGAATGTCAGGCAACCATCAGCCAATAGGCAGTTGTTAAGCTGTCTCTCTAAAATAATAATTGGTTGCAGGCAGCACCAGTGAAAGGCAGTCTCCCAATAGACAGAAACACCTGAAAGTGATGATCACCAGCTTCCAAATAAGACCTCAGGAGTTGGGCAAGTGGTCTCAAGCATATGCACTAAGAGGGAAAGTGGTGGAGTTTAATTAGTACATAACCTTCTTCTAGGAACACTCTACTGATAAGGGAGGAGCACCTGGTGTGAGCACGTGTACAACTCCAGGAAACATACTGCGCATGCAGCCCCCCTCCCAAGTGCTAACAGGCCACTGCACATGTGGACAGCCTGACACAAGGGAAGAATCGGGGAGAAGGGATGCAATTCTCTGGAAGTTTGCCAATGTATAAGACCCCCAAGGCAAAGGTCAGACCATGCACTTGACTCTCAAGTTGCCCACTTGGCCCTCTTCCAGGTGTACTTTACTTTCTTTTACTACTGCTTGAAAACTTTTTAATAAGCTTTCACTCCTCCTCTGAAAGTTGCCTTGGTCTCTCACTCTACCTTATGCCCCTCAGTCAAATTTCTTTTTTCTAAGGAGCAAAAATTGAGATTGCTGAAGACCCACACAGATTTTCTGCTGCTAAATATTATAATAGCCTCTCTCTTTTAGGATGTGAGAATTAAATATGATACGTTTCATAAATAAGTACTTTGTTCAGTGACTGGCCCATACCAGAAGCTTGATAAGGATTCAATGTTCTTAGGTGTTAAGGTCACTTGGATAGTTAGCGGTGGAACTGGAATTAAAACCCATCCAAACAAGGTACTTTTAAAAAAAAATCACATGTCCTATATCACATGGCTGCTTATTAACATGACTTGAATGAAATGCTGGATTTAAATAGCATTTGCTGTGAGTTATCATAGCTAGTCTCCATTCTCAGTTTTATGTTTTGCAAGAGATCAAGTGTATTCATTCCTCCCAGTTCTCAATTCCTATGAGTATACTTTGGAATCTAAAGTATTTTAGTGTATCTACCCCCACTAAAAATGAAAATAAGCCCTAAATATTCCAATCACCTCGTTAGAAAACTGTTCAGAATTGTTGGCTCCATCCAGCCCCCAAAAGGGAGAAGAAAATTCAGTTTGAATCAGATTGTAACCAAGACCTCATTAATTGGCATAAAGGAAAAAAAATTAAAAGATATATTAGCTATCAAGAGGAATGTTTGGAAAATCACTCAAAGATGAAGCAACTGAAAAAAAGAGCTGTGTGCTCATTAATTAGCACATCAACAGACTTCTGTCCCGTGGATTTGATCACAGTGAATGCACTTTTGGATGTGAATCAGAGGTTCCCGAATCTTAATGAAACCAGTCAGCAAGAGTTAGTTACAGCTGGATCCTGGGCCACAAAAAAGACAGGGCTCAGACCAGGGTAAGAGTTTGAATTCATCTGAATTGGACCCTTCTAGATCTCAAACATGTTTTTGGAGGGCCCTGTTTAAAAGCAATTTGAGTAAAGATGTGTTATAAGATTCATGGGCCATATAACTTTTAATGACTTATCAACAAAGATTTAGAATCATTGGTAGAAAAGAGAGGATTATGTCTTAATCCTGCAGTTAGGGCACATGAAAAGTCTTTGTAGTGTACAGACACCATCTCTTCTGGCTCTGGTTCAGGAGCCATTGTGTCATGTTCTTTATTGTAAAATGTGCCTTGGCTGGCTTGTTTCATATTTCTCATCTTAAGGAAAAAGTAGCAACGCTGTTATTGCTGGCAATGCCACGGCTCTTTAGGACCTGTTAGTATTGAAACTATAGATCAACTTGCCTCTGGAGTTCTCTGATGTCATTTATTTCACGCTGGGTGCATCATTACTCATGACACTGCATCCTCCATCATGGCCCTGGTGAATATTGGCTTCTTATGGGTCCCTAAAGGTTGTCACTGTGCTTTGTTTGTGATGACTACAAATGCAAGTTTCACCTTCAGTGTGCAGGAAAATGTTTTCTGGTCATCTTGAACTTACCATCTTAGATTTTATGGTGCAATACATTCTGCAGCCATGTCTTCTCTTGATTGCCTTAGGCCATGATTGCTGCATTCCTAGAATGGCATCTCTTTCAATGCTGATCTCATCCCTGCCTTTCACAAACCCGTCTGCCATGGGAAGGCAAGACTAGGGAAAAACAGTGATCCTATTCACCAAATAGGTCCATCCCTCATTTGGCATGGCTTAAGATTGACCTATGAAAACAAAATGTCACCACATGATTGGAGGCAAGAGAAAGAGGATATCAATCAGATGGGCTGCTGACATTGTGGAGCAAAGACTCAAAAGCCCTTGGAGGAAGTGTTGTTCTCCCTAGACGACTGCCTAACATGTGGCACAGACCTGCAGAGAAGATAGAGTGGCCATCCTGGGTGCCAGCCACAGCAGGTGCACAGGTAAATGACTCGACTGCCACCTCCTGCCATCTTTGATACTGTAGAATGGAGGCTGACAGCTTCCATGCAGTTGGAACATGGAAGGGCATGAGCCAAACCATGGGCACACAGATGTGGTCAAGAACAAGAGCTTGCCATTGATTCTTAGTAGCCCAGAGCCCTGAACTTGTCCTTTGTCCAAATCAAGTGAAAATCAACCCAAATCAGCACATCAGCACAGCAGAATTCTGATGAGGCACCTCTTCCTGTGTGCTTTTCTTTATCGCTGCACTGTAACAATCACATGCTGTTGTAACAGTTTCAGTGTGTTTTCCCAAGTAATTGGTGATCTCCTTAAGGTCAGAGATTGCTTCTATTTATCTTTGTATTTGTAGTCACTGCGGAGTAACGGATACATAATTGGTGTCCAATAAAATGCCTGCTGACCAATAAGTGACTTAAGGAATGTGTGATGGGCGTGAGACTTTTTAGTAATAATTGTAAGAGTATTTGCACAGACTCATTGTCATTTATAACATCAAATTTAAAATGTTTCTTCCACAGTAAACATGATGTACCTTTCAGTTTGTCAGGCTTCTGAGCCCAGGCTAAGCCATTGTATCACCTGTGACATGCACGTATATGCCCAGATGGCCTGAAGTAATTGAAGAATCCAAAAGAAGTGAAAATGGCCTGTTCCTGCCTTAACTGATGACATTCCACCACAAAAGAAGTGAAAAGGGCTGGTCCTTGCCTTAACCGATGACATTACCTTGTGAAATTCCTTCTCCTGGCTCATCCTGGCTCAAAAAGCTCCCCTACTCCTGCCCTCCAGAAGAACAACCCCCCTTTGACTCTAATTTTCCTTTACCTACACAAATCTTATAAAAACAGCCCCACCCCTATCTCCCCTTTGCTGACTCTCTTTTCCGACTCAGCCCGCCTGCACCAAGGTGATTAAAAAGCTTTATTGCTCACACAAAGCCTGTTTGGTGGTCTCTTCACACGGACGTGAGTGAAACAGCTCTCATTATCCCTATTTGAATTGTCCTGGGTTTGGGAGCTTGCTACTTAGGGCTGCAGTCCCTTCCATGGTTTCATTCTAGATACAATGTATATAACACCATGAGGACAGTGATAGCCATAATCTTAGTGTGCAACACATTTATCATGATTGTTGGGAGACTCAACTTCTAATTTCTGGTTATCGTGAGCTATTTTTCAGGGCAAGCATTCCTAATAAAAACAACTAAAAATGTTAAGTAAGTTATTTTTTGACATCCTTTTTTAACCCAGCATATAATGAAGCAAGCAGCATGTGTGACAACCATCTGAAAAACAGACAACAGACACAAACATGGGAATACTTTTAGATCTTGAAATTATTGGACATGGACTATAAGGTAACTATGCTTACTGTGGTGGGTTGAATCATGGCCCCTGAAAGACATCCATATTCTAATCTCTGGAACCTGTGAATATGTTACTTTACACGGGAAAAGGGACTTTGTGGAAATGATGAAATTAATGATTTTGAGACTGGGGGGCTTATTCTGGAATATCCGAGTGGGTCCAATGTAATAACAGGGGTTCTTATAAAAGGGAGGCAAGTGGATCAGTGTCAGAGAGAAAGAAATGAAAGAATGTAAAAAAAAAGGTCAGAGAGGAGATAAGATGTAACACTGCTGACTTTGAAAATGGAGGAAGGGGTCACAAGCCTAGGCATGTAGGTGGCCTCAGGAATCTGCAAAAGCAAAGGGAATGGAGTCCCCCACTAGACTCTCCAGAGGAAAGCAAGCCTTCAAATATCTTGATTTTAGCCCAGTGAAACTGATTTCAAAATCCATACTTCAAGGACTGTAAGATAATAAATTCATGTTGTTTTAAGCCACCGAGTTTGTGGTAACTAGTTAGGACAGTAATAAGAAACTAATAAATTTACTATGTTTTAAAAAGTAAAGATAAGTTTAAGGATATCTCTGAAAAGATAAAACTATAGTTAGATTTCAAAAATTACTAAATAGTACTTCCAGAAGTTAAAAAATACAATAGTCAAAACGTAAAACTTAATGGATGAGTGGATGGGTTTAGTAGCCAATTCAACACAACTGAAGAGAGAATTGATGGCCTGAAAGTTAAATCGGAAGAAATTCAGGATGCAGAATAGGAAGACAAAAAGATATACAGTAAATAAGTTAGAGAGGCTAAAGTGTGAAAGTCTAACTTAAATTTAGTCAGATTCCAGAGGGAAAATAGTGGATAGGAAATAATAATATCTCAAGAGTTATTGGTGTCTTTCTCACTTCCCAGCTGTATTACTGGCTGCTCTTGGTTAGGGGGCCATCTTGTACCTAAGGTAGGAAGATGGTGGCCACAAAGAAGATAACAAAGTCTCTGGAGTTGATCAACTCTGGTTATGAAAAATGGAAAGTACGTACTGGGGTACAAGCACACTCTGAAGATGATCAGACATGGCAAAGCAAAATTAGTCATCCCCACTAACAATTGGCCAGCTTTGAGGAAATCCAAAATAGAGAACTATGCAATGTTGGCCAAAACTAATGTCCATCACTATAGTGAAAATAGTATTGAATTGGGCACGGCATGAGAAAAATACTACAGATTATGCACAGTGGCTGTCATTGATCTAGATGATTCTGATATCATTAGAAGCATGCCAAAATAGGCTGGTGAGAAATAAACCATGCAAAATTTTTATTTAGTAAAACTTGCCAGAGCTTGTTTTAAAAACATTTTTAAAAAGAGGCATTGTCTGAAATTTTCTGCTACTAATGAACAACATCAAGGAGCAGATTTAAGAATCCCAGTCAATCCTAGATATTTTTGGATGGTTTTATAGAGGCAATAGAGCACAGTGGTCTAGATCAAAGTTTTTTAAAGTTTTTAAGATACTACTGAATTCTAGTTTTGCCACTCAGCTACATAATTTGGGGCAAGTAAATTGACCTCTCTGAGCCTCCATCTCCTTATATTAAAAATAAGGATAGCGTCTGATTTATTGGTTGGTTATAAAGAATAAATATATATAAGTGTGATTAGCACAGGAATAGGTCCAAAGTAATATGAAGTACGTAATTGATAATATTTTTAGTAGTGTACAGAGTGTATTTTCTCATGATGAGTTGAAGTCTGTTTTCTGGTAACTTCTACTCATTTATCTTAATTCTGATTTCTGGAAAAATACAGAACAAGTCTGCTTTCTATTATATCTACACATTCACTCTTTAGCTTTTTGAAGCTTGGCAACTGCAGAAGATCAGGGAATAGGTAAGTGGCCAGGTAAACATCAAGGCTCCCTGACACTGGCCATGATAAGCCAATAGTTCATATGGTTGGAACCATTTTCTTGGCAATATGAAGCCTCTCAAAGGCTCTTGGGGGTCTTAGAATTCAAGAGTATCAGAGCAGCAGTGGGGTATTAGAATCCAGCATTCTTCACCTCATTCGGCAGGTGAAGAATAGGAGGCCCAGGGAGTGGAGATGGCTTAGCCAGAATCAGCTGGTGGCCAAGCCATGGAGGAGCCTCTGAGATATTAAAATACTATGGATGCTTGGGGATAAAAATTTGATTTCCTTCTCATTGGAACAAATAATTTGGGAAATGTCCTATCATAATTGAATTAAATCAAAAGGAATTCTCTTCCAATGGAAACAATGGAAGTGCTGTGTGATGGAAAGACTATGGGCTTTTAGAATCAGTTCTGCTTGACCCTGGGCAGATAACCTTTCCGAGGCTCAGTTTTAAATTTGGGTGGCAATATCTCCCTGACCAGGTTTGTCACAGGGATTAAATAAAACAACACATAAGGTCTAGAATAGAGTAAGTGGACAACAAATGACTAGTTTTTACTATGTTATTTCCCCATGAAACAAACTTATATTAAAAATGAATAAAAAAACCAAGTGACCTCAGAGCCCTAAGAAAGCAACCAAGGAGTTCAAGGTCTTTGCAAACTACTTAAGTCATTCTTTGATTTTTGAATTCCACCATTTATTTGCCAATTATGTTAATTTAAAGAATAGATTAACAATTATGATTTTGAGTATTACATTATTCTTTTTATTTTGTTGTTTTTTGCTTTAATTTTATTTTAAAATATATTTTTTTAATTTTTGTGGGTATATAATAGGTATTTATGGAGCACATGAGGTGTTTTCATACAGGCAGGCAATGTGTAATAATTACATCCTGGAAAATGGGGTATCCATCCCCTCAAGCATTTATCCTTAGTGTTACAATCCAGTTATACTCTTTTAGTTCATTCCTCATTTTAGGTAGATGGTAAAATACTAGGAAATGCCTAAAAAAAGTTTGCAAATCATTGTATAGTGATAAAAATTTTATAGTCATAAAATTCAGGTATGCAAAAATTAAACTTTATTTTTGCATATCTGGATTAAACTTAACTCTTGAAGTCCTCATTTACATTTAATAATGGAAAATTTAATTTTGCTAATTCAGGATAAACTCAGATCACTTCCAATTTAAAATTCATGTAAATAATTTAGTCATTCTGATTTACCCCCTCTTATCCCCTGGTTAGTTCCAGAGAGCTGAACACATGTGACCCAGGGGAGAGGGTGTCTGGTCCTGATCATTCTCTGTCCACATGGTCTCTGCTGAGATGTCTCTTGTCTCATCTGGACCTTGTGTATAGAAGGGCATCTACTGCCAATGCCCATGGTTCTACCAGGTTGTCAGGTGCCAGGCCCACGCGTTCTGTGTTATCCTCACTGACCACGCTGTCCCTCTCTGCCTGTCTATGCTCCTCTAGTGGCCCTCAAAGATTTTGGTGCTTCCCACATGATGCTGGCTTGTGCAGGATACTGGGAGGCTTCCATGGGCCCCCTTAGATGCTGTTTCTTCTCCTGATTTTCTCTTTTCTTTATATTTTAAACAGGTACGTGGGTGATCGTTACACTTGCCACAGATTTCCTCACTCACCACTCACTCCTTTCTCCTTTTGGCATCCCTTCTTCACAATAGATGCTAGAAGGTAAAGATTACATTTCCCAGGCTTTTGTGCAGCTAAGGCTCCACATGTGACCTGTTTTACTGAGATTAATTACTTTTTCAGGATGCATAACAAATGGCCACAAATATAGTGGATTAAGACAATACTCATTTACTATCTCATGGATTCCGTAAGTCAGAAGGCTGGGAGGTCTTGAAGGGGTTCTCTGCTCAGGGTCCTACAAGGCCCAAATCAAGGTTTTAGAGCCAGGCTCTGCTCTTGTCTGGAGGGTCTACAGAATAACCTGCTTCTATGTTCATTCAGATCATCATTGTTGGCAGGATCCACTTCCTCAAGATGATAGGACTGAGGTCCCTGCTTTCTTGTTGGCTTGATCTGTTAGGCAAGGCTACTCTACTCCTGGAGGCTGCCTGCAATCCTCCTCATGTCACCTCTTCCATCTCCAAAGCAGCAATAGAGTGTTGAATCCTTCTCTTGCTTGAAATCTCTGACTTGCCCTCATGTTACCAGCCAGCGAAAACTCTCTGCCTTTAATGGGCTCGTGTGATTTGTTTGAAACTGCTCAGATCATCTTCCTTTTGAATAACTCAAAGTCAACTGATGAGTAACCTTAATAACATCTGAAAAATCCCCTCTGTCATGTAATAGAATCATGGGTTTGATATTTTATCATACTCACACTCCTAGGATTAGAGTGAGAAATCTTACACTGTCATCTTAGGCTCCTGTCCACCACACAGGCCATCGTACCTCTGCAAGACTTGAAACAAAGAAGGAGCAATGTGAGATGGTGGCTGAGCATGTGAGGAAATGGGACCCTCTGGTAAAAGCAAGGTGGCAGGAACATTGAATTCTTCTGGGGCTGGCTGTGGGAGCAGCAGTTCCTGATCAAGGTAGAAGCAGCATGTCCCTGCGGGGGCCCTATTAGGTCCATTTTTTTAGTGTGGGTCAGAGGATTTTTCTCAGGAGCTAATGCTATTATCCATTTCTCTGGAGCTCCCAGTGATTCTGTCAGCTATTGCTAGAACTTTTTGTTTAAACTAGCCAGAGTAGACTCTGTTATCTGCAGCTAAGAACTCTAACAAATACAGTGGTATAATCCCTAATTCTTCCATACCTGCAATATTTTTTTTTGTTCATCCCAGCTGGGTATAGGATCCTTGGAATTGTGTTATTATTTTTCCCCATTAGTCTATATATTCTACTTCATTGTCTAGCTTCTAGAGTTTAAGATGAGAATCTGAAATAAGTCTAATTCTTTTTCTTTGTAATAACATTCTTTCTGATTGGAAGCTTGGAAGACTTTATTTTTAATTGTGTGTGTCATGTTAGGATGGTGATCAATGTCTGGAAAATCCCAGTGAATACCATGATGGGATACGAAGTTTCCTAAGTGGAAAAAGACATGAACACTTTTCTGCAGAGCTGGCCACATAAGGAGGAAATGAGGCAGTCACCTCACAGCAGGATGTGTAGCATCCCAGAGCCCCCAGAATCCTCACAGACGTGCCCAGTGCTGAAGGCCCTGCCCTCATGGAGGGGCAATCCACCGGGCACAAGAAGCCCACTTTTGCCTTTCTTAGGTTTTTTAAATGCCCTTCTGGTTCTTCCAAACCATTCTTGAGATCTGATTATGTACTCCAAAGACAACCAACAGGTACCAACAATACCAGCACATTCTTGAGTATTCAGTGTGTGGTTGTTTTAATAAAAAACAAAAAATCCAGTCTCCAGGCATTCCTGGGTTTAAACCATTTTTTGGAATGATTCTTGCTCTTTGGAATATGAGGATTTTATGAGAATATGCTCAGATGTGTGTCTCATTTCTTCTATCTTTCTTGATTTAAGGGATTCTTTTAATCTTCAAATGAGATCTTTGTTTCTATTATTTGATCATTACTCTTCTTCATCACTTGTTTTTTTACCACCTGAAATTTGTATTTTTCCCTGTTAAGTCTCCAGACTCTCCCCTTTGAGCATCTTTCTTTTCCATTATGATTTTCAACTCTTTGTAATTTTTGGTCTGTATTTATGTATTTATTTATTTATTTTTGAGACAGTCTCACTCTGTTGTCCAGGCTGGAATGCAGTGGCGTGATCATCACTCACTGCTACTTCTGCCTCCTGGGATCAAGCGATCCTCCCACCTCAGCCTCCCAAGTAGCTGGGACTGCAGGTGTGCACCACCATACCCAGTTAATTTTTGTATATTTTGCAGAGATGAGATTCCACTGTGTTACCCAGGCTCATCTTGAACTCCTAGACTTCAGGGATCCACCTGCCTCAGGCTCCTAAAGTGCTGGGATTATGGGCATGAGCCACCCCACTCGGCCTTTGCTTTGTATTTAGAGAAGACTTTACATCTGCCTGGTCATGATGTAGGGTGCAGAGGATATTCTCCTTGGAGTTTGATGATTGCACTCCTAAATCTGAAAATTCTTTTACTTTAATTTCCAAAATCATCTTGTGATTTAATTGAATTCCCACAGTGCTTTTTTGTTAAGGTGTTATTTGACTCTTCCAAGAATTCCCTTTCAATGGGAGTTGTTTTAAATTGGCCTGTCGCTCATTTACTTGCTGAACGTTCCTGACTCCACGTGCCTCCACCTTTGAATTTCCTGAGTTTCATCACTTCCTTTTATCAAGTTCCCTTCTGAGCTCTATTTTTGTTTATGTGTTTCACATTCTTTGCCTTAACTCTTAGCAAGGCAAGTCATTTGCTTTTGTAAGTGGAGTCGAAGGGAGAGGTAAACCCTAGCAATATTCTACCAGCAATTCAGTATCATGTAAGCAAGATACACTTTCATGTGCGTCTCAAACCTCCACCGTTCAATTGAAGCACACAAATAAGTCTCTCTCAAGGTGTGAGTCTTTATGAGGACTGGCTATTTTATATTCATTATGTCCTGATTAATAGTGACTGAATTATCTGGGACACTTATACACAATCCTAGCCTATTAAGGGATACATCCTCCCAAAATGGGTGCTTATTTAAGTTTTCAATATCTCAGTTTATAGATGCAACTTCAGTGTTTAGGGCCCAATAGCTTTTGAATTACTCTCAGATGTTTGAGGCTCCATGCGTGGGGGACACCATTCTACAGAATCATTTTCTGAAATACGGTGGTAGAAATGAAATGGTGCTGCTTTTATGAATTAACTGGGGTCACAATGCCAATAGTATGAGTTCCATACAATGAGGGCTGGGAGGAGTAATTTGGCTTTTTTTACCCACAGAAAAAAAATATAGGCCTTTTAATGCTGTAAGAACCATTTTGTTCAATTCCTAGGAAATTACATTGGCATACAGCCAAAAACTGTAATAATTTTTGGTATCAACCATGATAATTTGTAATACGTCAAGGTGGAAAATTGGACTCACAACTCTTGGCAAGCCTCCAGTCTGAGAGAGAACTTCCGAAAGCAGTGCTGGAATGAGGTGACTGTGTTACTATGCTTCATGTCAGACCCATCCAGATGTTTTCTGAACTTGCTGGTCACATGAACTGACTTATTCTGTAAATTTCATTTTATAGTGCCATCAGGGTTAATACAGTGAGGGTCGGTGGAGCCAGCTGGCTTATTCAATAAATATCTGCCTTTCTGAAAGGAAAAGAATGAAGAAGCCCATTCCTTGTGTGCTTGTGAATTTCTAATAGACTGACTATAGAAATCATCTCTAGCATGTGGCCTAAAGAGCCAGAACAAAGGGGAACTTCTGCAAAAATCCCTGACCTCAGACCTAATCATCTGAAAGTCTTTTTCCAACTGTGGTCTAAACCACCAGACATGTTATCACAAAGGAACAGCAATGTGACTAATGGACAGGTACAGTTAGAAGAAGTTACAAACTTAATTTAATGGCAAAAGGTAAAAAATTACATAGCAGTTAGATATAAGGCAGAAGGCCACACAGCTATAAATGGGGTTTCCCAGAACCCCAAGGGCTGGCCAGCTGATAGTATCACTGCCCAGGCTGAGGACTCCTGGGGAAAAGTAGCTTGTCTCTGCCATTCTTGTGAGGAAGCCACGATTTAAACTCTCATACCCCACCTGCACCTGACTTTGGAGACTCTGTTTAGGTGTCCACCTCCTCACTACATGAAAGACATGAAAGGACTTGGTACAAAACACTCCCAGCACTTACAGAATGTTTATATGACTGGATTAATCAAAAGTCAACTGCACATTTTATATCACTAAGCAAATCTAGACTTTAGCCTCAGGTTCATTTCTGCATTTCAGTAGAAATCATTTCTCTATTGTCAAATGACAAAATTAGAACAAATTTAGCTTTAAAATCTTTTTTTCTTTCTTTCTCCTTCCTTCCCTCCCTCCCTCCCTCTCTCCCTCCCTCCCTTCCTTCCTTGCTTCCTTCCTTTCTTCCTCCCTTCCTTTCTCCCTCATTTCCTCCCTCCCTCCTTCTCTTTTTTTCTTTTCTTTTTCCTCTTTCTTCCTTCCTTCTTTCATTTCTTTCTCTTTCTTTCTTTATCTTTCTTTCTTTCTCTCTTTCTGTCTCTTCTTTCTTTCTTTGTTTCTCTGTTTCTCTTTCTTTCCTTTCTTTGTTTCTTTGTTTCTTCTTTCTTTCTCTTCCTCTTTTTCTTTCCTTCCTTCCTTCTCTTTCTTTCTTTCCTCTTTGCTTTCTTTTTCCCTTCCCTTCCCTGTCTTTCCTTTTCCATTTCCTTCCCTTTCTCTTTTTCTCTCCCTTTCTCTTTCTTTTCTTTCTTTCTTCTTCTTCTTCTTCTTTTTTTTTTTTTTTGAAACAGAGTGTCTCTCTATTGTCAAGACTGGAATGCAGTGGCACAATCACAGCTCACTGAAGCCTTGATTTCCTGGGCTCAAGGAATCCTCCCACTTCAGCTTCCCAAGTAGCTGGGACTACAGGAGCATGACACCATACATGGGTAATTTTTGTATTTTTTGTAGAGATGGGGCCTCACCATGTTGCACAGACTGGTCTCAGACTCCTGGGCTCAAGTGATCCATCTCCATCCACCTCAGCTTCCCAAAGTGCTAAGTTTACAGGCATAAGCCACCATTCCCATCTAGTTTATACATCTTGATTGGCTTTTATTTGCAATTCTATGACTGGGCAATATCTCATTCTATAAGATAGAGTGTTCCAATGAGCCAAGCAGTGAAGGCTGCTTTATAGAGAGAAAAGGGCTGAAGAAAGCAGAAACAGAACACAAAAAGGAGATTGGTCATTGCAAAGTTATTTTCCTTGTGAAGGTTAAAGCAGAAGGGGACTTCCTTATCATGCTGACTAAAACTGGCCTGTTTGGGGGACTTTGCTGTTAACTTTCTCCTGATTTTTCAGAAGGACAGATAAACAGCTTAGTTTCAGTTGAAAACTTCAGCATGAATGACTCCATTTTGGTTTCGTCTGTTGTGTCTAGTGCAGGAGCTCAATTCAAACCAAGAGCCTCCTTTGAAACCACCTTTGCCAAATTATAACTAAGACAGTGAAATAGATCTCACCTAACCAACTCCATTTTGCTTCTATCCTCTGAGCTATCCTTGTTCATTTCTGGGCAAAGTTAGTTCTGAACTAACTTTGGGAAGAACTTAGTTTATAGTTTATAGTTTAAAACAAAGATGATAACAACCCTTTCCAAAACAAAACCCCTTCTTGCCTGGGCACTAGACTGCCTTTGTAGGACTAACAAATTAGCTGAAAGATTAGAAATTATGGTTTAGAGGTCATACAGCTAGAGACTACAAGATTCTGACCCTCCCCAAATTGTTCCTGGGGATAACATCACTATTGTAAAACCTAAGATCAGTGCTTGAGATATATTGCAGACCCTGTATTTGTTAGCTCAGCTGACACCACTCAGATCGATAAACTGTCTCATCTGATCTTGTGGCCCCCACCCAGGAACTGATTCAGTGCAAGAGGACAGCTTTGACTCCCGATGATTTTGTTTCTGATCTCATTCACCAAATTAACCTTAAAAACTCTGATGCCAGAATGCTTCGGGAGATTGATTTTAGTAGTAATACAACATGAATCTCCCACACAGCTGGCTCTGCATGAATAACTCTTTCTCTATTGCAATCCCCCTGTCTGGATAAAATGGTTCTGTCTAGGCAGCAGTCAAGGTGAACCTGTTGGGCAGTTACACTATAAATTTTATTAAACACTATGAAATCCCCTTGGGGCAGCATAGCAATTGCAGCCTAAATGATTCAGATCATTCCAAATTGAGGGATGGGAACTGAAGGGGCAGAAAGTGGGCAATCCCTTTCCTCCCCATCATAAGGGTCATGCCCAACACCCCTATAACAAGAATGAGTTAACAAGAGAGAAGCACAAGTTTATTTGATTATAGTTTTATGTGACATGGGAGCCTTCAGGATGAGTGGCCAAAAGATACAGGGGAACTGATCTATTTTTATGTTTAAGTTCAATAAAGTATAGAGAGGCCTGTGGAAAGGTGATTGGACAAAAAGCCTAGGGTCTAATGCTAATAGGCTGAGGGGGGAAACCCAGAAAGGCCTGTCTGTTCAGATTCTTCTTGGCCTTTCTGTGAAGCATTCCTTCCTCTCTGGTATGGGGCAGGACCTTTCTGGAATAAGGGTCTTAATTTCTTTATGGCCAGCTATCACACAGAAGGGCAAGGAGGTGGGGATTAGAGTAATATTTTTGGGCTTTATGGCTGGCTTTGGGGGAATGGCGTTCTGCTTTTTATTACCAAGCTTTGGGAAGAGGGATTCCATTTTCTATGGCTTGCCTCAGGGGAGAATGAGAGATGAGGGAAGGGAGGGCAGGAGAAGGTCAGAGACTTTGCTTTTGAGGCTGCTTCTGAGGCCTCTACTTAGGGTATCATTTTCTGGGCACCAACAAGACCAATGTTTTTGCTTTTTCCCTTTAACATCCAGTGAAAGGGAGCTGGAGTATTTGAGCCTCTAGTTTCCATCTTTGAGACACATACCCATTTCCTTTTCCTTGGGAAGGCCACAGTTCATTCTCTTTTGATAAAAGCACAGGACAGAGATAGTCATCAAGATGTCAAATAGCTACAATTGCTATGCCTGCCAAGCAGTAGATAAAGCTGAGTAATAAGATGAAACTCATAGATAGCCAACCCTTAAGAGTGTAAGCCAAAAATAAGATTCTACAGCTCCCCAGCCATGTGAATGGATCCCTCCTTTCAACCAAAGATATTTCAGAGTTAACTTGAAAACCTAGTTCAGACAATGATGAAAGAGGAGGTTGGACATGCCTCATTATACTCCTTCAGCATTAAGATCAACACAGACCTTAAGTTTGATAAGAAACATTTATCATTTATTCTCTCTGAAGACTGCTCCCAGGAGGCTTCATCTGCATTATAAACCCTCAGTCTCCACAACCCCTTATCTTAACCCAGACATTCTTTTCTACTGATAATAACTCTTTTAACCAATTGCCAATCAGAATATTTTAAAATCTACCCATGACCTAGAAGCCCCCCAACCCATTTTGAGTTGCCCTGCCCTTCCGGATCGAATCAATATAAATCTTACATGTACCAATTGATGTATTATGTCTCAGTAAAACGCATAAAAGCAAGCTGTACCTGGAACACCTTGGACATATTTTGTCAGGACCTTCTGAGGCTGTGTCATGGGTGTGTCTTTAACCTTGGCAAAATAAAACTTTCTAAATTGATTGAGACTTGTCTCAGATAATTTTTGGTTCACAAGGCAGAGGAGATATTACTAAATAACTTTTGAAGCTGTGACTACCAGCTCAGGTTTCAGGCAGCTGGGGCTGAACTCAGTCTGGATAGACAACTACTGGTCAACAGGCCAGCCGAGAAATGGCTCCTGTAGAAATGGAGCTTTCACTTACGGGAGAAGGATGAGCCAATAACCGACTTCAAAGGATAAGGGCATAATGACTGAACCAGGACAGTAACATACCAACCCCTATAATCAGGGGTGCGAGTCTCTTACCACAGGAGGGTAGGAGAGGTGTTGTAGGCAAAGAATAGCCACCACGGGTGGGTGGGATTTTAAGCCTATTTTTTCTGCCTGCAAAGATGGCAGGTGTCCATTTCACTATTAATCCACTAGAACAACATATCATCTAGCATAGAGTGGCCTCATTATCTGAGCGATCATTATTCAAGTTGTGCCAGTTTTTGTTTAAATTAATTAATTTTTCAAATGCCAACTTTTATTTTAGATACAGGACGAACATGTGCAGATTTGTTACATGGCTATGTTGCA
This sequence comes from Homo sapiens, assembly GCF_000001405.40. NCBI lineage: Eukaryota > Metazoa > Chordata > Mammalia > Primates > Hominidae > Homo > Homo sapiens. The sequence goes on from NC_000008.11 coordinate 57,403,400, forward strand.
CCCAGGTAGTGAGCACAGTACCCAATGTGTAGTTTTTAAGGCCACATCCCCTTCTCTTCCCCTTCTAGTAGTCTGCAGCATCTATTGTTTCCATGCACCACAGTTTTTTAAAGACTGTACCAAGAAATGTTTTTTAGTTATATCAGAAAATATTTATTAAAGGACTAAAGAACTGACCACTTGAAAAACCAGTCCCCATTCATATGTCATTCCACTTAATATGGGCATCTATCCTTGATAACTCTAGCTACATCTTCACCAATATCTCACAAACTGTAATTATATATGAAAATATAATGCAAACACATGTAAATTGCTGGTGCAGTGGTATTATAAACTTTTTCAGAAGATGTGGGTTCTTTATGAAGCTGATAAAGTGATTCTGGAGAATTGGCTGATACCCAATGAAGATGGGCAAATGACTGAACAAGAGCAGAAGAATGCTGCTTGACAAGAGAAGGGTTTGAAAAACAAAGGATTAAGATAAACCATGGGGAAAATTCATGAAGCTTGGAATGTTTTGGCAGACTTGCCTCTTGTATTAGTCTATTTTTGCACTGCTATAAAGAACTACCTGAGACTAATTTATAAAGAGAAGAGGTTTAATTGAGTCACAGTTCCACATGGTTGCAGGCCTCAGGAAATGTACAATCATGGCAGGAGGTGAAGGGGAAGCAAGGCACGTCTTACATGGTGGCAGGAGAGAGAGAGACAGCTAGTGAGGAACTGCCAAACACTTTTAAAAGATCAGATCTCATGAGAACTCACTCACTATCATGAGAACAGTATGGGGGAGACTGCCCCCATGATCGAATCCCTTCCCACCAGGTTCCTTCCTCAACACGTGGGGTTTACAATTTGAGATGGGATTTGGGTGGGTACACAGAGCCAAACCATATCACCTCTTTTTAAGATCATTTTTTGTAAGGCAAATGGCAAGTGAAGAATATGGTCGGTAGTTATGGGGTAATAATGCCAATAAAAGCAATCAACACTTAGTTCCTTCTTTGTTCATCCTAAGAAGCAGATTGTCATCACAATTATAAACATAAGGTATATTTTTATCTTTGAGAAAAAGCTCCAGTCAATCTTTTTTACTCTTTTCTATAAAAATTTATCCCTGTTGTATTCTTTATTCTTCCCAGTATCAGTTATCTTCAGAATATGCTATTATAATGATACATGTTTATCCTCACACCTAGAATGATAAGTATTTTAAAACATTTAAACACAAGCATTGGAATTAACTTCTTCCCTCAATTACACTTAGTCAATTTCACATTCTGTTAGCACATCCAAATCATGAATTAATTTGCATAAATACTGGTTAAAAGTTTCTAGATTTTGTTGTTTATTTTCTAAGTAAACAGGTGTGCCAATTGAGGTTACCAGGTGAAGTCAAGTAACCTTCTAAAGGCCTGCAGTGCTGCACAATACCAGCTTTATTTTTGGCTTTGCCACTAATTAGCTGCGTGACCTTTCACAAGTTACTTTTCTTCTCTGGGCCTCAGTTTCCTCATCCACAAAGCATGGAGGTAAAAATAGATCAATGTTCTTAACACTGGTTGGGCATTAAAGTCACCTGGGGGAGATCTATAATATGTATTTTATTCTAAAAACTCAGAGTGCTCCTCCCAAGATCAACTGAATCAGAATCTCAGAGGTGGGGGAGGGAGGGTTCCTAACACGTGCAGATTTCAAATTCCCCCAGGTGAGCCTAATCCAGCTAAGAGTATAAATCACTGAACACTGTGGTTCTTAACATTCATTCCAAGTTTCTTATTATTTATTTCTCTTACAACTTGGTTTTAGTCCTAGGATATGTATAGATGTAAAGGAAGTGTTTAGATAACCCCATCCCACTCTGATTAGGTTTTAAGCCTTTGTCATACATAGCTTTCTAAGAAACAAAGAAGTTTTGGAGGGGAAAGCACACCACCACTGTTTTTGCCACATTTTCTGGTGAACACAGCATTCTCACCTAACATGAATCCATGTTTCAGTGAAACAGGGTGCTGCTGTCTTCCCATAGAAATACCCCACAACTGCTGTGACCAAAATGAGGTGACAGACAGAAAAGGAGCAGATATGGCAACACTCTGGTTTGAAATACTCTTTGGACTTTTCTTGGCCACAGAAAAGGGCTCCCATGTCATCTAATTCCTCTGGGTTGTTCAAAATGGCCTGAGAAACTTCTGAACAGGGACAGCTGCCTGGCCCAGTCACGTGCAAGACTAATGCTGATTGGGAAGTGCAATCAGCTTGACTTCTGCACCAGCCAACTCCAGGCATGTCTTCCTGTTTTTATAGTAGATTACGCCAGTAATCACCCTGAAATGTAGGATTCCCTTCTTTTGTCCTTTCTGGAAAATGAGACTGTTTTGAGATTGTTTCCAGAGAAATTGAAAGAATCTGAATGATAAAGATTTCACAGCAGCTGCTTGTTATGATTAATTAACGCAGACAGTCTCAGTGACAAAGATGCTCTCCTTGACCAAATATTAGTCAAGATCTTCTGAGCCCCCTTACTCACTAGGCCTTGTCCTTGGGCCTTGTCTTCAGCCTCCTTAGTCCAGTTTTAACAAGAAGTCCAGACCCACAGCCCCTGGTTCTTAAGCTAAATCTCTCTGTTAATAATCAATATTTACAAATCAGCAAATATTTATAAGCCTCCTGCTACGATATCTGTATTATGCTCAGAAATCACATTGTATTAGTTTGCTAGGGCCACTATAACAAAGTACCATAGACTGGGTGGCTACGATATAAATACCGTATGATACACAAATGACAGAAATTTATTCTTTCACTGTTCTGTAGGCTGAGTCTGAGATCTTGTTGGCAGGTTGGTTTCCTCTGAGGCCTCTCTCCTTAGCTTATAGATGGCGTTCTCCCTGTGTCTTCACATGGTTGTCTCTCTGGCTGTGTCAATCTCCTTTTCTTAAAAGGATGCTGGTCATATTGGATTAAGCCCACCCTTATGATTTTTTTTTAGTTTAGTTACCTATGTAAAGGCCCTGTCTCCAAATAAAGTCACAGTCTGGTTAAGACTTCAACATATGATTTGGGGTGGGGGTGCAATTCAGCCCATAACACAAGTGCAGCATAGAGATTTATTTGTAATTTAATGTAGGATGGAGATCTATTGCTATTTGTCTACAATTCTTTTTTGTTGCCATAGAACTATCTGGAAGAAATTAAATACTTTTTCCCATTTTCTGGAAGCCTGAGCTCTCTTTTCCCTCAGAGGGAGAGTCCTTGTTTATTTTTACTATTTGAAAGAATAGAAGATAATATTCTGGGAGTGAGCTGGACACCCTGGAAATGATTCACCCCAGAGTTTTGTGTTTGAAAGGTTTATGCCCTAAAGGGAATTAGCTCTATTACCCAGGAAAGCAAAGGACTCAAAGGCTGGGGATTAAGGATTTAGAAAGGAAATGGTTTTGTGAAGTGGATTATTTGAGGCTGGGAAGGGCAAGTAGGAAGCAAGGACCTGGGAGAGGGAAACTCCATGGAGACATGTGCAGGTAAGAGTTTTGGCCGCGGAATTTCCTGCTCCAGAGATTAATATTCAGGATCTTAACAACCTCGGCATAGCTGAGATGCCTAATTGTTCCCCAGCACCCATTCTCCTCTCCTCTCCTCTCCTCTCCTCTCTTTCTTTCTTTCTCTTTCTTTTTCTTCCTTCCTTCCTTCCTTTCTTCTTTCTTTTCTTTTCTTTTCTTTTTTTTCTTTCCTTTCCTTTCCTTTTCTTTTCTTTTCTTTTTCTTTTCTTTTCTTTTCTTTTTATTCTGAGACAGGGATTTACTATATTGGTTTTGAAGTCCTGGGCTCAAGGAATCCTCCTGCCTCAGTCTCCTGAGTAGCTGGGACTTCGAGATACTTGTGTGCCACCTCCCTGGCACATTATCTTTTTCTTGCATGTAGGGACAGAACCTCTGGCAGTGTTAGCAGGGCACATGACCACTCAGCTAGACTTTACAGTTCCCAGCCTCCTTGTGGCTAGGTGTGGTCACATAACTAAGCCTGAACCGATGGGATGTGAACAGAAGTGCTCTGAATGGTTTCTGGGTCATCCTCTTGGAGACAAAGCAGTGAGACCTGGTGTTTCTCTCTCCCCCTTTCCACGGGTCAGAACATAAACATGGATGGAGGTGAGTCAGCTTCAACCACGCCATGAGGAACAGTGCCTTAGAAGATGGCAGAGACACTGGAAGAATGGAACCTGAGTCATGGAATGACCTCTTATTGTAGAGCTGCTTCGCTAATCCTAGACTGCTCACGTCTGGACTGTTACTAGAAAAATAAGTAAACGTTTAAATTTTTAAAGCCACTGTGTTTTAGAATCTTTTTGTTATAGAAGTTTACCCATATCTTGTATTTAGCAAGTGAGAGCTTGAGTCAAACTTTCTGTTGTGAAGAAATTTAAATCAATTATATATGCAGATAAAGCTAAAACATCTTCCTACTTAAAAAAATCTGTTATAATTGATTTTATTTTAAAATCTATGAGAACCTTTAAGTAGATTATATTTCAGTGAGGGACAGCATCTTTTTTTGGACTAGTATATGGAAATCTTTTTGGCAGCGGGAGGATAACACTTCATGTTAAAAAATTTAATACATCGTGGAAAACTTGAAAATTAAAAAAATAAGTAAAAAGAAAAATAAAATCAATTCAGAGGAGCCCATCATCAATATTTTGTATTATATTCTTCAAGCTTGATTCTATGCACATAGAATTTTATTTTTGAAATTGGATTATCTGCATAAACAAAATTGCATATTGCTTTATTCCTTGTAGCCTCATAGCATGAGTATACTGTATTCCAAAATAATTAGAAATCCTTGGAAGGCATATTTTTTACTGGCTTCATGATTTTTTTTTTCATGGCTATTTTGTATTTTGTTTGATCATTGCTTTTACTGCACACTTAGGTTGTTCCCCACTCTCTTTGCCATTATACATTGCAATGGCTGTCTATAATGGACAAGTGTCAAAGATATGCAACATCTTTGAGCACTAACCCTATAGTTGGATAATTTGGTAATTTCCCACTTTCTGAGCTCTACTTTTGAAGGCAGAGGCCAGAAGACTCTCATTAACAGACTCCTTCTGGCTATAGTTGCAATCCTGGGACATAGATTCAGATACACCCAGTGGCCCCTAGCCTCAGAAGAACTGGGAGATATAAGGAGCCCATCATGCACAGTGATGTGGGTTGTCTAGCAAGGGCAGCAAGGGCAGAAGTGGCAGCACATGGATTTATTTTCTTTTCTTTTTCTTTTTCTTTTGTTTTTTGAGACAGAGTTTCACTCTTGTCACCCAGGCTGGAGTGCAATGGTGCAATCTCGGCTCACTGAAACCTCTACCTCCTGGGTTCAAGCGATTCTCCTGCCTCAGCCTCTCAAGTAGTTGGGATTGGTGTCTCTCAAGTAGTTGGCAGGTGCCTGCCACCACGCCCAGCTAATTTTTGTATTTTTAGTAGAGACAGGGTTTTGCCATGTCGGCCAGACTGGTCAAGAACTCCTGACTTCAGGTGATCCACCTGCCTCAGCCTCCCAAAGTTCTGGGATTACAGGCATGAGCCACCATGCCAAGCCAGCACATGGATTTCAAGGGCTATGGTAGAAGAGCCCTGTGTGCAGACTTCATACTGAGCAATGGCAGCCATCAAGTTTTGCTAGAGCAGTTTCTATGGCATGAGTAGGCATTGTTCCAGGCAGTGAGCCACGAAGCCCAAGATTCTGTGTTTCCAGAGTTGAGTTCTCTGAGCTTTCCACTATGATGTAATAAAATCATGTTTGGTTTAAATAGCCAGAGTGAATTTTGCTGAAGAGGATTTGGATCAACAGGAACTCTCTCATTCATTACTGATGGGAATGCAAAGTTCCCATTCTCATTCATTACTGATGGGAATACCTTGAAAGACATTTTGGCAGTTTCTCTCTCTTTCTTTCTTTCTTTCTTTCTTTCTTTCTTTCTTTCTTTCTTTCTTTCTTTCTTTCTTTCTTTCTTTCTTTCTTTCTTTTTCTTTCTCTCTTCCTTTTTGAGACAGAGTCTTGCTCTCTTGCCCTGGCTGGAGTGCAGTGGCATAATCTCGGCTCACTGCAACCACTGCCTCCCAGCTTCAAGTGATTCTCCTGGCTCAGCCAGGAATTACAGGTGCCCGCCAACATGCCTGGCTAATTCTTTTATATTTTTAAATAGAGACAGGGTTTCCCCATGTTGGCCAGGCTTGTCTCGAACTCCTGACCTCAAGTGATCTGCCCACCTCAACCTCCCAAAGTGCTGGGATTACAGGTGTGAGCCACCATGCTAGCGTTAAACATAGTCTTACCTTAGGATTCACTACTCACACTATTAGGTATTTACCCAACATGTCCACACAAAAACTTGCACATGAATGTTTGTAGCAGATTCATCTAACTGTGGTAGCAACCAGTGTCTTTCAGCAGGTAAATAGCTAAACAGATTATGGTATATTCATATAATGGAATGCTATTCTGAAGTGAAAAGGACTGCATTGTTATGCCGCACAAAAATATGGATGGATGTTGGCCCGGTGCGGTGGCTCACGCCTGTAATCCCAGCACTTTGGGAGGCCGAGGCGGGTGATCACGAGATCAGGAGATAGAGACCATCCTGGCTAACACAGTGAAACTCCGTCTCTACTAAAAATACAAAAAATTAGCCGGGCATGGTGGCGGGCGCCTGTAGTCCCAGTTACTCGGAAGGCTGAGGCAGGAGAATGGTGTGAATCCACGAGGCGGAGCTTGCAGTGGGCCGAAATCACGCCACTGCACTCCAGCCTGGGTGACACTGCGAGACTCCGTCTCAAAAAAATGGATGAATGTTAAAGAAATAGTGTTAAATGAAAGAAGCTAGTCTGAATAAGTGATATACTACATGATTCCATTTATATTATATCCTGGAAAGGCAAAACTATAGAGATGGTAAAGAGATCAGTGGTTGTCAAAGATTTAAGTGGGTAATGGGAGTTTAAATACATAAAGCACAAGGGATATTTTTAGGGCATAGTTCTCCCCCACCAGGAAGTGATGGGCAGGAAGTGAGAGGTGAGACATATGGGTGCCTTAGGCAAGACTTCGTTAGATGGCATCTGTGTGAATCTGGTCTCGGCTTGAGACAGATGATTTGAAGTGAAGAACGAGAGATGCCTGGCATGTATAAGCATGTGTGTTTGTTTGTTTGTTTGTTTTTGAAGTAATAAACATCTTAGAGTATGTTTTGCTTTAATCCTAGGATGCCACAATTTAAGAACTGATGTTTCCTCTTTTGGTAATGCTGCCTCTCAGGTATTTACTTAGAAATAACATCAAGATGGCGATGGAGAAGCAATAGAGTGGAATTTAATGTACCATAGCATCGCATATAATTTGAGAGCTTCAGTGTACCTTAGAGAACACAGAATTTCAGTGCTGAAGGACACCATGAGCACAATCTAGTCATGGCATCTATCTGAAACATGAATTCAATTCCCTTCCCAATACTCCATCTCTTCTGTCATTAACTCTTTGCTGCCAGAGTTTTTTGGTGGCAAATAATTCCAAATAATAGTAACAGTTATATTCCCCATCTAATGTTAATGTTTAAATTATTTTCTAATGTCACTAGAAAACTGAGCAACTAAAATATTTAGGGTATCTTGCCAAGTAAACGTTAAACTGGACAAAATAAATTTATAATAAGGTTCCTGTTTTGCTCCCTGGATAAGAAAATCAGATATATCCTCTTCTGAGGGACTAGGAGTTTGTTCTTCAACAGATGAATTTGGGGAAACATAATTCAGCCCTAACACAAAGTAAGACTTATATTATAGCCTGATTCCATTTCTGATGTTTGACTGTTGATGCATTTCATGTCCCACCTCTCCCTTCTTTCCCACATCTGGGCAAGCTGATCAGAAAGCCCAGGAGCTCCCTCCTTTGGCACCAGCAGCAAGTTCAAACCACATAAGCCCCAGCCAACATGTGGGTATCTCACCTCAGGCTCAGCCTCCAACCACAATGAAAAACCAAGCCGATCTCCCTTCCCTGCTCTCTCAATCCATTGTTGTATCTGCTTGGGAGCCTGTCCTCCTCTTCCCAGAAAGCCTCACTATGGGAGTGGCAACTCTTTTAGTATACTCTTGGAGTGCCTGAGGTCTCATCAGTCTCAACATCCAAGCCGAATTTTGCAAAGGGAAATTCCATCCTATTGCTGCAGGATGACCCAAAAAGTTTACTTCTCATATATGACTAAAACAATACTTATAAAGTCAACTAGGGCAATAACATTAATGTAAAACATAAAATCATTTTATTTATTTATTTTTAAATTTTTAGAGTCTTGGCCAAATATTTATTCATTTAGTTATAGGTTGGTGCAAAACAAAAACCACAATTACTTATTCACTGACCTAATCTTTTTATCACTATGGGCTCATGGATTTTTTTAATTCTATGCATTATAATCCATTGCTCTCATTATTTATTTTGTTGCTCAAATTGTTCTAGGTTTGAGTTTGAATATTTTTATTTCATTTTATTTATTTTATTTGAGTCAAGATCTTGCTCTGTTCGCCAGGCAGGAGTGTGTGGCATGATCAGACCTCAGTATGACCTCAAACTCCTGGGCTCAGGAGATTCTCTCACCTCAACCTTTGAGTAGCTGGAACTACAGGCATGTGCCACCATGCCTGGTTAATTTTTTAATTAAAAAAGTATATATGTTTTGCAGTGACAGGGTCTCACCATGTTGTCCAGGCTGGTCTTGAACTCTTGGACTCAAGTGATCCTTCCACCTGGGCCTCCCAAAATGCTGGGATTACAGGTGTGAGCCACCATGCCTGGCCTATATAATTTTTTTCACAGATGTCAAGAATCAATCTCTTCTTGACTAAAAATAAACATCTAAATATAATAGGAATGAAGTATTAATTTCTTTACATGATAAAGAATACATATTTAAAACTAACTCAGCATTATACTTAATGGAAACTACTAGCACTATTTCTCTTTTAAATATAGGAACAAAGCCACTGTATGGCCTATCATCACCCTCTTTAGGAAGCGTTTGTGCCAGTTATGAGTCAAGTTCTTTCAGCTCTAAACATACTTTTTTAGATTCTGCTCTGTGTTGGTGGGGCTGAGAGTGTAAAAAAAAACAGCTGTTTTGCCAGATGGCTCCATGGTTCTATCATTAGAAGGCGTATATGGGATTGGAAGGCAGGAATAGAGAGAAGGGAGTAGGTCCTTCCTGTTTTGCTCTTCCTGTTGGTTTGCTCAGGCATGACTTTTCCCTCCAGCAGTAGTGGTTAGTTCCACTATTCAGTTTTCTTCCTGACACATGAGGAACCCCCTCAGCACACCCATTTAGAGGTACAAACAGCAGTGAGCCTATGTCTCGCCTCAAATTTCTGAGCCCCACTCTACAAGACACCTCCCTCAAGTTCTTGAGATAGCAGCAGCTGATGATGATGCCCCTCCTTAGATGCCTGGACCCCAACTGTGTAGATTTCCTCTTCTAAGTTTCCAGTTCCAATTACCCTAATCTCTTCTCTTTATTTCCCCAGCTTCTTCCTGCAGTTGTAATCTCTACATTACTTCAGTGTTCCCTTTCTACATTCTCCACCTCTGAATGAAAACTTAACCAATTTAGGCAAACTTTGTGTTAAATTATTTCTGGGGCTTCTGTTTTCCTGACTAGACCATGGCTGATACAGCATTAGAAATGCCAGACATAGCTACTCAAGAAGAAAAATAACAACTATAAACATAGAAAGGAAAAAAACTGTCATTTCTAACACAACTAATTTAAAGACAATATATGAGGAAATAACCAAACAGAATAAAAGTGCTTATAGAAGCTGCAGGATATGAAAAGTTTAAAAAATTGTTTTTATTCTTATATATTTGATATGCAATTAGAAAATACAATGTAAAGATGTTCAATTCACAGCAGCACAGAGAACATAAAGGGAAACAGAAAAAAAAAAAAAAAACTCACCACAATAAACAACCACCAAAGCAGCAGCAACAACAAATTCCAATCCAAACTAAGCCTGCATATCAAAATTCTAAAACACAGATTGAAATGGCAAGAAAGTTATCCAGCAAAATTAATAATGAAAATATTTCTCATAATTTTGTCTCCTATGAACTTAATTTTATAAAACAATCCAGACAAGTCTTTTAAAATCTTTAGCATCTGCAAAGAGATAACAAGGAATAACATTAATTTTAAAATATTTTAAAAATTATTAAATTAAAGCTTCCAGAAATGATAAACAGTTTATATTTTTAAAGTGCAAATTGAAAAACTGAATTAAAAAATTAAATTAAACATACAGAATAAACACTAGAGGGACAATGTCAAAAAGAGATTCCATGAATTGACAGGAATTACAGAGGACTTCACTTGAAATAAAGCACAGTGAGGCAAATACATAAAAATATAAAACAATAATGAATAACTGTGGAGGATAAATTGATAAGCTCAAATATACATCTCATATTGTTGTCAACTGTTGTGAGACACCTTGGTTCTTTGTTTTTCTTTTGTTTAAAAGAATTTAAATAAGAGACACACAGCAAAGGAGAGGTAGCATAGTAATTTATTGTAAAAGGAAAAAAATGTATTTCAAAAGTTAGAAAAGACAGTACACTCTGAGAGACAGCGTTTAGGGCAGGCTGCTCGCAAGGATGAGACAGCGTTGAATATTGTTGAAGAAATTCTTTTCATGGGAGTTTTATATGATTATTTATAAGGCGATGGGAAGAAGTGAAGCTCGTAAGCATGTTTTGGGTGGTCTTTGGGGAGCACATGCTCAGTAGATGTACGTGATTGTTTATACATCACATGTCTCATTAGTATCGAAATCTCTACCCAGGAATGTGTTTCTTACTATTATAATGAGCAAAGGGCCAGTTTAAGGACAGGTAAAATCAATGTGTGCATGATCTCTACAGGGGAAATTTTCTACTGGATAGCTTTGTTTGGATGAACTCAATTACAATGTGAATGCTTAGGCTTATTGTGTTGACTGTACAGTCACCATGCTTGTTGTGTCTCAAGGACATTGTCCCTTCCCTGACTACCTATTCTACTCCAATTTCTCCCTAAGAGATTTTAGGGCCCATAATTACATGGGAAGTTGAGGGGCTAGGTCATTTTTTTGGCATTGTTTTTTGTTGAGTGGAGCCTTGTTCCTGCCTAGCCTTGTCCTTAGAGTCTGTTTTTGTCTGGTTTAACGGGATGTAAGCCATGGCATTTATGGGACTGGTAGCAAGATGTGAGATAGCTCATTAGCAGCCAAAGGTTGAAAGTCTTGTAAAACCATCATGTGGACCTGGAATTGTTGTAAGTGAGACAGTAAGGAACTAGCTAGTATTTTAAACAAAGTTGAACCAAAAGTAAAAGTTAAAAGTATGGTGATGACTGGCATCATTACAGGGAGAAAGGCAGACAGTAGTCATGGTTTTTAAGTTTTTATGTAAGGTTTTAAAGATTTAATTTTGTCTGCCTGGGTAATGATATTTAATATTTTTTTTGACTAAACAGAACTGATTGATGTGAAAGCAGTATTTTTAAAAAGATATAAATAGATATAAATATGTTTTTGTCTTGTTTTGTTTTGTTCTTTTTATCTGGCTGTGAGAAGATTTAAGGCTCTTTGGTTTGTAAGATTATAGCGGTCAGGGAGTCTAGCTGTTGTTGAAGTCTAGTGAGGCCCTCTGCTGTATGCCAGAAGGTCAATGTGATTTTTAAAGACAGTTAATGCTAGATTTTTAAGTCTGCTCCTCTGGTAGCTGACCCTGCTAATTTTAATAGAGAGGATAGAACTAACACTAAAGAAATAAAGGGTTTTCCTCGGAGGTGGATCTTGTGATGTTGGTACATGGGGAAAGGAGAGATGTGTCCGTCTATGCGAAAATCAGGGGGAAATGTAAGCAATGGCGCATCATCCCTTCCACTGTGGAGGGAGTTGTCAATATGCTGAAGATTTATAACTTCTCCACATTTTTTGTGATGGTGAAATTTGCGTTGTAAAATATTTTGTATTAAAGTGGTGAAAGTACTGGAGGGTTTTTTTAAAAAAATATTTGTGGTCTATAAATGAAAGGTTTTGTGTATTTAACACAAAACCTGGTAGTGGTTATTAGGTCTATTAATGAATGGTTAAGTTGGATGGTGGCATTAATACATGTTTGGAATAAAGTTTTGTTTTAAGGGTCCCACTACAAGGTGTAGTGATTTTTTGATCGGATATGTTGACAATTCTCAGAAGATATATTGAGATTGGATGGATAAAGGCTTCACATGTGAGCGTTGCCCCAGATAAGCTATAGATTCTAGTTTTGTTGACAGGGAATAGAGGCCATACCTGTTTGGGGACATGATAGAGCAGGAAATTGGTTGGACGAGTGAGTTGTTTATTTATTAGTTTAATTTTTGTAGAGGTATTGACTAAGATAGATGACCCAGTGACAACAGTTCAGCTACACTGACTCTTGAAATTTTCTTACGAAAGTGGTGGAGCTAACATGATTGTTGAAAAGGCAAAAGGGGAATAGTTCTGGATAAAAGATAAAATAAGAAATCTTTTTTTTTTCTTTTGGGACATTTGAACTATTGTTGATAGTTAAGAGGAAGAACTTAAAGAACCTATGACTTGACCCCACAGTTTTTTTTTTTTGTATTAACTATTAGGCCTGATATCCCCATTCTCTGAGGCAGTGAGTTTTTCTCTGGAGATGTGTTGGGATGCTAGGTCAGTCTTTTAAGGGCACAGGTCTGGCATATTTTTAACTTTTTGGTCATGCAAAGCCAACAAAGTTGAGTTAAGTTTAATAGACTGATGGTATGGTTATTTATTTTTCTAGTAGACAGGTCAGTGTCTCTAAAAGCCATTAGAGCATGGCAGGCAAGTGCCAAGAAAATGAAGATGTTATTTATTTTTCAACTTGGCTCCATTTGGGGTTGTTTTTTTGAATAGAAGTTTTCGATCCCCTATGGGCATGCAAGTGTAATTAGCAGCTTTTTCTGGTGTTTGTAAAGGTTTATTGTAAAGTTTAATTTTGGTCCTGTGGACCCGACTAGCTATTTTTTGTAGCTTTACAGCCATTGGTGTGCTAGTAGTACTTGTTAAAGTTTTTTTTTTTTTTTTAATCTATTTAGGAAGAAGTTGATCTGTTGGGGAGCTTTTTCTTTTTAAGTTTTTAATAGAACCCAGTCTCCAGGCAGGATTTTGGGGTTATGTTTTATTTGCCCAAGCAAGGGCAGCATCGTATTGTCATATTTTTAGATGGCTTGTTGTACCTAGAGTAGATTTTGAGTATATTTTATAATAGACTGAGTTTTGGCTTGATTAACAGGTCTAAGGTAAGGAAGGGTCTTTCATCAGTCATTTGAAAAGGACTAAGTTTTGCTTTTTGGGGGGGGTGCCACTCCTATTTTTATGAGGGCTATAAGAGTGTACCAAGACTTAGAAGTTTGCTGGCACAATTTTGCCAGGGTCTGTTTTAAAGTTTGATTAGTCCTTTTAACTTTGCCAGAGGCTTGTGGCCTCCATGAGGAGTGGAGATGATATTTAATTTCTAAAGCTTGGATTATCCGTTGGGTTATAGTTGTAACAAAAGAGGAGCTGTTGTTGCCCTGTGAGGCACTGGGGAGGCCAAATTGTGGTATGATTTTTTTTTTTTTAGTAGTGCTTTGTCCACTTTTGCAGTTTTGTTTGTTTGTTTTGGTAGGAAAAGCTTTTACTCATTTAGTAAAGACGTTTGCAAAAACTAAAAGATATTTAAATCCTCAACACGAGGTCATCTGGGTGTAGTGAGTTTGTCAGTCCTTTTCAGGATAGGTTCCTGTCACTGAAAAAGGATTAATAAAGGAGGGGGCCTTTGTTTTGGTTGGTTCCCAGAGTTATTTGGGGAGAAAAGTTCACATATAAGGTGAGTGGCTTTTGTGAGTTTGGAATTCCCAGAGCAGGAGTCTCAATAAGGGTCCCCTGGGTTTTTTTTTTTTTTTTTTTTTTCATTGTAAGGGCTCAGTGTGAGGCCCTTTAGTGGCCTCATATAGAGGACAAGCCATTAGTACAAATCCTGGAATCCAGGTTTATGAATCTCAAGTCCAGCACTGGTAGATATTTTTGGTTTGGTTTTATGGCTGGTACAATAGGAGTATTACGAGGTGATTGACATGGCAGTGGTAAATCATGCTGAAAGAATTTAGAAATCAAGGGCTCTAATCTTTTGGTTTGTTTTTAATTTTGAGGAATATTGTTTTTTATTGAGGTACCTATTGGGGTCCCACAGTTTAATGACCGCTGGTTGAGCCTGAAGGGCTCTTCCAGGTACTCCATCATGCCAGATGGCCGTATTTACTTGTTCTAAGATTGACACAGGTAGGTAATCTGTTGGTCCAGCAGTGAGGACCATTTGGTAGCAACTGGTGCCTTTGAGTGATATAAGGACTCCCATATTTAATAAGTATCTGCCTAAGAGTGGGGTAGGACACCCAGGAAAGCAAAAAAAAGTGATTTCTATACTGACATGTGAGTAAGGGAGTGAAATAGTAAGAATGGTGTTGCCCATTGACTCTGGTTACAATTTGTGGAGGTTAATGTCCATCATGAGAAGTTAGGATAGAGTAAGAGGCCCTGGTATCAATTTTTAAAAATCAATATTTGTACCTGCCACGGCAAGGGTCACCCAGAATTCCAGTTTGGTGACTGGAATGTTCTTTTTGGAGGGGGCCATCTAGATCCCGGGCTTCCTCAGTCTTGGGTCAGTGCCATCTCAAGGGAGGACATCCCCTTTTCCTTCGGGAAACAATCCACTCTCCAGTGGCATGTTTACAGTGGCTTGTTTACAGATGAGGCATGACCCCGGGGGGTAGCCAGGTGCACTCTCTAGCCCAGTGCCCAGACTGCTTGCATTTAAAGCAGGCCCTTTGATTGTTGTCACCTCGTCATTGACCAGCTTCCAAGCTTTGAGGTTCCGAGGGGTGACCATGAGGTTGTAGAACACTACTGACAGCAACAGCTACTATGTAAGTCTGGGCCTTATTGCGCCTGTTCCCATGCTGGACTCTGTCTTTCTCCTCAGACAGATCTCTATTATTAAACACTTCAAAAGCCACTTCTATTAGTTGCAGCATAGGTGTTTGTGGCCCTAATTGTAATTTTTGTAAAATTTTTCCCTGATATCTCGGGCAGACTGGCTGATAAAGTGTTGCCCCAGTAAAACTTGGCCTTCAGCAGACCTAGGGTCTATGTTGGTGAACTTTTGGAAGGCCTGTATTAAGTGTCCTTGAAAGAGGGCAGGGTTTTCATCTTTTTCCTTTGTGACTTCTTTGAGCTTTTCACAGTCAACAGGATTTTTAATACATTGTCTCATTCCTGCCAGGAGGCACTGGACCATGTAGTCTCTATTGTTTTATTCTTCTGGACCTGCTGTAATCTCAATCTGAGTCCTGGGAGGGAACAGCAAGAGCTCCCACTTCACGGGTAGCAGGCTGGTCAGTGTCCCCGCTATCTGAGTATCCATGATGGGCTAGCCAGATTCCCTGTTTTTAATCTGGAATACAACAAGTAGAAAGAACAACTTGTATATCATTCCTAGTTAAGTCAAAGGCAAAAGTTAGAGCCCGGGGGCCTCAGTAATACACTGGGATCCTCTGAATACTGTCTGAGTTTCTGCTTGCGTTGGGTTAGAACATTTATTGAGAATGGAACATGTACTCTGATAGTCTCTTCTCCATTGGGGAATTCCCAGAAGGGGAGCCATTTCTCTGTTCCTGGATGGTATGAAGTCCCACTATGTGTCACTCCAGCTGGGTTAGTCCCAGTTGAACTTGGCAAAGGAGGATAGAGATGAGCATAAGCGGGAGGTGAAACGGGATTAGATTCTACAGAAGACTCTGATAGCATAGGGGATGCTGGGGACTCGGAAGGAGGTGTGGGCCTCTGAGAACCCCTGTCTGGAGCTGGAGTTGGGCCATGGGGCCTAGTATCCCTTCTCCTTAAAAAAAAGAGGATCTTCTAATGGGTCTGGGTGGCTTTCTGGCTTACTGGGTTTTAGCCCACAGATGCTGCATAGAACTGGGTTCTGTTTTCAGGCCATAAAGGCCTGTAATAGGGTACCTTAGACCACTTTCCCTAATTTCTATAGAAAAGATCTAGCTATAGGTTGGTGTTGAAGTTCATGGTTTCATTCTCCAGCCATTTTTCATTGTCTGCTAACTTGTACCCAGGCCAAACAGTGTTATAAAAAAAGATAAGTTTTTTCTTTTTTTTTTTTTTTTAGCTCATCTAGCCAAAAGATGTTCTAGTTTTTAAATATACATCCCAGGGGTGTTTCAGTGAGAGTAGAAGCGGTGGCTCCCGTAGTGCTGAAAGAATCCCACGATGACAGAAACATATACTAACGTCTAGGAGGTCATGGGCGTACCCATGAGCCAACATGGACCACAATGGGTTGAGGGTGCCCCTTGAACCTCAATTAAATCAAGGCCCTAGGAGGTCACTGGCATTTTCCATGCACCGTCCTAGGTCTCACTGGCGCTGGAAGTCTTTAGACCTGACCATAGTGGCCCCCATTGCCGGCTGGGGGCCCCAGATGTCTCTCTTCCAAGCCTTTCCTTCCCTACGTCACTGGTTTGCCATTTGTGATGCCTAATTATAATACCTGGAATGCCGGGATACAATCCCCACAAAAGGGCTTCCTCGTGACTGTGCATCTTTTGTTCAGCAAATAAAGCCTGTTGAAAGACAATCTCAAGGAGTTTGAAAATGTCCAACAATGATAGACTGGATTAAGAAAATGTGGCACATATACACCATGGAATACTATGCAGCCATAAAAAATGATGAGTTCATGTCCTTTGTAGGGACATGGATGAAACTGGAAATCATCATTCTCAGTAAACTATCGCAAGAACAAAAAACCAAACACCGCATATTCTCACTCATAGGTGGGAATTGAACAATGAGATCACATGGACACAGGAAGGGGAATATCACACTCTGGGGGCTGTTGTGGGGTGGGGGTAGGGGGGAGGGATAGCATTGGGAGATATACCTAATGCTAGATGACGAGTTAGTGGGTGCAGGCACCAGCATGGCACATGTATACATATGTAACTAACCTGCACAATGTGCACATGTACCCTAAAACTTAAAGTATAATTAAAAAAAAAAAAGAAAAAAAAAGAAAATGCATAAAGCCTAGAGGGATGGGGTGGTTTTAACGTGTCCCTCAGAACAGAAAATATTGTAAACAGAAAAACTGAGTAGAAAATAAATCAAAATAGCCACTAGGTGGCGGGCGAGTATTGCTGGAGAGGCAGCAAACGAGCTGAGTCTGAAATGAGGCCAGAAAGATGTGAAACTAAGCAAGAAAATAACCCGAATATTTAATGTTGAGAGCAACCCATGGTGCCATGTGGTTAGTATAAATAGCACAGAAGCTGCAGCCAAAAGGAGAGCAGCGCATATATTCACAGAAAGAATATAGGTGACTTAAAACTTCCCCGGCAGAACTTCACTGAAACAGCTCTGGAAAGAGCGGTGACAGTTAACCAGGTAATCTACTCATCTCGGGGGAAGGGAAACTGAAGTCAATGAAGCGGAAAAACCTTTCTCTGTGTCATGGTACCATAAATGTTGACAGCTGTTGTGAGAGACCTCAGTTCTTCTTTTTGTAGTTTGAAACAATTTAAATAAGAGACACACAGCAAAGGAGACGTAGCATAATTTATTGTAAAAGGAAAAAGAAAATATTTTGAAAGTTAAGTGCAGAATAGACAGTATATCCAAAAGAGAGCAAGTTTAGGGCAGGCTGCTCATAAGGACGAGACAGTGCTAAATATTGCTGGAGAAACTCCCTTTATGGAAGTTTTACATGATTCATAAGGAGGTGGGAAGAGGTGCCACTGGTAAGCACGTTTTGGGTGGTCTTTGGGGTGCACATGCGCAGAAGCTGTAGATGCTTGTTTATATGTCACATGTTCCATTAGCATCTTAAATCTCTACCTAGGGATGTGTTTTTTTTTTTTATTATAATGAGCAAAGGGTCAGTGTGAGGACAGGTAAAATCAATGTGTGCATGATCTCAACAGGGGAAAGTTTCTACTGAAGATAGCTTTCTTTGGGTGAGCTCAATTACAATGTGAATGCTGAGGCTGATTGTGTTGATTGTACAGTCACCACGGTTGTTGTGTCCAAAGGACATGGTCACTTCCTTGGCAACCTATCCTACTCAGTATGAGCTCCCAGAGAATAATTTTGAAGAACCAGCAGAGAAAAAGTAAATGAAACAATAGTGACTAAAAATTTTCTAAACTGAAGAAATAAGCATAACTCTTGGATTGAGAGTATACTCTGAATAATTTGCAGGCTAATTAAAAATAAATTCATTCCTTAACACACAAGGATGAAAGTGTAGGACATTCAGAATAAAGAGAAAATCTTAGAAGTTACCAGGGAGGCAAAAAAGGAAAATTTCTGATAGGTGATAGTAATTAGTAACAGAAAATTTCTCATGGAGGAATAGAAGCCAGGAAACAAAGTAAGAATATCTTCAGAATGTAAACTTAGAATAAACTAAGTTGGCCAGGCGCAGTGGCTCACGCCTTGTAATCCCAGCACTTTGGGAGGCTGAGGTGGGCAAATCACTTGAGGTCCAGAGTTCGAGACCAACCTGGCCAACATGGTGAAACCCCATCTGTACCCAAAATACAAAAATCAGCTGGGCATGGTGGCGCACCCTGTAATCCCAGCTACTTGGGTAGCTGGAGCATGAGAATTGCTTGAACCCAGGAGGCAGAGGTTGTAGTGAGCTGAGTTGGTGCCACTGCACTCCAGCCTGGGTGACAGAGCGAGCCCCTGTCTCAAAAAACAAAACAAAACAGAATTAACTAAGTTGTCGAAAAGTGTTTACTTAGAATTTTATACCCAGTTATATAACCATTCAAAAGTGAGCTTACAATCAGGACATTTTTCAGACTATACAATTATAAGAATAATATAAAATTCTAACACTCTTAGTAGAAACACAACCTCTCAGAGAAAAGGATGGGCTATAAGAAGCAAAGGTGAGCAAAGAAAGTGATAATTTTGATAAATTTAATTAATTTGGAAAGATAGTAATAACTATTTTTTGTAAAAAATTGTAAAAAAAAATGACAAAGCAAATGCAGGGTTTTATTGGGCAATTAAAGTATGCTAAAGTCTTTATCATATTCTTAAGGAAGAGAGACATTCTAAATAACTGTATATTGTATTAGAGAAATTCATAATTATTTATGTTGAAAATTCAGCACAATGATGAAAAGAACAGAAATTGAATCTACAACATCAATACCAGTAGAGCAAAAGATAAGGGGATTTAAAACAGTTTTCATTTTAATAGAAGGTAGCAAAGAAGAGTAAAAATGAAGCAAAGAAAAATGAGAAATGGAAATCCAGACCTCTGAGAAGGAGCACTGCTCAGCTGATAGTGGGATCTTTGAGCTTGGGATGGGGATGAGAAGAGAAAATAGAGCTGGTTCTGCAAGCAAACTGGATCCAGATACTTCAGAAAGGAACTACTGCCACTATGGTGAGGAAGTATTGTTGAAAAAACGTTCACAGGAACAGAAAGCTGACAGGAAGTAGATAGAAAGTCATAGGATGCAAGTTGGAAGAAAGAAATCCCTTTTTCCCTTCCAGATTTGTAGACCTTCCCACGTACCCTTATGGACAGAGTCAAACATGGAGCTGTTGGCAAAGCAGAAATGTGGTCTGCAGAGTTTGAGCCCCAGTGTCACAAAGCAGAGTGTAAAAGGGTGAGTTTCAAGCTAATAGATAATAACTCAACAACTGGCACACATATTTCTTCATTCTGCTTTTCCAGCACTGTTCAATAAATTATTATCTTGCCCCTGTGTTTTTTTTTAAGGTAAATAACAGCTTACAAGCAGAAGTCACGAAGATCTTACTGAAAATAACCATAACATAATCTTTCATCTAAAGACTTTCCTGGCTCCTCCTGTATAGTGCTTTACTTTGCTGAACTTGCATACACACCAGGTTAATTTATAGTTGGAGAAAAGCCTTATAACTCTTAAAGCCCCCTAACTCACTCTCCAGCTTCCAAGGACACAGGGGTTATGTCAACATGCTGGGATGCTATAGGGACATTAAAATGACAAACGTGCTAACTAATGTCAATATATGGACATGGTAATACAAAATTTAAAAATTAAAAAAAAAAATCCCAGAAGACAACATCCTAGGGGTACTTATATATAACAATGTAAAGTTTATAGATGTACATGAAAAGATTGGAAGTAAAATTGGAATAATGTGAATTAAATTGAAATAAGTCATTGTACCTCAATGTTCCATTTTTTCTTTCTATAAAATTGTGCAAGTTCATAATTGTTTTTTTAAAGAAAAAATGAGAAAATTTGCTCATTTGTGTTTCCCAAACTGCTTCTCTATTAGATCTGTGTCCATGCCAATGGTTTTTTTTTTTTGTATCTTCTTTGAACAAATAAAGTAATGTTGGTTTTGTCTGACCTATAACCCCAGCTTTTTAAACACTTTATGCTTTTACAGCTGTTTAGTATAATATCATAGACTGAGTAGAGTTTGCCCTCTGAATTAATTTTCAAAATAAGATCAATATGTACAATTAAAGAAAATCACTATAAAAACTATACTATCTATCATACAACATATCGTTGGCTCTCTTGGTTTTTAAAAGTAGTAACAGTGCCTGACTTTGTCCTGCTTTGTGCAGAATGAGACATGATGAAAGTATTTTGTGTGCTGACAATAAAACACAGTGGAGAGGAAAAGGAAAAAGCTGCTCCTGTGAAAATGCTTTCCTTCAATAGGAAACTCTTCGTTCCTGGTTGAAGAGGCACGGAGAAAACACAGCCATGAAAACACAGTTCTTCTTCTAGTCACAAACATGCCTTTGGCACTGATCAAGGCACCCCCCAAGGATGAGGGCTGGGGCAAAGGACTATTAAACTAGAATGTTCTCAATTTTTCTTTTACTGTCTCAAGGCCATCTAGTAAATGTTCTTGCAACTACACCCTCTTTCTCCTCATCATTTCTGTTCTTCTCTTTATTTTTTCCGTCCATCTTAAAGGAAGGTTATTCTAAAAGTTCAATTCAATATCACCACTATATATAAGATAATTACCATGTGAAAGATATCCCAAAATCTCTAAAAAAATTTATTTTCCCCTTTAAGCTAGCTTGAGTGTAGCCAATGACATCCTAACATACATGCTTATTTCTTGTAAAACAAAGTTCAAACTCGTAAGAACTGTGTTCAGAGCACTCCATAATCTGGCCTTCATTCACGTTCTGAGGCTTATTGCTTACAGATTCTTAATTAAAACCTTTCTCCAAGCAGCCTGCTGTCTTCTGTATTTGTAAACCCACCTGGCTCATTCTTCTACCAACCACGCCTTCGCTCACTTCAATCTCACTTCCATTGCTTTCTATAAACCCCAGTCATCTTTCAAAACTCACTTATTTTAAAGCTCTTTCACAGCAGAGACTACTCTTTGGATTATCTGTAGCGTTTTTTGTTTGTTCAATTGACTTGGCATTTTTCACACACACTCATGAATCATTATTGCTTTTTCTGTCTGTGTATGAAAAAAACTGTAAGATCCATGGGTTCAGAAACCACATATTTTGCTTGTTTTCTAAAGGGGAAGCAGAAACAAACACCTTCTCATTCACTACTGATGGATGCCATGAGACTTCCAAAACTCATGCCCAAATAGGAGATTACTCTTTTCGCCTAGGCAATGAAGTACAATCCTTACACTTATTCACTAAATCCGTGTTTACTGAGTGCATTTTAAGTGCCAGGTACTGGAGACACTTATACGCAAAAGAATCTGCCCTTGTGGGCCTCACGGCTGACTGTGGCACAAACAGGTCATCTGCAGCCTAGCCCAGAGCACAGATGGTAAGGAACATGGTCCCTCAGGTAAGAGAAGGTGAGAGTACTGAGCTGACAGAGGGGGAGAGCGCTGAGAGTCCAATGTCTTCAGTTGCAGGTGTTTTGTGAAACCAACAAGACTTCACACCTGTTGACACTTTATAGGGGATAGATACACAGCATTGCTTCAGAACGCTTCCTTCTAGAATTTGAGTTCAGCTGAGCTAGAGACACAGAATCTAGCCTGATGGAAATACCAGCTTGATTGCTGTGAAAAACCAGGATGAGCATGCAACCTAGATTTGTGGCAACTGGGAACACGATTTTTCCCCTGAAATAAACTCACTCCCCAGCAGCTGGCCTTGCCTGCAGACAGCATTATCCCAATTAAGCTCACGGCCTACCCGGAAGGAAACCGGGACCTGAGGCAAATCAGCCTCTAGCCCAGGTGAGAATTTTGAGAGAAACAGAGAAGGTAATTCAGAGTTCCCACACTCTGCTTCTGGAAACCCCTGATGCATAAAGTTATCTCTGCGTTCCTCTCTGGGACTCTGGGAGTCACAGAAGCAATGTCTGTCAACACACTGCCCTCTGGGAAGGCATCTGGGAAAAACTTCTGAGGGGCAATGTCACAGGAAATGCAAAAATGACTTGGGTTCAAATGCCGTTTCTGTCATTTATTCACTGTAAAACTCTAAATAATTTTACCGAATGTCATTTTCCTCTTCTGTAAAATGAAAATTTTTACCTCACAAGGTTTTCATTAAAAATGCATATGGTATATTATAGACCCTCAAAAAATGTTTCTAATATATTTATTTTAAATTTGACTTTTGGGTCTCTAACTTTTCTCCTAATTAAGTAAATAATTTCTTATCTAGTAACAAAAACATAAAAGCAATAATTTACTATAAAAGGGATACTTTATAGATCAGTTGACACTATATATAGATATATATATTCAAGCTTAGGAGAAAGAGTGAAAACACATTTCTTTTTGTTTAATTTCTCCTCAGCACCTGGCAAAATATCAGAATTTGGAAGTAGTAGGGATGAGGACAGTTGACAGAAAATACATTTAAAATTACAGAAGTGCACAGGCCTTATGTATGGATTTTTCCAAATTTCATCCTGTAATACTGAGTGAGTATGTTGGTGATCTCAGATACATCAACTCTGTGTAGCATGTGAGGGATGGATACCCCTTATAACACATAGTCATGCACTTGCAATGCCACATTGTCTTTCTCTGACATGGAACTCCAAGGGTAGGGTCATTCTAGGTGTGCCCACCCTCTTGTGTTAATTACTGTGATGAATTGTATTGACCTAAGAGGTGACGTTAGTTTAATTTTTCCTCCAATAGCAAAATGTAAAAGTATTCATTATTAAGAACAAGGAGCATTTTGTAAACAGAACTTAAAATGTATTTAAATATATTCAATGAGATACTTATAATACTATTTAAATAAGCAAATTCTAAATAAAAATGCCACTTTAAATTCAGGTAAATAAGGCAGCATGAAAAGAATAAGTAAAAGAAAGATTATTTCAAAGCCAGAAAAAAGATATTCCAGCAAAAAATAATATCAAATTGGCTTAAAGCCAGCTAGTCATATTGACTACTCTTTGCTAGAGTTTCCATTTGCTATACAGTAGTTCTGTTCTCCTTATTGTTAGTGTGATTTTTCCAGGGCATCAAAAATTTGTGATATGCAATAGAAAAGATGTGAAATCAACCCTGGTGCCCATCAGCAGTGGACTACATAAGGAAAACGTGGTACATATACACCGTGGAATACTAAGCAGTCATATAAAAAGAACAAAATCATATCCTTTGCAGCAACACAGATACAGCTGGAGGCCATTATCCAAAGTAAACTAATGCAGAGGCAGAAAATCAAATACCTTATGTTCTCCTGTAGACGTAGGAGCTGAACATTGGGTACACACGGACACAAACATGGAAACAATAGACAGTGGGGAATATTACAGTGGGAAGGTGAGAGGGTTGAAAAACCCTGCTGGGTTCTATGCTCACCCACTGGGTGACAGGTTCAATCATACTCCCAACCCCAGCATCACACAATCTACCTCTGTAACACACCTGTATATGGACCCCCTGAATCCAAAGTAATAGACAAAAAATAAAATAAAATAAAATTGGTGATCTGTTGGTTGAAAAATTAACAGCAAAAGATTTTATTTTGGCCGGGAGCAGTGGCTCACACCTGCAATCCCAGAACTTTGGGAGGTCAAAAGACAGGCAGATCACTTGAGCCAAGGCATTCAAGACCAACCTGGGCAACATGGCAAAACCTCCTCTCTACCAAAAAAAAAAAAAAAAAAAATTAGCCAGACGTGGTGGTGTGCGTCTGGAGTCCCAGCTACTCAGGAGGCTGAGATAGGAGGATCGTTTGAATCTGGAAGGTGGAGGTTGCAGTGAGCTGAGATTGGGCCACTGCACTCCAGCCTGGACAACAGAGTGAGACCTCTGTCTCAAAAAAACGCATTATTTTATTCAACAACCTCTACTGACCATCATATGACCTCATTTAACCAAAAATAAGTTAAACTCAAAAGCAGAAAACAGACATACAGATAGGGGACTATCCAGAGAGAAACAGAATCCTTGCATCACTTCCATTTTTTGAGGCTTTTTCTTTTTTCTTTTCTTTTTTTTTTTTTTTTGAGACGGAGTTTCCCTCTTGCTGCCCAGGCTAGAGTGCAATGGCGCGATCTCGGCTCACTGCAACCTCCGCCTCCTGGGTTCAAGCGATTCTCCTGTCTCAGCCTCCCCAGTAGCTGGGATAACAGGCACTTGCCACCACGCCCAGCTAATTTTTTTGTATTTTTAGTAGAGATGGGCCTTCTCCATGTTGGTCAGGCTAGTTTGGAACTTCCAGCCTCAGGTAATCTGCCTTCCTCGGCCTCCCGAAGTGCTGAGATTACAGGCATGAGCCACCTTGCCCAGCCTGAGGCTTCTGATATACTACAAATAAATAAACAAAATAATATTTTATTTTATTTTATTTATTTTATTTTATTTTTGAGGCAGAGTCTCGCTCTGTTGCCCAGGCTGGAGTGCAGTGGCGTGATCTCAGCTCACTGCAAGCTCCGCCTCCCGGGTTCACACCATTCTCCTGCCTCAGCCTCCCCAGTAGCTGGGACTACAGGCGCCCGCCACCCCCGGCTAATTTTTTGTATTTTTTTTTTAGTAGAGACGGGGTTTCACTGTGTTAGCCAGGATGGTCTCGGATCTCCTGACCTCGTGATCTGCCTGCCTCGGCCTCCCAAAGTGCTGGGATTACAGGCATGAGCCACTGCGCCCGGCCAAACAAAATAATTATAATTAGGAAACAAGATTATAAAAATTGTGGTATACTTTAAATATTTCCAATTAACAAATGAAGTGGTATGAAGGATTTTTTTTTTTAAATTCTGTCAGTGCATCTGTGTAGCTATTTATATAACCTAGTCAGAGATAACATCCAACAGCTGACTCTGAGGCTCTTTATAAATAGGCCCTGATGTGCACAGATAAGGCAAGAGCTCAGCCCTGGTCAGCAGCCACTTTTGGAAGCAAGACCTACAAGATTTCCACTGACTGGAGCACGTTTTATTTTTAACTTTTATTTTAGGTTTGGGGGTAGATGTGGAGGCTTGGTACATAGGTAAACTTGTGTCACGGGGTTTTTTGTACAGATTATTTCATCACCCAGGTGTTAAGCCCGGTACTCAGTAGTTATTTTTTCTGCTTCTCTCCCTTTTCCCACCCTTCACCCTCAAGTAGACCCCAGTGTCTATTGTTACCTTCTTTGGGTACATGAGTTGTCATCATTTAGCTCCCACTTATGAGTGAGAACATGTGGTATTTGGTATTTGGTTTTCTATTCCCGCATTTGCTAAAGATAATAGCCTCCAGATCCATCTATGTTTCCACAAAAGACATAATCTCATTCTTTTTCATGGCTGCATAGTATTCCATGATGTATATGTACCACATTTTTTTAATCCAGTCTATCATCCACAGCATTTAGGTTGCTTATGTATGTTTTTGCTATTGTGAATAGCACTGCAATGAACATTTCCGTGGCATGTGTCTTTATGATAGAATGATCTATATTCCTCTGGGTATATACTCAGTAATAGAATTGCTGGTTCAAATGGTAATTCTGTTTTTAGCTCTTTGAGGAATGGCCACACTGCTTTCCACAATGACTGAACTAATTTACACTCCCACCAACAGTGTATAAATGTTTCCTTTTCTCTGCAACCTTGCCAGCCTGTTATTTTTTCACTTTTTGATAATAGCCGTTTTGACTTGTGTGAGAAGGTATTTCATTGTGGTTTTGGATGGCATTTCTCTAATTATCAGTGATATTGAGGTTTTTTCATACGCTTGTTAGCTGCATGCATGTTTTCATTTGAAAAGTACCTGTTCATGTCCTTTACCCAGTTTTTAGTGTTGTTTTTTGTTTTCCTTTTGTGAATTTGTTTAAGTTCCTCATAGATGCTGGATATTAGACCTTTGTCAGTTGCATAATTTGCAAATATTTTCTGAGTGGAGTACTTTGGGTCTTTGTTTATATGGGTCAAAAGAAATGAAGAGACAAGATGAATATCTGGCTAATTCAGGTAACATTATTCTCCCCTAATGCTTCTTTTAAAGAAAAAGCAAGAGGCTTGAGCCTGAATTAGGAGAGATGGATGTGGAGAAATACAACTGTGCACTGGCCTACACAAACTGCTGTCACTCATCATACCTCATGTCTCTGCCTAGCTGCCTGGCTGCTATTGTGATGTGGAATCCCAAAGCCACACTGTGTCTCCCTACTCACAGATTGGACCCTCACCCACACATTTCTTCTCACTAGAGTTTAGGACACCAGAGAGCCAGGTGGCCAAGCAGGTGGCGTCACCAGGATCTCCAGCCTGTGGGGGAAGAGGGACAATTCTGGCTGTGGCCGACTGGATTTGAATAATGTCTGTAGGACATGTGGCCTTAGCTGCTTCATAGCTAAATTTCAGTTTCTAAACTATAAAATGAGGAAAACCATAATCCTAGCCACCTTACCAAGCTGAGATGATTAACCATAAACTGCGTAGCTCATAGTGTTTTCTCAAAGGTGGAAGTTTGTGGTGACATTCCCACAACTAGTTTGAGCATTCACTGATGATGATTCTTGCCTAAATCAATTGTTTGTATAACAGTTGGAAAATGATAATTTTCCACGTCCACCATTCTCCCTAAACTTATTAATTACACTAGAAGACCTTTCTCTTCTCTCTTATATACTTATTTCTTTGTTTGTTTAATCAGTAGGGAATAACAGATTCTTATTTTACCCAATGGTTTATAATCTATTATTAATATTATTGAACTTGATGCTCAACTTTTCCCAGCCTTTGATCGAGAAAAGCTCCTTCAAGCTTTTCCTCATGTCCTTTTAACATGTCCCTAGCATTTCTTTTTTTTTTTTTAGCACTTCTTTGTTATGACATAACAAAGTGTTCAGGGCTTGTATAGCATTTTCCCTACCCTAGCCTTTTTGTTTTTGGAGAAGTCCTGCTTCTTTTTAGTGGGAGACAGTATATAGACATTTGGATACTAAATGTGTGTATTGCTTTTGGGTGTCATTGTTTTGAGGTCCTTTCAGCAGAAAACCTGGAGAATACACACACGTACTCACAAGTGTGACTATGTCTATAATAGTATTTAAAAACCATGCGTTCAGGCTAATACCACCAATTCCAATTCAATGCCACAGGGTTCTTCTTAGCCTTTTGCTATTATGTATTTGTATGTCTCTTCTCAACATCATCAATACATGTACTCATTGCTAACTCCTATGATACATAGGAAGTTGTTCAGAATTGCTAACCCACAACACTGCTAAAACAAACCCTACTAGAGTTCAAGATTTGTCCACAATCAGTTTTTTCTTATAGTCAAAATATTCTGTTCAAAAAACAAATCAGAGTAAATTGATTTTTTAAAAACAAAATTATTTGTGTTAGTTTCCCTCCTCTTCACTGTGGTCATGCTCTCCATTTGAAATACAATTAAGCTTAATTGTTTCATTTGTGTGACCTTTTAGGACTTGCCCCCTTCGATTTTATTGACTCAGTTTAATTTTATTTAATTTTGGAGTATGTAAACATTAATGGGTTCAAAAAGTCCATACTATACAGATATATACTCAAACATTTGACTTTCTCTTCTGTATCCCTTCCAATAAATTCCTGACTACCTCAACAGGCAACCAATCTCATCAGTTTCAATTTTCTCTGTCCTGTGTTTCTTTTTACAAAAATAGGCTAATGGAGCCATACAGAGATATAGGTATCTATATCTATATCTAACATCTATATCTGTATGTCTTTCATACACAAAAGATATATATATATTTATATATATATCTTTTGTCCTTTTATTATTATCCTAAACAACATGTCCTAGAAATGACTTTGTATCAGTTTGTAGATATCTTCCTTATTCTTTTTTTATAGCTGCATAGTGCTCAATTGTGTGGATATACCATCACAGAGTTTTAATGGATTTTTACATCTCATTTGATCCTTGCAATACTCTGTGAAGTAGGAGAATGTGTGTTATTATACTCATTTCATAGTTGAGAAAAATAGATTCAGGGAGGTAACACAGATGAGTATTGACAGAGCGGGATCTGAGACTGCGTCTTAAGTTCAAGACCAGCCCTCCCCTGACTGTGCTGTGCTATTAGTCTTTTTTTTCCAACAACTTT
Source organism: Homo sapiens (assembly GCF_000001405.40). Taxonomy (NCBI): domain Eukaryota; kingdom Metazoa; phylum Chordata; class Mammalia; order Primates; family Hominidae; genus Homo; species Homo sapiens. Next base: position 57,432,125 of record NC_000008.11, read on the forward strand.
TATTTTAAGTTCTAGGATACATGTGCAGGATGTGCAGATTTGTTACATGGGTAAATGTGTGCCATGGTGATTTGCTGCACCTGTCAACCCATCACCTAGGTTTTAAGCCCCACATGTATTAACTCTTTATCCTTATGCTCTTTCTCCCCCTACCCTCCTGGCCAGCCCCAGCATGTGTTGTGTCCCCCCACATGTCCCTTAGATTTCTTAACCCTCTACGTCTTAGGGTAACTCAGTCTTTGTGGGCTAGTCTGGAACAGTGCCCACTATTTATAACCTGTCTCTATGTTTAATGGTAATAATAATAATAATGTATTCTGAGTTCTGAACAATCACTTTAAAACAAAATTTTGTAAAGTAATCTACATCAGAGTCCTGAGTGTGCTTAAACTTGGTAACTTGGGAAGAGTTAATAAAGAACCTTGTTGTTGCAGGGAAGTAGGAATTAGAACAATAATGAGACACTCTCTCCTAACCATCTGACTGATCAAATTTAATAAGCCTAACTATACCAAGTGTTGTAGAAGATATAAAGAAACAGAAATGCTTGTATACTATTGGTATGCATTTTGTCAATCACTTTGGAGAACAATTTGGTAATAGTCTATACATTTACAGCTATACACAGCTTTAATGTAATAATTAACATATAGTGGGTTTATTAGTGCTTTTAAAAATGAATGAATTTATATATATTTTTTAATTTTCTCAGTTTTGATATCTAATATGGTAAATGTTGATAGCTGTAAGACACATATACAAATCTTGTTATGGTCCTAAATAAGCTTCAGGAGTGTAAACGGGTCCTGAGACAAAAATGTTTGTAAACTGCTGCCCTAGAGAAATGCAGGAATATGGACACAAGGCAAATTGTTTAAAAACATAGTCAGATTGTTGGTGATAGAGAAAGTGCAGACACAAATGTCCATCATGGGAGCATGATAAATGCAGTGCTGTATATTCATACAATGGAATTTCATACAGAAACCAAAATGGAACAACTTGGATAAATCTCAAAAACTGTTGCGTGAACAAAACAAGTCACCCAGAGTGTTGCATAGAATATGATACATTTTCTTTTCTTTTTTTTTCCTGCCTAGTCTGGGGTGCAGTGGCAATCACAGCTCACTGCAACCTCTGCCTCCCAGGTTCAAGCAAGTCTCCCACCTCAGCCATGTAAGTAGCTGGGATTACAGGTGCCCACCACCACATCCAGCTAATTTTTGTGTTTTTTGTAGAGACAGGGTTTTACCATGTTGGCCAGGCTGATCTCGAACATGGGGCCTTAAGTGATCTGCCCACCTTGGCCTCCAAATGTGCTGAGATTACAGGCATGAGCCACCATGCCCGGCTGACGCATTTTCTTTAACCTAAAAAAAATTGCAAAACAATTGTATGCATTGTGAATACATCCATGCATGTGCAATGAAAGCTTAAAAACATTCCTGGGAATGATGTATTCCAACTTCAAAATAGATGACTTCAACTTTATTATATGATGTTTTAAAAAAGATACATGTGAGGCAAATATGTGAAAATAATGGGATTTTGTGGGGTTACAAAGGTAATGGTTACTATTCTTTCTGGTTTTTGTTTGTCTGTTTGTTTGTTTGTTTGTTTTGAGAAAGGGTTTCCCTCGGTCACCCTGGCTGGAGTGCAGTGGCATGATCACTGCTCATTGCAACCTCCACCTTCTGGGCTCAAGCAATCTTTGGATCTCAGCCTCAACCCCTCAAGAAACTAGGACTCCGGGAGCATACCACCACACCTGGTCAATTTTTGTATTTTTTGCAGAGACAGCCTCTCCATGTTTCCCAAGCTAGCTTGAACTCCTGAGCTCAAGAGATCCGCCTGCCTCGGCCTCCCAAAGTTCTGGGATTTACAGGTGTGAGCCACCGCACGTGGCTTCGTTACTATGCTTTTCTATGTATCTGAAGTACAGAAAAGGAAGGAAGGAGGAAATGAAGGCCATTTAGATAATTATTGGAAATGGGATAATTATCGTAACAGATTATCAAAAATCCCTCAAAGCAAGAAGAAAGAGCATGCAATGTGAAATTATACCTTGGAAAATATTTTAGGTTCTTTGAGAAGAAAGGAAGATGGCTGAGGTGTAGTTATTAAAAACTCAGAAGAAGTTTTGAAATAAATGTTTATTGAATGTTTCTTACATGGTTGACACTACCTCACCCAATATTTAACTGAACCTGTAAAACAACACAGCAAGGTGTAATACATAGCATTTGGCATAATAATACATTATCTCAAATTTACAGATGAGCAAATCAGAGCTCAGGATAGTAGCTCAGGGTAAGTACACAGAGGAAGCCCACTTTGAGCCCAGGTCTTCTTGACTGGGGAGCTTTGCACTATGCAATTCTCTGTGTGCTTCCCAAGGAGTAGGGAACACAAAAAGAGATTGGAAGAGATAGCATTTCCCTCTCTTTAATGATAATTTGTATTTATAGTAACTAACCAAGGGGTTCAAAGAATTCTAGGGCTGTCATAAATTATCATAAATTATTCTGACTGTATATGAGAAACTTTAAGAAAACTGAAGCCTCATAATGGTCAAGCATTTTCCCCTTGCTTAGAACATTAGTTGCAATGTGTGGAATATAATTCTGTTTTTGTTTTGCAGAATAAAATAATCACACGGATCATATCTGCCTTTTAGGGGAATCTAGATATATTTTTAAATCCTAATTCAGTTCATTTTGCACAAATTAATGAATGAAAAGGACATTTTTGAGCACTTTTCTGTGCTATGCTATACCCCTTTTTACACATGATCTCATCCAATCATCACAGCAAGTGTGTAAGGGTTTTATTTCCCCCATTGTACAGATGAAGCAGTGAAGTGTCAGAAGTCAGAAGAGACTTACACAGAGTGAAACAGCAAAGGGGGCACAGTGCTATTTCCAACTCAGGGCTGTCTGTTTTTCTTATATTATGCTTTTGAACAATCATTAACTGACCATTCTTAGGATAAGACCTGAAGCTGACTTTGAAATACTTTTAAGTTCTTAGGGCCTGCAAAGCTCTCCTTTGTGAGGAGAAAGCAAGCAAGAGCCACGCTGTCCTGCCGCTCATTGAAAGCTTTCCAGGAAGTGCTTATTTTGTGGGCACTGCCCCTTCTTGATGAACCCTTGCCTGCCACTTTGGGAGCCAGGCTTAGGCAGTAGTGGAATTATTCCTATTATTATTATTGCAATGTTAGTAATTTTGAGCATAAATTCAAACATTTTACTTGTATGAAAATAATACAGGCATATAGTTTAAAATGTTTCCAAAAGCCTTGAAAGATTCAGGATTAAAGAGAACAGTCCCTTGCCTACCTTCCCTCCATAGTCCTGTTCCCAGAAGCAATTGCCGGATCCTTCCAACTGTGCCTTCTGGAACGTATCTCCATATTTAAAAATAATTTGCACACCAGCATTCTCTCGATCCATAAATTTTAGACATAATGCACTGATGTCTAATCATGATAGATAAGGATTTAACTCTGTTATCATCCTTCCCTTCCTTTCATCTTCCTAATTTTTTTTGTATAATAGCTTTGTTGAGAAATAATTCACATACCATGCAACTCACTTTTTTAAAGTATAAAATTCAATGGTTTTTATTATATTCACAGAAATGTATGACTATCACCCTATCTAGTTTTAGATCATTTTCATCACCCCAACAAGAAACACTGTACCCTTTAACAGTCACTGCCATTCTTCCCTCCCCTCAGCCCTAGGCAACCACTCTACTTTCAGTCTTCATGGATTTGCCTATTCTGGACATTTCAGATAAGTCATACAATATGTGGCACTTTGTATGTGGCTTCTTTCACTCACCATAGTGTTTTCAAGGCTCATTCATATTATAGCATGTATCAGAATTTTACTCCTTTTGTTGACTCAGTAGTATTCCATTGCATAGATACATTACATTTTGTTTGTCCATTCATCAGTTGATGAACATTTGAGTAATTTCCACTTTTTGGTTATTATGAATATTGCTGCTATGAACATTTGTATCAGGTTTTTGTGAGCATCTGTTTTCAGTTCTCTTGGATATATGCTAGGAGGGAATTGCTAGTATATTAATGATTTTTAACTTTTTATGGTACCACCAAACTGTCTTCCACAGCAGCTGCACCATTTTACATTCAAACTAGCAGCGAATGAAGGTTTGGATTTTTCCACATCTTTGTCAACACTTGTCTGTCGTTTTTATTTTGGTCATCTTATTAGGGATGTGGTGGTATCTCATCATGGTTTTGATTTGCATTTCCCTAATGGCAATGATGCTGATCATCCTGTCATGTGCTTATCAGCCACTTGTATATCTTCTTTGGAGATATGTCTATCCATATCCTTCACTCATTTTTAAACTGGGTTACTTGTCTTATTATTGTTATGAGTTGTGTGAGTTGTAAAGGTTATTTATATATTCTGGTTACAAGTCTTTTGTCAGATAAATTATTTGCAAATATTTTCTCCCATCCTGTAAATTGTCTTGTTATTTTCTTCATGGTGTCCTTTGAGGCACAAAAGTTTAATGTTGGTGTAATCCAATTTATCTACTTTTTCTTTAGTTGATTGTGCTTTCAGTGTCACATCTAAGAAACCATAGCTTAATCCAAGATCACAGGGATTTACTCCTATGCTTTCTTATAACAGCTTTATAGTTTAACCCTTACATTTAGATGTATGAATCACTTTGACTTAATTTATTCTCATATATTGTGTGAGGTAGGAGTCCAACTTCATTCTTTTACATGTGCATACCAAATTGTCCCAGCACCATTTATTGAAAACATAATATAGTTTTACGACAAACTTTGATTACATCACTATTTAGTATTTACACTATTATGGTAAATGTGTTCTCTGCTGAGCCAAGCAGTATATAGTTACTGTTTCCTTTCTTGTTAAAAAAAAAAAAAAAAAAAAAGCCCTTGTTTTTCCAAGAGTTAACAGTAGCCTCGTTTTTATTGTTGCCATTTCTTTAATTTCATTGAATTTATATTTATTTCTTTCCACACCTTCCAATAGCCCCTCTTTCCGCAAGACCAAACCTATCAGCTAATTAATCTATCACTTCCCATTTTTTTTCTGGAGACATCCCTTTGGGGCATCTGTTTCTGTGCACCAGTCTACATTTCTTGTTCCTAAAAATAATTCCTACCCAAACCTTCTGCCGAACACTGAATGCTTAAACACATAATCTTCCTCCTGCTTTTTTTTTTTTTGAGACAGAGTCTCGCTCTGTTGCCCAGGCTGGAGTACAGTGGCGCGATCTCGGCTCCGCCTCCCGGGTTCACGCCATTCTCCTGCCTCAGCCTCCCAAGTAGCTGGGACTACAGGCGCCAGCCACCGCGCCTGGCTAATTTTTGTATTTTAGTAGAGACGGGGTTTCACCGTGTTAGCCAGGATAATCTCGATCTCCTGACCCCGTGATCCACCCACCTCGGCCTCCCAAAGTGCTGGGATTACAGGTGTGAGTCAGCGCTCCCAGCCTTTTTTTTTTTTTTTTTTTTTTTTTCTGACATGCTCCTTGAGCCCTCAGCACTCTTGCTCCTGTCTATTTTGGCTAGGAAATCTCTTTAGTGAGTCCTGAGAACTACCATTGCCTTTCTCTTTTGTTGGTTCCTCTGCTTCCTGAATCCCATTTTCTCCTGTTTTAATTTACTTCCTAATTAGACGGGCTATAGACTCCAGAAGCTTCCTTAAAAAATGCATGGGAAACAAATTATTTTTTATCTTTACGTGATTCTTTGTTTTTAACCTTATATAAATAGCTTGGCTGGGATTTGAATTCAAGTTTAGAAATCCTCCTCAATCAGCACTTTGAAGGCATTCCTCCACTGTCTTCTGGCCTTCACTGCTGCTTTTGAGAAGTCTATGCCATTCTAATATGGCATCTCAATCCTTAGTATCTGCCTCATTTCATCTTTCCAGAAGTTTTTATGACTTTCTTTTTTTCTATTTGATATTTTGAACTTTCATTATAATATGTATTGTTCTAAACTTGGTGTGTATTGTACTGAATACTTAATGAATCCTTTCATTCAGAGCACTAAATTGTTTTGGTTTGAGGAAATTTCCTAATATTGCTTCCCTGATAATTTCTTCCTTACTCTTTTCTCTTCATAGAATTCCTATTATACAGATGTTCCACTTCCTGGATGATCTTTTACATTTCTTACTTTTTCTCTTCTTGTCCATCTTTATCTCTTCATTTTCCTTTTAGAGGGATATCTTAACTTTATCTTACAAACTTCTCACTGACATTAAAAAAAAATTTAAACTATTTTTTAATTTCCCAGAAGCGAAGTCTTTCTTGTTTTCTGACTATACGTGTTTTTTAAAATTAAATTTCTGTTCTTGTTTTGTGGATACAATATCTTTTCTCATCTCTCTGGGGATATTAACATTAACTCATGTTAAAATTGACTCATTTCCTCATTTCCTCTAGCCTCTAAGGTTGGAATTACTTCTGTAATATAGCTGGCCCCGAGAAAAATGCTATCTTCAACAAGTGGGTAATCAGAAAGATCGTTAATCCAACTGCACCCTTAGGAATATATCAGATGTGTTTGGGTGATTTTTTTTTTTTTTTTTAGTTACTAGCTTTATGCTTTCATGTGGAAACATTTCCTCAAATGTACAGCAATCGTTAGATCTCATATTTAAGAGCAGGACACAGAAAAGTTTAATGGAAGGTGTGTACTCATCATTACATAATGAGTACATTCAGGATTTTGTCCCCTTGGGAGAGCAACCTACTACATTTCACAAATCTTTCTTGAATCAGAAATTGCTCTTTACTGCAGGTGAAAATGCCACTGGGTTTTCAGTTATCTTGGGTAGAGTTCCATATTGTAGCTAAAAGAGACAGATCTTTCAGGGTCTTTTCAATCTCAAACAAACTCCTGAAATCTGATGACATCTGAAACATAGAATAAAGAATTTCTTGGAAAGTTAGATAGCATTATTGGCAGGAAAATCTCAAAAACTAAAGTTCAAAGTAACTGTACCAAGTAATCAATAAAACCTGGCAAACAAACTGGCACGGAGAAAGAGGCTGTGTAATTCAACAAAGCATTTAGACAAGCAAGACGGCCTTACTTATTTCTGTCATGCAGAATCAATTCAAATGCCAGCTTTCTATACAGGTTTTAGAATTATTTCTCTTGGTATAATAGTTTGAGTTCCAAAAGGATTCTAGAGGGTAACATAATGTGTCTCCAAATATTGTCAACTTAAAACCATGCATTATAGTTATTATTTAATTAGGCTATTGGTTAGCCCCATATATTCATTTCAGGTCTAATATTTGCTTGCTTCATTGAGATAATCTCATCAACTTAGTAAGCCTTGAGTTTCCCTTGCCTATTTCCAGAGTTTTTGTACTAAAAAATGTTTTTGAGCCTCAGACTCATACCAGTAAAAGTGACTTTTGCAGCTCTGTCCCCATTAGAACAGATCCATGATGTACCTTCCTAAGTTATTCAAAGTGTCTGTAGAGATTCTATGTGCTTTTTGAGGAAATTGTCCAAAAGCAGAATTTTGTACAGATATAGATATAAAATATATATGAAATAGTATATATTATTAATTATATATAACATATAAAATATATAATATATAATTATATATGAAATAATACTTTAATTATATATGTAAATAATATACACTATTTGTATATATTCATATATATTTATATATGAATATATAAAAAATTATATATTTATACATCTATATGTAAGTATATATTAGTATATCTATATAAATATAAAATATAAATATATATAAAAATATATCTTTCTATATGACTATATAAAAATATATATGAATATATATGAAATTATATATTTATATATCAATATATAGATATATACACATACATCTAATCTCTTGTGAGGAACAGCAGGAAGTGGTTGGGGAGGGGGTTCTGCTGAAGTGATCCTCATTGGGATATGAATATATATGAAATATATATGAATATGTATGAAATTATATATTTATATATCTATGTATGAAATATATCTATATATTGATATACCAAATATATCAAAATATATCGATTGATAATATCAAATTGATACATCAAATATATCAAAATATATCAATTGATATATCAAATTGATACATCAAATATATCAATAGATATATTAAAATATACCTATTGATATATCAAAATATACCTATATATTGATATATCATATATATCAATATGCATGAATATATGAATATATAAATATATATGTAATTATATATTTGTATATTAATATAGAAAATATATGAAATTATATATTTATATATTAATATATAAATATATATACACACATATCTAATCTTTAGTGAGGAACAGCAGGAAGTGGTTCGGGAGGGGGTTCTGCTGAAGTAGCGCTCATTGGGAAGCTTGAATAAACAGATAGGTCCTCAAGTCCCCACTTGCTCCTATCCACCCAGTTGACAGGGGCTCCAGACTTTGAGACGAAACTCACTGAGGAAGCTGGGGGTAATTGATTAAAATCTGCACACTGCATGATTATAAGCCCCACCCATATATATATGAAATATATGTGTATAAGCATGTATGAAATTAGTCTAAAAACTACATTTTACATAGGGACCATAAACATAACTTGACCCTTGAGATAAAACTACATATTATGCAACGGGGGTGCTGAGGTATCTTGAGATACTGGATGGCAAATGCTATACAACTCAGATTTGGGAGGTTAGAATTACTTCCATAATGTAGCTGGCCCACAAAAAAATACTAGCCCCAAAAAGTATGTAATTAAAAGGAAAGATTGTTTATCCAACCTTTTTTCAACTGCATCCTTATAATATATCAGATGCCTTTCAGGGGTGTTTTTATTTTTTTGTCTTTCTGTATTTCCACGTTTTATACAATATCTATGTATTTCTTTCATAATTGCATTGGGAATAATGAATTCTGCTTTGAGTCCTTTAAAATTCAAAAGATATAAATGAATTTTGGGAACTTACAACAATAAACATTTCTGATATACTCACAGATAGTAAAACAAATTACTATCATCTAGTTAAATAACAGCAAAACGTTCTGACATTGAATTTAGTCATTCCACCCTCAATTATGTGATGATCTCCTAAAGGTAAATATTAGAAATTTTCTCTCTCCAGACCCTTATTAAAGAGAAAATCATATGCTCTATAGAAGATACGCTGTCCACTTTTATAAGAAAATAGAATGTTCTTCTTTAACCAGAGTCTTTTATTATTCAGATAAGATTTTGAGGGTCAGATTCTGAGCTGCAACTTGAAATTTCCTCTGACTCTTTTCTTGGAGTAATTCAAAATTGGCAGGAAAGCTTTTGTTTGCTAACCACCAAGTAATTATTTCATCATAAGGCTCAGAAGAGAAAGAATGTCTATTACTTCTGCTTTTGAAGAGGCACCTTCAAGAAAGATTCAAACCCATTGCACAAGGGGTGGAAAAATAGACAGACACATGCAATTTGAATTTGGCAGGAGTATGAAACGCCTTTGAGATATTAGATTTTCCAGTTGCACCGCCTAGCAGAGTGAGAGCTGTCAAACTTGGAGAGACCAGTATGTTTTTAGTATATATAAATAACATATTGTTCACAGGATTAACAAAGGGTGGGGAAGTCCTGTGTTGTAAATAAAAGAATATCTTTGAAATATTTAGGTCTTGGACCAACTGCTGTAGATTATGTATATAATCTTGGATAAAATCCCTAAATTAGAGCTCTGTGTCTTTGACATGAACCTATCAAAGTTTGCTATTCTGAATCCTCTTATTAGATTTTGTGAGAAAAGAGGACTGGATTAGGAGTCAGACCTTTAGGCTCTGGCCCCACCTTTGTCACTTACTGTGTGGCGAGGGGTTTGAACTTCAGTTTCCTCATCTATAAAATGGGGATATAATTCCTAGTTACTTAATACATTTAATAGTCATGAGATGATACATTTAAAAGTATTTCACAAACTATAAAATGTTATAAACATGTAAAGAATTATTATTAGTAAACATAGTGCATGTAAAGGAATTTTCAAATTATGTAAAAACTCTTATGCGATACTATCACTGTGCCTTTTATTAGTTGTGTTGTCAAAGCTTGAGAATCCAGAGAGCTTTCTATACTGCTCTACCTGATAAACCCAAGGTAACAAATTGTAAGATGTGTGGTCACTGGGGACTTGTCCCATGCTGGTTACATCATCAAGAAGTGGCGCATGGCATGGAGGGAAGAGCGCCTGACTTGGATCAAGATGCGCCTGAGTTTGGTTTGCCAGATCCTTGTAGAACCTTTAGGAAGCAGCTGAGCCTCTATTTTTTTTTTTCTCTAACGAAGGATTGAACTAGATAACCTCTAAATTTTTATCCAGTAATAAAATTATATTATTGTATAATTGCTTAAAATATCAATTGTCTTTGAGGGTTCACTAGAGTGATTCAACCTTTGTGCTATAAGCCCCTGTGAGGGGCTGCAACTACGATTCTACAGGAATCACTGAGCTACTTAAAGGCAGGATTAGGGAGAGGTATTTTTGTTTTACTGCCCAGAGTTGACCCTACACAGCCAAGTGCCCACCAACGATAGTAGTAAACAACCCAGGAGCCATCATAATATGAATAAACAGCAAGGGTCCCACCTGCCGGGCCAGTGAGGTGTGCTTTATTGTCATGGTGTTCCTAGGAGCAGCTGAAGATAAACCTATACCAGATGGCCTGACTCCATTGCTTTGAAATTACCACCTACTTTAGAGGGGAGTCCTAAGCCCTAAATCTCTAGGGAACTGATTAATTAAATCAACCATTTTTGAGGATTAGATTTTGTTTTGAAGCTGTTCATAAGCCAAAGGTATTCAACATGAAAAAAATATATATATATATTTTTGAGACAGGGTCTCACTCTGTCACGCAGTACAGTGGCACTATCCTAACTCACTGTAACCTATAACTCCCAGGCTCAAAGGATTCTCCCACCTTAGCCTCCCAAGTAACTGGGACTATGGGCATGCACCATCATGCATAGCTAAGTTTTTCAGTTTTTTTAGAGAAGGAGTCTCCCTATGTTGCCAGAGTGCTGGAATTACAGGCATGAGTTACCGTGCCCAGCCAACATATTAATTCTGAATCAAATAGGTATATATTTGAATCCTAAATTGTCAGTTTACTAATGGGAGACTCCAGGTAAATTGTTCGATTTCTCTAAGTCTCAGTTCCTTCATCTCTAAAATGGGATAATGTCTACTTTGGAGATTTATTATACAGATAATGCATTAAAATATCTTATACATATTAAGGATTCAGTAAATGGTAATTACTGTTAATTGATGAAAAAATATTTCTAAAATTTAGGGATAGTTAACAATATAATTTATATTAAAATGAGTCTGAAGGGTTTCAGAATTTTCACATCTATTTCTAACTTTGCATTCAGTGACATTGTTATTAGCTGAGATTGGCCATAGGGGAGTATTTACACCATAGAAATTGGCAAACACTACAAGTTAGATCTATCTCTTTTTATTCCAGAGCCAATTGTTAGATACTTATAAACACACCACTGGATATAAAATTCCTGCATTTTAAAAAATATTTGGCTTTATTATTTAAAATGTACCTTTCCAAATAGTTATTTTTAGTTTCTCTTTGAAATGGTGCTTCATAAGAAAAGATACTTGGTTTCATTTACTGATTAATTCCAAGTGTCTAAAACAATAAATATCTGAACAAATATTAGAAATAAGCAACTGTGCTTTAGTAGCATTGCCCCTGCCATACACTTACAAATAGTTCCTATCCTCAATCTCTTCAAATGTTCAAAGTATCTCTAGATTGTAGTCCAAGTTTATCTCGCTAAAGTACGAAAGGCCTAGAAGATTTTTAGGAAAGAATCTGAATATCAAAGCGTAACTTCTAGCTTAATGCAGCACATTTTTAAAACACACAACTTTGAACTAGACCGCATTTGGGAGCCTTTGGTACAATAAGTTATTCACAAATCAACCTCCAGATCATATGAACAAGTGAATCTACAAAGTAGAATTATTGGCATTAACTATCTGAATGCTAAAAAGATAGATTTGGCTTTGAGGTAATTGATAATAAGTTGTCCTTCTAGGGAGGAACTAAGAGTATAAGCGGCTTCTAGGAGCCAGTTCAGTGATACAGTAAGTTCCTGACATCAGCACGTAAAATGGTGCTTTGTCTTTTTATCTTAAGTTCAAAAACAGGCTGATATACTTCTCATTAGACATGAGTTAATTTGATAAAGTGGAAATGGTAAAGAAGAAACTTTAAAAATTTTATTAATGATAAAATAATTGAAAAAATGGTAGACTGGTTGGAGAATGTGAAAGGTGTTGTCAAAAGGTTAAGTTAGCATAAAAGTTTTCTGGAAACGTGTAGAAGTGAAGAATCAGTTTCCTGTCACTGAAAGGAAAATGATGAGCTTGGTTTTCAAAATGTGAAGTTTCAGGTGTCAGAGAGACATTCAAATGGAGATACTCTGGAGGAAAGTTGAGTCATGATAAAATAGGCACTGAGCATTTCCCCATCTCTGTCTCCTCAGGGCCATTCTTCTGCTGTTAAACACCCCTACAAGCTTAGAAAAAAGATATTTCCTCTTTCTAAGTAATTGCAAGAACCGCAATTACTTTTGCTCCAACCTAATACTTCAAAAACCCAATGTCTTTGCTTTTCTCAACTATCTCTTTTGAGGCAAACCTTCTCTCAAAATGCCCACTATGATCAAGTTCAAATAGTTTGTTAACTTCACCTCCATACTATGAAGGAAGTTGGAGGGTACAGCTCTAAAAGTTGAATGATATATCAGATGCTGTGGTATAGTGTTAAGAACTTAGACTCTGAAGGTAAACTTGGCTTGAATCCTAGCTCTACAATCTACCACAGGTCTGGCTATGGTCAAGTTAGTCTTACTGACCTCAGTTTTTTTCTCTGTAAAATGCATATAATAAAAATTCCTTATAGTACTGTTGTCAGGATCAAATGAGATAGTTCATGAAAAGAACTCAGTCTGGGTCCTAGCACATGGTAAACATCCAGTAAATGAGAGCAAGTATAACCCATGAGTTCTACTTGTCCCACACTTAGCCCAGGGGATGCATTCCTGGAATGGGAACTGTAAGTAAACCAGCACCACAAGGGACTGGGAGCAGTGTTGTGTATTCCCTGTGAAGATGAGTTCTGGCGTTATATATTGGCAACTGCTCTCTTGTTCTTGTCAAACTCTTAGAAGTCACTGAATGCTCTGGCCATAGGTACCTCTAGCCACTATTCATGTGCTTGGTCATTCCTCCCAAGCTACTTTATGATATTCTTCAAGATGTTGCAGGACTTCCAACCATCCTTAATTGCCTGCTTATCATTAACCTCTCTTCACTATATTTTTCCTTCTCAATATAAAACTTGATTTTTGACATCCTGCTTGAAAAGTTTCCATGAGACTTTGGCAACATGTGCAGCACTATCATTTGGACAGGGCACCATCTATAGACAAATCTGTTCACCAAAACATGAAATATTGGCAGAAGGAGAGATTACAACAGTGTGATGACCAGATACATGAGCACCTTTCAAAACAAGAAAACCTCACTGACTGCCGTGGTGCCCCTGCTGTGTTGTAAGCTACATAGATGTTTGGGGGTGAGCAGGGCTAGGCTGAGTCAGTGTAGTACAAGGGGGAATTGAAAGAGGAGCTTGCCCTCAGCCATTCCCTAAAACAGGGGATTTCCCCAGAACGTGATTTACTTTAGGAAAAAAACCTAAATTCAAATAAGGCTTGGAAAACCTGGATAAATCTTAGGGCTCTCAAAATCCTAAAGAGTCAGAGGAAATCTGAAAGTAAAGAAACCCTTCTGACTCAGGTTAGCCCATACTTTCCTGAGTGTATGGACCACAGAACACATTTTTGTGTGCAATAAGTAGAAAACCCCATCAAGTAACCCTTCCAGGCACTTCCTGTCCTATTCCATTTTGGTCAGAAGGTTGCCCTTCTCCTGAACCTTTATCTTCATGGTTACAGTCCTTGTAATTAATAGACATTACTTCTACCCCTAGCCCCAAATGAACTACTGTTTTAACCATTTTTTGTTTTCTTGTTATACCAAAATCTTTTCTCTTTGAGTCTCTGGTACATTCCAATTGCCACCAATTCCACTAATCTTCATACCTATAACTTTACAGATACTATTTCTTATACTAATAGCCCATCCATTTTATTTCTTAGAGCAGTGCTGTCCAATAGATTTTTCCATGATGACAAAAATGCTCTCTCTCTCTATCTCTGCTGTGTCCAATACTCTAGCACTAGCCACGGGGGACTATTGAGCACTTTACGTGGCTAGTGCAACTAAATTTTAGCAAAACACAATTTTTAATTTTAATTAATTTAAATTTAAATGGTCACATGTTGGTAATCACTGTCATATTGGAAAACACCATTGTTGGGGAAACTCCCTGCCAGAACAGAGAACCTCCCTCTGGAAGCAGAGACCAAGCTCAGACCAAAGACAAAGGTGGACCACTTCAGGTTGGTAGGTGGTTAAAGGTTTATTTGGGGGGAGCTTACATACCAGGCAGTCTAGAGTGGCAGCAGGACAAGGAAGATCTCTGCGTTTGCAATGCACACTGTTCTCTTACATCATGAGAAGAAAACAGAAAAGGAGAAAAGAAAAGCCACTGATGGTGTGTCAAACCATGTGGTTTTTTCCTAATCTATTTGCTTTCCACTTAAAGGGATTGTTTGAGTTCCCTACAATCTGGTCACATTCCTAAGCGAGGGATTCTTTAAGAAGCAGCGGTTATCTTGTTTTACCAGGTGCTGTATCCTACTCACTTCTTGGTCACACACCCAGAACACATTTACACAACAGCAGTCTTAGCGGATCCTGTATACGTACCTATAACCAGCAGAGAAATAAGATAATAGTTAGAAGTCATGTGAGTAAGACAAAGCCACAATAACCCTTACAAGGCACAAAACATTGCTGATCACCAATCGTCTCTCAAAATGCATCATGTTGAATATTCTTCTGATGTACCACTTGTATAATTTTTAATAATAAAAATATTGATAATTTTTGGTACAATATAAAATTCTACTGAAGTATAATAAATGAAACCACTTAGTGAAAAGGTGAATATTAATGAGCCTAAGAGGAAGGTTTGGAAAATTACACTTTAAATAATGATGGAAAGGTTGGAAATAACCTCCAGGGATATTCAATTCAGATCCACCCTGATGTAAAATTGACTTTCAAGTATTCCAGTGGAAAAATCCAAATTCGAAAAATAAGAAATCTACCTGAGTAAAGTACCTGCTTGTGTCCATGGCTACCTCCAGGGTGGAAGGGATGGCCTCCCCTCTGGTGAGAATACAACCCAGGCACCTCAATGTTCATGAGAGGGTTCTCTGCTGCTTACACATCTGGTAACGGGAGTGTATTGATACCCTGTCCGTTACAATATTGCTTATCAGTCCTTCAGCTTCTTGTTAGACACTCTACTTGTGAACTGTCTGAATATGGTTCATTTCGAAAGTCTAGCTGAGACAACTGACATTTGCCAAGGGCCCTGTTCCTCAAAGTTCCCTGAGTTCTATTCATGTGTCAGGTCTAGTCTCGAGTTTCTTCATCACAAAAGCAAAGCCTCGCAGCGTGCCTCAGCTTCATAAGAAACAGTCGTGAGTAGAACTTCTGTGCCTTCTTTGTGAAACTACTGGAGGGACATTGTTCCAGGATGCCAGTCACTATATCCACCCACTTGAGAACTTGCTCGCAGACACCAGAGCCAGAAAACGTTTGCTTTTTGACAGACTAGAGTGTTTCATTTTCTAAGACAATGAAACATATGTAACTGTTGTAGGAAAATCCAGGTTCTTGCCACACAACCAGGAAAGATTAGGCTCACAGACACTTTGAAGGGCGAGGGGGACGAAATGTACTGGGCGAAAAGGAAAGAGGAAAAACAATACAGCAAAGTGAGAGAGGGGTTCCTGTTAACAGGCCCTCATCTCACAGTTTGAATTCCAGGTTCCCACCCAGGAACAGAAGGGCCAGGCTCCTTCTCCTTGCAAACCTGAGAACTTCCCATGGCTCCAATCTGTCCTGCCAGTGCACAGGTCAGTTGCAGAGTCTTCCAGACTGGCAGTTCGGTTTTTCAGCTGTCAAGTGTTTTATGCTTGAAGGCAGGGTTTTGTGAGGGGTAGGCCTTGGCTGCCACCTATCTCTATCATAACCAGTGTGCTTCCCTCTTTGACTTCATCCTCAAGATACTCAGAGCTAATTATGCGCTTATTTGCAGATTTTCTCAGCCCGAGATTTATTTCTCTTCTTTCTTTCTCTTTCTTTCTTTTCTCTTTCTTTCTTTCATTCGTTCTTCTTTCTTTCTTTTTCTCTTCCTTTCTTTCTTCTTTCTTTCTTTCCTTCCTTCTTTCCTTTCTTTTCTTTCTCTCTCTTTCTTTCTTCTTTCCTTCCTTTTCTTTTCTTCTTTCCTTCTCTTTTTGCCTTCCTGCCACTGCCTCCTCCTCCTCCTCTTTCTCCTCCTCTTTCTCCTCCTCCCCCTCCTCCCCCTCCTCCTCCCCCTCCTCCTTCTCCTCCCCCTCCTCCTCCTCCTCCTGCTCCTCCTCCTCCTTCTTCTTCTTCCTCTTTCTCCTCCTCCTCCTCCACCTCCTCTTCTTCTTCTTCTTCCTCTTTCTCCTCCTCCTCCACCTCCTCTTCCTCCTTCTTCTTCTTTCTTCTTCTTCCTCTTCTTCTTTTTAACAACTTTTTTTACAGCCAATATCTGGAGAAAACACTTTTAAGAAAATGTTAACAAATAGATATAGTAATTGATATAAATGTAAAAATACATGTTTCCTTATAAAGGGAAAAATAACCAGAAGAAGAGATAAAATCTTTTAAATCAGTTTTACACAAAGAATATTAAAATTTTGACAATAAAAGTGATCTTATTTAAGAGGATTCAGTTTACATCCTTTTCTAGGATCAACCAAATGATTAATGTCAAATCCCCATGCATAAATGAGTTTGCATAGTGCATAATTAAGAGTTAATGCATTTTTTCCTTACATTTTCCAAAATTATAATAAAATTGTATAACATAGAATTTATCATCTAAGCCGTTTTTATGTGTATAGTTCAGCAGGGTTAACTGTATTCACATTGTTGTGCAACTGATCTCTAGAATTTTGTCATCTTGCAAAACTGAAACAACAACTTCCCAGTTCCCTTTCTTTCTAGGTTTTGTCTACCACTGTTCTTTCTTTTTGTGAGTTTGACTACTTTAAATACCTCATATAAGTGAAATCATATAGCTTTTGTCTTTTTGTGATTGACTTTTTCACTTAGTGTAATGCCCTTCACCTATGCTGTAACATTTGACAGCATTCCTTCTTTTCAAAGGCTGAATAATATTCCAGTGTATGTATATACTACATCTTAAAAATCCATTCATCTGTTAATAGACATTGGGTTGCTTCTACCTTTTGGTTAATATGAATAATGGGTCAGGGAACATGGGTGTGCAAATACCTTTCTGAGGCTCTGTTTTCAACTATTTGGGATCTGTATCCAGAAGTGTGATTGCTAGGCCAGGTGGTAATTTTATTTTTAATTTTTAATATTTTAGAAACCTTCATACTGTTTACAATAGCAGCTGCACCATTTTACATTCCCACCTACAATGAACAAGGGCTCTAAGAGCTAATTCATTTCTTAAGGCCTGTTGCTTGTGTCTTGTGACTAGGAATACATACATGACCACTTCCAAGATTACCCCAAGCCTGCCTGTGTCACCACTTCCAGCACATGAAAGTGTACCCTGTTATCTCAACAGCACAGCAGGCATTGGATCATGCTCTTGGAGAAGCAGAGAAATGGGAGCTTGTACTGGCATCCAGTAGGCCCCCAGGGGGCTGAATTGTGCTTTCTTTTTTCAAGGAACAGCTTTGTTCTCATTTGGAGGACCCGGAATATACAGCAATATCAACTCCGCCAAAGAGAGAGAGTCCCTGCTGTGTGCTCTGTTCCATGACAGGCATAAGAGTCACATTAGTGGCAGCTCACGTCATAATCAGGGATCTTAACAGTTGCCTCCAGATGTGCCCAGCTGGGTTACCCCCTGATTCTTCCATAATTGGACAAACATACTAACAAACTCAGATAGAGGTTTAATAAATAAGATTTTTCTTACAACTTTAGGTCTGTAAGAGTTCATCAATTTTGTCATCTAACTAGAGTTTTTTAAATGGGGCCTTGATCTGGGGAAATCCATGTCCAAGAAAGGTATTTCTAGAATGCCTTCCAGATACTTCTGACGGTTTACTACCTCCTTGACTTATGCAGCATTTTGGCCCCCATATTCTCCACCCCCAGTGCTGTGCCTGTGATGGTGCTACACTGCATGGCAAAGGGAGTTAAGGTTACAGATGGAAAGGCAGTTGTTAATCAGCTGATCTTATAATGGGAAGATTATCCTGGGTTGTCTGGGTGATGCTGATGTAAACATATGGACCTTTAATATTGGAAGAAGAAAGGCAGAAGGGTCAGTCAGAGAAATGCCAGGACAGAACAGGCAAGAGAGAGCTCAAGTGGGAGAAGGACTGGACCCACTGCTGTTGGCCTTGAAAATAATGTCAGGGGTCCACAGGCCATGAGTTGCAGGCTGCCTCCAGAAGCTGGGAATGGCCCTCAGCTGATCACTGGCAAGGACACAGGATCTTAGTCCTACAACATAAGGAAAGTGAATTCTGCCAACAGTTTCAAGGAGCAAGAGAACCGATTCTCCCCTAAATCCTCCACAAAGGAACACGGCCCTTCTGACACCTTAATTTTTGCTTATTGAGAGAACTGCAGGATTTCCAACCTACAGAACAGTAAAACAATTTTTTGCATTGTTTTAAGCTGATAAATTTGTGTCAATTTGTTACAGCAGCAATAGAAAATGATTACACGATTTTATCACAGTATTTTAGGAATTAAATGAGCCAGAGTTAGCAAAACACAGAGTCTGATCAATCGCAAGTGCTCAGTCATTTTTGTTACCATCATTGACAAAACACAACACAGCTGAATGTGCTCTAGGGAAGCCAGGCACAGAACAGGAGCCATGGGTTGTCTACCTGCAACCTGTCTCCTGCCAGGTGGGCACAGTTCTGGCATCGTGTTGTTGGTAGGACCTTGGCCAACTAGGGTGGAGCCTGAGGGGACCACCAAAGCCACAGAAACATCTGGAAATGATGCTCCATAAAAAATGGTGGGAGGAAGTTTATTTGCACAGCTTAAAATTGAGAATGCAGAGCAGTGAAGGGGCATGAATTCATTCTGAAATAAAATGGAAGTGTTAAACTTGTATTGCTCCAGAGAGTAGGATTGAATGAATCAGCAAAAGCTACAGACAGATAATTTTGCATTTGATCACACCCTTATATCTTGAGCATTTCACAAACTGAGTGGACTGCCTGGCAAGTCAGTGAGCGCCCAGTGCCTAGGAAAGTTCAGACAGGATCAGGAAGCAAGAACATGAGGAGGGGGCTCTGCCCAAAGGGACTGTGTCTGCGTCTCCTTTGGCCCGTTCCTACCTCCCAGTCCTACTCATTACAGGCATGCATGGGCAAAAACTGCACGCAGTTCACAGAGTAAAAGATGTCTCCAAGTGCGCACTCACAAATGTCATCAACATGAATACAAAAATGTTGAGAGTTTTGCTCTTTGGGCTTGATTACATTGACCATGTACATCTCTGTTGAGGTTATGTTACATATTGCAGGGAAAAAAAATTTCACAAAGAGGTGTTGGCTTTACAGTCAATTAATGCAAGCAAGGGTGTCGTCTTTATGGTCAATTAATGCAAGACACCTTTGTGGAGGTGGAAATGGATGAAATATTTTTTCTTTTCTTCTCAACAAAATTTTTTAGCTGAGTCGAGGCTCTCCAGACCTGATATATTATATCTTCTAATGGATTTATTATTATATTCATTGTGCTTATTAAAGGCCGGTGGACATTTGTGTCACTATAACTAATATATCCAAACCTTTGTCTAAGTACATTGACATTCTGCTGCTTTTAATAAATAAATTGTGATACTTTATCATGTTTGGTCAGAGTCTGTTCATCTCAATTGGATATATTTCTTAGCATCTAAAATGTTTTGATATTATTCTTTCATTGATATTACCAGAAAGTGTCAGTAGAATATTTGCACTAAAGTGCATTATATTTGCTACTTAGCTGACAGTAACTATTCAGTTGATTGTCAGAAGCACTTCAATTTTAGAGAAGCTAAAATATAAAATGGTTTATTCCTCGGGGTAAACAAAAGCTGTTATTAATATAAAATTATGTGTGAGTGTATGAACTAATAAATGTAGGATTTTTTAATTCAGAAGGAATGAAATTAAATATTTAGACAATCATCATTTGCAACAATCAATTAAATGACTAATTCAGGCAAGAATCAATAAAATGTATTAAAATCACTAGTGATAGCTATTAAACAGAATATTGGCAAGGTTCCCAGCAGAAGTTTCCACATAATCACAAAGAAGATGACCTTTACAGTGAATCTCTCTGGTGGGCACCAGTTTAGGACAATGATCCAATTCAGCTTTAAGAAGAGTGGGTCAACATGAAGGTATATATTTCATGATTCAGTGTGAAATACTCAACATTATTTATGCCGTATTTCTACCAAGACTAACTTACAGGAAATAAAATATAGAGAAACAATTCAAGTATACTATGAAGAAACATTTAGAAAAACTTAGAATGTTCTGTAAGACAGAGAACCTAGTCTCTTCATATTCACCATGAAAAGACAAAGGAGATGTTTTGTTTTTTGAAACAATTATTTTTTAAATTGACATGTAATAATTTTATAATTTATCAGGTATGATATGATGTTTCAATACATGTGTATATTGTGCAATGACCAGATCAGGATAATCTGCATATCCATCACTTCAAATGTTTATCACTTCTTAATAGTAAGAACATATAAAATTCTCTCTTCTAGCTGTTTTGAAATATATATAATACATTATTGTTAACTCTAGTCCCCCTACTGTGCAGTAGGACACCAGAACTTAAGCTTTATATGTCACTCTAACTTTGTACGCTTTGACCAGTCTTTCCCTATGCCTCCACCTCACCACATTTCCCAGCCTCTGGTAATAACTATTCTACTCACTACTTCTATGGGATCACCTTTTTGGATTCCACATTTGAGTGAGACCATGTGGTATGTGTCTTTCTGTGCCTGGCTGATTTCACTTGGCCTAATGTCCTCTAGGTTCATTCACGCTGTCACAAATGACAGGATTTCATTCTTTCTTATGGTTGAATAGTATTCTGTTTTTGTGTATATATATATATATATATATATATATATATATATATATATAAAACATTTTCTTTATACATTTATCTCTTGATGGACACTTAGGTTGATTCCATACCATGGCTATAGTGAATAGTGCCACAAAAAAAATGGGAGTGCAGAATCTCTTTTGCATACGAATTTCATTTTCTTTGGATAATACCCATAGTGAGACTGATGTGTCATTTTGTAGTTCCAGTTTTATTTTTTTGAGGAAACTTCATATAGTTTTTCATAATGGCTGTACGTGAGATTTTTAATTAAAAGAAAATAATTAAATGTAAGGTATAAGGTTCCTATTTTTAAGAATAATCTCTAAGAACTATTTCAGAATAATTAGGGAAATTGGAATATAGACTAGATATTAGACACCTTTAGAAAATAATTAATTAACTTAGATGTGAAATGGTACTAAGATTATACGGGAAAATGTCCTCAACTGGGGGAAATGATTGCTAATATATTAAGACTGAAATGTCATAGGGCTGCAATTCATTTTTAAATGATTTAGCAAAGATAACAAAAACACATATCTATAGATAAGTACATGAAATATTGCAAAATGTTAGTAATTATTGAATCAGGAGTAAGTATATAGGTGTTTATTGTACTATTCTTTCAAATTTTCAACTTTGAAAAATTTATAATACAAAGTTAAGAGGAAAGTAAATACTCAGATAATGACTGTTGATTCAAGAACATCTTATGAATCAATAAGCAACTTTTAAATGTCCAGAAAAATCCTGCCCCAAAGTGATGTGACTTAATAGAGTTATCGACCTAAGCAATATAAAGTCATTGAGCCAAGAGGATCTGGACAACTTCTCTTTTGGTGGCATTATAGGATAAACGAGCAAATGAATAAGACCCATTCTGACATGACAGCTCCCCATGAATCACAGCTCAGCTTGATATATCTCCATCTGATGTAGCCTCCTTGGTAAGAGGAGCCTATGGGAAGCTGGCTTTGCTCTGAAGACAGAAATGTGAATATGGGGAAGGGTATGGTAGAATGGCTTCAGGTTGGAAATAGGCTGAGCTGGTGCATTTCATGTTATAGATGTATCTTAGGATAGAACTCAAGACTCCTTGTCCAGAAAAGAGGTGAGACCTTGTGCAGTAGACCTCAATCCAGGAGGAACAATAATCACTGTGTTCTCTCTCAGCCACATAAATCAGGAGAAAAAGCCAACCCAGACATAAAGGAGTCTTTCTAGCAAGAGATGATGGGGGGGATGATCACCAGTTAAGTCTATTCATTGTTTATCCTATACCCATTACATGAATTTTTTAAAAAAACTATCTAATATTTAAAAGGTATTTACTTTCATTAAACCAAGCATGTGTGTTAGAAATAAGATAGAAGGGGCTGTAAATTATTGGTGTTGGCCCACAGAAATGATTTTGCAGAAGAAAGACACATAAATCTTCTTCGACTAGGCACAGGATCACAGGAACTTATAACCTTTGTGGGCAATCAGTGGAGGTGGAAACAAAACATTGTAGGCAGGGGTATCAGGATTTCTATGAAAGCAGAGTTTTTGTTTTCAGTGGTTTGGAGTGGATGAGGTGGGAAGATGTGGAGAAATGAGCCTGCTTGGGCCAGATCACACAGGACTTTGCACGTGTACAAATATAATAGTTCTTACACTGAAATCTTTGCATTTTCAATGAGAATTTCTGTAACTTGGTGTTTTAATGTTTATGGTAATCTAGAAAATGGGCATAAATATATTTGGAAACTTTTAGATGACTATCTGTATTAGTTACCATAGATTATTTGCCATAACAAGTAAGCTGTAAAATCTACAATGGTTCAAATGCAATAGAAGGATATTTCTTTATCATATAACAGCATTGGGTAGATGGACAGGTTGGAAGGACAAGCTTTCTCCATGCAGACATTCAGGGAACCAGGCTGTCAGAAGCTCTGTTAACTTTAGAAAGTTTATTCCAAGGTTTCCCTGAGTGCCTCTCCATTCCAGGGAAATAAAGAGCCCTGAGGATATCATATGAGAGGTATTTATGGTGGGTTCGGAAATAATGCACATCACTTCTCATATCCCATTGGCTAGAATTCAAACCCATGGCTATGTACTGGCTAACTGCAAGGGAGGATGGGAAATGTTGCCTGGCTGTGTGCTAATGGACAGGAGAAGAACTTGGATTTTGATAGCTTCTATATTACTTATAATTGTGTACAAATATTTACATTTATTGCCCTTGTTTACTTTTATGTTTATGAGCTTACTTGTTCAATGTCCCTCAACTGAAAGTGCATCTCAAAATGAGATTTATGAATTTGTACATTTGAGTTCTGTGTTCACTCTCAGCCACATATTATATGAAGTGAAAACAAGCATCTTCATGAAAGGGGTTGGTTGAAACCTTACTCAGAATTTTCTAAGATGAATCACAACCTGGCTTTGCCTACTCCTGGCACCAGCATTGTGGGTGAAAGGGAATGACAGAAAGGGAAATGACAGATCACTAAAAGTTCATTTTCCAGAAATAATCACTTTTTACTTGGGTTGGGAGATGTGCATGGATCTTCAGCTTGTTCACCTGCTTTGTTTTAAATATAAATAATAACACTACCTTGCAGTTGTAGGGGTTCAGTCAGTATGGTGGGAAAAATTGTAAAATAAACCTTGGAAGGCCAGAAGGTTTTTGCAAAAGCCTCATGATAGAGTTATGGCTGAAGGCAGCCTAATCCTCCTTGAGCTATAGCAAGGGTAATTAACATAAGAATGTAGAGGAGTCTATCTAAATAGCTTGTTTACTCATGTGGTCCTAAGACTAACCTTTGACCATCCCTGGGTGCATGATTGCTCTCTACTCAGGGTGTCGTAATGGTAATTACCTTCTAGTGGTGTTTACTTGAGATATTTGTCATTTAATGTGTGCTGAATAAATGCCGGGAAGGCCAGTGAGTCGGGACGTGGTTGCTGCTCTTTACAGTACTCTCCTGGTAGTCTGTAAGTGGCCCGACTCTCAGCTGGACTGACAAGCATAATATCTGTGTCAGTGTACGTTATTCATCTGTTGTTGGGTCAGGGTCTGTGGGACGGATCCCTGCAGCTAGTGCCCCATGTGAGGAACACAGCAAAGGAAGCACGACGGACCCCCCCAAAAACAGAGGTGAAAAGGACTGCGTGGTCAGTGAGTAATCAGTAAGTCATTGGTGCCCACTCAGGATCTCCAAGTCTGGGGGGAATTGTTCAGGCTGAGGTTTCATCATGGGGCAACAGTTATCAGCTCAATGGAAACAATATATAAAAGTGTTGAAACAGTTGCTTAAAGCTAGTGGAGCCTCAGTTTCGCAGGCTTAATTAAGGGACCTACTGCAAATTGTTGTAAACCATAATCCATGGTTCTCAAAAGAAGGAATGATGACATAGAGCTCTGGGAACAAGTTGGGAGAAATCTTACACAACATTATGCACAAGGGCAACAGGTCCCAGTAACAGCTCTAACACTATGGGCTTTAATTAAGGTGGCCCTGGCTCCATTATGCACAGAAAAGCCTAAAAAGGGAAAGGAGGAGGAACCACCACTTGCCTTACTGCCTCCTCTTCCCTCAGCCCAGATATCACTGGGCCAAAATAACAAAGAGGAAACAGAAGTTTTGCCTGAGCCCCCTCATCCAATAAGTAGGAAAAAAGACAAGAAACATGCTCCAGCTATAAAACCTTGTCTTAAGCAAGCGGCATCAACAGGGGAGCTCTTAGCCTGCCTGGTAATGCAAGATTGGCAGGACAATCAAGTATACAAACCCATTTCTTTTAATGCTTATAAAACGATGAGAAAAAGCATTAGAGGCCTGAGCAACGTGGTCAAGTGAGCAGTAAGCAAAAGGGAAAGCTCAGCAGCAGGGAAGCTTGCAAACCCCGAGCCAGCAAATGCTCCTGGGAACTTGGCCTTCATGGTGGTGGCAGGGGCAACAGGGAGCCAGTTCCAGGGTGCTGGAGCTGGCCTGCTAGGGAGGGGCTGGAGGTGCTGGCAAAAAGGTCCACCCAGCTGGCAGCAACCACCCAGCAGTTGGGGGAGGGAGTGGCACAGAAAGAAGCCAGCACCAACAAAAAGCAGCAGCGCCTAAGCAAATGCAAAGCAGCTGCCACCCTGGGACCCACCTGCTCAGCTCTCCAGCTCCTCAGTGGCTCACAGCAAAATTTCATGTCTTCCTTGTATACAAGATACATACTAAATTATAATTATCTGCACCATTTAAGTAAAATTTAAGAATTTAAAAGACCTCTGATAATGGCCACTGTTGTTATCTCTCTCCTACCCTCTCCAACATGACTCTCTCCAAATCCAACTTAAGTAAAAGAGTAACCTCTCAAAGGAGAGAAATTACAGAAAGCCCATAATTGTGGCAATTCCTCAAGATTGGCCTATAATCATTACTGCCTTAAAAGACTGGTTTTATACTATTCTCCTAGCAGAAGAAGACAGAGAAAATTTTGCCTTTACAATACTAGCTATCAATAATGAAAAGCCAGCTTGTCAATTTCATTGGAAAGTGCTCCCTCAAGGCATGCTGAATAGTCCTACCATGTGTCAGTATCTTGTAAATCAAGCTTTGCTCCCCAGTAGAAAAGAATTTCCTGATTGCAAGATTATTCATTTTATGGATGATATTCTACTAGTAGCCCCAACAGAGCCAATACTTTTAAATTTATACACCCCTGTCATAAAGAATACACAGCTAAAAGGTTTAATCATTGTACCTGAGAAAGTACAAATGTCTTCTCCTTAGAGATATCTTGGGTACATACTAACTTCCCAGTCAGTAAGACCTCAAAAGGTTAAATTAAATACTAGCAACTTACACACCTTAAATGATTATCAGAAATTACTAGGTGATATTACTTGGCTCTGCCTCACTTTAGGCATATCTACTGATAAGCCGTAAAATCTGTTTTCTATCTTAAAGGGCAATACAGCCCTGGATTCTCCCAGATATTTAACCCCTGTGGCAAAAAGGAAATTGAGGAAATAGAGCAAGCCATCTCTCAGAGGCAGCTAAATCGCATTGATCCACGGTATTCAATTCAATTGTTTTTTTTTTTTTTTTTTCCCACCAAACAGTCCCCTACAGGATTAATAGGACACATGGCCCCCAGGCTACGCTTCCTAGAATGGGCTTTTTGCTCACATGCTGGGACTAAAACACTAACTCCCTATATTCAGTTAATTACTAAAGTCATCTATTCAGGCCACAAACGATGCAATCAGTTTATAGATTATGACCCTGATGTCATCAGGATTCCTTTAAGTAAAAAGCAATTCGAAGCAGTATTGCCAGTATCTATCAATCTGCAAATAGCTTTCTCTGATACACAGGACAAATAGAGCATGTCCTCCCTGCTGATAAACTCCTTCATTTCTTATCCTATCTCATACTCCAATAATCTTGCCCACAAAAAATAGTTCACTCCCCCATACCTAATGCTTTAACACTGTTTGCTGATGGTTCTGGTAAACATGGAAAAGGGCAGTCTGCTGGAGACCACATAATTCAATCACTTGATCTGGGTTTACTAGCACTCAGAGAGCTGAGACTGGGGCCCTGATATTGGCCTTGGAAGCTTTTTTCACTCTGCCCATAAATATTGTGATTGAATTGGCTTACTCTGTTTATTTATTGCAGAACCTTGAAACAGCCTTAATTAAGTCTACTCTGGAGTCCACCCTGTGTGCTCTTTTTCTTCGACTTCAGTAATTGCTAGATCAACATATACATCCTATTTTTATCACACACACTGGAGCCCACAGCTCTCTGCCTGGCCCATTGGCTTATGGCAATGAACAAGCAGACCTTCAGGTTATGACATCACTGCTTGACCAAGCCACTCAATCGCATCAATTTTTCCACCAAAACTGCAGAAACTTATCTAAACAATTTCGACTTACCCAGAGACTGGCTAAACAAATTATCCTACAATGCCCAGATTGCCAGCTCACAGGCACATCCCCTCCTTCCATAGGTGTTATCCCTAGAGGACCAGAACCTAATCAGTTATGACAAACAGATGTTACACACATCCCTAAATTTAGAAAACTTAGGTATATACATGTATCCATTAATATCAATTCTCACTTAATTAGTGCCCATGCTTTGCCTGGAGAATCAACCCGATAAGTCATTAAACATCTTTTAACTTTTGCATTTATGGGGCGGGCCACAAAAATTAAAACTGATAATGATCCAGCTTATGCCAGCTCACAATTTCAATAATTTTGTCACACATAGCATATCCAACATTCCACAGGCACCCTATATAACCCCCAAGGACAGGCCATAGTAGAACATGCCCACTCCACCCTTAAAAATATGCTCAAAAACCAGAAAAGGGGGAGTATGGGTAAAGACCCTGCAACACTATTGGCACAAGCCTTTTTTACCCTTAATTTTTTAAATTTAGATGACAAATTTCAATCATCTTTAGAAAAGCACTTTGCTAAAACCTCTGAAGGCATAAAACCTACACCCCCTTAGGTCCTCTTTGGATTCCAGCATGATGCATCAAACCATACCATGGCATGGCTGGGACCCAACCCAGTACCAGAGATGAAGGAACTGACCCTACAGGACCTGCAGGCCCAGACAATGTGGCTTCCATGGATGACACAAGCCCCAGACATTACCTGGGGGATGCTGAAGAGGTCAACTCAGGAGGCTGAACAAATCCTGCTCTGGACACAGACACCATTTACTCCATATAATTTGTTCTTTGCTATGCTTTCTGTTGTACATTGCAACCCATGTAGGGTATTGATCCTTTTTATGCTCTTGCTTTGTCTGCAACTGTACCTGCTACACTCTACTGGGCTCATATCTTAGATCTGCCTTTCTTTCACACTGTCACCTGGGCAGACACCCCTTTCCCAGCCTATAATAATGTAACTGCTTGGCTGGGAGGGATAGATTTACCCCCAGTGGGGTCTGTCATTAATGGCACACATTGGATTAACGTGCCAGGTAACACTGCATATCAATTCACTATCCTCCCACTGTGTGTAATTTATAAAGGTTCTAACCCTTACTGTGTATCTTCCCAAACACAATTATGGCTACATCATGGCAAAGGAAATGACTTAACAGCCTTAGCTGCATGTAGCCTCAAACCAGGTAATGCAATCAATGCCGCTTTCCCAAACAATCATTCCTGTGCCAAAGAACAAAGCCTGGGAAGTAACAGGTTTCACGTTAGCTGGGAGGTCTGTCACAGGGGACAAGCCCATAGCCTCCAGTTAGACAATTATAACATCTTAGACTAGAGCCTGCATGGCCATTTGCAGGGCAGCCTTACTAATGTCCTCATCCGTCGTGGCATCAATCACAGTTTTGTAGCCACATCCCGTTCCCCTATGATTTGGGCCAATGGGGGGATGGGATATCCCAAACCCAAAGTAAAATCCATGCCACTTGAAGATGCCTAGGTGCCTAGGACATCTTGGCACCTCCCTTGACACGTGGCATGGGACATATCATAATTCCACTAACAACTATACTATAACCATTATTCATAATCACACGGATCAGTGCCTAATTTGCACTACCCATCCGTATGTTTTCCTTATGGGAACCAATATTTCTATTTCACCCCAAAACTCTGCCTTTGTGACACAGGTGCAGTGACAGGCTTGGTTTGCCTCATGTATCACTAATTACAATATATCTGATCTAAATATTACTAGTGTCATGGTATTAAGGAGAAAATCTGAGGCATTCCTATCAGTCAATTTGACATGTGATTGGCAAGGTTCCTCTGCCCTTGCCACCTAAGAACGTGCCCTGTCCCAGGTCAGACATAAAAGATTCATAGTTACACTTATGGCCTTTATAGTCTCAGCCATAGTCATCCTGACAACGGCTAGTGTTGCTGTTGCACCTACTACTGAGTCAGTACAAACAGCTGCCTTTGTAGATAATCTGGTCAAAAATGTGTCTAAATGGGAAAGAGGGCATGCATGTGTTCACACCCTCTTAGGTCCTCTTTGGATTCCAGCATGACACATCAAACCATACCATGGTGTGTCTGGGACCCAACCCGGTACCAGAGATGAAGGAACTGACCCTACAGGACAAGCAGGGACCTACAAATGCCGTAGATAGATAGCAGGGTATAGATCAAAAAATTCTTGCACGTCTGCAAGCTCTCGAGGCTGCTTTGGAATATGCTGGGGAGCGACAAGATGCACTGGCATTCTGACAGCAATTAAACTGCAACTGGGAGCATAAACATATCTGTGTCACTTCTCTACCATGGAATCAATCAATACATAATCAGGATGACGTGAAACAACACCTCTAGGAAAACTTCCATGACAATTTAACAGCAGATGTAAAGCAACTTAAAACTAAAATTTTAGAATCCCTTCACACTATAGATCTACACACCCAAAAAACAGCCATATGGAAGGGTGTGCAAGATCATCTCTCCTGGTTAGATCCCTACTCCTGGCGGGGGGGGTCATTCTTTGACTGGAAAAAATGTTGCTAATTGTTGGAGGTTGCACAAATGTTCCTTATGATTAGGCATAATTGAAGCCTGTCAGTAACAATATGAACCTGTGATCAATTAAGCAACTGGCCAATCATTACCTCCTCCTGCCTACTCATTCTACCTAATAAATACAAAGGGCTGTAGAAGCTCAGGGGCTGCCTTTGCTCTCTAGAAGCAGGGAGCTCTCTTCTTCTCCCCATGTTAACTTTTCTTTAAAACGGTTTCTTTTTTCCTTGGTTTTCATTTCTAAGTTCATCCATTCTTTAGTCATAATGAGAGAAGAGAGACAGATGCTCTCATATGGTTTTATATTGTTTTATACTCAGAAAAGAAAAGCAAAACAAAAGGCATGCAGCCCGGTGCCTAGGAACCAGACCCAAAACCAGGCCTGGGCCTGCCTGACCTAAGCCTGGTAGTTAAAGATCGACCCCTGACCTAACCGGTTATGTTATCTATAGATTCCAGATATTGTATAGAAAAGACATTGTGAAACTTCCTGGCCTGTTCTGTTTCACTGTGACCACTGGTGCATGCAGCCCTTGTCACGTACCTCCTGCTTGCTCAATCGATCATGACCCTCTCATGTGGACCCCCTTAGAGTTGTGAGCCCTTAAAAGGGACAGGAATTGCTCACTCAGGGAGCTCAGCTCTTGAGACAGAAGTCTTGCTCAATGCTCCTGGCTGAATAAACCATTTCCTTCTTTAACTCAGTGTCTGAGGAGTTTTGTCTGCGGCTCGTCCTGCTACATTTCTTGGTTCCCTGACCGGGAAGCGAGGTGATTGGCAGATGGTCGAGGCAGCTCCTTAGGCGGCTAAAGCCTGCCCTGTGGAACATCCCTGCAGGGGACTCTGACCAGCCTGAGCGACGTGGATCCTGAGAGCGCTTCTGGGTAGGCATTTGCCCCAGTGGGATGCCTCACCAGAGCAGTGTGTGGAAGGCCCCCATGGAGTCTCAACACGGTGGCTGAACACCGGGAAGGAACTGGTATTTGGAGTCCGGACATCTGAAACTTGGTAAGACTAGTCTTTAGAACTTGCCTACTCTGAGTGGAAGCATGGCCTGATCAACCACAGCATGCCTTTATCAGCACTTTGGTTTGGTTTTGGTTTTAGTTTTGACTTGGTTTGAATTGCTTGACAGGACTGGTCTTGGAACTTGCCCACTCCATTTGAGTGGAAGTGTGGCCTGATCACCCATGGCGTGCCTTTATCAGCACTTTGGTTTTGGTTTTGATTTTGACTTGGTTTGAATTGCTTGACAGGACTGGTCTTGGGAACTTGCCCACTCCATTTGAGTGTAAGCATGGCCTGATCACCCATGGTATGACTGTACCGGCACTTTGGTTTTTGTTTTTGACTTGACTTGGATTGCTTAATACTTTGGTTTTGGTTTTGACCTGGCTTGGATTTCTGGATACTCTGATTTTGGTTTTGATTTTGGTTTGGTGTAAACTGCAAAAGTGTGTGTGTGCCCTTTTTATCCGTTCTTTGTTTTGTGGTGTGCGTGTGGTGTGAGCGTGATGTTTTGTCTTAAAGAAGCATAGGTCAGGCACAAATAATGGTCAGTGCCCTAGAGGTACAAAGAATGGGAAGTTTTTGAATCAGGGTAACACAAGGAAGGGTTTGATTATTTCTTTTCTCTTTTTTGTTTGGAGTTTGGTACATACCATTTTTTTATTTCAGGGTTTATGAAAATTTTTTGCCCTACCTACAGCACTTATTGAGGGTGGTGAACAGGAGAGGGAGGATGAAAATTGGCTTGTATCATCTTTTTTGGCTACAGAAAGGCCAACTTTAGCTTTGGCTTTCGTGGATTGTAAACGTGCACTGGCACCTGTGAGATGTACAGAGAACTTGGAAGGTTTTTTCAAAGCTTGTCAAGATGTGGGAACTGAGCTTCAATGTTCTGCAGTATTGACTCAGGCAATGGCTAATTTGGTAACTGACAGATCTAAAAGAAGCCAAGGGTTAAGCCCTAAAGTGGGAAAATGTTATAAGTGTAGAAAAAGTGGATGTTTGAATGCTGTCAGACCTCTGGGTAGAAGGGATCTTATAACACAGTTCCTCTTTCAACAGAAAAAATGCCAGGACTTTGCCCTTGTTGCAATAAAGGAAATCATTGAGCTAATCAATGCCACTCAAAATATCATCAAAATGGCACACCCCTGTCTGGAAACGAGAAGGGGGCCTGGACCTGAGCACCTCAAACTATGAGGGCATTCACTGTCCAGGCCACAACTCCATTTCAGGGATGGGTTTCTGGAGGCATATTGATTCCCTCTTCCCAGGAATACCTAGAAGCTCAGGATTAGATCTCCCAGTTAGAGAACAGGCTATGTTAATTGGAAGAAAAAACTCACCAAGATTCACAGTGGTATTTAGAGACCTTTGCCAACAGGATACATGGGATTAATTTTGGGCAAAAGCTGTCTTAACATACAGGCCCGGGAGTTGTTGATTTTGATTGGGAAGTAGAAATTCGGGTAGTGGTAATGTCACAAGATCTTTGGGTTTTTGAACCGGGAGAATATGTTGCTCAAGTATTGCTTGTTCCCTGTAAATTGTACCCTTTTCTACATAAGAAGTAGTGAGGAGGTCAGGGATTTGGAAGTACAAATAGGAGATTTATCCATCACAACCCATAGCATCTCATAGACTCACTTGTGCAGTGTATATTGAAGAAAAGTTTTGTGGGCTTATAGATACAGGAGCAAGAGATTGGTCTCTCATGGTAATAGATCTTGAGGATTGTTTGCAAGAAGGATAAGCCTCGATTTGCTTTTTTTGTGTCTGCTGTTAATCAGAAAGAGCCTGTTTCTCATTACTGGTGGAAAGTTTTACCCCATGGTAATTAACCAAAGAGGCAGAAACTGAGTTACAGCTCATAGAACAAATGCTCAGCAATGGCATGCCTCCTGGCTACAGCCGCAAGAGCCTTTTCCTTTTTTTCAGTAGATTTACTAACGTGGGGATGAGGGTATGCTTGTGTTTTTGCAGGAGATGAACAAGCCATGTGGGTGCCCTCAAGATGTTTGCAACCATGGAGACTGGAGGGACCCATGGATTCCAAATATAGGCCTTGTTACCCCAGTACGAGCCATGAGCCAGTTGAATCTGAATGTGAAGACAGAACGAGGACAGACTGGAGTCATGTTGACATCAACCCCCATAACATGGGGACAGATCAAGAAAACCACACAGGAAGCTGAGCAACTGCTGGAATGCCAGGGTTTCACCTTTTGCTGGAACTCATATAATCAATGCTTAAGAGACCAATGCTTTCTGAGTTCCTCTCTACCCTGAATACAAGAGACATTAATAGCTATGTGGAAATATCATCACCCCTATTCAGCATGAAGAAGTTGCAGTAGACAGACCTTCATCCTTCTGCAACCCTTAGGATTAAGGATCTTGTTGTAAAAGGGAAAGGGGAAATATGTAAGAAGCATTCAAACCAGAGTGACACCATTTTGAATAAGGGCTAAGAAAAATGAAGCTGGATCACAAACTGGCAATTAAGGGCTGCACAGTCTGCAATTGCCTTGCCCAATTAATTTAAAAACAAAGGAGATGTTGGAGGCTACACAAATGTTTCTTATGATTAGGCATAATTAAAGCCTGTCAGTAATAATATGAACCTGTGATCAATTAAGCAACTGACCAATTGTTACCTCCTCCTGCTGGTTCATTCTACCCAATAAATACAAAGGGCAATAGAAGCTTATGGGCTGCCTTTGCTCTCTAGAAGCAGGGAGCTCTCTTCTCCCCATGTTACCTTTCCCTTAAAACAGTTTTTTTTTCCTTGGTTTTCATTTCTACATTTGTCCATTCATTCAGTCGTAATGATGGTCTCAAGTGGTAACAGTAGTAACTTCTGTAATTACGGTCTTAAGCAGTAACAGTAGTAGCTGCTGTAATGACAGTCTCAAGTAGTAACTGTGGTAGTCAGCCAGAGCTAATTATACTCATGATTGTCTTACATTATTTGCTAATTCTAGGATGCAAAGCCAGAATAAGAGCAATGACCACCATGCCTGACAAACCTGTTACTGCATACATCTGTGCTCTCCAATCAATAAGGCCGATGCGGAAAGCAGAAAAGGGGGAGATGGAGGTGTTCAGTCAGCATGGTGGGAAAAATTGTAAAATAAACCTTCCTGGAAGGACAGAAGGTTTTTGCAAAAGCCTTAGGATAGAGTTATGGCTGAAGGCAGCCTAATCCTCTTTGAGCTATAGCAAGGGTAAGTAACAAAGGAATGTAGAGGAGTCTATCTAAATAGCTTGTTTACTCATGTGGACCTATGACTAACCTTTGACCATCTGCAGGTGCATTATTGCTCTCTACTCAGGGGATCGGCAATGGTAATTTGCTTCTAGTGGTGTTTACTTGAGACTTCTGTTATTTAATGTGTGCTGAATAAATGCCGGGAAGGCCAGCTAGTTGGGGCCGTGGTTGCAACTCTTTACAGCATTCTCCTGGGAGTCTGTAAGTGGCCCAGGTTCTCAGCTGGACTGACAAGCATAATATCTATGTCAGTGTACGTTATTCATCCGTTGTTGGGTCAGGGTATGCAGGAGATGGATCCCGTGTAGTGTTGGCCAATCATTTTATATCTAATATAACATGCATTATAAAATGTATAATTTAACATCTTAACAATTCCATCACC
Source organism: Homo sapiens (assembly GCF_000001405.40). Lineage (NCBI taxonomy): Eukaryota > Metazoa > Chordata > Mammalia > Primates > Hominidae > Homo > Homo sapiens. The sequence continues at coordinate 57,466,734 of NC_000008.11, forward strand.
TTGCATTTGTTGTGACATGTTATAATTTACAAAGTATTCTTTAAAACATTTATTACCTAATTTAATTTCAAAGTAATCTAATAGGATTGAAATTTTTACTCCATTTGATAACAAGGAAACTGAGCTTTTGACATTTGGCTAATCACTTATTCAATAAATACCTAAATAACTCTTTTGTATTGCAGAAGCAATAGCTGGTCAGTGTTTTTATAATACTGTTATTTTGAGGAGACAAATAATGTCTTCCTAGTGCTCTGTAATCACACCATTACTCAGCTTCTCACCTCTTTTTTTTTGCACCTGTGTGTAATTTCTGGCTAGATTTTGTCTACGGCACAGCATGATTAAGCAGCTTGGAAGTGCTTCAATGACAATTTGAAGGTGGTGTTTAAAAAGTTTGGAATTATCTTTTTGGTTCTCTGCATTTGCTAGGTATACACAATTCCTCCCTCAGTGTCCATCTTCATTCAACAATTACAGATAATTCATTTAGTGCTTTGCTTTTAAATATGATTTGGAATTTATTCTTTTACAGCTTTAACTATGTACACAGATTTTTTTGATAGACACTAATAGCAATATTTGTTGCAAAGGAACTTTGTAAATAGTTTGCCTTTTCTCTTTGCAAATCAGAGGAATTTGTGTCTGTCAATGAGAAGGCATTGTGGACACTAAAGAGATGTGACTGAAAAATGTGTTAGGTGGAAAAAAGAGTACTGCTACAGAAAAGTATGAAAATACATTTATATGCTTTTAGAAACAGCTGTGTTTTGATCATTTATTCACATCTTAGCAAAGGCAATTATATTGCAAAATGAAAATGTGATTTTTCATTTTGAAATATAATTATAGCTCATGGAGAAATCTGGAGGAATGTTTATTTTGAGGCTCGTCCCTATAGGTATTAAATGATAATGGTGGTTATTAGTTATGAAAGAGAACTGAAGACTCAACCACTCTGCCATAGCACTGAGTCAGATGGTGCTCATTTTGTGTGATGGACAATTGTTTCTCATGCAAAAGAGACAAAAATATTCAGTAATAGTTCCTGAGAAGAAGCTATGCAATGGGAACTGAAAACTGACAACGTCCATCAATAGTAGAGCTTATTTGAGATGAATTTAAAACATTTACTTTCCAAAATAACATCAGCATATTGTTTTCAGTCAATTTGCTTACTTGTTTTACCCTCATATTGGAATGTAATTGAATCACAGATCAGGGAATGTCAAAGATGGCACAAGTTCTTGCAATTTTGCATTCCTCTTTCCATAAAAACAGTAAACCATTAGAATTCAGTTTATATACATAATTTCACCCTAAGAAAGGAGACTTCTAAGAATATTCTCAGGGACACCTGCCCCATACATATTCTTGTATTTATTTGTAGCATGGATTCACAGAACATGTCAGCTAAAGCTGGACCAAAGAGATAGTCTAATGCAATTCTATTGTTTTAGAGTAAAAGAGGGAGAAGGAGAAGGAGGAGGCTGAGGAGAGGAACTGGAGAATGTAGTGGAAGGAGAGGGGACAAGGGAAAGAGCCCGGGAGAAGAGGGGAAGGGGACAGAGGAGGAGAGAAAGGAGGGGAGAAGGAGAGGCACAAAGAAGCAAATAGGTGATTTTGTCCAAAGGAAACAAAGCAAATAGCAGCAACTAAACTAGAATTTAGGGTCTGTAACTCCTCATTTTTGTCCTTTCCATGGCCTGGCAGAATATCACAATAGTGAAAATCCTTACTTCTAAACTGTGGCACAGTTCACTGTTTACTAGGTGTATGACCTTGGGTAGATTCCTAAGTCTATCTACTTCAATTCCCTTACCTATAAAATGGGAGTATTCTAGTATCTACATCATGAGATTGTTGAAAGGATTATATGAAATAGCATGTGTACTACACTTAGTAGAATGCATTTGTTTGTATCTTTGTGTGGGTGCAAGTGTGTGTGTTCACTGGAGGTTTTGTAATTTTTTCATTACTGTTGTTTCTGGTGTGCTGGTTCACTTGACTCATAGTTCACATTACAAATGTGAGGGTTCATTCCTCTATTTTTCCAGTCTCATCTTTGATCAGAGGTGATGCCTGGAGTTGGCTTCCAAGTGAGAGTCCTCAGAGCAACTGTTGAGAATTTAAGTTAAAAATAAATTATCAAATAATGAATTTGATCACTGGTTGACCTGAATATGTATAATACAACCTGTTGAACTCTGATAAAGTCAGAGTGATTATTGTTGAATGTGAACTTGCTTTTGAATAACAGACACAGTTAACGATACTTGCAAACTGTATCATCAGTACCACCCCAGGGGGTTACAAGGTTGACCCCACTCGTATCTGGAGATTAAGTTCATTATTTCTGATATTTGTCACTCAGGGATGCCTATCTTAGCTGATTACATGAAAGAACTTTCCAATAGACCTACTCTAAAGGAATGGTCTGGCTCAGGGAAGCAAGTCCCAGCTGGAGTCCAAGAACAGAGTCTGAGTGATTCACATGGAAAGACTGGAGCAGCCAGGACTGGAATGTGGAATGGGTGGGCCAATATGCAGACACTGAAGTTCTTTCTCGAAGTGAGCTTTTAGGTCTGGAATTCTTGAATTAAAACTATTAAAGTGAGGAAACTTTCCTTCTGCATTTCCTTAGCATATGTGGGATTATGTTACTTTGTTACAATGAGCAAATAGAAGCACACACACACACACAACCTTTTTTAGAGCACTTTTAGGTTCAGAGCAAAACTGAGAGAAAATATAGTGATTTCCTTATGTGCCCTGCGTAACTCCCACATATAGCCTTCCCGATTAGGAACATACCCCATCAGAGTGGAAAATCTTTGAAAAGTAATGAAACTACAGTGGTACATCATAATCATCCAAAGTCCACAGTTTTTCATTAGCGTTCACTCTTGCCGTTGTACATTCTGTGAGTTGAACAAATGTTTAACAACACATATCCATCATTAGCATCATACAGAGTATTTTCCCTGCCTTAAAAATCCTCTACATATCCATTCCTCCCACCTCCACACCCCAGTCTGACAACACTTTTTTTTTTTTAACTGTCTACATGGCTTTTCCCTTTTCCTGAAAGTCATATAGTTGGGATCATATAGTATGTGGCCTTTTCAGATTGGCTTCTTTCACTTAGTAATATGCATTTAAGGTTCTTTTATGTATTTTCATGGCTTAATAACTAATTTCTTTTAATGCTGAATAATATTCCATTGTCTGGATATACCAGTTGATTTATCCATTCATCTGCTGAAGAACATCTTGATTGATTCCAAGTTTCAGCAATTACAAATAGGCCTACTTTCAACATCCATGTGTAGTTTTTTTGTGTGTGTACATAATTCAACTCCTTTGGGTAAATATTAAGGAGCATGATTGCTAGATTGTATGGTAAGAATATGTTTAGTTTTGTAAGAAACCACTAAAATGTCCTAAAAAGTGGCTGAACCCACTTTGCATTCCCACCAGCAATAAATTACAGTTTCTGTTGTTCCCTATCCTCACCATCATTTGGTGTTATCAATGTTATGTTATGAATTTTGGCCCTCTGATAGATGTCAGTAGTATCTCACTTTTACTTTAATTTGCATTTCCCTGAGATAGATGTACGACATTTTTTCATGTGCTAGTTTTCTATCTGTAGATCTTTGGTGGGGTATCTGTTAAGGTTTTTGGCTCACTTTCTAATCTGCTTACTTATTGTTGAGTTTTTAGAGTTTTGGGACTTTAGAGTTTTGTATATTTGGGATAACACTTCCTTACCTGATACGTCTCTTGCAAAAAATATTTTCTCCCGGTCTGTGGCTTGTCTTCTCATTCTCTTGATATTGTCTTTTTCAGAGTAGAAGTTTTAAATATTAATGAAGCTCAGATTATCATTTCTTTTGTGAATAGTGCCTTTGGTATTATATCTAAGAGTCATTGCTATACCTAAGATATTTAGGTTTTCTCCTATGTTATAGTGTAGAAATGTTATAGTTTTGTGCCTAAAATTTAGGAATAAAATCTATTTTGAGTGAAATTTTGTAAGGGTATAAGGTCGACGTCTAGATTTATCATTAGTATTATTATTTTGCATGTGGATGTCCAGTTGTTCCAGCAGTATTTGTTGAAAAGACTGTCTTTGAGACACTATATTGCCTTGGCTCCTTTATCAAAGATCAGTTGATTGTATGTGTATGCATCCACTTATGGACTCTATTCAGCTCTATTGATCTTTTTTTCTATTTTTTAGCTATATTATGCTCACTTGATTACTATAGCTTTATACTAAGTCTTGAGATTGGGTAGTGTATTAGTCTGTTTCCACACTGCTAATAAAGACATACTTGAGACTGAGTAAGTATAAAGGAAAGAGATTCAATTGACTCACAGTTTCACATGGCTGGGGAGGCCTCACAATCATGGCAGAAGGCAAGGAAGAGCAAATCACATCTTACATGGTGTCAGGGAAGACAGACCTTGTGCAGGGGAACTCCTTTTTATAAAACTATCAGATCTTGTAAGACTAATTCACTGTCACCAGAACAGCATGGGAAAGAGCTCCCCCCATGATTCAACTACCTCCCACTGGGTCCTTCCCACAACAGGTGGGAATTGTGGGAGCTACAATTCAACATGAGATTTTGGTGGGGACACAGCCAAACCATATCAGGTAGTGTCAATCTCTCAACTTGGTTCTTCTGCATCAATATTCTGTTGGCTATTCTGAGTCTTTTGCTTCTCCACATAAACTGTAGAATCAGTTTGTCAATATCTACAAAATAATGTTCTGGGATTTTGGTTGGGATTGGAATGAATCTATAATCAAGTTGGGAAGAAATAACATCTTGACATTATTGAGTTTTCCTATGCATGAACATAAAATTTCTCTCAGTTTAGAATTTATTTTTTTATCAGAATTTAATAGTTTTTCTTATATAGACCTTATATATTATAGGTTTATACTTAGGTATATCATTTTGAGGGTGTTAATATAAATGATACTGTGTTTTTAATTTCAAAGTCTACTTGTCCATTACTGGTATATAGGAAAGCAATAAACTTTTATATATTAATCTGTATCCTGCAACTTAGCTTACTGATGCCAGGAGATTTTTGTCAATTCTTTTGGATTTTCTACATAGATTATCATATCATCTGTGAACAAAGGCAGTTTTATTTCTTCCTTCCCAATCTGAATAACTTATTTCCTTTTCTTTTATTACTACATTATCTAGGACTTTTACTACACTGTTTAAAATCAGTAATGAGTAATATATCTTTGCTTTGTCCCTGATCTGAGTAGAAATACTTCAAATGTCTCACCATTAAGTTTGTTAGCCGAAAGATTTTTGTAGATATTCTTTATCAAGTTGAGAAAGTTATTTTCTATTTCTAGTTTACTGAGAGTTTGTAATCAAAAAAGAGATGTTAGGTTTTGTCAAATGTTGTTCCTGGATCTATTAATAAGATCGTGTGTTTTTTTCTTCTTTAGTCATTGTTGTGATGGATTACATTAATTGATTTTCTAATATTGAATCAGTCTTTTAGACCCGGGATAAATTTCATTTGGTTTTGGCATATAAGACTTTTTATGCAGTTGGATTTGATTTGCTAATATCTCATTGATATTTTTATATCCTCATTCGTGAGATATATTGGTCTATAGTTTTCTTTTCTCGTAACGTCTTTGTCTGCTTTTGGCATTAGGGTAATGCTGGCCGTATAGAATGGGTTAGGAAGTATTCTCACATGGCAGAGGGTGGAAGGACAAGCTAGCAAGCTAGTCAAATGCTGCTGTATGAAGCTTCTTTAGGAACTTCAATCCCATTAATGGGGGAGGAGCTCTTATGGCCTAATCACGTCTTAAAGTCCTGACCTCTTAACACTATAACAATGGCAATACTTGTATTTTAGAGAGGATTATGTTTTAACATGAATCTTGTACGGTACAAAAATATTTAAACCTTGGCATTTCACCCCTTGGTCCTCCAAAATTTTTATGGTCTTTTCACATGCAAAATACATTCATTCCATCCTAATAGCACCAAAAGTCTTAACGAGTTTCAGCATAAACTTTAAAGTCTAAGTACAGTCTTATCTAAACATCATATGGGTGAGACTCAATATGTAATTCATGCTGATGCAAATTCTCCCATGGAAGCTTTGAAATTAAACAAATTATATGCTTTCAAAATACAATGGTGATGTCAACAACAGATCATGAGATCTGCAAAGGGAAAAGGGAGGGTCTGGCTTATATAGAATAAGTTTTCACCCCAGTTTTCAATCAGGTTCACTTATGCAAATGAAGAATTCAGACTTGTTCCAGAAGTCTCTGTCAGATGTTCCTTTCAAACAGCCAGTGGGGGATGGCTTTTTTAGGCACCATTTATCTTGGCATCAACAAAAGGAACTTATTTTGCTTGATTGTGAAAAGGGAGGTCCTGTGACACTTTTAAAATATCTTTCTGAGAACACAGAGTATGTGTTCACTCCCTTACCCAGCCATGGCCATCTGGTTATGTTTTAACTTTAAGCACCTCAGTAGCCATGAAGAATCCATTTTGTCTATCAGCTGTGGCATACTTTATCAATGAAATAGGCATAGAATCGACATTTCTATTCCAAAAGGGAGAAAAAGGAAAAAAGAAAGGAGGTAACAGGCACCAAGTAAGTCTAAAACCCAACAAGGCAAACAACATTAAATCTTAAGTTTTGAGAATAATCTTGACTTCCATGTCCTGCCTTCTGACACACTGAAGTAGGGGTTCAGCTTCCAAGACCTTAAGCATCCTCATTCCCATGGCTTTGCTGCGTGCAGCCCATGCTTCAATTCTCACACACTGAGGGTGCTTGCCTGTAGTGTTTCCAGACTGGAGTGGCATACTGATGGCTCCACATTTCTGGGGTCTCAGGAGCAGCCCCACTCTCATGGTTCCACTAGGCATTGCCCTAGTGAGGACTTGCTATGATGGCACCAGCCCCACAGTTCCACTGGGCATTGCCCTAATGAGGCTATCTGTGGTGACTCTGCCTCTGCAACAAGTCTCTGCCTGGGTTCCAAGGCTGTCTGCAACATCTTTGGAAATCTAGGTGGAGGAAGCTATATCTTCATAGCTCTTGTACTCTGCTGTAGAATTAACACCACATGGATGCTCCCAAAATTCAGTGAACTTGGCCCTGTTTGAGCCACAGCTGGGTGGCCAAGATACACTATTCTAGAATGTGAGGAGCAGAGACCTGAGGCGACCCTAGGCAGAGAGCCCTGTGTTCTCATACGTACCTTGCACCCACCTCTTTAAGATTTTCTGTCCTCAAGGATCTGACAGTCTGGACCTGTGATCAAAGGGCCAGCCTCAAAGGTCTTTGAAACATCTTCAGTGTCATTGCCTCATTTTCTTAATGAATAGCCACATGGCTTGTTTCTATCTGTAATAATCTCCTTATGGCCACATTCTTGGCTTTCTCTCCTATACATATTTATTGTTTACACAGCTAGGCTGATAATTTTTCACAGCTTTACATTTTTCTTCCCTTTTAGTTATAAATTCTGTCTCTAAATTATTTCTTTCTTCTTGCATTTTACCACAAACCATCAAAAGAAGCCACATCACAGCCTGAATGCTTTGCTGCTTAGACATTTCTTCTGCCAAAACTAGTTCATCCTCGTAAGATTTTCCTTCCATAAATTTTCTAGGACACAACATAATTTAGCCAAGTTCTTTGCCACTTTGTAAAAAGGTTGGCCTTTCCTCTAGTTTCCCATACCTTGTTCCACATTTCCATGTGGAACAAGGCCTCATCAGAATGGCCTTTAATGTTTACACATGTAACAATGTTCTGTTCATGGCATTACAAGCTATTTCCATCATTCACTTCAAAACTGTTTGAGCTTCTACCCATTACCCAGTTTCAGAACCACTTCCGCATCTTTAAGTATCTGTTATAGAAATACCCCTTTTCTCTGGTACCAATTTCTGCCTTAGTTTGTTTGCACTGCTTTAACAGAATACCACCGAATGGGTAACTTATAAAGAACAGAAATGTGTTTCTCACGATTCTAGAGGTTGGGAAGTCCAAGATAAAGGGGCCATCATTTGGTCTGGTAAGTACCTTCTTACTGTGTCGTCACATGGAATAAGGTGAAAAGTCAGGCTTGTAAGCTAGCTTAAAGCTGTGTGAAGGCTCTTTTATAAGGACCTTAATCCCATTAACAAAAGAAAAGCCTTCATGGCCTAATCACCTCTTAAAGGCTCCTCCACCTTTAACATCATTACATTGGCCTCACCTGCATTTTAGAGGCAATTAGGTTTCAACCTGAATTTTGTAAGGACAAAAACACTCAAACCATTGAACTATTGTGTGTGTGTGTGTGTGTGTGTATATATATATATATATATATATATATATATATACACACACATACATATTAGAATTTATTTACCTATTCATCAGTTAATGGACATTTGTATTGCTTCTAATTTAGGACTATGATAAATGGTGCTTCTATGAACATGCATGTACATGTATTTGTTTGAGTGCCTGTTTTCATTTCTTTTAGGTATACACCTAGCAGTGGAAACCTAGGTCATATGGTAATTTAATGTGTAACCTTTTGAGGAATGGCCAAAATATTTTCCATGGCAATTGAACCATTTTACATTTCCACCAGTGATGTACAAGTATTCCAGTTTTTCTACATTTTCAATATTTGTTATTTTTCACTTTTTTTGGTAAAAATAAGGCCATTCTAGTGGATGTGAAGTGATATTTCATTGTCATTTTGATTTATATTTTCCTAAAGTCTAATGATGCTAAGCATTTTTTCATGTACTTGTTGGCCTTTTATATATCTTCTTTGAAGAAATGTCTATTTGAGTCTTTGTTCATTTTTAAATTGAGCTTGATAGACTTTGTTATTGAATTGAAAAGTTCCTTTCTGGATATTAGGCTCTTATTAGATATGATTTACATTTTTTTCCATTCTGTATGTTATCTTTTTACCTTCTTAATAATGTCCTTTGATGCAAGAAAGTATTAATTTTGATGAAGCCCAATTTATTTACTTATTATTTTCTTGCTTGTGCTTTTTATGCCATTTGTAAGAATTTGTGGTCAAAATAAGATCATAGAGATGTGCTCTGTATTCTTCTACAAGATTTATAGTTTTAGCTCTCATATTTATGTCACTGATCCATTTCTGGTCAATTTTTTTATATGATGTATGTGAGTCCAACTTCATTATTTCACATGAGAATGACCGTTTGTTTTAGTGTCATGTGTTGAAGATATTATTCTTTCCCCTATTGAAGAGTCTTTTCACCCTTGTCAAAATTAAATTGACCATAGATGTATGAATCTCTTTATGGCTTCTCAATTCCATTTCATTCATTTGTATGACTATTCTCATGTTGGTACCACATTCTCTTGATTGCTGTAACTTTATAGTAAGTATTGAAAATGAGAAGTGTGAGACTTCCAAATTGGCTGTTCTTTTTCAATATCATTTTTATTATTCTGGGCCCCTTACATTCCATATGAATTTGAGGATCACCTTTTTTCATATCTGCAAAAAGACCATTAAAATATAATATGAAATGTATTACATCGTTTTAAAATTGTGGATATTATTGCCATCTTAACAATATTAAATTTTCTAGTTCATAAATATATGTGTCTTTCCATTTATTTAGGTTTTATTTAATTTCTTTTAGCAATGTTTCATAATTTTCAATGTACAAATCTTTAATCTTTTTAGTTAAACACACACCTAAGTATTTTATTCCTTCGAATGCTGTTGTAAATAAAATTATTTTCTTAATTTCTCCTTTATCATGTTTATTGCTGTTGTTTAAAAATACAACAGATCTTTGTGTGTTGAGCTTATATTCTGCTATTTTACTGAATTTGTTTATTCATTTGAATCTTTTGTTTGGTGAATTTTTGGGGATTTTCTATATTGAGAGTCATGTCATGTGAATAGAGATAGTTTCATTTCTTCTTTTACAATTTGAATGACTTTTATTTATTTTTCTTGTCTAGTTGCTTTGGGTAGAACTTTCAGTAAGATGTTGAATATTGGTACTTAAACTAGGCATCCTTGTCTTGCTCCTGATTTTAAGGAGAAAGCTTTCAATTTTTTTTACCATTGAAATTGATGTTAGCTGTGGGTTTTTCATAAATGTCTTTTTATCATGAAAGAATGTTAGATTTTCTCAAATGCTTTTTCTGTATCAATCAAGATAGTCATGTGGCTTTTCCCCTTATTCTATTAATGTGATATATTACATTAATTGATATTCTTACCTTGCATTTCTAGGTAAACCTCACTTGGTCATAGTGTTTAATGTATTGTTAGATTCGGTCTCATAATTTATTGTGGATTTTTATGTCAAGATTCATAAGGAAGATTAGTCTGTAGTTTTGTGGCTTCTTGTGATTTGTTTTGTATTTAGTATCAGGCTAATGTTGACCTCATAAAATTAGTTAGAAATTTTTCCCTTTTCTACATTTTGGAAAAGTTTGAGAAGGGTTGGTATCAATTCTTCTTTAAATGTTTGGTGAATTTTACCAGTGAGTGTATCTGGTTCTGTACTAAAATTTGTTTAAGTACAAATTTAATTTTGTCAGAAAGTTGTTTAAAATACTCTTAATATATTCTTGATATCTAAAAAAGTAATCCTTCATATTTTTCTGCATTAAACTTTGAGGGCTAGCTAATCATTTTAAACCATCAGCTCAAATCTTTTTTTTTTTTTCACATTTCATCTTTCCTTCTAAGGGAGGGAGGGGGTCAAGGTTCAGATTCTTTATTCACATTTGTAATTTATTTATTCCTTCAGGATAAGCAGTCATCTTTATTAATTGTGTACTTGGTTTAATTGGACTTAACTTTATAATTCCTTGGGCTTTTGCTACTCAGTATTATTAAACTTCACCATGTATATGCATCATACAGAACTACTAACCATAGTGCACAGTTCTCTGACATTGCTAGCTCTTTTCAATTTGAATGGAAAGAGAATTGTACAAATATAACTCATTTTATTGTGATTTGCTTTATTGCACTTATCAGGTACTGTGTTTTTTACAAATTGAAGAATTGTGGCAACTCATTGAGCAAGTCTATCAACACTAATTTTTCAACAGCTTGTGCTGACTTTGTGTCTTTGTGCCTATTTTGGTAATTATTGCAATATTTAAAACTTTTTCATTGTTATTACATCTGTTATGGTGATATATGACCAGTGATCTTTGATGTTACCATTGCAGTTGTATACCTATGTATACAATGTAACCTGTATACATGTAGATGTACATGTACATGTAAGACTGTGAACTTAACAAATGTCGTGTGTGTTAGTGCTCTAATGACCAGCCATTCCTTCATATCTCTATTTCTCACTCTTTCCTGGCCCCCCTATTCTCTGAAACACAACACCATTGAAATTAGGTCAATTAGTAACTCTACAGTGACCTGTAAGTGTTCAAGTGAAGGGAAAAGTTGCATGTCTCTCACTTTAAATCAAAAGCTAGAAATGATTAGGCTTAGTAAGGAAGGCATGACTAAAACTGAGATAGGCCACAAGCAAGGCCACTTGTGTCAAACAGTTAGCTAAGTTGTGATTGCAAACGGTGAGTTCTTAAAGGAAATGAAATGTGCTACTCCAGTGAGCACACAAATGATAAGAAAGTGAAATAGCTTTATAGCTGACATGGAGAAAGTTTTACTGCTCTGGAGAGATCAAACTAGCCACAGCATTCCTTTAAGCCAAATTTTAATCCAGAGAAAGACCCTAATTCTCTTAAATTATATGAAGACTGAGAGAGGTTAGGAAGCTGCAGAAAAAGAGTTTGAAGTTAGCGAAGATTGCTTCATGCGATTTAAGAAAAAAAAAGCCATCTCCAAACATAAAAGACCTAGGTAGGGCAGCAAGTGCTGATGTAGAAACTGTAGCAAGCTATCCAGAATATTTAAATAAGATCACTATTGACGGTGGCTACAGTAAACAACAAGTCTTCAATGCAGACAAAACAGCTTTTTAAAACTTTTATTTTAGGTTCAGGGATACATATGCAGATTTGTTATATAGGTAAACTCACGTCACAGGGGGTTGTTGTATAAATCATTTCATCACCCAGGTACTAAGCCTAATACTCAATAGTTATTTTATCTGATCTTCTGCTTCCCCCACCCTCCATCCTCAAGTAGGCCTCAGTGTCTATTGTTTCCTTCTTTGTGCCCATGAGTTCTCATCATTCAGCTCCCACTTATAAGTGAGAACATGTGGTGTTTGGTTTTCTGTTCTTGTAATAGTTTAATCATGGCCACAGCTCCATCCATGTTCCTACAAATGATATGATCTCTGTTTTTTATGGCTGCATAGTATTTACATGGCATATGTGTGCCACATTTTATTTGTCCAATCTGTCATTGATGGACACTTAGGTTGATTCCAAGTCTTTGCTATTGCAAATAATCCTGCGATGAACATTTGTGTGCATGTGTCTTTATGGTAGAACAATTTATAGTCCTTTGTGTATATACCCAGTAATGGGATTGCTGGGTCAAATGACAGTTCTGTTTCTAGCTCTTTGAGGAATCACCACACTACTTTCCACAATGAATGAACTAGTTTACATTCTCACCAACAGTGTATAGGTGTTCCTTTTTCTCCACAACCTTGCCAGTATCTGTTATTTTTTGACTTTTTATTAATGGCCATTCTGACTAATGTGAGATGGTATCTCGTTGTGGTTTTGACTTGCATTTCTCTAATCATCAGTGATATTGGGCTTTTCTTCATATGCTTATTGGCCACATGTATGTATTCTTTTGAAGTGTGTGTTTATGTCCTTTGCCCACTTTTTAATGGGGCTGTTTGTTTTTTACTTGTAAATTCGTTTAAGTTCCTTATAGATGCTGAATGTTAGACCTTTGTCAGATGCATAGTTTGCAAAAATTTTCTCCCATTCCGTAGGTTGCCTGCAAAACAGGTTTCTATTGAAAGATGACTTTCATAGCTGAGAAGTCAATGCCTGGCTTCGAACCTTCAAAAGACAAGCTGACGCTCTTGTTAGGGCCTAATGCAGCTGGTGACTCTATGTTAAAGCCAATGCTTATTTGTCATTTCAAAAATCCTAGAACCCTTAAGAATTGTGCTACATCTACTTTGTCTGTGCTCTATAGATGGAACAAGGCCTGCATTATAGCACATCTCTTTATAGCATGGCTTAACAATTTTTTTTTTTTTTTTGAGACGGGCTCTTGCTCTGTTGCCCAGGTTGGAGTGCAGTGGCGTGATCTTGGCTCACTGCAAGCTCCACTTCCCAGGTTCACACCATTCTCCTGCCTCAGCCTCCCAAATAGCTGGGACTACAGGCCCCCACCACCAAGCCCGGATAATATTTTTGTATTTTTAGTGGAGATGGGGTTTCACTGTGTGAGCCAGGATATCTCGATCTCCTGACCTCATGATCTGCCCACCTCGGCCTCCCAAAGTGCTGGGATTACAGGTCTGAGCCACCCCACCCGGCTGGCTTAGCAAATATTTTAAGCCCACTGTTGAGACCTACTGCTCAGAAAAAAGATTTTTTTTGAAAATATTAATGCTCATTGTTAGTACATCTAGTCACCCAAAATCACCAATGGAGGTGTACAAATAGATTAATGTTCTTTTCATGCCTGCTAACAACATCCAGTAGCCCATGGATTACAAAGTAATTTTGGCTTTCAAAATTATTTAAGAAATATGTTTTTAAGGCTGTTCAGCATAGATAATGATTCCTCTGATAGATCTCAGGAAAGTAAATTGAAAATCTTTGAGAAAAGATTCACCACTTTAGATATTATTTAAAATATTTGTGATTCATGGGAGGAGGTCAAAATATCAACATTAACAGGAGTTTGAAGAAAGTTTATTCCAACCCTCAAGGATAACTGAGAAATTTAAGACTTCAGTGGAGGAAGTAAATGCATATGTGGTAGACATACCAAAACAACTGGAATTAAAAGTGGACCCTAAAGATGTGACTGAATTGCTGCAATTTCATGATAAAAATTTAATGGATGAGGAGTTGCTTCTTGTGGATGAGTAAAAAATGTGAAGTGGTTTTTTTTTTTTTGAGAAGAAATCTATTCCTGGTGAAGATGTGAATATTGTTGAAATGATAACAAAGCCTTTCAAATATTAGATAAACTTAGTAGATAAAGCAACAGCAGGGTTTGAGAGAATTGACTCTAATTTTGAAGTTTTTTGAATAAAATGCTATCAAAAAGCACTGCATGCTACAGAGAAATCTCTCATGAAAGGAAGAATTCATTCATGTGGCAAACTGTATTGTTGTCTTATTTTAAGAATTTGCCACTGCCACCCCAACCTTTAGCAACCACTACTCTGATCAGTCAGCCGCCATCCACATAAAGGTAAGACCCTTCATCAGCAAAAAGATTATGACTTGCTGAAGGCTCACATAATCATTAGCATTTTTTAACAATAAAGTGTTTTCAATTAAGCTGCGTACACTCTTTTAAAGACATGAAGCACACTTAATAGACTACAATATAAACAACTTTAAACGTACTGAAAATCCAAAAACTTTCTGGGACTTGCTTTATTGCAATATTTCTTTTATTGCAATAGTCTGCCTCTAAACCTGCAATATATTCAAGGTATGCCTATATAGACAATGCTGCTTTAATGTATTCCTGTCAAGAGATGAGGTAATTCACACAGGGGAATCTCTAGGGTAGCTAGTGCTTAAAGCTTTTGCTAGTAAAAATTCATTAAAAAATAATGATAACATTAACATTTTTTCACAACATTCTTATTTGCTTCTGTTAAACATTGAATACAGGATATAATTTGATATTATTTTTGATAATTCAGAAATAACATTATGAGCCTTATTTATCTGATGGTGTTACATTCTGGGAACTCAAGTATGTAGCTCTCTTCCTGCTGGAGAACTTATTTTCCTATCTAAATCATAACTAGGATTTTCATTTTTTGCTACACTAATTGTGAACCTGATCCAAAAGCTTTCTACTTTTATTAGTAATAAGTGACTGTTAGTTTTCCAGCAGAGTGGAAAGAAACAAGCAGACTAAATACCTTTTGTGCTCAAGTACATACTATATGATTTTTAAGACAGCCATTTCCCTGTTCTTGGAGAAGTGGACAAGAGCAGAGGTTTATGGAGAAATGACTCAAAACTAATTATGTCAGAAAAAAAAAGTGAGAATAGCATGCACAATTTCAATTGCTTACCATATGTTTTACTTACATTCACCCTCTTATTAACTCTTCAGCTTGATTCTATTAGCTGTGTATTTCTATCCATGCTATATTCAATTAAATGGAGATTAATGTAAGATATTTGGTCTAAGATACACACACCTGGTTAGTGACAAAATCAGGGATTTGCCTGTGCCCTTTATGTTGTATCTTGTTGTCTGTACTCATTACTCTCATTAAATTCTGGCTTATCTACAACCTTGGAGTGTTCTGTGTTTGAGGATTATGGCATGTAAGTATTAAAGGTTATGCTTGGGTATTTTGGGGAAGGAACTCATCTTCACCTTTTTTTTTTTTTTTTTTTTTTTGAGATGGAGTCTTACTCTGTCACCAGACTGGAGTGCAGTGGTGAAATCTCAGCTCACTGCAACCTCCGCACCTCCCGGGTTCAAGTGATTCTCCTGTCTCAGCCTCCTGAGCAGCTGGGACTAAGCTGGGACTAGAGGTGTGTGCCACCATGCCCAGATAATTTTTGTATTTTTAGTAGAGACAGGGTTTCACCATGTTGGCCAGGATAGTCTTGATCTCTTGACCTCATGATCCACCTGCCTTGGCCTCCCAAAGTGCTGGGATTACAGGCGTGAGCCACCATACCCGGCCTCATCTTCACTTTCAATACATGGCCTCTACCTATCAAATGCCAATAAAATCCCCTCATGATCAGGACAACTAGTAAATCCCCCCACATACACATGCACATTTTCAGATGCACCCCCACCCCACTGAGGTCCACTGAATAACCACAGTATTACACATAACTACATGAAAGAGAGTTTCAGCTTTGAAACAGTCACATCAACACATTAGATAATCTAGAAGAAAGTATTAATCCCTAGAAACATACACTATACCAAAACTGAATTATGAAGAAATAGAAAATCTGAACAGACCTATAACTAGTAAGGAGACTGATCAGTAATAAAAACCCTCCCAACAAGAAAAGCTCAGGATGAGAAGGCACCTCTGGTATATTCTACTAAACCCTTAAATGAGAATTAATGTTAATCCTCAAACTCTACCAAAAAACTGAAGAAGATGGAACACTTCCAAATTCATTTTATGAGTCTATCATCAGCCTAATACCAAAGCCAGACAGATACAATGCAAGAAAAGAAAACTACAGGCCAATATGCCTGATTAACATAGATATAGGAATCCTCAGAAAATAAGACTTGGTGAAAGTTTGAACATGGCCAACTAGACACAGGTGAAACAGATGCTACCGAGGGACCAAGTTGACTGGTGCACTCCCTAACAGATCTTCAGAGGAAAGGTACAGAATATATAGAGAGGGAAGATACAGAAGCTGGCCTGAAGGGGGAGGAACCTGGGAACCCCACATGGGGCTACTGTGCACCTGGACTCATTCCTGGCCCCCAGTGGCTCCAGGACAAATAAGCAGAACTGGAAAGGAGCAACCCACTCTCACACCATTGGCCTCTGGAATCCCAACAGCTAGACCCCTCAACTACCACAGACACTTGAGTTGACAGAGCTGCTTAGAGAAGTGGTAGGGGCAGCAAGTCAAATAATGTGGAGCCCAGAGGGTTTGGTACAGGAGTATCTGTAGCAGACCAGAGCCAGGAATGGCCATCCCCCTAGTTTTGACTTGCTCCCATAGGAGACTTTAGCCCTAGGTGAGCTGTAAGTCCTGGACTCTGCAGAACAGTCTTGCCCATCAAATGGGGCTGGTCTGACCTGAACAGAACAAGGATGGATCCCACTGTCACTGCACTATGAAATGCTTTGGCTGAGACCATCCATCAGAGTTTAGTGACCAGCAATCTGGGAGCACCCCACCCCCTACAGCAGAGTGGATTTCTAAATTTGAGGAACCAGAGAAGAAAGTTGGGGCCCAGTACAAGCCCCAGAGTTAGAACATGCAGTTCAGGAGCGGGGAGCTGAGCATTGGTCCCCTAAAGTCTTCCAGAAATGAAATCAGTTGACTGAATCCACCTAATACCACAATTAAACCCTTGAGATCACCAAATAGAATACAAGAAAAATAAACCCATTGAAAGGTCAGCAACCTCAAAGATTAAAGTAACATAAGCCCACAAAGATAAGGAGGAAATAGCACAAGAACCCTGAAAACTTAAAAAAAAAAAAAAGAGTGCCTTCTTTCCTCTAAACAACAACAGCACCTCTCCAGGAAGGGTTCTGAACCAAGCTGAGACGGCTGGAATGGCAGAAAGAGAATTCAGAATATACATAGGAATAAAGATGATTTAACTACAGGAATACATTGAAACCCAATCTAAGGAAGCTAAGAATCATGAGAAAACAATGCAGGAGCTGACAGATGACATAGCCTGTATGGAAAAGAAAAAAATTAACTTGGTAGAGCTAAAAAACACACAACAAGAATTTCATAATGCAATCACAAGTGTGAATAGCAGAATAGAACAAGCAGAGGAAAGAATCTCAGAGCTTGAAGACTGACTTTCTGAAATAAGACAGACAAGAATAGAGAAAAAAGAATAAAAAACAACAAACAAAACAATTATGAGATTATGTAGAGAGACCAAATCTATGACTCATTGGTGTCCCTGAAAGAGATGGGGAGAATGGGTCTAATTTGGAGAACATATTTCAGGCTCTCATCCAAGAGAACTTCCCCACCTTAGCTAGAGAGGCCAACATTCAAATTCAAGAAATGCAGAGAACTTAAGTAAGATATTTCACAAGAAGATCATCCCTAAGACACATAATCATCAGATTCTCTAAGGTCAAAATAATAATTTTAAAAATGTTAAAGGCAGCTAGAGAAAAAGGTCAGGTTACCTACAAATGTAGCCCATCAGACTAACAGTGGACCTCTCAGCAGAAACCCTACAAGCCAGAGGAGATCGGGGGCCAATATTCAACATTCTTTAAAAAAAAAAAAGAAATTCCACCCAGAATTTTATATCTGGTAAATCTAAGTTTCATAAGTGAAGGAGAAATAAGATTATTTTCAGACAAGCAAATACCACCAGACCTGCCTTCCAAGAGCTCCTGAAGGAAGCACTAAATATGAAAAGGGAAGACCATTAGCCACTACAAAAACACACTGAAGTACAGAGACAGTGACAGTATAAAGCAACCACATAAAGAGTCTGCAAAATAACCAGCTAATATCATGATGACAGCATCAAGTCCAGGATGAATCCAGGAACCGGTATTTTGAAAAGATTAACAAAATTGATAGACTAATAGCCAGAATAATAAAGAAGAAAAAAGAGAAGAATCAAATAGACACACAAAAATGATAAAGGGGAGATCACCACTGATCCCACAGAAATACAAACTACCATCAGAGAATACTATAAACACCTATAACACCTCTATGCAAATAAACTAGAAAATCTAGAAGAAATGGATAAATTCCTGGACACGGACATCCTTGCAAGACTAAGCCAGGAAGAAATTGAATCCCTAAATAGACCAACAACAAGTTCTAAAATTGAGGCAGTAATTAATAGCCTACCAACAAAAAAAGTCCAGGACCAGATGGACTCACAGCCGAGTTCTACCATAGGTACAAAGAGGAGCTGGTACCATTCCTTCTAAAACTCTTGCAACGATAGAAAAAGAGGGACTCCTCCCTAACTCATTTTATGAGGCCAGCATCATCCTGATATGAAAACCTGGCAGAGACACAACAAAAAAAGAAAATTTCAGACCAATATCCCTAGTGAACATCAATGTGAAAATCCTCAATGAAATCCTGGCAAATTGTATCCAGGAGCACATTAAAAGGCTTATCTACCATGATCAAGTCTGCTTCATCCCTGGGATGCAAGGCTGGTTCAACAAACACAAATCAATGAACGTAATCCATCACATAAACAGAACCAATGACAAAAACCACATCATCTATCTCAACAGGTGTAGAAAAGACCTTCAATAAAATTCAACACCCCTTCATGCTAAAAACACTCAATAAATTGATAGAATGAACCTCAAAATAATAAGAGCTATTTATGACAAATCCACAGCCCGTATCATACTGAATGGGCAAAAACTAGAAACATTACCTTGAAAACTGGCAAAAGAGAAGGATGCCCTCTCTCACCACTCCTATTCAACATAGTATTGGAAGTTCTGGCCAGGGCAATCAGGCAAGAGAAAGAAATAAAGGTATTCAAATAGGAAGAGAGGAAGTCAAAATACCTCTGTTTGCAGATGACATGATTGTATATTTAGAAAACCCCATCATCTCAGCTCGAAAACTCCTTAAGCTGATAAGCAACTTTAGCAAAGTCTCAGGATACAAAATCAATATGCAATAATCACAAGCATTCCTATACACCAATAATAGACAGTCAAATCATGAGCAAACTCCCATTTACAATTGCTACTAAGAGGATAAAATACCTAGGAATAAAACTTACAAGGGATGTGAAGGATCTCTTCAAGGAGAACTACAAACCACTGTTCAAGGAAATATGAAAGGACACAATCAAATGGAAAAACATTCCATGCTTATGGATAGGAAAAATCAATATCGTGAAAGTGGCCATATTGCCCAAAGTAATTTATAGATTCAATGCTCTTCCCATCAAGCTACCATTGACTTTCTTCACAGAATTGGAAAAAGCTACTTTAAATTTCATATGGAACTAAAAAAGCCTGTATAGCCAAGACAATCTGAAGCAAAAAGAATAAAGCTGGAAGCATCATGCTACCCAACTTTAAACTATACTACAAGCCTACAGTAACCAAAACAGCATAGTACTGGTACTAAAACATATATATAGACCAATGGAACAGAACAGAGTCCTCAGAAATAACATCACACATCTACAACCATCTGATCTTTGACAAACCTGACAAAAACAAGCAATGGGGAAAAGATCCCCTATTTAATAAATGGTGTTAGGAAAACTGGCTAGCCATATGCACAAAACTGAAACTGGACACTTTTCTTACACCTTATACAAAAACTAACTCAAGATGGATTAAAGATTTAAATGTAAGACCTAAAACGATAAAAACCTAAAAGAAAACCTAGGCAATACCGTTCAAGACATAGGCATGGGCAAAGACTTCATGACTAAAGTACCAAAAGCAATGTCAACAAAAGCCAAAATTGACAAATTGGATCTAATTAAACTAAAGAGCTTCTGCACAGCAAAAGAAACTATCATCAGAGTGAACAGGCAACCTACAGAATGGGAGAAAATTTTTGCAATCTATCCGTCTGACACAGGGTTAATATCCAGAATTTACAAGGAACTTAAACAATTTTACAAGAAAAAACAACCCCATCAAAATGCGCAAAGGATATGAACAGACATTTCTCAAAAGAAGACATTTATGCAGCCAAGAAACATATGAAAAAAAGCTCATCATCACTCGTCATTACAGAAAGGCAAATCAAAACCACAATGAGGTACCATCTCATGCCAGTTAGAATGGCAATCATTAAAAAGTCAGGAAACAACAGATGCTGGAGAGGATGTGAAGAAATAGGAAGACTTTTATACTGTTGGTGGGAATGTAAATTAGTTCAACCATTGTGGAAGTCAGTGTGGTGATTACTCAAGGATCTAGAACTAGAAATACCATTTGACCCAGCAATCATATTACTGGGTATATACCCAAAGGATAAAAAATCATTCTACTATAAGAACACATGCACACATATGTTTATTGCAGCACTATTCATCATAGCAAAGACTTGGAACCCACCCAAATGCCCATCAATATTAGACTGGATGAAGAAAATGTGGCACATATACACCATGGAATACTATGCAGCCATATAAAAGAATGAGTTCATGTCCTTTGCATGGACATGGATGAAGCTGGAAATCATCATTCTCAACAAACTAACACAGGAAGAGAAAACCAAACACTGCATGTTCTCACTCATAAGTGGGAGTTGAACAATGAGAACACATGGGCACAGGGAGGGAAACATCCCACACCAGGGCCTGTCAGAGGGTGGGGAGCAAGGAAAGGGATAGCATTAGGATAAATACCTAATGTAGATGACTGGTTGATGAGTGCAACAAACCACCATGGCACATGTATACCTATGTAACAAACCTGCACATTCTGTACATGTATCCCAGAACTTAAAGTATAATAAAAAATAATGAGTAATAAAAAAAGTGGGACATATATACCATGGAATACTACACAGCCAAAAAGTAATAAGATCATGTTTTTTTGTTGGACATGGATGGATCTGAAGGCCATTATCCTTAGCAGACAAACACAGGAACAGAAAACCATATACCCCATGTTCTCACTTATAAGTGGGATCTAAATGATTAGAACACATGGATGCATAGAGGGGAACAACAGCCAGTGGGGTCTACAGGATGGTGGAGGGTGGGAGAAGGGAGAAGATGAGGAAAAATAAATAATGGGTACTAGGCTTAACATCTAAGTGATAAAATAATCTGTACAACAAATCCCCATGACACAAGTCTACCTATATAACAAACCTGCACATATACCCCTGAACTTAAAGTTAAATTAATAAAATACTTGCAAACCAAATTCAACAGCACATTAAAATTATCATACCCCATGACCAAGTGAAATATATCCCTATAATGCAAGTATGGTTCAACAAACAAAAATCAATTAATGTGATATGTCACATTAACAGAATGAAAGATTAAAGAAAACCACAATCATCTCAATAGATGCAGAAAAAGCATTTTACAAAGTTCAACACCCTTTCATGATAAAAACTTTTAACAAATTAGGAATAGAAGAAATAGACCTCAACATAATAAATGCCATATATGAAAAGCCCACAGCTGACATCACACTCAATGGTGAAAAATTGAAAGCTTTAGTTCTAAGGTCTGAAACAAAGTCATTCTTGACACTTCAAATTAACATAGTACTAGAAATGTTAGAACATCCAGGCAAAAAATAAATAAATAAATAAAAGACATCCAAATCAGAAAGGAAAAACTACAATTATCTTTGTTTGCAGATGTCAAAAAGAATAAAAGATTTAGGAATAAACTTAACCAAGGAAGTGAAAGACTACTACACAGAAAACTACAAAACATTGACAAAAGAAAACACAAATAAATGAAAAGACATCCCATACATATAGATTGGAAGAATTAATATTAAAATTTTTACACTACCCAAAGCAGTGTACAGATTCAATCCAATCCCTATCAAAATGCCATTGACATTTTTCACAGAAATAGAAAAAAAATCCTAAAATTCATATGGAACTACAAAGGACTCCAAAGAGCCAAAACAATCTCAAGATGGAAGAACAAAGCTGGAACATCACACGTCTTCATTTTAAAATATATTATAAAGCTACAGCGATTAAAACAGTATGAGACTGGCAAAAAGACAGACATACAGACAAATGGAGCAGAATGGAAAGCCCAGAAATAAACCCACACATATACTATCAAGTGACATTTAAGAAAAATGCCAAGAATATTTTCTACACTTAAAGTTTAGAATATAGATATCAAATTTTATGAAATCTCTTACTTTGATTTTAATTGAGAATGAAGAAAGTTATGAATTCATTTGAGAACTTTTACACTATTGAATCTCCCTTTGCAGAAATATGGTGTGCTTTCCGTCTACTCAAGTCTCCCTTTCTTTCTTTCAGTTAAATAATACGGTTTCTTCAGATACAATTTGAACACTTGTTAGTCTTCTTCTAAAAACTTTATAAATTTTTGTTGTTACGTACTTCTGAACTGAACTGAAATGGGATTTTTTTGCTGTTGACTTCTTAAATTGGTTATTGTTGATGTATAGAAAATGATACCTATTTTGTGTATTTAGGCAACTGATCTATTTTGCTATTAAGTTGGCTTTCCCAAGTTCATTATTTTCAAATAAATACAGAATTGTATCTTCTGCATTAAAAAAGGGAGAATACCAAGAAAACACAGTAAGGAAACAGGAAAGGATAGTCTCCTAAACAAATCGTGTTGGGAAATTGTCTTACACCATACACACTAATCAACAAAAAATGTAATCTAGGCTTAAATGCAAAACCTGAAACTATAAAACTCCTAGAAAAAAAACGTGAGGAAAATCTTATGAAACTGATGTTGGCAATAATTTCTTGGATATGATATCAAAAGCACAGGCATCAAAATAAAAAAAAATAGCCAAATGGGACTACATGCAATTAAAATCCTTCTGAAAGTGCAACTTAAGAAATGAGAGAAAATATTTACAAACCACATTTTAATAATGGGTTAATATCCAAAACATATAAGGAACTCTCGATTCAATAGAATAAAAAAAGAAGAAAAAGAAATAATTTGATCAGAAAATGAGCAATAAAGCAATGAACATAAATAGAAGTATTTTCAAAAAAGACAAATGGCCCACACCTGTTAGGATAATTATTATTAAAAAGTAATAATTCCTTCCTCCTTTAAAGTGCCAGATAAAAGTCTCTGCTGGAGGCTGCACTTCCCAGCCTGTGGAATGGGCAGCCTTTATAAGGAATAAAGTCTCCTTTCCAAATGGATAGATCTGGTGATTTTTCAAGTTTACACCTTGAAAGCTTCTTTATCATGGGCTGAATTGTGCTCCCTCAAAATTTATATGTTGAAGTCCTAAACCGCAGCATATCAGAATGTGACTGTGTTTGGAGATAAGGTCTTTAAAGAGATAATTAAGTTCTAATAAGGTAATTAGGTTGGGGCCTAATCCAATATGATTAGTGCCCTTATAAGGAGGGGAGATCAAGAAACAGACATAGACCTTCAGAGGGAAGACCATGTGAAGACACAGGGAGAAAATGGACATCTAGAAGCCAAGGAGAAAGCCCTCAGAAAGAAACAACCTTGCCAATGCTTTCATCTTGGATGTTTAACCTCCAGAACTATGATAAAATAAATCTCTAGTTTTAAGCCACTTAGTCTGTGGCACTTTGCTATGGCGCCCCAGCAAATGAATATCCCTGCCCTTCTATCGTCTTCATCCACCAACACTGTCATATAACCTGCTAGAACTCATGTTACAAGACTTTATGGAGAAAAAATAATGAGTGAGTTCAGATCTCAGAGCACCTTTCAGAGATTCATGACCTTTCTCCCTTCAAGTTCTTCACCTTTCTCCTCAGCCCAGAGCCTCTGCCTCCTTCCTGATCAAGGAAGTCTCACCTCCTCCGTTCCCATGCCAGATACATACAGACCTGGGTTTGAGTTCTTGTTTTCAGATGTTGGATATTTTTCCTCACCTAGTCACTTACCATTTTATTGTTAGTTTACTTACTTCTGAACTGAAGGAAATAATACCAGTCTAAAGGGCTGCGAGATTAAATGAGAAAATCTATGCAGAGTGCCCGACAGTGGCTGTCACAAATTGAGTGATCAAAAAATAATCTCTACCTCTCTCTTCTGCACAATCTCTATCTCTTCCTTTCCAAAACTGCTGGAAGAGAAAGGGGGATAAAGCAGTGATCTGGCTCCGAAAGTCCCCTCCAGACGTCATGGCTACCTTTTTTTCCTTGGTTTCCTGGGCAAGCCTGCCATCTAGGGGCATCTTCAGTTCCTTTCTCATCTACTCTCAGTGATGATATTCTCATCAGATTTTACACTGAAAATATTGATTTTGTGTGTGTGACGCAGGAACTCTGTCCTGCTGGATTATAAGAGGCTAAACTTTAAAGACTCCCTTGACTTCAATTTATGATATCAGTTGCAGCTGAGGTCCTGAAGCTGGAGTACTAAACCAAGCATGCCCATTTCATAAAAACATGTTTCCTATACCTTCCCGGAACCTCTTTCCTTCTTAGGCTTCATAGAAAGAGAGGTAAAACTCTCTGGCTGTGGGTGCAAAGCTATAGCATCACTTGCGTACAGAATCATGGTTCTACCCCATCTTCCTTTAGTAGCACTTAACATAGACATCATTTACTTACTTACCTGTTTATAGTCAGACTCCCACAACTGGGTTGTAATCTCCAGAATTACAACCTGATGAAATTGTAACCTGATGGAAAAATGAGCAAAAAAGCAATGGACATAAATGGAAGTATCTCCAAAAGAGACAAATCCCAAAGAGCAAGAATATTTTCCCCCATTCTGTTTCCTAGTGCCTAGCCTGTAGTAGACATTCCCTAAATCTTTGTTGAAAAAATTAGTGATTAAATTTTTTCTCTTATCTTCCTGGATTTTCAACCCTAGTCACACACAACCCACTACCCATAGGCCTTCCTCCAAGTTGTAGCTCTTTCTGACTTTCATCAGTTTCTGCAGCTTGCCTTGCCATTCAAGCAGCTTGACCTATTTCCCACTACCCCAGCATATTTCCCTCCTATTTGTAGTCTTTTTCTTTTTTAATTTTAATTTTGGCAAAATACATGTTCATAGCTGACATTTAATGGGACAAACGTCATATACGAAAAATACATGTGGCCCCTGCCTCATTCCTGCCAGCCCTTTCTTACTCTCCATCCTATCCCCAGTGGCATCGCTTTACCTATGGGTTTCCTGGCACTGACTTTCATATTTTCAGTAATATGTTCATGCCAGTTCCAGTGAGAGGACTGTTTGCCCCCAACCATAATAAAATCAGTACAGAAATTAAGTTTTAGAAATTTTTATAGCAATTGATATTGTCTCATTACCCTAAATCAAGACGATTTTCTCAAAATTTATTTTTATTGTCTTACAAAAGTATCTGCCTCTGGTGGGATGGAAAATAAAACAAAACAAAAATGGTTCCTTCTCCACAGAAAGCCTGAGTGTCAGTGCTCTGGGCCACCGCACAGTGATGCTAGAGTCTGTCATTCCAGTGCCCTGCGGGCCCCCTCGCTTTCTGCTCGGTGTTTATTCTTCAGCTCCTGAACACCAGGCTGTTCTCATTTTACCTTGTTTTTATTTGATCAGGTCAGTGAGAGAGCATATGCCCTGGTAGATTCCTGAGAAAAGGAACAGGAGGATGAGAGGTTCAATGTTTTACACATTGCTGGTCTGATAGCTCAGCTTCATTCACAGGTGAGTAGCAATTTTAGTTTGAAAATTATTTTCACTAAGAATTTAATGATATGACTCAATCATCTACTAGCATCCAATATTCTACTAAGAAGTTGAACGTCTTTCTTATTTCCAAAGCTCATTTTGTGGTATTTATTTATTATTCTCTCTATCAACACTCAGAGTTTTATTTATCCCCAGTGTTCTAAAATTTCATGAGTCAGTCATACTTTCAATGTTGGTAATTTTCTTTAATTATTTCACTGGAAATTTTCTTTCCAATGTTCTGTATTCTCTTTCTTCTGCTATAATACCTTTGGATCAAATATTGTTGAATTTTTTATTGATTTTTTTCCTCCCGCTGTCCATGTATCACTTGGTTCTCCTTGCTGACTGTGCAGACTGGGGTGGGAAAAAAACCAACCCTCACATAGAATTTCAACCAATTGCCGTTTCCAGCCCTTGCTTCACTCCACCTTCCATGGTATATGTGCTTCCAATTCCCAAGACTAAACAAATTTCATGAGTTTAATTATTTGTTTTATAACAGTCTTCCTCTCTGCAAGACTTACATTTCCTTTTTTTTTTTTTTGCACACTGCTAACTCAGTTTCTACTTCTTTACTTGCTTTACATATTATAGTTTGAAGTAACAAATGTCTCCAGTTTTATTGAAGTCGGAGATCCTGTTCTGTATACTTACTGCATTGAGATAATTCTAAGACAGGAGGGTGCAAAATCTGTGCTTTTGTGTTACTTTAAAACCAGAAGTCTTTCTCTTCTATTTTATTTGAATTCTAATCAACATACTTTTCCTCCAAGGAGCTAGGAGCTTTCTTGACTGACTCATGTCTTCTCACCACTTCCACATTCTATATGCTACTTATCTTTCTTTCTGGAGTTATCTATTTATAATTTGATTTATTTTAAGTTCCTTGATAGTAGAAACAAACCAAAACAAATTAAACAATAAACAAAACAACAGTCAAATGTATCTGCACACAGAGGACCTTATGTGCAGTTATCCAAAAGAGAAAGATGTTAGGACAATAAAGTGGAAGTGATTTTTTAAAAAAATCTTTCTACTTCTTTGTAGTAACCTGACTTTTTCTTATATATGTTATTTTTCCCAGTGGAAATACTTCCTTATTTGACAAATCTTGAGAAAATTTATATGCATAATCATTCTTTAGAAGAGTATAAAACAAATAGAGCAAATAAAAAATAGGAAATTCACTTATTTTGGGAAAAAAAAGGAGATCATAGGGAGTTTACACAGCTGAGATGGATGTATAATACAAATTGTCACCAGATACTTTTAACTGGTTAGATGCCATCAGTTGAATAAGCTTCTCTTCTGCATCCCCATCCCCAGAGACCGGGCTGCAGTGTGTCCTGGGCTTTGGAATTACTGTAAGATTCTCAAGTGATTTTACTGTGCAAGCAGCTTTGGCAACCATTGTCTAAAAAGGTATGTAGGATTAGAAGAGAAAATGGGTGAGGAGAGAACCATAGTAAAAGTGTTGGCTGAACAAGAGGAGCCAAGGAGAATAAGAGGAAAGTTTATGGTGGAAGAAATCTGGGGAAGTACAGTTTCCTGGAAAGAGGAGAAGAAGGAATGCAGAATAAAAGGGTAATCAAAACAAGAAGATGAACAGGTGACCACTGGATTTGGCATACAGAAGGATTTGGGTGGCCTCACAATGGCGGTTCCAAGAAACTGCCCTTGATCACTGGCATTTAAAGAAGTATAATACTTTAAGTACTTCAGGCTACCAGGGAGCCTGTTAATAAAAGACTGGCCTAATGATGAAATGGTTCTATCATAGTCTGAGTGGTATTAGGTACCAAGCTCTTAGAATGCTCAATGCCTGAGAGATGGATAGCTGGTAGTACAGTTTGAGGCAAAAATCCTTGGTCCATTTGTCCATTGCCCACAGGTGAAGACTTTACAAGTTTAGAAATTCACTTTAAGGAACATCTCTTGTTTTAAGTTTATTGCTTTTCCTATCATAATTATTATTTTATATTTCCCCATGTTGAACTGACCACTGTTGCCTATGAACCACTATGTAGCCTATCTATACTTAACTAGATTTACTAACTTATAAATATCTGTCCCCTACTAGACTGTAAGCCTATCAAGAGAAAGAATGATGTCTTATGATTCCTGTATTTTTAGACCAAGAACAAAATGATCACTTAACAAATATTTATTGTGCAAATGCTGGAGAAGTGTCCCAAAAAGCATCTTAAATTTATTTATGAAGAATATTCGTTTCTTCAAAAGGGAAAGTTGTAAATTAAAGTCTATGACCAACTTGACCCTATTGCTGGTTGGGGCCTTTAAGATTGCTGTTTTTTAATGATTATTTTTCAAAATTCCTCAAAGCAATTTACAGGAAAAGCCTTTTGATTTCTGAAGTGCATAATAGCCACTGTGGTTTATGATTTTTCCATCTTTCCTCAAGGCGCCTAAATGCTCTGTTTCCCTTAGGGATAAAATCATCAGGTTCCTATTGGCTGGTAGCTGTGACTCTATGACATGAACCTGCAAGTTTAATAGTAATGAAGATGGAACAAATGCAATATTCACATATCTTAGAATACTCAGAAATAATGAATGAAAGACAAGTATGTGGCTTAAGTTTTGGGTCACTTTTCCACTTTTGGCTGTACTTTCTGTGAGGCATGTGTTCAAAGAAAAACTCATGAAGTTATGTTCCTTATAATATTTGTTCTGCCCAAGAAACATTTTGCAAATATGCTTTAGGAGACATGTGACATATACCAAAACCAAATTCTGGCCCTCTTGCCAACAAAGCATGGCCAATGCTTCTTCACACAGATGCACAATGTTTATACAGAGCATACCTGAATTCTTGATCATCTATCCACAAAATACATTGCTTTTTCCACAAAGACCATGGTTTCCAAGGCAACAGAAAACTCATATAAAAATGAAAGCTCACACAAGTTGATCTCCATTTCTACGTGCCAAAATCTAACCACCTTCTCCAACCATAATAGTTATATTTCCCACCAGGAAGGCAAGGCTGAGAATGAAGTTCTAATAGTAGAGGCCACTTTTAAATGTGTCAGCATACATTGGTGCTATCAAGAAGAAAATTTTATTTAACAGTTTTCAGAGAGCGGTTGATGGGAGTCATTTGGGTAGAGGGTTAAGTATAGAGAAGATATGTTATGGCTAACCCTGAAGGATATTAGTAATATTGAAGGAGAGAAGATCCATCTTTCCTCTACTACTGGAAATTTTTTCTTTGTAAGCAAGTTGTTGAAAACCTTCTCATTGTTCATTCACTCAAAAACTCATTGCAGTCTGCCTTCTCTGCTTGGAACTGCCCTTGTGAAGCCTTCCAACTCCTTCTGTATGCCAAATCCAGTGATCACTTGTCCATCTTCTTATTTTGATTACCCTTTCATCCAGCATCTCCCTTCTCCACTTTCCAGGAAACTACACTTCCCCAGTTCTCTTCCACCATAATGTTTCCTCTTATTCTCCTTGGCAGGCTCCTCTTGTTCACCCAACACTTTTACTATGGTTCTTCCTCACCCGTTTTCTCTTCTAATTCTACATATTTTTTTAGACAATGGTTGCCAAGTCTGCTTGTACAGTAAAATCACTTGAGTATCTTACAATTCCAAAGACCAGGATACAGTGTGGCTCAGCCTCTGGGAATGGGATGTAGACATCAGTTTGAAATTCTCCCAGGAGATTTCAATGTGAAGACACATTTGTGAAACCACCATCTTAGAGTGCTTCCTTTCCTCTTAATTAACTCCAAATTAGATGACACTGAATATGCTAGGCTTATACTTTGTCAAAAAGTAATCATGCCTGTGACATATGCTCAGTTACTCCTTGAAATTCCTCAGTTGTACCTCATTATTTCAGGATAAAATAAAAATATGTTACCAGGACATTAAAGGCTCCCATGGTCTGGGCTCTTTTTACCTGCTAAGCTTCATCTCACACCACTCCCCAGTCCTGCTCAGTTCTTCCACCAGGAACTGCCCCCTTCACCTGCATAATTCCCACTTGTCCTTCCAGACTCAGCTGGGACATTTCCCTAATACCTTCTGCTCTCACTTACAGTGAGTTTTGTTGACCATAGCTCTTACCCCATGTACATCTTTTTATTGGTTAATCTTGTGGTACATAAGAATTTATTTCAGGGTAGAGTATTTACTTTTTTATTTCTCTACCCAGAATGCAGAGTGCTTTGAGCACACTTGCATGTTCAATGTTTGATGAATAAACGAATAAAAGAATATGATGTTTGAAAATTTTTGCCTTGAAGACATGTTCAGAAAGGGCTTGATCAAATGTATTTATTCAAGCAAAGAGGAAGATCACAGAGCCACAGAGCTTTCCTGCAGGTGCCAGGGTGTTCTTCCCTTCCTCCAGCTTCTTCCTTGGTCATCTGACAAGTGGAGCATCTGGAAACACAATCCAGGTGGTGACACCAACCTTCACATTTGAGGATCACTCTGGACACCATTTTCAGTAACCAAAAATTTAGCAAGGGCTCTCATACCATCAGGGATCTATTCCAACAGCTGGATATTACAAGAAACCACCTGCTAACAAGAGGGCTGGACAACTTTTGGGTCAGGAGAGGATAAGGGGGGAAATATTTGGCACAGAAAGCCCAAATGCCCCATCACTTACAGAGAGATGTAAGGTGTCTTTAAAAATAATTGATTCTCAGTAAGATTAAAAGTTTGAACTGTTTCTCCAACCATGTAGTTCTGTTAAGTTAATCTTGAAATCATTCTTTGAAAACTGACAGGAAAGATACAACTTAGAAAACATTGTGGATGAATACTTCCCCCTTTTGCAAATGATATTTTGGAAGCACAAAAGAAAAAGCTCTAATACAAATATTCATAATGAAAATATGAACTTAATAATACCAATGGCAAGACAGAATAATTAGGAGAAATCGGGTAACGAGCATCTCTCCTATTTTTAGTTTGTAAGCCTTTTTTGCTTTTTTTTTTTTTTTTTTTTTTTTTGAGACAGAGTCTCACTCTGTTGCCCAGGAGTGCAGTGGCATGATCTCGGCTCACTGCAAGCTCCACCTCCCGGGTTCACACCATTCTCCTGCCTCAACCTCCCGAGTAGCTAGGACTACAGGCGCTCGCCACCACGCCCGGCTAATTTTTGTATTTTTAGTAGAGATGGGGTTTCACCGTGTTAGCCAGGATGGTCTTGATCTTCTGACCTCGTGATCTGCCTGCCTCGCCTCCCAAAGTGCTGGGATTACAGG
The DNA here is from genome assembly GCF_000001405.40 of Homo sapiens. Taxonomy (NCBI): domain Eukaryota; kingdom Metazoa; phylum Chordata; class Mammalia; order Primates; family Hominidae; genus Homo; species Homo sapiens. The sequence continues at coordinate 57,498,248 of NC_000008.11, forward strand.
CGTGAGCCACCACGCCCGGCCCCCCTTTTTTGCTTTTTATGTAACTGCCACTTCCTGGTATGTTGTAAGCTTTACAAAATAAAAAAAAAAATTGAGTATTAAAAAAGTTGAAATTAAGTCACTTTTCCACAGTTATCTAGTAAAAACAAACACATAGAAACAAATAATAGAAGAGAATAACGTGATTTCCTGAACGGTCAATTATTGTGTGATACAAACACCATGTTCCAGATTTGACTTTTGTACCGTTTTTCTCCAAGAAACGCCATAGCCATCTCTGATAACATATGCTCCTCCAAGCCTTCAGTATCAGTTAATCGGCTGTCATACCAACTGCCAGTTATAGTCTGTGCTGTCTTTCCAATCCTTTTCCTGTTGTTGGTAGTAGAAAGTGACAAAATATATAACAATCTAAGTCTTAATAAATTAATTTTATATGGTTATGCTCAAAGGCATCCAAAAAGACAGGGACTTATTGTGACAATACAGTCATCCATTGGAAGTGTCGTGTTCTAGTAACACATGCTGTGACCCAAACTGGCTTCCTGGGCCTGTGACCTGGGCCGGCACCAGGGCCCTGCCCTCAGAATGAACTTGTACTTGTTTTGATGCTCAACTGCTGCCATCTTGAAATTCTTAATGTTTGAACAAGGCTCACACAATTTTATTTTGCTGTGGGCCCTGCAATTTGTGTAGCTGGTCCCGCTTGTGAACCCTCACTAAGCATTTTCTCTTGGGTGAAGCGTGTCTAAAATCAAAACAATGTCAGTCAGCATTAATAGAAAAAAGACATTGTGGATGGCAGCTTATTGCTACAGAAGTGTCGGTGGACTGACGAGAGGGACAGCCCATCTACCTTCTCCCAAGTCATGGCATTCTCTATAGGCCATTATAGATGCAGATGAGTCTCTGATATGTTTTACATTAACTCAAATATCCTTTGTTGCCTGATTTCTGCTTGCTGCTTTCTTGCCTGACAGGACCCCTACATAGGACTCCCAGGGATTATCCCTGTTTGCACAAGAATGATTACTCTTAGGGAAAGTCTTCTAACTCAAAATGCAGCAAACATCACCACAAAATTTAGTCAGGTGCCTGCATGCTTCAGGCTCATCTATTAGAATATACAAAATAAATCATCCCTTTGCAGAGCCAGGTCAGTATTATGATAATGTGGTTCAGGGAGAATAAGTAATTGCTGATGTTAAGAGAGATGAACAAAGTTGATGGATGTGGTCAACAAATGTTTATTTCAGTTTCATTGTATCCTTCTTGAAAAGTACTTAAACTAGTTCACTAGAGGATAATTAGATTTCTGGCATGGATTCATTAGCATACTATACTGAAAATTACTTTTTCTCTGTATTTATACCTATCTGGTAGAAACAGAGATGCAGTTGGAATATGGACCTTTAGATGGTATAGCAAAGAAAGAGATATGAGCTTTTTTGTAGTTGAGACATTTACTGAATTTTCATTAATACTGAAACAGAAGGAGTTTAGATGATAGACACTGAATTGTTTTGGCTAGAAAATAATTTCGGCTCAAATTGATGCAAGAATGGTAGGTAAGCTTTCTGTAATTGTATATGCTATCATCTTTTTGTAATTGATGTGTGAAAATGGTCTAGGCTTAAAAATATATGTAACTTTAAAACTGGATGTTTACAAAATCAGCTTTTCTTTTTGCTGTAAGTCCTATCAGGCTGATGTTCCAAAGAGACACGTGCTTGAGCTGTCTATAGCCTTCCTTCTCACCCATAAGAACTTGGAGAAAGTGGGTACCAAGAATCTTTCCTTCTTCACAACTAATGAAGAAAAAAATGAGAGCATAGTAATGATGACCAATATTATTTAGTAACAAAATAAAGCAACCTTTAGCACTTTGATTTAAAACATTTATTCTACATAAAAATAACTGATAAATATTTGTTAACTATGACTGAGTGGGTGATGTAGATACACACAGCTCTCAAGGAAGGGAAAGGGCAATGTCCTCAAATTGTGCCTAATGGTAAAGATCACCCAAGACACATGTGAAAAATGCACATTCTTATATCCTACCCAGGACTACTAAATCAAGAGATTCTGCCAAGGGGTCTGAGAGTCTGTATGGTAAAGACCCACCACAAGCATAGGGGAAACATGCATTAGGCAGTGGTTCTTAGGGAAACCACTGCAGGTGATCAGAAACAGTCAGGGCTGGGTGTGGTGGCTCACCCCTGTAATCCCAGCACTTTGGGAGGCCAAGGCAGGAGGATCCCTTGAGGTCAGGAGTTTGAGACCAGCCTGGTCAACATGGTGAAACCCCATCTCTACTAAAAATACAAAAATTAGCCGGCCGTGGTGGCACACACCTGTAATTCCAGCTACTCAGGAGGCTGAAGCAAGAGAATCTTTTGAACCTGAGAGGCAGAGGTTGCAGTGAGCTGAGATCATGCCACTGTACTTCAGCCTGGGCAACAGAGCGAGACTCTGTCTCAAAAAAAAAACAAAAACAAAAACAGTTGGAGGGCTTATTAAACTGGGTCCCATGCCTGGTTTCTTATTCAGGCATTTGGAAAGTGGTATGAGAATTTGCATTTCTAGTAAGTTCCCAAGAAGACACCAGAGATCCTGGAGCAGGAACCACACACTGAGAACCACTGGGTTTCAGAGCCTTATTGTGGTGTCTGCTGTTACAATTCACATGGCTCAGGTGGCTGCATGCCTAGGAAGCATATGATTCCTCTCTGGTCATGTTGCTGTTGATGAAAAAGCCAAAATCTGTAAAATATTTAAAGAAGTTTATTCTGAGCCAATATGAGTGACCATTGTCAGGATATAGTCTCAAGAGGTCTTGAGAAAGTGTGCCCAAAGTGCTCAGGTTACAGTTTGGTTTTATACATTTTAGGGAGGCAGGAGTTACAACCAAAGACATAAATCAATACCTGGAATGTGTACACTGGTTCAGTCTAAAGAGGTGGGATATCTTGAGGGGGCACTTACAGTTCATAGGCAGATTCAAAGATTTTCTGACTTGCAATTGGTTGAAAGGGTTAAGCTTTATCTAAAGACTTAAGAAGTCACTAGCTTGAGCTAAGATAAGGGGGTTGTGTAAGCCAAGGCCTTCATTTCGTAGATGAAGTCTCATATGTAGTAGCTTTCAGAGAGCAAGTGATGCTATACCAGAGTCACGTTGAAATTTGATATCTTATTGCCACAAAGAACCTTGTGTTTTGTCAGTCTTATGATCTCTATTTTAATGTTAGTGATGGTTAGTTGAGCCTAAACCCCAAAGGGAGAGGGTATAAGGAGGCATGTCAAACTTCCCTTCCCATCATGGCTGGAACTCAGTGTTTCAGGATTCCCTTGGCCCAGAAGGGGTCCGTTCAGTTGGTTGAGGGGGCTTAGGATTTTATGTTTGGTTTACACTGCTCTCCATCTCAAATCCTTCATAACCTTCCATAAACAGATTGTGATGCTTTTCGTAGGGTAGATCCCAGCCTGGTACCTGAAGTCATGATGCCACAGAGGGTAAAGATAACCCCAAGAAAAGGGCCAGCTCTCATCTAAACCCCACAACATATCAGAAATAATGAACATTTTAAGGACAAAGGCGAGTCGATCGTCATACTTGGATGAAGACAGAGTAAGAGATGGGCAACAACAGTCCCAAAGGACATGGACAGCCTCATAAGCTCTTAAACCAGAATTTAGAGAAGCTTAGGTTGCAGGCAGCATCAGCCACTTACATTTTTTTTCAGGATGGGGCTGAGAGGAATATGAGGAATATACTTTTTGGTCTGAATAAGATTTTTTTTTTCACAGAGGAGATAGATATAAAATGAGCATTCCTCTTTGGATATATCTCCTAAAGGAACCTTTCCTTTAGGCAGATATCATGAAGGTAAGCCTTGTGTGTCTGTGTGTGTGGTTCTGTGTGCATGTGTGTTTCTGTGTGTGGGGTTGGGGGCAGGCAGGAAATGTGGTGTGTGCTTTCCCATGTGTGAGGATGGCAAGGTGATGTCAACCTTACTGGCCAAGCCAGACCCTAGCAGCCTTTGGCTACACCTTTCTTCTAAGCCTTCCTCTTTCTTCTAAGCCTTCTCTTTCATCCATGATTAGGTTTGCCTATACATATCTTGTTCTGATTTAGGTTACTTTCATCTGAGTATTTGTCTATCGTTACCACTAACCACAGGTGTGGGAACCTCACCCTCTCTCCAAGTTGCTACTCTGCACCTTTTCTTTGCTAAGCCCAAGTCTTTATTTTTAAATAATAATGAGAGTGGTGTTAAAACAAAAATCAAAAGACAGGTGGTATGTTTCAGAATCTTAAGCATTCTTTATAGATTAACTTTTAGATTATAAAGTTTCTAATCTACCTACCAAAGATTTGATTTCAATAGCTACAAATGTGCTTCCAAAAGCAAAGTATAAAAAGCCAAATGGCAGTCAAACAAATACTTTGCTTAGGCATCATTTTTGTCCCATGGTAATTCTGGAAGCTAAACAGATGTTTATTGTACAAATATAGAATGACCTGCATAACTCCTTGCAGCTTTCTGACTTCTTAGTAATGAGACGATTTGGAAGAGAAGGCAATAGCAAGCATAAAGTTAATCATAAAAAGCAGAGAAAGGCAAGGGAAAACTTCATCTACAGTTATTTGCTAGCAACGAATTCTCTTAGATTTTCTACATCTGAGAATGTTTTCATTTCTCTGTCATTCCTGAGGGATATTTTCACCAGATATAGTACTTGCAGCTGACAGTTCTTTACTTCAGTATTTGAAAACTGCTGTGCCAATTCCTTTTGGCCTCTGTGGTTTCTGATGAGAAATTCACTGCCATTTGAATTGGTGTCCTATGAATGACGTGTTGTTTCTCTCTGGCTGATTTCAAAATTTTTAATTTGTCATTAGTTTACAGAGGTTTAATTATGATGTTTCTTGGTATGGATTTCTTTGGATTAAACCTATTTGGAATTTTCTGTTTCTTGAATGTGTAGATATAATATCTTTCACCAAATTTGGGAAGTTTGTATCGATTCTTCTGTAAACATTTTTTTCAGTCTGAATGTCTTTCTCCTGTTTTTATGGGACTCTGAAATTACCAATGATAACTCTTTTATTATTGTCCCACTGGTCCCTGAGACTATTTTTATTGCCTGTGTTCTCTGTTGTTTAGATTGGGTACAGTCTACTGATCAATATTCAAATTTACTAATTCTATTCTCTGTTATATTCACCCTACTAATGAGTTCATCTAGAAATATTTTTGAAAAAGTTTGGTTATTAAATTTTTTCAGTTCTATAATTTCCATTTGGTTCTTTTTTGTAATTCTAATATTTTAACAGAGGTTTGCTATTTTTATTCATTTCAAAAGAGCATGTAATTGTTTTTCAAAGCATTTTTATGACAACTGCTTTAAACACCTTGCCACGTAATTCATATATCTGATTCATCTCAGTGTTAGTGTCTGTTGATTGCCTTTTCTCATTCAGGCTGTGATTATCCTGGTTGTTGTTATGATGTAATTTCCCATTGAATCCTAGGCATTCTGGATATTATTTTATGATAATCTGGATTCTACTTAATCTTTTTCAGCAAGCAGTTGAATTAAAGCCCAAAGGCAAAGTAGGAGTATATGTTCAGCTTCCTGCTGGGCCCTGCTGACACCACGCTAGCAAAAGCGGGGCTCACACATTGCCTAATTGCAACAAGTGGAGTGAGAGTTTAGTTTCCCCCCTTGCCCCACTGACATCAGTGGAGGGGAGTGGGGAAAGCAGCAGAGTGCCAACTAGCCCTGCCCCCCACAACCTCCTTCTACTGCAATGCCAGTTTGGGGTGAGGCCCAGCTCCCCACAGGCCCTGCTGGACACAAGTTGGGCAGTTTGGAAAGGTAGTGCTGACCAGCTCTCACTTAAGCCACCTGATTTAGTCTTCCTGAGTCTCAGCTTGCTGGTGGACCCCACTGACACTAACCTGGTAGGAAAATCAGAACATGGTTGGCTTTTGCCGGGGGAGAGATAAAAGAGCTGCTGGTCTCCTACAGAGATACTTCCCCAGTTGGGAAATCAGATTGCTGTCATCTATTATCACCACCTGGGTATGGAAGATCAGCTCCCACCTAAGCCTAACTGATACCACCAAGTGAGGGGACTGGAATGTACCACCCCTTCCGTGGAATTGAGGATGTGTGTGGAAGATCAGCTTCTCACTAGGCACTCCTAAGAAGAGGGGTGTGTTTCCATTGGTGTTTGGCTGGAGTAGGGTGAGTATATTAGTCTGCTTGGGCTGCCATAACAAAATACCACAGACCACATGACCTCAAAGCAGAAATTAGTTTTCTCACTGTTCTGAGTGCTGGAGAGTCCAAGATCAATGTTCAGGCAGGGTATGCTGTAAACGGCTACCTTTTCACTGTATCCTCACATGAACTGTCTTCTGTGCGCATACAGAGACAGGCCATGTGCAACAGCAAAAAGGTGTCTGTCTGCAAGCAAAGAAGAGAGTACTCACCAGAAACCAAATTCTATTTGAACCTTGATCTTGGACTATCCAGCTTCCAGAACAGTGAGATAATTAATTTCTGTTGTTTAAGCTATGCAATCTGTAGCATTTTGTTATGGTAGCCTGAACATAGTAGCATAGATTTTGGTTCTGTGAAGTTGGGTGCTGCTGTACCAAATACCTAAAAATGTGGAAGAATCTTTGGAACTGGGTAATGGATAAAGGCTGGAAGAGTTTTGAGGTACATGCTTAAAAAAGCCTAGATTGCCATGAAGGGTAGTTGGTGGAAATATGGAAATTGAAGTTAATTCTGGCAAGGGCTTAGAAAGAAAAGAAGAAAGCTGAAGAGAAAGCGTCTATCTTAGATAATACATAAATAATAATGAACAGACTGTTGGTAGAAATATGTATGTTAAAGCAATTCTGGAGATGCTTCAGACGGAAATGAGAAACAGGTTATAGGAAACTGGAGGAAATGGAATTCTTATTATAAAATGGCAAAGGACTTGGCTGAATTGTGTTATAGTGTTTTGTGGAAGCTACAATTTGCAAGTAATGACACTGAACATTTAGCAGAGGAGATCTCTAAACAAAGTATTGAAGGTGTGGTTTGGGTCCTTTTGACTGCTCATAGTGAAATGCCAAAAGAGAGAGGTGAATTGAAAAAGGCTTTGTTAAACAAAAAGGAACCATAACTTAAAGATCTGTAAAATTCTCAGTCTGCCCATATTGTAAAAATGAGAAAGTGTTCTGAAGAGATTACACCAAGGGTGTGGCTAGACTGTTACCTGATAAAGAGGTTATGAAATTAGACAAGCAGAAACACTGCCAGTTTGAACTAAAGAAGATGGGCATGGGAGGCTAATGGGAACTAAAGGAGATAAATGAGAAAGCTACGGAACATCTTGGATTTTACAGAATGGGACCAAGACAGCTACTTGGCCATGAACATGCACTATTTTTCAAAGAAAGGGAAGAAAGGCCATGAAGACAATTCAGAGATCACAGGAAATGCCACTCCCACCATAGGCCCAGAGTGCCCAGGCCTGGGGAGCAAGGCACTTCTATCTTGGTTTCAAAGGGTGGAATCACCTCCTCGGTTTTGACAGGCAGGCTGCTGTCACCCAGAGTTGCCTGGGCTGGGCCTTCCCAATGCATATGGCCAAAGATTGTTGGTTGTTAGGTTTTCTTGGAGCTTTTTACTTTTTATCGTGCTTTTCTGTGTGTGCTGCTGGTAGTTCTGGGTTGGCAATTCTGTAACACCCTCTTGGAGATATATGGGAGGTGATAAGGAGGACAGGAGATTCAATACCAGGTCATTATTTGTGTCCCGATGACCCTAAGCAGCCTACTTTCTTCTTTTTTCATCTTCAAAAGGCTTGTTGTTGTGTTATCTAGGTTTTCTAGTTGTATGAGGGAGCACAGGGGAGGAAGAGGGCTACTCCATCCTGGCAGAACAGGAAGTTTCTATAGTCTTTGGACGGTCAAAGAAATTCACTAAGGTTGTAGGAAGCTGATGACACATGGAGAGGAATTTCCAGCATGCATGTGTGTCTTTTTTGAGTGTATCTTCCCTTTCTCTAATTGGCTTATTTGCTATTATCACCCCTTTCTTTAGTCATTGTTGTTGCTGAAAGAATTTTTGTCTAAAACTCAAAACATCAATGTCTTCAACTTATTTTATCTGAACTAGTTAAAAAGTGGAACAGAAAAGAATTTTGGAGGAGCAACTAAGACACTATTTTTTAATCCATTGCTCTTCAACAATGTTTTCATCAAACTAATAATCATGGGGGAAGATAGAAAATTGTATCTCTGTGAAAATAATATTTTTGGACATTCCATGCCTGAATAAATGAAAGATGGTAAAAATATAGGTATAATTTTCTTTAGGTTCAAAATATTATATTGACAGCTAAAACAGAATTTCATCATTCAGATGATAATCACAGAGCCAAGTTAAATTTGGGGTATACCACTGTGGATTCCAGAAGTTTCTCTTTATGCCAACTGGAAATGTTAGCTGCTTTAGACTTTCATGGAAATCAGGTCTCAAAAGAATTCTGGCTGGGAAGGACACTTGAATTTTCATTCTGTACTCACTGGAAGCTGATAGATAAGACCCTGGTGCTAACAAAATAGAAAAATTGTCTTTATAATATTGATAATTATTTCCTTTTTTACTTTAGGAGTGACCTATCTCATTTTGAAATTAGAACCTTACATTCTTTGGCTTTCAGATTTTAAAAGTCTTGAAGAACATCAAATTTTATCTGGAAGAGAGAGTTCTTTAGGCTTTTGTGATAGAGACATGTCTGTTTTAGCACATCATGAGATAAAATAGACTACTGTAAGCAACACATATTAGCTTTTCTTAGGACAAAAATATGTGATTTGATTTTTTTTTATGATGCTGTAATACAAAAGCTTAAAGGCTATTGAAGTCGAAGGTCTCACATGCTGTGTGTAATGGCTATTCACAGTTGGATCAACTTAATTGTCGTTAGTGGTCTTTTATGATGATTTGTCTATAAATCAGTAAATTTATAAGAAAATTAGTTTTAAAGTATGATTGACCAGTAAAGTAATCGGTGGCTTTCTGTAAAATGATTAAGGCAAAAGGGGACATTGCTCAAAAGGTCTTTCTCGAGTCCTCCCTTTATTCCTCAAATCATCATCATCCTCAGGTGTCTCCCAGCCTCATCTCACACAGAGAGGCTGAAAACCCACATACATGTTATGGGAACATTTTCTTATTTTTTCAGGGGTTGAGGAAGATGATACATTATTATAATCCCAATTCTAATAAAATCTTCACTAGTTTTGCTACTCGAATATAAAAATACAGCAAATCAACACTGGTCAAAAGTGATGATGCTGCATTTTCTTTTTCAAAACCCAATGCTCTAGTATCATAGAATATAAAAAGGAAAGCATTAGTACAGTAGCTAAGCGCATGGGCCTAGCAAATCAATTGTCTAGATTTGAATCCCAAGCCTAGCACTTCCGAGTCCTGTGTGACCTCAGGCAATTTATTGACCCTTAAGAAGCTTCAGTTTTCTTACCTATAGAATGGGGAAAGGTAGTGGTGAGTGAGAGGAAGTGGTTCCCACTCCTGGCTTTCCTTGCAAATCATCACTTTAAAGAATACAGATGCCTGGGCTCTCCTTCTGAAGGTTGGGATTTTCTTGTTTTGGGATGGGGTCCAGAAACCAGTGTGTTTCACTCTCCCCAACTGCAGGGGAATGTAACGTGCAGCTAAGCTTGAGAACCAGTGCCTGAACCAACTACTCAAGGAGAGGTCAAGAAGCAGCATCACCATCAACTGGGAACTTTTTAGAAAAGTCGACTCTCAGGCTTCACGCCAGAACTACTGAATTAGAACCTGCATTTTAGCCAAGTCTCAAGGAGATTTTCATGCATGTGAAAGCTTAAGAAACATGGGTCTAAAGATCATTGTGAGGATTAAATGAGAGAATCCATCTAAGCTGCTTAGAACAGTGCCTGGAACATAGAAAGCTATGAATTAAAGTTAGCTGTTTTATGTTTGGTATCTCCTCTACTATTTCACTGATAATTTAAAAAAATCTCTTTTCAAACTGTTTTCCCCACTACCAATAAATCCTTTAGGATAAGTGCTATAGTTGGTTCACTTTTCTAACCCTGGTGCCTAGGGTAGAGTCTGACATATGATACAGGTAGATAGTAAATATCTGTTGGAAAGATAAAGGTCCCAAGACAGTAGGGACTTTGCACTGGGTCTTAGGAATTCTTTTCTGGCACTGGTTCTGTCACTCATTTGTTGTGGGACCTGATCCGAGGCATTCCAGCTTAGAACTTCAGTTTTCTCATCTGTACCTTATAGGAGCGGGCACATAGTTTCTAAATCTCCCTCCACTTTTAACTCTAAGTAATTTTATTACATGTGTATACATGGCTGAACTCTTGTGGATAGGTCTTTTGTTTGTTTTGTTATTGCTTATGAAACAAGCATTTTTCTGACATTCTTAATTGAGTGGGAGGATATGAGGAAGGCACAGCCTGGCTGTTGCTTTGCAAATTAAACATACCTGATAAATTTAGTGTAGCTTTCAGCCATCACTACATAGAATCATTTGGAAACTTAAAAATACTGATCCCTAGGCTGACCTTAAAAACATGTCTGAATTAACTGATCATATTGAGTCAGGTATTTTTTCGAAGCATCCTAGTTGATTCTAAAGTGAAGCCAGAGGTAAGAACCTTGCTGGCGGTAATGCCTAATGCCACATAGTTTTAAAACAATTTGCCTGGGCTAAATGGCAAAAACCCGTCTCTACTAAAAGCACAAAAATTAGACGGGCATGTTGGCAGGCGCCTGTAATCCCAGCTACTCAGGAGGCTGAGGCAGGAGAATCGCTCAAATCCGGGAGGCAGAGGTTGCAGTGAGCCGAGATCGTGCCACTGCACTCTAGCCTGAGCTACAAGAGCAAGACTCCGTCTCAAAAACAAACAAACAAAAACACAGTTTGCTTACCTTTTTATATTTATTTGAATAGAGCCAAGTGCTGAGATGGGATACCTGGAGATGGTAGAACATTTTGCTCTTCAGTTCTGTCATCAGGGCTCTTTCTTTTCACTCCATCTGCCAATTATGATGTCTCCCTGCTCATGAGCGAAGTATGCGAACTTGGGAGAATCGTCATGCTATGTTACTAATCAAGCTCACAAGTCTAGTAAATTGGGGCATTAAATATGTTTGTGTGAACATACATGCACATGCATGTGTTTTATGTGTACACATGTTTGAAATTAAAGCTCAGTTTTTGTTTTGAACAAAAGGCATCTATGTCTGTAACAGCCTATTTGGATTTTATTTAATAGGTGTTTTGTGTTTATTCATAGCTACAGTAAACCTGATTTACTTGTTTCCAGTATTATATACTATTATTTATTATTATTATTATTATTGAGACAGAGTCTTGCTTTGACGCCCAGGCTGAAGTACAATGGTGTGATCTCAGCTCATTGCAAACTCTACCTCCCGGGTTCAAATGATTCTCCTGCCTCAGCTTCCCAAGTAGCTGGGATTACAGGCACACGCCACCATGCCCAGCTAAGTTTTTTATATTTTAGTAGAGATGGGGTTCCACCGTGTTGCCAAGGCTGGTCTCGAACTCCTGAGCTCAGGCAATCCACCCATCTCAGCCTCCCAAAGTGCCAGGATTACAGGCGTGAGCCACCGCACCCAGCCCTGTATACTATTATTTTTTAAAAGATAAGTTAAATAGTTCTGTATCCTAACATTAGTCCATGAAAATAGCATCCTTATTTTATTCCATTTTGGGAATGCTGCATTTAAACTTACTATGCTGAACAATGTGTTGACTCAAACACAATGGTGTAGAGGTGGTATTTGAGATAGTCAACTGAATGAATATTTTGAGTGCTTTGTTTTTCCTTTTTTTCTCACTTTCTAAAAAAATAAATGTGAAATACAGTTGGCTTCTAAGTAGAAATGTGTGTTTATCCTAAAGGATCTTTGGGCATTTACATTAAGCTGCAGCATCACAAAAATGAAGCTGAAAATGATCTGCCTTTTTTTCTAACAGAACACAAATCATATATTGAAATTTTGCCTAATAGTTTTCAACCTCAAGAGTATGGGATGCATTTCTAGAAAATTATTTGCCATATAGTTTGTTCCATGCAGGAAAATAGAGGGGACTTGAAGTCACAGCCATTTTTCACTGCCACCTGTGATTATACTACATGATTTACATTTCCTATTTTTGTTGGAAATAAAATAGTTTCCTATTAGGACTGGAGGTAGATGGATTTAAGTAGCCCAGTTTCCTGGCAAAGGCCAGGATATTGGGAGTGTTTGACTTAGGCAAAATGGGTCTAGCAATATGTTTATGTGAAAAGAGGCATAGCACAGGACACCTGGCCTGGATCAATGCTGGGAAGCACCTAAACTAATCAGCCAGAGTACAAGAGGTGGTCGTGGACTGGGAGGAATCAACCTGGGGGCTTCAGGATACAGCAGACTGGCCATTCGTGGGTGGCTAGGCCTGGAGTCATGGCAGACAGACCTCAGGGCAGACGAAGTGCTCTCACACTGGGTAGCAAGCAAGACAGGAGGTGAGGACCAAGTGGATTGTTTTGGGGCAGACAAAGAATCTTGAAGAGCATCAAAAGATTTCTCAGTCCACAGCAGGACCCTTCTGACAGAGGCAGTGGCTGAAGCGATACGTGGCCTCTCTGTGAAGCTAACATTTCCAAACCCACGAGAGACTTTTCCAAGAAGAATTATAGTCATCCATTCAGAGCAGCAGGAGCTTCAGAAGATCTGGGACTTCAGGTGTGAGAGTGACAGACAGGACACTGAGGAGCAGTTGCATGAAAGGGGAGAGGTGGGAGGAGATCCATGTGTATACATTTCAGCTTTGTTCTCTGACCTCATCTCCCATTAGAAAATTGAGTCCTTTGCAATCTAAGGGTAGAATATGATTACATAAAGTGAATAAATATATCTTTTTTGGCTGATTTTCATTTTTCTGTTTAAACATTAATGTCAGAAAAGAGTCCCAGAATGCTAATCCTCTTTCCTCTTCCAAAGTGTTCATTTTTAGAGATTCTTAGTAATTATTGTTTTCTTCATGTCCTCTCAAATCATTGATCTTTTAACACTTTCTAACAGTTTCCTGGAGGAGGGTAGACTTCAATCTGTGGTCTTCTGTTTTCCAGATTCAATGTTTGTGAGATTCTTTCCCATAATCTTTCAAAAATTACAAATTACTTTTCCACAAAGTCATTTGCTTACATTTTAAATTTGTTAGGTGTGTTTGCTTAGGTCTTGGTGATTCAATAAAGGTAGTGACTTTTTATTATACCCTTTTCTATTTTGAATTTCTTAATCATGTCTGTTTCCCATTTTATTATTGAGAAAATGAAACTAAAATACAATTTAAGTATAAGGCATTATTGGCACTCATGGGAAATAAACACTTTTCGAACATCCGGTTAAAAATGAAAGAAATATTTTCCAGAGTTCTAGTTTTCTTTAGAATCACATTTATTTACAAGCAATTCTGATACTGGTTGGCATTTTCTGAGCAATTTTCTGAAGCAATTTTCTGATTATTCAGAAATCTAGATTAGTTTCCTCAGAACCCTGTCAATCTCATAGCATATGGGAATACAAAATCCTTCCTTTATATTTCTCCAAATAATAAAAGTTTACTTTTTATGTCCTTCCTGGCCTCCTGAGCTGTTTTTTCTGTGTACACTGTCTTCGGGCTGCACTACTTTAAAATTGAAACTCAAACTTTGACTGAAAGAATTCATTTACATAAGCCATTTGTGAGCAGTGTAGACTGCCCTGAAGATTTCATGTGGGAATTAAGAAATGGCTTATGCCAAATAATAGAAATGAAGCTCATTAACATTGCTAAGTATTAATATAAAAACATGATATGCCTCACTGGCCACTCAATTCATCTCAGCCAACTCTTTGTCTCTTATCTTACCTCTTTCTCTTCTCTCCATCTTCATACTCAGGAGAAAAACCACAAAATGCCTTTCTTTGTCTCATGAAGAGAAATTCTCCCCTCCTCTGAAGTCTTGGCCTTTGAACTGAATGGGCCTACCTCTTCCATCCTACTCCAGAGACACACCAAGACCTTCTTCTAGGTCGACACAGGAATTTTTTCCTCGGAGGGAGCCTGGGGAATAAAATGTCCTCACTCATTTCGCCTTCACTACAGATGTCTCAGCAGAGGAGACATTTTGTACTGGTAGAAATATCCAGTGAAACAGATACAAAAATCTATATAAAAAGTAGATGATTAATGCCACAGATGTGAGGAATATTCAGTTTAGAATTCTTCCCTCAATTTATCCAAAAATATAAATTTCTGGCTTATCATAACACATTTTTAGACGTTTTTAACTTTTTTTTCTTTTCATTAGTTCATGAGCACCAATAGTAGGCCTTCTTTTCTGGGCTAATTTTTGTTTTTCACAAAGAAATAGGTTTCTTAAAAAAAGTCATCAAGTAACTGTGTTCGATATAAGGAGTAGAGAACCCCACAGTTGCACTGAGTCATCACTCTATAAATATTTACTGAATGAGTGAAAGGCTTAATGTGCTCACTAACAAAACCATTCACTCCTGCACATCAGCTTCAGAGCAGACAGAACTTTAAAAATGACAAGTGGCCCTGTATAACTTCGTGGGGTGCAATACAGAAAACAGACTCCCCTGTGAGCAGCCCTTGGTGTTCTGGAGGGAATGAGGCTTTTCTACTATGGTTTCATTCCATCTCTCCCCAAGTTGATGGGCCTAGATTTTCCTGATACATTTTGCTCCAAATAGCAAAGTAGGGGCAGAAGTGTTGAGAATAATTTTTCTCCTTATCTTTTTCAATGACCTCACCCTGTTTGAGACTACTATTTGGATCGACATTTTAGTATTTATTTTTAACTTAGGCTTCTCCAGAGAAATGGAACCTGTAGAAATACACACACACACACACACACATACATCCATATATGGAAAGAGAGAGAGAGAGATTTATGAGGTATTTATTTCCACAACTATAGAGGCAGAGAAGACACAATCTGCTATCTGCAAGCTGCAAACACAGGGAAGCTGGTGGTGTATTGCAAAGGCCTGAGAGCTAAAGGGCTGACTGTAAATTAAAGTTGTAAATTCCTATAATTCTGTAAATTTCTGGGTCTTCAGACCTGAGAATAAGGAGCTTCATGGGAAGAGAAGACCAATGCCCCAGCTCAAGCTGTCAGACAGAGGACAAATCCGACCTTAGTCTGCTTTTTTCTTCTATTTGGGCCCTCAATGGGTTGGAGAATGCCCACCCACACCAGGGAGAGCCATCTGCTTCCCTCAGTTCACCAATTCACACTCTAATCCCATCCACAGGCAACCTTACAGATGCACCCAGAGATAATGTTTAACCACATATCTGGGCATCCTGTGACCCTGTCAAGTTGTCATAAAATTAACCAGGCAAACTTAGTTTTACAGTCCTCATGGCATATTGTCCATATCCTTCTTAATTGTGGGCAGATGTCAGAGCTCCCAGAAGAGTTGCATTGGCCTTCTTAGATGCTTTTCTAAATGTATTCTTCATTTAAAGCAAAATACAAAAAGTATATATTGAATAAAATTTTTTGTTGATCAGCATCTTTCAATTTCATTACTGTATCATCAATTTCATTACTGACATTTTTCAAATGTTTCTGTCTCATTACTAGGGTTTTCATGTAGACAGTCATAGTGAGCAATCATTTGGTCTTTCAGGCCAAATGTCCTGATTTTCTACAGGGCATCTGATTTCCTCTTTCATTCCATTCCACAAAGAAAGAAAAAAAACTGGCTGAGCATGGTGGCTCATGCCTGTAATCCCAGAGCTTTGGGAGGCCAAGGTGGGAGGATCACTTCAGATCAGTAATCCAAGACCAGCTTGAGCAACATAGCAACAGCTTATCTCCACAAAAATACAAAAATCAGCAAGGTGTAGTGGTATGTGCCTGTGATCCCAGCTACTCAGTAGGCTAAGGTGGGAGGATTGCTTGAGCCCAGGGTTCTAGGCTGCAGCGAAGTATGATCAAGCCACAACACTCTAACCTAGGTGACTGAGCAAGACCCATCTCTAAAAACACATTGAAAAAAACTGAAAAAGATGCCTCTGGTCTTAGAAGTATGACAATGATTAAAAGCCTTAAAACCTGTTTTATCTGTAAAAGATTAACAGTTTTCAAAATGAAATTACATATCTTTATACTCTTGTAAATATTTTCTCCATACATGTTTTCATCTCTTCTCTGACTTTCACCTCTGGCCAAGACAGGGTAACAGAGGCTGGATTTACCCTTCCTCCTGAAACAACAAAATAACCAAGCAAAATGTATGTGAAACAATAAGTTTTTAAGGTACTCTGCATCAGGTGATAAGGACACTGATTCCTGAGACATGGGAAGCAAATTAGATGAGCCCTACAGTTGCCTTGGCTTACTGCCTTAGAAAGTTTTCCAGGCCACTGCTCGGGAAGGAGGAACCCAGACAGATGCATCAGAGTCCAGGGGATGGAGCTGACAGTCAGGAGGTACAAGAATGCTGGAATTCCCAGGCTAATCTTGTTTAAAGGCAATCATGTAGATGATTCTGGAAATTTTTTGTTTGCTTTGCTATTTTCTAGCATAAATTCTTTTTTAGGAATTATGGATTGAGAGTGTGGCAATACTTTGTATTGTGAGACATTAGAGAGGCATTTTGTTTGTTTTCTATGTATTTGTATACTTATTTATAATCCCGAGTGATGTTTTCCTTTACATATTTCCTTTAATGCATATCCCAACTCTACAATTATTTATGTTCAATATTACAATACTGAATATTCCCAGCAGAGTTGGCTAGTTTGTGAAATCTAGTTGAAACATTATAGAATTAGAACAATGCTGCATTGATAATTATTATAGTCATAAATGTACCAGTAATGGGATGTTGAATAATGTCAGAAAAATTAATAAGTTGCATAGAGTTCATTTCAATGAATAGACAAACTCCCGTATAATTTAAAGTTTATGACATGGTCTTGGTACAATTTTAATGTGAGCTACTTAGATATAAATATCATCATCTAAATGTTGCCCTTTGTGACTTAAGCACAATTCCAGGGCATAATGATGTCCTCAAAGTGTTCATAAGTTACCTCAAAGGTCACTTACAATAAACTGAACAAAACTGAGAAATATGTACAGTCATTAATGTTTTCATTCATTCACATGTAAAGTGGATTTAATTTGGCACCTGGAGAAATGTTGATTATTTTCCTTAGCTTTGCGTGTGGCTGGAAGGTGGCCTGTCACATTCCAAGAAGGCCCAGTCTGGCTTCACCTTAGATTGTCCCTCACTCTCAAGGGCAGCCCTATGATCTCTGCTGGAGGGTGAAGGAATTACAGAAATCAAGGTGGTCCCAAGGTGTGAGGGGCATTTAACTTAGCAAATGGCCTAAAAAGGCGGGAGCCCAGCCCTGAAGGGGCTGCCATCCTGGGCCTTGCCCCACCTCATGTCTCCACCTCATATCTCCATCTCAAAGCAAGTGCATGCTGAGGCCTCACACCCAGCTCAGCCCGTGGGTATGTGCATGCGAAGTCACAGAATCACTTTAGGTTAGAGTTTACGCATTGGCTGGCTTTTATCTGCAAAGCAGGTAAGGAAACAGAAAGCAAAGTAACAGAAACTGAATAAGCATATTACATCATTAAAGATGAAAAAGATTGACATAATTTTGATGTTTTAAAAGCAATAATTTTTCCTAATCTTTTGAAGTTGTTTCAAGATGCATTGGTCATCCATCTGGGTAGGTCTTAAGTGATGTTTCTCCAGTCCTGTATTTATGTTACTTTCTATTAGTTAATTCCTCTCTACTGAAGCTTTTGCTCTATATTCCTGTCCTCTGCTTCTTGACTGTCCTCCCTTCTCATTTCTGCATTTTCTTTCCAGCGAAGTGTTATTCTTTCTATTTCCTAGCTTCCATTTATCTTTTAATTAAATCACCGGGGGATGTATCGAAAGTCCTTAGGGCTCACTTTGAGCTGGGGAAGTGGAGAAAGCTCTCTCCTCATTATAAACAAATGTTAATTTAGATGAAGCTTGAGAAATATTTCCTCTGCATGGTTTATTTTTGAATTACTTGTAATATCACTGTTAGCGTACATATCCTAGAGAGACAAATTTTTTTGTATTTTATGTATTTCTAATTCATTATTATTGGTAACTTAATACCCACTAGAGTAGTATCTAATTAAATGCTGAAATCATGTCTTTGGTTATGAAAGGAGAGCTTATTATCTGTGATCCTGATCATCTAGATAAATTCCAAGCCTGGAATGATGAGGGATGCTTAACTATACCAAAAATATAGAGGCCCATCTAGCCACTTCAGTTGCTTATGTGGTTCAGTGAGATTGCACCAGGTTTGAGGCCCACCAACTATGTTGAAATTTCTCATCTGAGCGTCTTACTACCAAAGCTGATGCTCAAATAGCCACTGGGTGATCATATATGATGCACATAGCTCAAGGTAATGCTTACACTAAACAAGATCACATTGGGAGTGTGAGGAGTTGAATCAGCCCCAAATGAATGACTAAGAAGTATCCTCATCTTAGTCAGAATCAAGCAGATTTTGAATGAGGGAAGAGAATATCTCATTTATCTTTATGTTTCTAATAGCATTCAGCAGAGTGTCATGCACGTAATTTGCACTTAATAAATGGCTGCTTTATAGTTGCCTGTCCCTGATGCTGAACTCACCAGGCACTACTTCATGAAGATACAAGTGCAGTGTGCCAGCTCCCCTCGTTCAGATCTCCTCCTGAGGACACTATCCTATAAACTTGGCATGCAGTGTACAGTAAGGTCTAAGCCAATGGCCTAGGAGCAAGATGAGGCTTTGCACCTCAGCTCTGATTCTTAGCCACATGCACTTGGGCTGAATTTCCTGGGCAAACTTTGGAGAGCTGCAGGAGTATGAACAAATAATCCCTTTCTCAGAATACTCTCCTCACTCTTTATCTAGATATCATTCTCATCCTTCAAGTCTCAGCTTAATGGGCTTTCCCTGGCCCCAGAGCCCTAAGGAGCCCCACGTGGTCACAGATGTACTGAGTGCCGTGCAGGTCAAAGGCACAGCAGATATAAGTGGGAAAAGCATGACATTTTTCTCTGAGAAGACTGATGTTTTAAAAAAGAAAGGGAAAAAAACCCTTCATGCCATCACAGTGGTTTTTATACTTCTCCTTTGTAGCCAGAAAGAAAACATAACCCCAATTACTTATAAGATTGTTTGCTTGGTGTCTTCTCCACTAAGTATAAGTTCTTTGAGGGTAGAAAACACATTTATATCTCTAACCCCAGAGCCCAGCTTGGATTTTGTGCATAATAGGTTCTTTAATTCAGGTTTGTTGAATGAATCTAAGTGTCTATGTTAGTTTGCCAGGGCTGCCTTAACAACGTACTATAAACCAGGTGGCTTAAGCCAGAGAGATGTATTGTCTCCCAGTTCTGGAGGCTGGCATTCAAAATGAAGGTATTGGTAGGGCTTGTCGTTTTTGAACAAACTCAGGATTTTAGGGGAGGTGCTGTTCTAAGCCTTGCTCTTTGGCTTGTAGACACTGTCTTTGTGTTCCCCTTGTGGGTGTGTGTGCCTCCAACTCCCTTCTTGTAAGGTCACCAGTTATTTTGAGTCAGGGCCCACCCTAATGACCTCATTTTAATTTGATTACCTCTGTAAAGACCCTATCTCAAATAAGGTCACATTCTGAGGTACTGGGAGGTTAGAATTTCAACATATGAATTTGGAGGGGATGCAATTCAACCCATAACAGTGCCTTCCATGGTTCATAGCAAGGTAGTGCCATTGTTCCCGCCTAGTTGTGAGAAAGCTGCTCTGATGGTTAAACCATACATCCTAACTCCTGATAAAACTATATTTAGAATTTTAAGCATTGCTTGGCAAAAGGGAAGGTTTTGAAATTTAGATAATCCTGGTATTCAAGAATACTGCCTTGTTATGGGGATTATACATATAATTTAATATATATTAAATTTATATATCCACAGCAAGGAAATAGTCTATAACACTAAGCTGTGTGTGTATGCATGTATCTGTGTGTTTATATATATATATATGTATATATATGTGTATATGTGTGTGTGTGTGTATATATGTATGTATTATAGATACAGTTGACCCTTGAACAATGAAGGGGCTGTAAGTGTGCTGACCTTCTGCCTCTAGCAGTCAAAAATCCACGTATAACTTTTGACTCTCCAAAAACATTGCTACTAAATAGCTTGCTGTTGACTGGAAGCCTTACCACTTAACAGATATTTTGTATATTGTATGTATTATATACTGTATCCTTACAATAAAATAAGCTGGGGAAAAGAAAGGGTTATTAGGAAAACCAAAAGGAAGGAAAAATACTGTATGTTTACTATGCATTTGGTGGAAGCGGGTCATCATAAAGGTCTTCAGCCTCACGGTCTTTATGTAGAGTAGGCTAAGGAGGAAGAGGAAGAGGAGAGTTGACATTGATGTCTCAGGTGTGACAGAGGTTGAAGAAAATCTGTGTATAAGTGGATCTGCACAGTTCAAACTCATGTTGTTCAAGGGTCAACTGTATGGTCTTATTTTAGGAAATATCTATTCCTCTCCTATCTATTCAGCAGTTTAAAAAATAGAAAAGGCGGATTATTGGAATGAAATACCTGAAATACTTTTTCCATTTCAGTAAGGCATGATTGATTGGTCAAGTGTTGGAAGGCAGGGGTTTTGGTCACACTTGAGATTCACTGTCACACATGGAGAGGAGTCACAATGAGACCAGACATTGCACATGGTAGAGAGGAAATGAAAATGCCACAGGAGGTCAGAGAAAGTTACTCATGCTTTTCCTGAGGCAGATTAGTGTGACTGACTAGTAATGCCCAGAAAATGTGAACAACTGTGAATGACTTAACATGTAACAAGCTACATGCGACTTCCTATGGTTAATGACCACAGGTGGGGGTTCTGAAAACATGAGCTGGCATCCTGTTCTGGTAGGACGAAAGCTTTGGCATAACTGCTCTGCGGTCTGGTCCTAATTAACAGTGTCAAACTTTGGGAGAGGAAGGGGCTCTCCCAAAGTCAAGTTAATTAACATACGTGTTACCTCACATATTTATTTTTTGGTGGTGAGAACACTTCATGTCTAATCTTTTAGTAGTTTTCAAGAATACGTGCCTGTAGTCCCACCTACTTGGGAGGCTGAGGTGGGAGAATCGCTTGAGCCCAGGAAGCGGAGGTTGCAGCGAGTGGAGATCACACCGCTGCACTCCAGCCTGGGAGACAGAGCGATACGCTGTCTCAAAAATAAAAACAAAAACAAAACTATCATCACCATGTTATACAATAGATCTCTTGAACTCCTTCCTCCCCTAAACTGAAATTTTGTATCCTTTGACCAACATCTCTCCAACCAGCCCCACCAGGTAGATTTTATGCAGAGTGCGGGGTTGTTCACTTTTAAAGGCATTTTCCTGAAATGAAGGAATCCCTTCTGAAACCTCTATTCAACAGCATTGAAAATATGATTGCCTTCCTACTTCTTCCAGAAGATTTCTGGCTCCATTTTATGAAGAAGGAAAAGATTCATTGCTTAGGACCAGTTCTTGCCTGGCAGTATGATTACAGAGTTTTCACTGTTTCCAGGCTACATGTAATAACAGAAATACATCAAGGATTTGACAATCTTCTCCAGCTTTTGTTGTATGACCTCAATTCTTATGTGACTCTGGCCCACATCGTGACCTTGGAGATGTGCCTCATGGCATGGATGTGATGATTAAAGATATAACTAGCGCTACATGGTTCAAACAAATGGGCCTTGTCTGATCATTTGGAGCACTGGGCTACGTTTAAATCCTAAAGACAGCCTTATCATTGAGTCTCATTTCAATTGTCGACACATTTTAATATCATTTTGTGAATGGAAAATTTGTGTGTCAAAACAGTTATTTGAAAATCACGTGTAATTCAGGAACCCAACAAATGATCTGAAAGCATCCCTTAGGCATTGATGAGCAGGGTTTTATAGGTTTGGGGTAAACCTTAGAGTTGCTGAGTAATTCAGGGCACATCTTCCCTCCAACAGTCCTCTCAAGTACAGCTGTCCAGCCTAAAGATTACATTCTACAGAGGTCCTGGCCAGCAGTTTATAGCACATGAGGTATGTGTGAGGAAGTGTAAGGTGGCTGAGTCATTATCTTGAACCTCGACCTGGGGTGAGTGGTCATGCTAAGTGGACTGTGCATATTCAATGACATCTTCAGTCTTTAAGGGCAGACCTAGAGAAGACAGGTCTGTGAGTACAAACATGCCAGTAATTTACTAAGGATATTCAGCTACATTTTAAATAGTATTTGCATATAGCATCAAATGGATTAGGTGACTATTGTTAACAAAATACAACCTTAGTCTTGCATTTTCTAGTTGTCAAAGAACCATTCAACAGCACGGTGTGTGTAGATTCTCACTAGATTCTATGACACATATCTGCCAGGTATTGTTATTCTAATTAGCAGATGAAGAAAAAAATAGGTTTTAAAAAGAAAGAGAACAAGGATTAAACAAACAGTCTCTGTTCACATATGTAATTATTACAACAATTAAAAGACTAAAAACTTAATTAAAACAGAATCCAAAACATTACCACAAAAGTATATAATATGAATTCTTCAAAACCTTTTCACTTGCATGAATTTTTAGCACTATCAAAGTGCTAAAATTTTCCCTGGATATTATGAGATATATATATATACACACATACATACACACACACATATATATACACACACATATATATACACACACACACACATACATATACCTACATATATGTAAATATATAAAACTAGGATTATATATATATTTTTAATAAACTTACTTTTGAGAGCAAAACTAAAGTTCCTAGCAAAACTAAGCAGAAGGTTCAGCAATTCCTCCCAGGCATCCCTGCACATGCCAGCCTCCGCCATCATCAGCATCCCCCACTAGAGTGACCCATTGGCTGCAGTTGATAATGAACCGACATTTACATATATATAAACTTAATTAAATCAGAATCTTTGGATTCTGTTTTTTAATTAATTAATTAATGTTTTAAATTTATTTTTCCTAAGAGATAGGGTCTTGCTATGTTGCCCAGGCTGATCTGGAACTCCTGGTCTCAAGGATCCTCCAGCTTCAGCCTCCCTAGTAGCTGGGATTACGGGCAGGAACCACCACACTCAGCTGATATATATTTTTAGAATTAACATTTTCCATTGTTGAAAGACCTATGTTGAACAAGCATTCTATGCTTGATGTGATTGATATATATTTTTGTGACTTTATCCATCAAAATTAAGAGAATTCTGCCTTGTGCCTCTCCTCTGTTCTTACTCAGCTCTAGCCACTCGGGTGTCCACACTGCCCCTGAAACATAGAAGGTGCTGTCACTATAGGTCATGTCTAGCCTCCCCACAAACCAAGTACACCTCAGGCTCATCTCCCACCTCCTATAAGCCTTTGCCCTGACTTCCATATTTGAAATGGAAGGCACCCTCGTCTGCCTCTTTCACTGGTAATTCCCTTACCTTCATATTTTTTTTCCATAACTCAAACATACTTCTCAAATACCATATAATCGTTATTTTTAAAAATCTGCCTCCAACCCACTGGAATGCAGGGTCCCAGAGAGCAAGATCTTTTCTCAATGTGTCTACAGCCCCTACAGAATGTGTGGCACACAGTAGCACTCAACACATTTTTGAGTGTTCACTATTTTATTTATTACGGTTCTTTTTAACCATTTAGAATTTATGTTATACTGATAGAAGAAGATATTTTACATTAATTAGAATTAGTTTTTATATATAAAAAAGATATATTGTTCATGTACATAAATGGAAATGAAATATAAACAAAATAGGCTGGGCCCAGTGACTCATGCCTATAATTCTAGAACTTTGGGAAGCCAAGGTGGGTGGATCACTTGAGGTCAGGAGTTTGAGACCACCCTAGCCAACATGGTGAAACCCCGTCTCTACTAAAAATACAAAAATTAGCCAGGTATGGTGGTGCACGCCTGTAATCCCAGCTACTTGGGAGGCTGAGGCACAAAAATCCCTTGAACCTGGGAGGCAGAGGTTGCAGTGATCTGAGATCACAACACTGCACTCTTGCCTGGGCAGTAGAGTGAGTCTCTCTCTCTCTCTCTCTGTCTCTCTCTCTCTCTCTCCATATATATATATATAATATATATATGGAGCAATATATGTATATTATATATATATGGAGCAATATATATATGTTATATATATGGAGCAATATATATATATTATATATATATGGAGCAATATATATATATTATATATATATGGAGCAATATATATATAATATATATATATGGAGCAATATATATATATTATATATATATGGAGCAATATATATATATTATATATATGGAGCAATATATATATATTATATATATATGGAGCTATATATATATAATATATATATATGGAGCAATATATATATAATATATATATATGGAGCAATATATATATATTATATATATATGGAGCAATATATATATATTATATATATATGGAGCAATATATATATATTATATATATATGGAGCAATATATATATATTATATATATATGGAGCAATATATATATATTATATATATATGGAGCAATATATATATAATATATATATATGGAGCAATATATATATATATTATATATATATGGAGCAATATATATATTATATATATATGGAGCAATATATATATTATATATATATGGAGCAATATATATATATTATATATATATGGAGCAATATATATATATTATATATATATGGAGCAATATATATATTATATATATGGAGCAATATATATATATTATATATATATGGAGCAATATATATATATTATATATATATGGAGCAATATATATATATAATATATATATGGAGCAATATATATATATAATATATATATGGAGCAATATATATATATATTATATATATATGGAGCAATATATATATATATTATATATATATGGAGCAATATATATATATATTATATATATATGGAGCAATATATATATATATTATATATATATGGAGCAATATATATATATTATATATATATGGAGCAATATATATATATTATATATATGTGGAGCAATATATATATTATATTATATATATATGGAGCAATATATATATATTATATATATATGGAGCAATATATATATATATTATATATATATGGAGCAATATATATATATTATATATATATGGAGCAATATATATATATTATATATATGTGGAGCAATATATATATTATATTATATATATATGGAGCAATATATATATATTATATATATATGGAGCAATATATATATATATTATATATATATGGAGCAATATATATATATATTATATATATATGGAGCAATATATATATATTATATATATATGGAGCAATATATATATATATTATATATATATGGAGCAATATATATATATATTATATATATATGGAGCAATATATATATATATTATATATATATGGAGCAATATATATATATATTGCTTGAACCCGGGAGGCAGAAGTTGCAGTGAGTCAAGATCACGCCATTTCCCATGTATCAGATTTTATGCATTGCTTAGTCCTCACTGTGACCCTGGCAAATGGAAAGAAGAAAGGAATCAATTTCACAGACGCAAAGGCTGAGGCTCAAGGGGAGAGTTGTCTAGCTCAAGGTTGCATGTTCTCTATGTGAGCTTTCTGGATATATATATATATATATATATATATATATATATATATATCACAATAAATTGCTTTTTCCAACTCAAGTTCTGATTCTGCCGATGTTTGCACTGATGACTTTTCCCTGTATATAATAATATCCTCTTCTGTGCCAATAAAACCAGTCCTGAGAGAAATTCTTAAAATAATCCATAAACCAAGCTAAAAGCCCAGGATGCAGTTTTGTCCCAGTTTTGCAATTGTACTGTGAAGCCAGTCTACTTCCAACTACTGCTTTGGAAAAAGTAGAAACATGTTCACCTGCTCCACCATCATTTAGATACTCAGTGAATTAAAACAGTGTTGCACTATTGTCTCAGAGATTTTCTTTCTTTTTCTTTTTCTTCTCTTTTTACATTGGAAATTTTCAAACATATAGAAAAGTAGAGTGTATCTCCAAGTTCCCAGCACACAGCTTCAGTAATCCTCCCTCAATTTTTCTTTTTCTTTTTTGCTGGCATATTTGAAAGCAAATTCTGAACTACTATCTGTAATGCCTCAGGTAGACCGCTAACTGACAAGGACATTTATTTTTCAAAAACATTTTTTAAGGTTCAGGGAGGAGACTTTTATAAATAATACAGATTGAATCTAAATTTAAATACTAAAACATGTATTCATATCAACTGTAATGCATAAACATCTTTCCTTTTGTATAGTCTGCCTGAAGAGTATGTTAGTTTTTTAAATATTAAATATTAAAAGAATATATTCATTTCACTGCTGAGTTTGTACTGCCATTCAGGTTTTACACCATGAGCAATATATTAGGCATTACACATGGAACTAAAAAGCAGCTGTTTCTGCCCTTGAGAAATACATCTAGCTAGGAAAACTGATAACACACACACACACACACACACACACACATAAATTGAAAGTAAAATAGTATAATTAGTGTTGGATAATTCAAATGCACAATAATTCAAGGGCAGAGAAAGGCTCTTTGAGACAGGGCCAACTAGAGATTACTATTATTATTATCATTTGTAGAGACAGAGTCTTGCTATGTTGTCCAGACTGGTCTTAAACTCTTGGTCTCAAGCAATCCTCCTGCCTTGACCTCCCAAAGTGCTGGGATTATAGGTGTGAACCACCCTGCCTGGCCCTAGAGATAATTTTTTTTGTGTGTAAAGGAAATGAGCTTTGGAGTAAATAATGATTTGGACAAAGTATATGGATTAAGACATGTCATGTTCAAACACAGAGCCAGAGATTGGTACTTGGTAAAAGCTAAGCAAAAAATTCAGAACGAAAATGTGAGTGATGATAAGTTATTAAATAAGTTTTGCAAGTGTCATAGATGTGAAGTACAATGTTGCTTTTTGAGGATCTTTTAAATAAGTCTTGCTATAACATTCACGGCTATATTTATCTTTGGAAAAGGGGCTCAGAAAAATGCTTAAAATATATGTGAATCTAAAAGGGTTGTATTTCCAATAATAGAATTTTGGGGGCAGTATGGCACTTGTTAGAGGCAGTTTTGGAGCAGGGGAGCTGACCTGTCAGCAAACCTATGGACAGAGCAGAGATTTACCACATGGATTAGACACAGAGACCCAGGATGAGACTGATTCATGCCTATAACTTTCTTGGGAAATCTGACCACCTCCATCCCTTCACTCTGCAAAGAATGCAACTGCTGTATCATTCAAATTAAGGAACTCTCCCTGGGCAATCATACTCATAGGCCAAATTCCCTAGTTATTTGCAACCTCTTGGCCTTATCTTCTATAGACAAGCAATAATACGACCAATGATAATTGTTCATCTCAGCAAAGTGGGAAAAGGGTCCAGTGCCAGTTCTGCTATTGCTTAGCTCTTTGAAATAAATGACAATAATATGTTATGGGCTCTGCACATGTCTTCTTTAATCCTTGTAACAGCTTTTTTATTTGTTTTCATTATTATCTTTATTTTAAAGGTGAGAACATTGAAATGACTACACAGACAGTCCAAGGTCACATAGCTAGCAAGGGGTAGAACCCAGATGGTTTGATTCCAGGGCCTACGCTCTTGGCACAGGTCTACAATCCCCCTTGAAGTTACTTAATGTTTCTATTTCCTCATCTCTCCCTTCATAAGTAAAGTGGGAACATTTCTCTGTGTGTATTCAAGCCAGCAAGCCATGCACTAATGATAAAATAGAGGCAGTTCTTTAAGCTCAAAGGAAAATAGACAAATATCTGGTGCTACCTTCAGAGAATTTCCCCATTTTCTTTTTTTTTTTTTTTGCACAATTGCGATTTGTTCTTTACATTCTTAAAATTTTTTACTATTTTTGGTTGAAGGGTACAGAATTAATTTAATGTAGTTTTTCTTCAGAAGCATGTCGGGAACACTTATTGAAGAAGTGGAAAAGAGAAAGAATGGCTGGTGGAGGCTGGGCACGGTGGCACACGCCTGTAATCCCAGCATTTTGGGAGGCCCAGGCGGGCGGATCACCTGAGGTCAGGAGTTTGAGACCAACCTGGCCAGCATAGTGAAACCCCGTCTCTACTAAAAATATAAAAATTAGGCAGGCGTGGCGGCAGGCGCCTGTAATCCCAGCGACTTGGGAAGCTGAGGCAGCGGAATTGCTTGAACCCGGGAGGCAGAGGTTGCAGTGAGCCAAGATCAGACCATTTCCCATGTATCAGATTTTATGCATTGCTTAGTCCTCACTGTGACCCTGGCAAATGGAAAGAAGAAAGGAATCTATTTCACAGATGCAAAGGCTGAGGCCCAAGAGGAGAGCTGGCTAGCTCAAGGTTGCGTGTTCTCTGTGTGTGCTTTCTGATGCTCAGAATAAGGTGCTGCTGGACCTCTCATTGCTGAGGATATCAGACTCTATGGCCATATGGTAGGTGCATGATTATTGAAACATTTCTCTGCCTTTCACTTTCTCACCTGAATGTACTTCCCTGTCTCTGTTCCCACTCCTGAATTCAGGGGCCCAGCAATGCATGGAGAAGCAGTCTCCAACCTGTTGAATTAGATGATAGAAAAAAAATAAAAGCCTGGCATTGTTCTGAGTCACATGATGAAAAGTCATCACTTTAACCAGGCACCTTTCATATGTAGAGGTGGCACTAAGTTAAATAATCACCAGGCCTGGCACTCCCTAATTAGGAGATATGAACCAAGCATTTCAGTTTCACTGAATCAATCTTTCTTTCTCCTTCTTTCTTTCTTTCTTTCTTTCTTTCTTTCTTTCTTTCTTTCTTTCTTTCTTTCTTTCTTTCTTTCTCTCCTTCCTTCCTTCCTTCCTTTCTTTCTTTCTTTTCTTTCTTTCTTTTCTTTCTTTCTTTCTCTCCTTCCTTCCTTCCTTCCTTCCTTCCTTTCTTTCTTTCTTTTCTTTCTTTCTTTTCTTTCTTTCTTTCTCTCCTTTCTTCCTTCCTTCCTTCCTACCTTCCTTCCTTCCTTCCTTCCTTCCTTCCTTCCTTCCTTCCTTCCTTCCTTCCTTCCTTCCTTCCTCCCTCCCTCTCTCCCTCCTTCCCTCCCTTCCCTTCCCTCCCTTCTTTCTTTCTTTCTTTCTTTCCTTCTTTTTTTTTTCATAGTCTCTGTTACCCAGGCTGGAGTGCAGTGGTGCAATCTCGGCTCACTGCAACCTCTGCCTCCCAGGTTCAAGCAATTTTCCTGCCTCAGCCTCCCAAGTAGCTGGAATTACGGACGTGTGCCACCATGCCCAGCTAATTTTTTGTATTTTTAGTAGAGACGGGGTTTCACCATGTTGGCCAGGCTGGTCTTAAACTCCTGACCTCAGATAATCCACCCGCCTGTTTCTTTATTATGTGAAGGTCATAATAGCTGCTGAATAAACCCTATATGTGCAAAAGTGCCTTTTAAGTGACAAAATATTTCAAAAATCCCAGGTATTGATAATATCACAGCTGGCCACAACCTCCAAACTCATATAGGGAGATATTCAAAAGTGAATTCAACATACTCAAACATGCTAAACAGGAAGCTTCAGGAGTGTAATTTAGATCAGTTCAGCTTTGTCCTACAGTAGGTGTTATGGACTGACTTGTGTCCCCGCAAAAAATCACACACTGAAGCCTTAAATCACAATTTGATTGCATTTAGGAACAGGACCTCTAAGGAGACAATTTAGGTTAAATGGAGTCCTAAGTGTGTGACCTAATCCAACAGGACTGATGTGCTTATAAGAAGAGAGAGACACCAGGGGGACACAAGCACAGGCAAAAGCCA
Organism: Homo sapiens; assembly: GCF_000001405.40. Taxonomy (NCBI): domain Eukaryota; kingdom Metazoa; phylum Chordata; class Mammalia; order Primates; family Hominidae; genus Homo; species Homo sapiens. The sequence continues at coordinate 57,528,363 of NC_000008.11, forward strand.
TGAGGCAACACAAGGAGAAGATGCCCATCTATAAGCCAAAGAGAGAGGCAAGGGAAACTAACCTGCCAACACCCTAATCTTGGTTCCTTCAGAACTTTGAGGAATAAATTCTGTTGTGCAAACCACCCAGTTTGTGGTATTTTGTTATGAAGCCTGAGCTGACTAATACAATAGGTGTGAAAGGAAAATAAATCTTGGGGACCCCCAAATCACTAAGCTGAAGGGAAAATTTAAACTGGGAACTGCTTAGGTCAAACCTGCCTCCCATTCTATTCAAAGTCATCCCTCTGCTCACTGAAATAAATGCACATCTGATTGCCTCCTTTGGAAAGGTTGATCAGAAACTCAAAAGAATGCAGCCATTTGTCTCCCACTTACCTGTGACCTAGAAGCCCCCTCCCCTACTTCAAGTTGTCCTGCTTTTGCTTCGAGTTGTCCCACCATTTTGGACCAAACCAATGTTCATTTTACGTATGTTGATTGATGTCTCATGTCTCCCTAAAATATATAAAAGCAAGCTGTGCTCTGACAACCTTAGGCACGTGTCATCAAGACCTCCTGAGGTTGTGTCATGGGCATGGGTCCTCAACCTTGGCAAAATAAACTTTCTAAATTAACTGAGACCTGTCTCAAATCTTCGGGGTTCACATAGGCAAGAACAAGAATCTCTCACATATATGACATATATATGCCATATATAAGATTTATATGAGATAGATATATGGCATATGGGGATATATACCTTCTCTCCTTGGTTATTGAGAGAATTATTAACATCTCTAACACCACACTGTAACAATTTTCTGGCCATATCTGGAAAAAGTAGCATGTCAGCCTTAATAGCTTATGTACACCTCTGCTGCTCTGTTTGGCTTGATGGCAGTGCCTCTCCCTGCCCCAGAGAGCCTGAGTCTTTTCCAGACGATCTCTGCAGAGTAGACTGTGCTTTCTGTTGTGGTCTCCTGCTCTGATCTGTTTCCAGATATAAAGAAAGGCACATCATTGTCCGTGGCCCTTGTTTACTTTGGCCTTTTGCATCTCTAGAAGCTGACTCTGAACAGATATTGACTGCACGTGCAGTTAATAAGAAACATCAGGCAAGCGTAATTACTATCCTATTTTGCTATTTTAAGTAAATGTGTTCTCATAAAATATAATCTGAATTGCTACTCAAATAATGTGTGTGTTGTATATTTTTATAAAAAGGTTGGAAATACTTAGAAATCTTTATATATATATTATATTATATTATATAATTATATTATATTGCATATATATAATATATTTATATATTTATATCTGCAATATTATATATAAATATATATTTCTATTTGCAATATTATATAATTATATATAATTATATATATATATATATCTGCAATATAATGTTGAAAATTGTGCACCAAAGTTCACAAATCTTATAGTAGAAGATCTTATGGCCTGAATTACTCAGTTACTTGGTTTGACTTTTCATGTGTCACTATTCACTTGACTATGTGGCCATAAGTGAGGGGAGGACTTGGAAATTTTCTGCTTAGTTTGGTTATTGATGTTGATCAGTATGTGAATCAGAATCTATAAATCTTTGAATCTTGCTTTTTAATTACATATATTTGAGCAGTTTCTCTGTGCTCATTACTGTGCTAGCTTACCCACCTAACCGTGGAACAAAATCATAATACATATTTGCAAATGGTGGAATTTCTTTTTTTTTTCTGAGATGGAGTTTCCTTCTTATTGTCTTGTTGCCCAGGCTGGAGTGCAATGGCGCAATCTCGGCTCGCTGCAACCTCTGCCTCCCGGGTTCAAGTGATTCTCCTGCTTCAGCCTCCTAAGTAGCTAGAATTGCAGGCATGTGCCACCATGCCCAGCTTATTTTTTGTGTTTTTAGTAGAGATGGGGTTTCACCATGTTGGACGGGATGGTCTTGAACTCTTGACCTCAGGTGATCCACCCACCTGGGCCTCCCCAAATGCTTGGATTACAGATGTGAGCCACCTCGCACCTCTTCTTAATGTTGCCTAAGGACATTTGCTAAAATGCCTCAAACTACAACACTGTTAAGTTTTCAGCATCTTCTCCATCTTCTATTTCCCCAACCCCAAACAAATAAATGACACCCACTGTCATTGACCCTCAGGGTTTTGAGAGGTAATGCCCGGTGCTGCTGGATCTGAACAAACTCTAAGTAGAGTGGAGGAAGCAAAGGATTGGAATAGAAATTCAACTTAAGTGGGTCATAGACCTTGTGTTCAGGCATTGGGAGTTGGCAGCAGCCCATGGCCTGGGGCTTAAGGGCCTGGATAAGAACATGAAGCTCTTGAAAGGATTTAAGTAGCAGCCTGCAGAGGCAAATGTGATTTTCAGGCAGTAAAACAGTTGAAAATTCTTTTATTCCTGTCTTGCAGACATTAACTGGCAGCATAAGTATGGTAATATGTGCCATAAATGGGTAAATATGTAAATGCTACAGCCCTCTTTGCATATTCATCTCTGATATGCACCAAAAGGAGCTGTCTGTCATAATCAGCCATGTCAGAACAATAAGGGAGGAAAGCAGATGAATTAAATGAGGTAATGCTGCTAAGGGTGTGTGTTGGGTTTACGTTTTATATAATGTTTTTATTATAACTCAATACAGTCAACTCTAAAATTCTGACAAATGTTAGAGAGACTAACAAAATCAGAATATAGGAATAAAAGTTAGGCGTGCCAAATAATTCAGACCTTCAAATGTTTTATGTTTTACTTACGAAGATCATTATGTCAAAAGTAATTTTATTTTTCCTTTGGTGGGTCTGGAGGCAAAGTAAGAATGATGGTGGTAGTTATTGAGTGAATGTGGGGTGGAGCGGGGGAGGATGGTTGAGTTTCAGTTCTCAGGATAATTGGATCAATTTGCTGCCTGAATTTGCTTATATTGTATTGAACACATACGACTTTTCCTGTTCATTTTTATAACCTTTTTACTGGCAATAGATGTGGTACTGTTGGCAAAATTGTCCTCAGCCTGCTTTGCTGGTCTTTTAAAATTAAGCCACCTAGTCACAGTGCATTCCTGTATAGATGCAATTTGTAGATTCTGGTAAATATTTAAATATTTGTTGTTCTAGCTCCTTTGAGGTAGGTGAGCAGTGATAATTTAGTTCGACTAGAGCCAGCTGCAGCAAAACTAAGACTGATGGAGTTAGTCTTCAAGGCCTTTTCCTCCTCTGTTCTTCATTTCTTTGCTTCTCATCCTCTTTTCCAAGGCTAGCAGTCCCAGGAGACAGAGACCTTTTAGAACATCTCTTGAGCCCAGCAGATTGAGGCAACTGATCTAGTATTGCTTGCTTTGGAGAATTGTGTTATCTGACACTTATGTGACTCATGAAAACCTTAGCAGGAGAAATTAGAGACTCTGCCTAGTAGCTTAGTGTGCTTAGAGATTCACTACATAAAGCAGCTCACAACCTACCTCCCAGTTCAGGCAGAGTTTGAGGGCTAAGACTCAAAACATCTAAATTCCCTCCTAGCTCCACCACTCACTAGCTGGGGCTGGTGCATCAGCCTCTCCCAGCTTACTTAATTATCTGTAAAATCTGCTGAATTATCTTAATTCACCTGGCCCTGCCTCACAGGGTTGCATAAGGGAAGAAAAAAGTGGAAAATGCTGAAAAAAAAGTGTAAAGCATTTTAGAGTGTCATATTAAATGTTTAGGTCTATCTCCAAATATAACAGATTTTTAAGATCCTTCTTGTAAGAATCCTGTAAAAAATGAGTTATATTGTCTCTGGACCCAAGAACGCATTTACTTTCTCTTTCCCAAACCACTAGAAAGAAATCTACAAATCGTATCAAGAGATTATATAAGCAGGTCAGAAGTTAAAGCCAGAATTGAAGTTTTGGTGAAGATGTAACTTTGAAAATTTTTGGTTATGAGTGTGAACGCTATCAATTCTGCCTTCTGCAATCACGTGCAGTGATAGGACAGTATTTCACTCTGGATAGAATTCCATGGCTCCCTAGTGGAAAGAGAGAGATCATTTAAATTACCAGTGGGATAAAGGATGTCTCATGTCTTATCCAGGAGAAATAAGGATGACCGGCCCAATCAGTTAAATAGTATTTGTCTCTACCTACAAATACTATTTGTACTTAAAATACTACCTATAAATAATATTTGTTTCTACATTGAATAGATAGTGACACTGAGTGGGGGAAGTTGGCTATGGAGTTAAAAACACCAAACCAAAATGACCTAAAATTTTACATCATCTGAATTTCAATAGGAAGTGTCGCAGTGTATTTACTAACAAGTCAGATTCTTTTCACTATTTAAATCACTACCTTGTATAAAATTACATGCATAGATAGATATACGTTTTATTATTATTATTTTTTTGGAGACGGAGTCTTGCTCTGTCACCCAGGCTGGAGTACAGTGGCGTGATCTCAGCTCACTGCAAGCTCTGCCTCCTGGGTTCACGCCATTCTCCTGCCTCAGCCTCCCAAGTAGCTGGGACTACAGGTGGCCACCACCACGCCTGGCTAATTTTTTTGTGTGTTTTTTCATAGAGATGGGTTTTCACCGTGTTAGCCAGAATGGTCTCGATCTCCTGACCTTGTGATCCGCCTGCCTCGGCCTCCCAAAGTGCTGGGATTACAGGGGTGAGCCACCACACCTGGCCAGATATACAACTTACATATACAAAAACATCATTTGGTACCTACACTAGTACCATAACCATCACCTTTAACTGGCAAGTCTCTGTGCTCTTTTTGCCTGAGAAAACTTTTAACAATCTATTCAATAAAATAAGGAGACCACAAATAATCCAATCACCTTACTTAATATTTCAGACAATGATATTTGCTGTGTCACTGGTTAAATATCAAGATGATGACTTTTTTTGCATGAATTAAATGAAGTAATGCTATTTCTCTGTCACAGAGATAAAGCTTGTTTAATCTTATTTCAAAGTTGAAGACTTATCCATCTAACACTTTTGTTAATATATAATGCAGTTTGATGAACTACATTCACCAAAAACTCAAGGTTTTTTGGATAATTATACACTTCCAATATTGAAAATCTTCAACCTTGATGCATACAAAAATCCAATATGACAGAGAAAATCCAATATGTTTTCTCTACTTTTTGGGTTTTCAGGATAGCGGGCAGGGAGGGGGTGTTCTGGTCTAGGAGAAAACTGTGCTCAGTCCCGGGAAGGAGGGCAGCCTGATGTACAGCAGAAATGGAAGCTGGCTCAAGGTGGCCAACCAGACCTGGTGCTTAGAGGGCTGAATGCAAAACTGTGCTGGGGAAATAAGCTGGGGCCAGTGATGAATGTCCCTTACAAACCCAGCAGAGGAGTTTGACTCGATCTCCAAGAACATTTGGGAGAGCTCTGGTTTTGGCATCAAACACAACTGAGCACCCACCTCGGCACCCTGTGTTCCACCCAGGAGCCGTCAGATGGCTCAGTGACCTGCCCTGAGGTGCAGTTTCCTCAGGTATAGCCAAGGGCTCGGGGTTCCTGGGGAGGTTTAGCAAGGCAGGGAAGGTTATTATACACAGGCAGCTGGCACGGGGATTACCATTTTAAAAAATCACTCTGGTGGTGCAAATTCAAAGCAGGCTTCAATCTAATCCTGCTCTGAGGACTGGACAAAGTTGTCAAATCAAGAATGTTTTCATTGGGTGGAGATAATATCACTCTGCTATGCTGCAAAGTACCATCATTAGATCACGGCTAGGAATCAAGCAAATCAAGCTCATCCGGGCCCCTCTGGTATTTTGAATTATCCTCAAAATAAGACGTAGCACCTGCACTTGAGAAGCTCAGGGTCTAATAGGGATGATGGAAAAATACATGGATGATTACAACATAAGAGTGTAACAGAGTGAGGAACAGAGGCCCCAGGGAGCAAGGATATCCCAGGGAGCAAGGAGAAGAGCGAGCTCACTCCTCGATGGGAAAATGAAGGAAAATGTTTTGTTTGAGCATTTACCAGGTGGGCACAGGGAACAACAGCATCTGCACGTGCCACACTCGGGTGATGGAGACGATTTGATTTGATCAAGCAGGATGTGCTGGAAGGACCAGAGGCTGAGGCAAAACTGCAGAGCTAGGCTGAGTGAATGAAGGGCTAGGTGAGGTCTGTGAACTGCTGGGCTTGGGTTTGTAGCCAGTGGGGAACCTAAGGAAACCTTTCAGGGGAAGAAGAACTCTGTGATATTGGATGATAATTAACACTGCAGAGGTGGGTGGATTCTATCCTTCTGATCTCCCAGACAACAGTTAGGTTTTTTGTGGTCAAAAATGCTAGGAGAGCCATATAATTATATAACACCTCCAGAAGCACATAAATATAGCTTTTTACAATTTTAAAAACATGTCATAGGAAAAAGCTTTATTGATATTTCTAAATTTTCCTTTCCTCCTCCTCCTGTCCCATCCAAAATAAAGTGTTTGGCTATAAATACAGACACTGTCATATGCTCTTTATTGTTATTTATGTCCTCAAAATTTCATTTTCTTATAGTTAAATACAGGCTCATTTCAGTTCATTTTTATAGCAAACATAGAAGGTTGCAGTGAATCTGTGAATATAAACCATAAACCTAAATTATAATACAGATGTGCAAATAAGACTGCAGGTGATCCTCCAACTAAAGATAGCCAATGGTTTGGAAGAGGCGGCTGTTGTGAAAACAGAACATTTATTTAAAGCCCTCAGAAGCCAGTTTTATTCTCTGCTCATTGTCCATTTGGTTTGGAAGTAGCTTGGCAATGCCATAATTTTCACTTCTTTTGACAAATACTGCCTTTGCTTTGACACTGCCTCCTCACTCCCTCCTCACTTCACATTTTCCAGGCATTTCCTGCCAAGTCACATTTACCATTTTTTTTTTTTCATTTATAATTCTGGCCAGCCATCTCCTGGCTTTCCTTACAGTGAGTCTCTTTAAACACCATAACAGCTCTTCTGAACAACTTTCTCTTTGAACTGCATAAGAGTAACTCGGAGACTGGAGTCCTGGAAACCAAATGATAGGCTGAATATAACTTATGTCCTCAATCAAACTGGCATCTTGGTACCAACTGTTACTGATCTGGCTTGATATGAAATGTATGACATTTGGATCAGTCCTCAAAGTTCCCACCACCTATTTTTTCATCAATATATGTTTAGAAATTTCTACTGAAGACGAAAAATTTAGAAAAACATTGTTTTGTGACTTGCTTGAGCTACATAAAGATTTCCCAGGATCTAAATTGCTTCTGAGTGTTGGTTGCTTTAGGGAGGTGAAGTAATGATAGCCTCAGCATTAAATTAGGAATCTGGAAAAAAAAAAAATGAAGGTGCCCCGATAAGCCTCTAATTTACTATAAAGAGTAGGAACTTGGGACCCAGGAGGACTATCAGTCATTGTCAATGATTGATTTATGATATTACTACTTTAAAAAATGATAAATGCCAGACTACGGATAGAATCTAGTAGGTGCTGAACTGTTCAGGATGTGTTCTAGTTGGAGTGCTTTTGGCTGAAGCTGCATGAGCTTTAGGAAAGCCAGCCCAGGTCAGGGTGTGTGCTCTGAAAGCAGCGGTCCCAGGGAGGCTCAGGGAAAATGCGGGGACTCTGTCGTGCATGGTTCTTGCAGCGCCGCCCTCTGGAGCCAGAGCCCTGGCCCTGCTGGGATAGCTGGGCCTGCCTTGGAGCAGAGAAGTCTGATGGAAAGTTACTGTCCCAGGACCTCCAGCAACAGAGACACCCAGTCCTGGTGGGCCCTCCACACCAATTCCGGAGAAGGAGAAGAGGCTTCTGGCTTATTAAAGACTCTCCTAAGGATCAAATTGGGCATGAAACCAATAATTTTTTTTTTTTTTTTGGAGATAGTCTCATTCTATCCCCCAGGCTAGAATGCAGTGGTGCAATCTCGGCTCACTGCAACCTCCGTCTCCCAGGTTCAAGTGATTCTCCTGCCTCAGCCTCCCGAGTAGCTGGGATTACATGTGCCCACCACGACGGCAGGCTGATTTTTGTATTTTTAGTACAGACAGGGTTTTGCCATGTTGGCCAGGCTGGTCTCGAACTCCTGACCTCGGGTGATCTGCCCGCCTCGGCCTCCCAAAGTGTTGGGATTACAGGTGTGAGCCACTGCGGCTGGCAGAAACCAAAAATTTTAATTCCCAGAATAATTTCCTAGGAAAATACCAATGTGTGTTGAATATGAAGAAATAAAATCCAGTAGCACAAGCCTTACATCATTTTATTTTCACTTGTGGTTGGTATATTGTTATGCAGACTGCTGCAAAATGAATCTTCAGTTGAGGTGAGATTTGGGCCCATGTCCTCTGCCACTTTATCTTGTGGGGGTTGTCCTGTAGATGCTGGCACCAGCTCTCCCAAGTGAAATCTCAGCACTTCTCCTCCCTGCTCTGTTACTTGGGCAACTTCCTTAATCTTTCTTTCCCTTGATTTCTTTATATGTAAAAGAAGAGTAACCAAAGAATCTCCTTTATAGGGATGTATGACAAGCAAGTTAATATATATGAAATACTTATTCCAGGCAGGTTGTGAGCGCTATAGAAAGATTTGCAATTATTGCGAGTATTAATAAATAGTAGTCAATGAAATCTTCCTGGAGGAGAAAGGGCCTATTCAGCGTGGCATGTGTGTTTCCTTGCTAGTTCTATCAGTCTTCCGTGCCTGCTATACCTTCTCTGCATCCCCAGCCCCCTCATTTCTGCTTCCTCCCTGCCAGTTTCAGCCTCAGAGGTAAATCCCCTCAGGGCTGGTAAAGATCCTCTCTGATGTCACAACGCACACACACACACACCACGTCTTAGTCAGCTCAGGCTGCTGTAATAAGATATCACGGACTACGAGTGGCTTAAAAGCAATTTTTTCCTCACAGTTCTGAAGGCTGGGAAAACTAAGATAAAGGTGCCAGTCAATTCAGTTCCTAGGGAGGGCCCTCTTTCAGGTTTGCAGAGCTGTGTCCTCATGTGGCAGAGAGGTCATCTCTGTCATCTCTTCTTATAAGGGCATTAATCCCATGATGGGGGCTCTGTCCTCATCATCTAATCACCTCTCAAATGCTCTGTCTCCAAGCATCCTCACATTGGGGATTAGGGCTTCAACAAATGAATTTGGGGAGACACAAACATTCGCCCCATAGCCTACTCTCTTTCTCTTACACACACAGAACACATTTTTATTCTGCAACTTTCTTTTTCCCTAAACAATATAAACTGATATTTTATTGTTTTAATAGATATAGACCTGTCTCATTCTTTTCAAAGACTATGCAGCCTTCCTTAACATAACCAAAATTTATTTTTTGCCAGTCCCTCACTGATGAGCATTTTGATATTTTCCTTAATTTTTATTTTTAAAATCATACATACAACAACCTTGTATGTATGATTCTACAGAGTAAATCTGTAGAATGAATTTCTGAAAGTGGAAAAATTGCCAAAGAGTAGGGATATTTATAATATTGACATTTATAAATTGTCCTCCAAAAATTACCTTCTATGTTATTTAGAATACTATAAATCCCATACAAATATTGACTCAATCCCAAACAAATATTGATTCATTTAATTCTCAAACCATCATAGGATATACATACTATTATTACTCTCTCCAAACCAAGGCGCAGAACTGGTTAGCTGGCTGTCCAAAGCCAAACAGCTGAAAATTGAAGACAGGAGGTTAAAATTTAAGCCGTTAGGAATGAGGGTCCCTGTTCCTCCCTCTCACACCACACATAGAGTTGCTGATTGAGGCCAAAGGCATCAGTCAGGCTTATCTGTGCCCATCTGTTTATTGGCCATCTACATAATTTTTTCCTGTGATCAATCTTTGCCCATTTTTCTGAGGGTTAGGTTTTCTCACATTTATTTGTAAGAGATCTTTGTTAATAAAATTAGCCTTTGTCATGTGTGATGTAGTTGTTTTTCCTTGTTTTTTTTTTTAACTTTGTTTTCAATTTGTTTTCTCATAAATATTTTAAAATTTTTGTAGTCAAATTTGTCTAACTTTTTTATGGTTTCTAAGTTTCATGGAATGCTTAGAAATTATACTTATTGGTATTATATTTTAAAATATATTTACATCCTCTAAGATGGTTATGACTTTTAACAATATTTACATCTTTGTACCATTTGGAATTTATCTTGCTATGAGGTATAAGTATTTCAACTTTAATTCATTCTAATTGAGTAGACAGTTGATCCATAGTTTACCTGCTTATTTGAAGTTTCAATATTATAATATAAGTTTCCATATGTTCTTGGCCTTCTTTCCAGCCTTGTTTTGGCCCCATACATTATATTTCTGCATCAGTTCTGAATTTCTTTAATTGTATAGCTTTGAATTGTCCCCCTATTATTTATTTGGGCTGATCTACTTTATTACTTTTGTTTTTCAAAATTCTCTGGCTATGCAAGTTTAGTCTTTTGTTTGAGTTTACCTTTTAACAGTGTAACTTGGATCCCATAAAGTTAGTAAACTAAGGAAAATTGACAGATTTGCAAAGTCAGTCAAATTAGCCTTTGAGAGAGAAAGGAAAATGATTGGAAGAAAAGTCCAGTGTGACACTGTAGGATGATGACTTAATGAGAAGTGTGGGGTAAAATTAGGCCACCCAGCTGAGGGAGCATGACATAATAGTTAATGCTACTATGCCCATTGCAGATATTAAATAATTAGAAACATAAAATTTTAGAGCTGGGTGCCACAATAGATATAATCTAATCTAATTTGCTTATTTTACAAATGCAAAAACTGAGGCTTGGAGAGTTTAAGGCATGTGCAAGTTTACAGAGTTAATAAGTAATAAAATCAGGATTAAATACTGATTCTCAGTCCAGATAGAGGAGTCACCTGTGATCTGATCACAGAATCTTGAATATGAGAATAAGAAAAAAATTATTAACTTAGCTGCTGTTAACTGATAGACTGACATATACACTGGAGTTATGTGTAGATCAGGACACCCAGGAATGCTATGCGCTATTGGGAAGATGTGAAGCCAGGCAAGGCAGCAACATTGGTGGGAGAGGCACCGTAACGTGGGGAAGGCACAATAGTGTGGGCAACCATGCCAACACTGGGAGAGAACAGGACCGCTGGCCATCGGCTGGGAATCAGAAGAGTTGTGTGCATTTCCCTTGGAAATCAGACTTGGAAGATCTCAGCAGGAAATGTGTGTTTCCCTCAAGAGTGGATTAACCATTTTCAGTTTAAACTGGGTAAGAAAATAACAAGATATTGATGTGTAGAGTGATGCTTATCTCTGCTTTCAAACGTCACTCAGAAAGAAAATGTTGCAGGTCCTAAGTATGAGTTGTGCTTTTAATATGTAAATTAAATGAGTTCTTTGACAAAAAATAAATAAAATTTATGTATTCTCAAAAATCCAAATTCAGTAAAGAAATGCAATATCCCCAATGATTGTGGCAGATGGATTAAAAAAACAAAATTTCCTAAAATGCGTATTTACCTTACAGTTGGTGCTAGTGTCTTGAAATGATCATTCAGTTCAAAAAAATTAATAAATATTCTTTTATAAACAAATTCTGTATGAAGTTCCCTCTTTAACCTCAGAGTAGACAATAGGATGTTATTCAGAGCATTCACTTTGAGTTTTGGCCAGCTCCTTGTAGTTCTTGTGAAGACTTTACGAAGACAGTTGTGATGCTAATACCCTCCCCAGGGCTCTACTCTAGACCCTTCTGAATATTCCATTTAGCCAATCATACCAGCCATCTCTGATATTCTTTATGCAGTTGAATTGGATGAGTTCCAAAAAAGATTTTAATAAAAGAAAATCATCAACCTTGAAAAAATTCTGCACTGGAAACTACTGCAATCCTGATCTTTTCCATACAGAGGAGTGGCTCTCATTCTTGTTTCCAGAAGTTATGGCGGGATCAGGAGCCCAGTCTTACTTGCTTATTAGTGTGAGCCAAAACATTCCACAGTTGTCACTCAGATGAGCTGGTGCTGTTAGCAGTGGTGAATCTGAGCAGATCTGCACAACTTGATTCTTGCCTCCTTGAAGAAAAGAATTTGTCCAAGGGACATAAGGCAGAGTGAGAGACAGGGGCAGGTTTTAGAGCAGCAGTGAAAGTTTATTAAAAAGTTTTAGAGCAGGAACGAAAGGAAGTAAAGTACACTTGAAAGAGGGCCAAGTGGGTGATTTGAGAGATTCAAGTGCCCTGTTTGACCTTTGAGTTGGGCTTTCATACATTGGCATGCTTCTGGGGTTTTGTATCTCTCCTCCCTCGATTTTTCCTTGGGGTGGGCCATCCACATGAGCAGTGGCCTGCCAGCACTTGGGAGTGGTTGCATGCGTATTATGCATGTGTTGCATGTGTATTATGTTTACCGAAGTTGTGCACATGCTCACTTGAGGCATTTTTCCCTTGCCAGTTGAATGTTCCTAGAGAAAGCTCATAGAGCAGTTAAATTCCACCATTTTGCCTTTTAGTGTGCATGCCTGAGCCCACTTGTCCAACTCCTGAGATCTTATCAGGAAGCTGTTGATTACCACTGGCTCTAGGTGTTTTCTATCTATTGGGAGATGGCCTTTCCCTGGCAGCAGCTGTGACCAATTATTATTTTAGCGAGACAGCTTAACAACCACTTGACCATCAGCTGATGGTATCCTGACGTTCCTAATGAGGGGGATGGGGGCTCTCCTGCCCTGCTCACATCTGCAGAGCTACCCACTATAACAGTGCCATTGCCAGAAAGGCACCATCACACACAGCAACCTGGTTGCTGAAGAACTAGGATTAAAAAAAGGTAATTTTCTTGGGATCAGTTTTTGGCCTGCCTGAATTCTGTTATTATAACTAAATACAATGTCAAAGCATGGTAACTTTCCTCCTCCTCAAACCTGGAAGTGTGGGATGTGTGTGGATAGTGTAGGGTAAGTTTAGCCCAGATACCATGGGAGGAAAAAGGAAGAAGGGATATGGGGAGAACACTAACTTCTTAATGAACATAAGTACATAAAATAATAAAGTCCAGGAAATCCAGGATTGTATATATACAAAATTGAATTTTATATATATATATATAGTGTATTATTATATATGTATGTGTATACACATATACACACTTATATTTGCATATATACATGTACTATAGGCACATGTGTGTATATATAGTCAAACACACATACTGTCACACACATATATATTTGAAAGACTTGGTAATTTTAAAAGTTTTTTACTTGTTACTTTCGTAACATCTTACAGATGTATGGCGGGGGCAAGTTGAGGAAGAAAGGGTACTGTATTTGTGAAAATTGATAAATCATTCTACCATTAGCAACCCTTTTGCAAAATTTTTTTAAAAAATGGTTTCCTAACAGCAGAATAAGTCAGATCTCTAAGACTAAAAGAAGGGAAACTTGGAAAGTGAAGAAGCAGGAAAGGAATCCAGACCAGCAGGGGTTGTTGCACACACCTGGGAATGGGAGGCTTTGGTTAATGCTGACATCTGAGCTGGTTTCATTGCCCTTTTGCCATTGTGAGCCTGACTTGGTTCATGAAAATGAAAACCACAAAACATCCAAACATTAGACTTATTATTACGTCAAACTAAAATAACTTTAGTGTTTTATTTCTTGTTCTTTGTTTTAAATCATTTTCGACCCCATATGGATTTTTCCTAAAATGCAGCTTGTTGACTGTATTGCCAGCATTTCTTCCACAGAAGAGCTGCATTGCTCTCATTAAGCCAGAACAACCATAGGAGTCTGCCATTCCTAGGTGAGTTCATCAGGTGAAACAAGAATCCATGGGAAACGAGTGGTTTGTAGCAGTGTCTTTGGTATGTGAGAGCCTCAGCCTGGTTAATATTTGTTCAGAACTTACACCTTCGTTAAATTAATTCGAGTTGGTATGAATTCAATATGTGGAATTAAAACCAGGTGGAAATTAGAGACACTTGAGTCTCCTCTATAATCCCTTAAACTCTAATTTATTTCCTGAAACAATGTTAAGGGTTTTTCACATGCTTTTCTGATACTAAAGGAAGTTTCAGCTTATTAGGGAAAACATATAGGGGATCTGGAATGTGGCATTGGCCCCATAGACCTGCCTGTGTTGAGAGTCCAGCAGGGCTTTGAAGACCTTCTTGCCTCTTGAGGTGTCACCACTTTCAACATGACAGATGCTGTCCTTAGAGCAGGTGTACTGCCACAAGTTGCTTGGCAAACATTGTTCCCTTGTGGCAAGTTCTTATATATGAGGTAATATTACATACATATATATGTGTGTATATATATGTTTCTTTCTTATGAAATCTCAGAGTAAAATAAAAAAGATTCTTTGGACTTAATTCAGTTAGCATTGTAAAATAATTATATTACAGGATATCATCTCATTTTGGGGTATTTCTATGTAACCTCAGAAAATAAATAAAAATCTGCAGCAAAAATGTGTCATACTAGAAATACAACCTGGGGGAAAATGGCACTTATAGAAAAATGGCACTTATAGAATGCCCACTGAGTTTCAAGGCATTTCTACACACTATCCTATCTATTCTCTACCTGGGCCTGTGAGGTCAGTCTATTATTCCCATTTTTCAGATGAGAAAATTAAGGCTCAGAAGAATAAACTTGCTTGCTCAACTCCACCCTATGGCTCAATGGCAGACCTGTGATTTCAACTCACACCTGACTCATTCCAAAGCCTATATTCTCTGTTTTCTTTAAGCGTATTTCATTATCAAGTATGCAAATTTTGAACATTCACATCTCCAACACACATCTTTTCTTTGATGTGACTAGCATAGATTTGCTCTCACTGAAATGTTACAGAGAAGGGGTGGTTTCTCCTATTAAATTAAAGATCTTTAGTTTCCTGATACCTAGAGAAGTTCAAAGGTTTCTAAGTTCAGAGCCATTACTAATAAGGGCATCTTTGGATTAAATGAGTGAAAGGTTTTCATAGAGAAATCATATTAAAAAGTTCTTTATTTCCCAATGCCTTAGTATATGGGAGTTTAATATTGGAACAGTCTCTCATTAGTCATAGTCTCTGCCCCAGGACCATTACTGGGGTGGGCAAAGGGTAGATGGGGGAGAGGTACAGACCATCAGGAAGAAGCCATAAAGGGTTTTCTGTTTTGTTTTGTCTTGCTATGGAGTGAAGTTTATTTTTATTTTCCTTAGGAAGGGTTCAGTTCTACCCTCAAGTTCAGCACCTTACACTCTGTGAGTCTCACAGAGAAGATACCAGATTAAATAGAAAAATCACCCAATCTTTAGAGATGAAAAGTAGAATAGTGGTTGCCAGAAACTTGGGATGAAGAGGTAATGGAGGGGTAGGGGGTAAGAGGTAGAGAGAGTCAGTTTGGGAAGATGACCAGTTCTGGAGCTGGAGGGTGGAGATGGCTGTACACGATGTGAATGTACTTACTGACTGAACTATGTACTTAAAAATGGTTAAGATGGTAAATTTTATCTCATGTATTTTGCCACAATTAAAAATAAATAAATAAAAATCACATATCCTGATCCCCATTGGCTGCAAACTTTGAATGTACCTGATTCTGAAATCTAAAACCTATCTGTGATCGTGTGAGGCATGTGGCTACTACATCCATCGACTTCCTAAATGGACAAGCTGCAGTGCTCTGTGGAAGAGAACTAGATCTCAGTGATTTTCTGCCAGTTCATTGCTGATCTTTTTCCTCGAACAACTGTGAATATTTCCTGTATTATCTATAATACTCTGAAATTATATCTGGCATTCACAAATATTATCTTTTTTTTTTTTTTTTTGTATTTTGATTCCACGCAGCAGCATGGTATATCAGAAAGGACTCTGGAAGGGGACTGTAGTCTGAACTCCGGGGCTTTCGCACCATTCACCTTGGGCATGACTCACACCTATCCAGGCCTCTGTAGTAACCTGGATCTGCTTATCCTTGAGCACAACCTGAACCTCTCCCACCTGGGGACCTCTCAGAGAGACCATGCCACAGAGTGATTCCAACATAAACTCCGGAGCCAGCCCAACCGGGTCTCAATCTCCGCTCCAGCAGCTATAAGCTGTAGGATCTTGGAGAAATTACATATCATCTCTGTGCTTCATTTTGCTCATCTGTAAATCGGCTAGTAGTAATAGCAGCTGCCTTAGAAGTCTGTTAGGAGCTTTAAATGGGTTAACATTTGTTAATCCTTGGAGAAGTGCCTGGCGCACAGCAAGTGCTCCCTGAATGTTTGTTAATAAATAACTTCCATGTCCCTCCAATGCTTCTCACTCTCCTTTTTCTCTTCTTTCTTCCTCTGTGCTATGTGCCACGTGTTCCTTCTCAGGAATTTTCTTTTGCAATCAATAAATTATTTAAAATCAAAACCCTAAAAGTCATTCGCTAATTTTCCTATTTTATCATTTTCATTGCCCACTTGGTCTACCAGTTCTGACTCCTAATGCAACCTATCTATTTTGTTCTTTCAGCATAGCTTTAGCTCCAGTTCACATCCTCCTCAGGGCTCATCAGTTCATTTCAAAACCTGCTCTGGTCCCCTCCTTCCTCAACCCATCCTCGCAACTGCCACAATAACTACACTTCTTAAATAATAATGTTTACCGTTTTATTTTACTGACATGACATGGTACACCGTGCTATGGACTTTGAATTTTTTTTTAAATGCAATGGAAATTCATGAAATGATTTTAACAAAGAGTGACATGATTTAATGTATGTTTAAAAAATGCACTCTGGGTGCTGTGTGAACAGAATTGTGGGGGCCAAGAAGAAACAGAGGTCATCACAAAACTGTGACCAAATAAAAGATGGAGGCAGTGCAGATGGAGGGAAGAAGACAGCTTAGAAATAGAGCTTGAAAGTCACAAAATAAAGCAGGGACAAAGCAGTACCAATAAATGTTTTATGATTGGTTAAGAACGCATTTGATTAACTTGCAAAATCTTATGCAAACACACTTTGTCATTCCCTGACTGGTTCACAGAAAATGTCAGTTGGAATAGTAAATATTCATATCCATTTATTGTATTCAATATGTACCTTAAGTTACCATAGTTAACTTATTTCTGCATTGTTTTCTCTTTACTTGCAGTGTTTGTGAGGCAAACATGTTCCAAAGAAGGCCAGAAAAAGCCCAGCCAGGTTGAATTCTGTGGAAAATTCACCGAAAAGATACAATGCATTTGAAACAAAACAAAACAAAACCAAAAAACACCTGCAGAAGTCCACTTGAAAAACCTGGGCTTATTCACTCTCTGTGCCTCCCATATTCTAGAAGATGTCTGCACATAGAATGTACAGAAAAATGTCTGTCTTTGCCCATGATGGGAGAGGAAAGGCCATTGTGTCTCTTGTTAGCAGATCAAGATTGGCATTAGAGCTCATCGAGGAGAACTGTGTCTTGACCAGCATCCTTGATCACTGAGGACACTGGTGGTCCTATGTTGGTGAGGTGCCAGCTTTTCACACTCAGTCTTTTTCTAATGCAGTCACTCCAGAGCCATTTCTTAGCCAATGATCTCTGTCCTGTTGTCTCACATAAAGTGAGCAGCCCCATCTCTGTTACATTCAAGTACTTACTATTTGTGTTCAACTCTTTTGATGATAAGAATGGCCATAGTTTTCAAAGGATCTGGGGTTTTCCACCCATGCTTTCCTGCATTTTTTCCCCTTTCATGTCACCATGATCTGCCACCACCCTTGTTCCTACCTGCCCAGGTCATGCCATGTTCCATGAGCATGGAGGTGTGGATTGGTGGCACCTCATGATTTTATTTGTTAATGAATTTTTAACAATTAACATAGAAATGATTTGCCTGTATTCAGTAAATTAATATGAATTGAACATAAGAGTAGAGAATTCACAGTTTTCTAAGCAACGATTTCTGCTTTCAGGAAGTGTGAAGGCTATTTGAAGGGAGCGAACACCACAATAAAGAGTAGTTCATGATGCCACAGGGCAAGTACAAATACTCTTTCCCAAAAGCTCACAGGGAGGTGAGGTCTATGTGGGGATGGAATCCACTCACAGAGGAATTTGAGCAGGATCATGAAGGCATAGAACATGCAGCGATGAGAGCCACAGAGAGGAAATGAATGCAAGATGTAATGGCCATGAAAGATTATGAACCAACCCCATGCAGTTTACTGGGTCAACTGTGCCTATTAAAAGGCATATTTCTTTCATTAGCTATGCACTTTATGATCAGGTTTTATGCCCTGGCCCTATGAAAGGAACTTGAATGTAGAATGTTTCACAGGCAGGGTGGTCATTTTGATTAGAGCACTTGCCTCCTTACCAGCCCTGCTGCTTCCATAAACATTTCATCAGGAATTTTCATCAGTTCACACTCTCTGTGAGGCTCTTTAGACATCCGAGCAATGCTGCCAAGGGGATGTTTGGTCTTTTAAATTGTGATGACAAAATAAACTTTTATGAACCCTCTTGCTCAATAAACACAGCCTGGCATTTTAAATGTCAGCACATCTCAATTTTGTGAGAGGGTCTGCCTGAGAGGATTGACTTGAAACTACACAGCAAAGAGGAGGTGCTAGTCCACATTTGCGTGTTCCATTTGCATGAGCAAAATGGACCTGAAGATGGAGCTGCAGCAAGAGGGGAGGCACATGTCCAATAGCAAGGAAGCCATCAAGAATCCTTTATTCTTGAAGGGGTATGCAACAGACTGGAAAGGATCTCATTTTTCTTTGCTTTAAATGCTTTGGTAAATGTAATATGTTTCTACTTTTGGGGAAAGTTTAGGGGCTTTCATAATCATGTTTGTGTTGACCTTCAACAACAGAGATAAGCTGCTATTCAGCCTTTTGAACCCCGAAAAGAGACCCAGGACTCTTATACATTAAGTAGTTAATGCTGACTTTATTGCTATACCAATACCATGGTGACCATTTCTGATGAAAGATTAGTAGGTAATCTCAAGGTAGTTCTCAACCTCTTCTTTCACAAGCAAAGCAAAACAACAATTGTGATATCCATAGTCAATACATTCCTTGATCTCACCTCAGTAACCAACTCTACCACTCCACCCCCCAAGTAGACACCCTAGTTGTTTTGCCTCTTATTCTCACAAAGTAACCCTTGAATGGTTATCTTAAAGTTAATTTTGCATGTAACAGAAAGTGTAAGATTTGTTCTTTAAATAAAGAGTGAGAGCTGAACTGCACATATCATTTTTTAGGCCCTTCAACTTCTCAGCATGCTTGGTTTAGCCAATGCATGGCATGGCTCAGTTGTTGAGTAAATATTTGTTAGATGAATATGTGAATCAATACCTAAAATAAGAAGCAGGCATATTGCCATACCTTGCTAAATATCTCTACGGTCCTAAGAGAAGAGGATCAGTGTTTAGTTTCTTGATTTCCTTAAATGTTAATTTCTATCTATGAATTGTCACAAAATTACACTTATAAATCACTCACATGGTCATGCATTCCCTTTATCAGGAACAGCACCTGACACACAAATTCTAAGTAAATATTATTGAATGGATGAGTAGGTGGTATAGCTGGGCTGTGCCTGATTCTGTGTGACCTTGTCTAAGATTTGAATATTCTAGGACAAATCACTATTTTTTAGAGGATCCTCTGTGAGGTCTAAATATCATTGTGTGGCAAGGTGTAGAAACAAATTTGAGACCACCATACTCAAACAAAAACAAAAACAAGACAAAACAAAAAACACCAGGATGGGCACTCCTATTCCATAAAGGCAAGCTAGAGGCCACTGGCCAATTATTGTGCTTATTTAAAAATTTTAACATTGATTTTTGTTTAGTTCAAAGTTACTCTGGGTTATCTGAGGATTGATTGTCTCTACTCTGTTGCCCAGTTATTTTACTAAATTCTGTGACCTTAGGTAAAGCCCTGAATACTTTCGGATCTTCGTTTTCTCATCTGTCAATGGACAAAGTTATCCTTCATAAAAGTGGGCACTTAGGGCAGTGTCAGATACTTCACAGTTGAAGAGAAACTATAATAATACTTAATTTTAAGGTTTTTAGAAAAAATTTCATTTTATCAGTCAAGCTTTCAAATCTAACCATTCAATACCTTTCTTTTTCTTTCTGCCTTCAAACTATTTTTAGAATCAGCTGAAAAAAAAAGCCCTGATAATGCAACTTGTTTTCACAGCAGTTCAGTTGAGCAGAATAACGGACCCTGGGGAGGACTAATTCTTGGCTCTCATTGCCTGGGCTTCTGGGTCTGTGATTAGTCATATACAGTGACTTTAATGGGTCGTAAAAGGACCATAAATCTATTGCAGAAATGGCCACATCTGTGTTTTAGAAAAGCGGTGGGGGTTTTTTAGTTATTTTATTTTAAAAACTAACCAAAAATTTAGTCGTTTTTCTATATTTCTTTATTTTAAGTTCTTATTTGCAGGTATTAGGATTAAATGTAGCAGTGTTTTCCATCCTTTGTCTATGTAGTTCAACGTGTATGTGATTTTTCTCCAATAGTTTGTCATTTTGAGTATGCTTGAATAATACTCAGCTCAAAGTCAAGTCACCTGTAAGGTCATGAAGCACACTTGTTGACATATCCATTGTCCCATTAGACAGAGAACATCTCAGGAGCAAGAACACTGTAATATTCATTACTTTAACCTCCATGACTGTCAGAAAGAGCAGGTAACCAATAAATGTTTCTTAATATAAAAATGGAATAGTCATGCGCCACTAAAGACATTTCAGTCAACAATGGACTACATATGAAACCATGTTCCCATAAAATTATAATAGAGCTGAAAAGTTCCTATTGCCTAGCAACATTGTAGCCATCACAATGTAGTAATGCAAAGCATTACCTTTTCTATGTTTAGATACACAAATACTTAACAATTGTATTACAATTGCCTCAGTATTTAGTAAAGTAACATGCTGTACAAGTTTATACCCCAGGAGCCACATAGCCTAGGTTTGTAGTAGGTTATATAGGTTCTGATCATTTAGGTGTATGTAAGCATACTCTATGATGTTCGCACAATAAGGAAATTGTCTAATGATGCATTTCTCAGAATGTATCCTTGTCATTAAGCAACATGTGACTGTAGTAAAATTTGACAGAAAAAATAATGTTTCTGTGGAAGTCTTCATACTAATTTTTGAAGCAGAATAACTAAGAAAATAAGATCAATGTATGTAAAGTTCAGGAAATCAATTTTTAAAGATAGGTTTTGTACTAAGCATTTAAATCATCCACATTAACCTGAGAACTTTGCAGCCTTTTCTGACCCCTTCTTATGGTGACCTTGCTCGCTCACCCATCCAGTCCTGCTATTCATGGTCTCAGCAATGCCTCACCTATTGACCAGTTAGTTACTCCAAAATCGGTTCCATTTGTAGCCACTTACTTATGTCAATAGAAACTAACCAATTAATTTAGAAATGGGAAGGGTTAAAAGAAACACATTTCTACCTCCACCTTCACATGAGTTCCCCATTGGATTAGCCTTCCAGTTTAAACCAGAAAAAAATAGACTTATCTGGGCATCTGTGGCAGTGTTTTCAATGTCTTTGCAAGATCACTTGAAATATACTGATTTTAAGTTAGTATGCTTTCACTGTGCATAATTTGGAGAGCTTAGCAGATAAACGTGGTGAGGAACACAGGACCAACTCTCCTCCAGTGAGAACCTGGATCATGTCAGAAGGACTCTGAGGCAGTATGACCCTTTCTGGTCCTACACCTGGTGTTTTTGCCCAGCTTCTAGCAGATGCCTGTAGAGCTGCGGCCTTGTACCTGGGAGCAGTGCAGCCAACCTGGTAGACGGTAAAAAACTTGTGGCAGCACTGAGAATGTATCCCAGGCATGAAATCTTTGTCACTATAACCAGGTGATAATTTCTACTTGAAGTGATGCAGTTTATACCTCTTTTCCTGGAGTAATTATTTGATAGCATCTTGTTTTTCACTCTCAAAAGTGTTTCGATCTGCTGAATAAATTAGATGATCGCTCAAAATACAGGATTATATTCTCTGTCAGCAGGATATTTTGGGCTATTTCTAGAAAAATTCTAGAAGAAAGAGACTTACCACACCCCCCAGGTATAATCCAAAAATGTATAATTCCCATCTCCTGTGCAGATGGTAAGCTGGGTTATCATCTGCCAATCACAGTTCTTTCCAGAGACTGCTGTTTTAAGGTAAACAATGGGATGAAAGTGACGCCCTGAGGAATCCTTTTGCAGCCAGCGAACTGGCTTTCCAAGGTCAGAGGTGCAAAGTGACATCATGGGATTGTGGCAATTGCAGCAGGCAAAGTTTCCTCACAGGCCGGTTCTGCACTGAGGGATTTAAATATATTCTTTCTAGCTTAGCCTCAAAGATGTTCTCCAGCCTTTCCAACCATTCTGTACACTATTCAATATCTTTTAATAAACTCCTGGGTATTTTGTTTTCCTGCTTAATTAGTCAGCCAATTTCTATTGCTTACAACTAAGGACCTTGACTAAGACATGGGTAAACTTGAAAATTTGAGTTCATAAAATATTTTTAACCCCAGGATCCACATGGAAAAGGAACGTTCTGCTGTTTTGAAGGTTCTGTTCAAGTCTCTTTCAACAAACAATGTCTTATGTGAAAAAGGGCTGCTCATCGTTTTCAAAGTTGACCTTGATTTTTCATGCCATAGATTATTCAAAACTATGGGTTATTCTTTTTAAAATGATGTTAAGGTCAAGTGACAAACTTTCTTCTCAGATGTCACATGGAAAAACTGGTGTTTGGATGTCAACTGTGGCATTTTTAATCCTATGTTTTTCCCACTGGCAGCACTATGTTTTCAGAGAAGCTTTAGCACTCTGCAATGCCCACTGCGACAATCAACCAGATAGCCTCATTTTCGATAATGTAATCTGAAAAGTGTTTAATTAGCTTTCTTCCTGCTGCTGACTCACCCTCACTTGGATACACACATTATAGAACCTAAACAGCAGCAGATCATCAAAGTGAGTTGAAATATGCTATTGTTTTCTTGATAATGGATTCTTTAAAGATCTCAGGTATCATTAAACTGCTAACAGGCTCGGGCCCTTATAGGGTGGTGCAGTATGGCATTTTGGAAGTTTTCTTTTGTGTTCAAATCCAGAATTCCAGGTAGATCCTGGGTACTTAGTAGTTGTCAGTTTAAATGCATATACAAATCTGCATACATTTGGAAAAAACTTCTCAAATGATTATTCCATTTTT
The DNA here is from genome assembly GCF_000001405.40 of Homo sapiens. Classification (NCBI taxonomy): domain Eukaryota; kingdom Metazoa; phylum Chordata; class Mammalia; order Primates; family Hominidae; genus Homo; species Homo sapiens. Next base: position 57,551,587 of record NC_000008.11, read on the forward strand.
TGTTAGGCAGTGACATTTTTCTTTGATCCTTATATGTAAGGGAACTTACCACAATGAATAATAAAATATTTGAAGACCGGTGAAACAGCTCACAGGAACTTGGTTGAAAAGAACAATGGGTTCTTCAGCAGCAGGGGCTGGGCCTCCTTAGAATGTGTAGACGTGATCTGCATTGCTGTGACCCTGAGCTTCACCCTCATAACTGAACGAGACTGTCAGTACCTAGGTTAATCATGTCTTGAGGACATGTATGGCTTCACAAGTGCATACACACAAGTGTACTTGTAGGTGTTGCTAGTTAATGAGTTATGAGTTCTTTTATATGTTTTCTGTGGCATAAGCAAAAACTAACAGAAGAGGAGGAGATTTGCAAAAGTTGGAAAGAAAGGACTGTTCATAATTTCTATGATTGTGATGAACATGTAAAGGTGCTTACTTTTGTCTGCATCTGACACCAGATAGCTTTTATTCCCTGTGCCCAGGCCTTGAGATAAACTGTGGCCAACGTGGGGAGGAATCTTCTATGGGCTCACAGAAAGTTGGCTAATTTTGTTTCCTCCTTTTTCCATTCCTTTGTTCTATCCATTAATTCATTAACTAACAATACCTATAAGTACACTTGTATGTATACACTTGTGAAGCCATACTCATGAATAGTGTTTAGTGAGCACTTCTTATGTCCCTGAGAATGCATTATTTCATGACGTCAGTACATCATTATAGTGACAACCTTCTCAAGGAGACACTTATTTTAACAAGCCTATTTTTTACAGAGGAGGACATTAGGGCTTAAGAAAGTTAATGGACTTTCCTATGGTTACCTATTTAGGAAATGGTGTAGCCACAGTTGAAGCCAGCAACCATTCAGCACCCAGCACAATGATGAGACGTTTAGTCTGTATTCAGTTAATACTTAATAAACTCAGTGCCATGAATCATAAAGCCAGGGCACTGGAAGAAATCCTTGAAAATTAGCTGGAGCTTTCACCCGTCTTGGTTTAGGGACATAGCTAAAGTGTCAAAGTCACAGAAAACACTTCCTATTTCCTCTCATAGATGAAAATACCTTTCCCTAATTATTTCTGAGCTACCTTGTGTAAGTTTTCTTTCAATTTCAGTTTGAAAAAGAACAAATTGCAAAACTATTTTTATTTATATAAATAATTATATATTTACACACCAAAATACCTGGGGATCTTTTTTTAAAAAATGATGGATTTAATTTTATGGGTTTATGAAATTAAAAATTGTTTTTTATTTTTTTTAAATTTTTTATTTATTTATTTATTTTATTATACTTTAAGTTTTAGGGTACATGTGCACATTGTGCAGGTTAGTTACATATGTATACATGTGCCATGCTGGTGCGCTGCACCCACTAACTCGTCATCTAGCATTAGGTATATCTCCCAATGCTATCCCTCCCCCTCCCCCCACCCCACAACAGTCCCCAGAGTGTGATATTCCCCTTCCTGTGTCCATATGATCTCATTGTTCAATTCCCACCTATGAGTGAGAATATGCGGTGTTTGGTTTTTTGTTCTTGCGATAGTTTACTGAGAATGATGATTTCCAATTTCATCCATGTCCCTGCAAAGGACATGAACTCATCATTTTTTATGGCTGCATAGTATTCCATGGTGTATATGTGCCACATTGCCTTAATCCAGTCTATCATTGTTGGACATTTGGGTTGGCTCCAAGTCTTTGCTATTGTGAATAATGCCACAATAAACATACGTGTGCATGTGTCTTTATAGCAGCATGATTTATAGTCCTTTGGGTATATACCCAGTAATGGGATGGTAAAATGCTCATCATCACTGGCCATCAGAGAAATGCAAATCAAAACCACAATGAGATACCATCTCACACCAGTTAGAATGGCAATCATTAAAAAGTCAGGAAACAACAGGTGCTGGAGAGGATGTGGAGAAATAGGAACACTTTTACACAGTTGGTGGGACTGTAAACTAGTTCAACCATTGTGGAAGTCAGTGTGGCGATTCCTCAGGGATCTAGAACTATTTTGTTTTTTTAAATAGAGACTGGATATCACTGTGTTGCCAAGTTGGGCTTGAACTTCTGGACTCAAGTTATCCCCCTGCCACAGCTTCCCAAGTAGCTGAGTTTATTAACTTTTAAACTGCATTTTTGGAAAAATGCATAAAGAAAACTAAAAAAAAAAAAAGTTTTTTTTATTTTAGTGATTTTGGGATTATATTAAAGGCAAAAATATAATTCATTTCTTAATTTTTGATTTTAAATGTACCTAACTGGATTTTAAAACTCCATTATATTGTTTTTGCTGCTATAATTGAGAGCAGGAGGAGCAAATGGCTTAAAGAATTAAACTTTCCTCTCACAGGATTTTCTTGCTGAGTAGGGGATTTCAGCTGTGAAAGAAAAACAGTTTCCCAATCCCAGAATTATGAGGCTGAAACTCCTTTCCCTCATAGTTACCTTTTTCTTTTCCTCTACAACTGGAAATGTTATAATAGAAGTCTTTCTGAAAGACAGCAGTCCCTGGACACTCAGCTACTGTAGCTGTTGATTTTCTGCCTGCTTCCATGCTGAAATCGAACTTCTGTCTTTCTATTGGTTCACTTTGTTAGAAATTATAAGGATAGGCAAAGGCCAAAGATAAAAGGAATTAGCAGAGTGAATCAGAAGTTTGGAAAAATTTTTGCCTGAGGTTTAGAGATTTTTCCAGGATTGATATTTTTGCAGTATACTAAGAAGGCTTTCCAGGTGAAATGAAGGCTCTGAAATAAGCCACACCAAGTCAGAGCTATTTTCAAAAATGTGCACTCTGTGATCTCTGTGTCTTTCCATTCTCCTCCTTCTGCTTATTTCAAGTGAAAGAGGACAAGGTACAGTAAATAGAAAACAGAATCCTGTTTTCCTAACATGCTTTCTCCATAAGGCAGGGAAACACTCTTAAAAAGAATAGTATGTTCAAATTAAATTCAGTATTTCCTGTTAATAATCAGCACTCTAATAATATTCTAAGAATGAAAGAGACATTGCTGAACCTTTTACATCAACTCTAGGGACATACTTCTTGTAGTATGAACACTTGCTCTGGAATAAACAACAGAACACACATTATGTATTAAAGTGCAGAGAATGCATAATTCATCCAGATTATACTGTTCTCAAGTAAATAACTGAAAAATTTCATCTTGAAGTCTATTTTTCTTCTTATCTGAATAGATTTTTTTTCTGGTAAGAATGTGTCTTTGCTAAAAACAAAATGCTTAAGCTTAAACCTTATCCTGAAAATAGTTTTCTATTTTTGTTTTACATGTGCAGGCATTGGTAAAGACATCATATCAATCTTAAATTTCACAGATCTTTCTGACAGAGAAGTCTTCCCTTAGAAGATCATTATTAGTGGAATTCATAGAACATCATTTTTCTGAGACTGTGTTTATTTATTAATGATTATAATTTTTTCCAGAGGTTTCCATTACTTTTTATGGCCATTTGAGTGTAAGTCTGCTGCTGTGTTAGGGTCTTCTAATACAGAAGCAAAAATACCAAAGTTGGTTTAAGGAATTATGCCAATATATGGCATTTTTGTTCTTTTTAATCCAGTTAACAGGTAATGCAGAGAGAAAGCTGTTCTAATAGCTAATTGGCACCAGTGAAGTGTATTCAGATGCTTTTTGCAGGGTAAATTGAAACCCAACAAATTTCTGACTCAAAATACTGCAATGAGGAAACATGACCTGACGTAATTTAAGACAAGTAATTTTCTCTGAATTAGCAGTCACTTGCGGGGAAAAGAGGTGAACATCATAATTTGGAGGGTTGGAAAGTATCCTTTGAATTGGATTTGATATGAGTGAAAAATACTGTTTAACACAAGGGAAAACAGGTTAAAACACAAAAATTAGCGCAGGAATCAGGTAACTTTGCTCCATGTTTCTTCCTGCTGCCACATCCTCTCCCAGGTTATTACACTTTTAAGTTATTGACCAGCCAGACAGCTAGACTGCTAGGCAAATGGCACTTTATGAATTTGTATGGATGCTATAAATAGTATGGTCATTTTTATGATGATGAGGTGTATTCTCACCTCCTGACTGTTACAGTGAGTGTGTAGTCAAGTGAATATCCCTAATGAATACAGGCCTTCTATCGCTTCTAAGTGTCAGAACAGCCACTTCGTATTAGTACTTAACGGAAAGTTCTGGCACTAGAAGTTTTTGCTGGACTGGAAAATGTTACCATTGAGTGATGATAAAATGTTCACCTAATTTAAAATTCCAATTAATCCCTCTTTATACATTAAATTTAAAATGGAAGTCATTGAGTTCCTCCAAAGTGGAAAAGTATGTGCTAAATGCAATGAATACAGAGATGAATAAAATATAATTCTTCCTCTCTGATAATTATAAACAGGAAATATAAAGATAAGTTGTATAATGTCAGAAATCCTCAAGACTTGAGTCTAAGATTCTGTGCACATCATTGCCTTTGCATGATGTCATTAGTGTGGTCCCACACTTTTTAGATGTACCTAAAACAGAAGTGAAATAAGTGAGAAATGTGATTTTAGCACGTGGGTCACCTTAATCACAAGATTAACCTGTGAATCTCACACTTCTCCAGAACACCAAAGAAACAGTTAAGTTGGAAATAAAGGTTGGCTTCTAAATCCATGTAATTTGAAAGTGAAGTAGCAGATATAAATTTCTTACTGTCAATAAACTCTCTCTCAGGCAATTTATTCCAAAATAAAAACCCAATCAATGACAACACCATCAAATGACAACATGATGTAGTAGGAAGTTTGGGACATATAATTGTCAGAGGGTTGGATTTGAATCAGGGAAAAATAAAAGCAGCATAATTCCTTGTCCCTGCATGTAAAGCAATACTTGGAGTGAACATATTTCCATGCCCCTATATTAAAAAGTACTTAACTATTTAATCCAGGAAATATCTGCCTAAAGAAGGTAATGTGGTGAACCAATTAAGTGTCTTACACTGTGTTACTGCTCTTTTAGAATATTTATAGCAGGATTTCCGGGGATACTAAATAAATAAATAAATATCTTACTCACTGCGACTAATAATTTACTGATTAAGAGTTAATTCCTAGCTTTATTGTGTATACCACCTTCTTTTCGGATTAATTGAACATTTCTTATATCTTTTGGTTTTACTTTCTTTTTGTGGTTGCTCTATGTATGTTTGACTTACCATGGTATACTATAAATTAATATTATACCACTGTGTGTAAAACAGAAGAACCTTGCAACCTTTGTGTTTTAATTATCATACATTCTACTTATACATAGATTACAGACCTTAAAAATATATTGTTATTTTGACTTCAAATAGTCAACCGTCTTTTGAAGAAACTTTAAGAAGAGAAAATAATTACTCACACATTTACCACTTGTACGTCTATTCCTTTGTATAGATCTAAGTTTCCATCTAGTGTTATTTTTCTTCAATAAAAGAGCTTCCTTTGACATTTTCTGCAGAGCAAGTATGCTAGCAATGAATTATTTCAGTTTCTATTTGTCAAAAATATATTTACTTCACCTATATTTTTGAAGAGTGTTTTCTCTGCATATGGAATCCTGGGATAACAGGGATGTCCCCCCACCACCACCCCTCCATCTTTCAGTGTTTTAAAGCTGTTTCATCACATTCTGAATTGGACTGCTTTTGTTGAAAAGTCAGTGATAATTTTAATTTTTGTATATCTATACAAAATTGTCCTTTTTTCTGGCTTTTTATTTTTTATAGTTAATTTTAAGCAAATTGATTATGATGTGCCTTGGTGTACTTTAATTTTCTATTTTCTATTAAATTACTCTATTTAACATTGTTTATTATTTTTGTGGATTGCTCTTTTTAGCCAAATATGGAAAATCGTCCTCCAACATTTCTTTAAAATTTTTTTTTTGCTCCCTTCCATTTCTGGAAGTCTATTATATGCACATTTGATGGACTGATATTGTCCACGTATCATTGAGATACATATAACTTTGTTCAGATTTTTTCTCTCTGTTCTTCAGATCAAAATGTTTCATTGCCTAAATTTAGCTTCTTTCTAGCATGCTCCCCAGAATTCTTCCAGCTGCTACCTACTGCCCAATTCCAGAGCCACTTTTCTATTTTTAGATATTTGTTACAGCAGCACCCCAAGTACCTAGAAAAGTCTTTTATGCCTGCTTCTCTGCCAGATGACTTGAATATGCTACTAGATTTGGAATTCACCTTTCTCCAGGGTCATTACTGATTTCAAAGAGGTGAATTTACCTGTGCTAGGGTTTTCACACTGGGAGTGCTCCCAGAGCTACCACAGGATGAAAGTGGTGAGCCCACCACTGCAGAGAAGTTTTCTCAGTGCCATAATTTAGAAGAATTCTTCTCAAAATAAGCCCTACTCCTTTTCACTTACTGAAAAGAACTTGGATAATGTTTAACAGCCAGCCCCATTTCAAAAAGATTACCAGGGGTAAAACAACCTTTTCATGGGTCAAAATCATCTTCTGAAGAAAATGCTTTCTTAAAAGAAATGAACATTTTAAATCAAAGGGTATTGTCCTGTTTTGGATTAACAAAACAGGGCAAATAACCAATCCTTGTAAAATTATTTGAAAATTTCTTGTTTTTATCAGTTGAGTGCCTATAGATGCACATACAAAAACAACAGCCATTTTTGTATATAATAGTCTTCTAAAATAGATATTTACATTAGGAGAGAATTAAACATCCAGGAGGGATGAACAGTATTTCATGTGTGCTATGTAGTGTTTTGCTTCATTGAGAGTCATTTTCATGAATTATTTTTACTACTGCAGTCATTCTTCTTAAATTTATAATCATCTCAAAAAAGATGTCACAATGAACAGTTAGACAACCATGTGTGAGGTCAGTCATTCTGCATGATGTATGTAATCAAAAAGTTTGAAATGTCTGCTTACAAATAAAGAATGTTTTTACTGAAAAAGAAAGTTTCATTGCCTATAAATTTACTAAACATTCTATCAAATATCTTGTTCAACCCATTTAATAAATTTTTACATTTAGACACTACAATTTTTGGCTTTAAAAGATCCATCTGATTCTTTTTATATTTTTTATTTCTTTTCTCATTGTGCTCATGTTTTCATTTAAATGCTTGAACATATTTATAACGACTGTTTTAAACTATCTGCAAATTTAATCACTTCTGTCGTTTCTGGACATTTCTAAACCATGTCTATTCACATTTTTTCAGATAATAATGGGTCACATTTTTCTGCATCTTTGCATATACACTAATATTTGATTGGTTGCTGAATATTGTAAATATTAAATCATTAAGTGTCAAGATTATATTGTTTTCCTTTAATGAGTGTCGCAATTTGTTCCCGTAGGCAGTTATTTACATGCCAAATGGCTTGATATTTTTAAAAATTGACTTTAACTTTGTTTGGGTGAGTTTAGAACAGATTTGTCTAGCACTAGTTGATGCTTACTGCTAAGACCCTCCTGGGGTCTCTATTGAATGCTGTGGCTATTCAACGGAGTCCTCTCTTGTTGCCTGGAACTGCATCTTCCAGCCCTGTGTGGGCTCTGGTGATTTTTCAACTTATGTCATCCTATAGTTATTCTTTCCCTGGGAGTTAACAAAGATGCTCTCCTTGACCTAGCTTTAGTGAAACTCCTTTAAGTCCTTAAAACCCTGACCTTGGACTCTGTTCGTGGCCTACTTGGCCCAGTTTTAGCAAAAACCCTGCTGAGTCAGTTTAGAAAACTCCCTGACCTCAATATAAAATCAAATTCTTCATTCCCCACCCTCCATATCTTATCACCTCGCCTGCCTTCTGCAAGAATCTTGAGTTTTCTAGTTGACTACAGGAGCAGGGCAAATTTAGTACCAGTTACCCCATCATGGCTACGTACAGAAATTCAAAAGTTAATATTTTAAGAAATATTCTTTCTCTTTTCACTAGAAAGTAAGTCTCGCAGCAACAGAGATTACTTTTACTCTTATATCTCTAGTTCCTAAAGTAAGCGTCTGGTATACAACTGGTCCTCAATAAATTCTTGTTGAATGAATGGTGACAGGAGGCATTTGGGTACACATGAAAGAAATTTCAGTGAATAATGGTTTACTCAATAGGTGCTTAAGCTCTGCACATTGCAAGAAGTGTTGGGGAGGGCAGTTCCTGGCTCTGGCTCAACTGCAGTGCTTCCATGAAGACACAGTCTCTGTCTTGCCACTCCATCCTTACAGGTTTTTATTTGCTCTTTAGTCTTCTAGCTACATGGTTAATGGAAATGTGTCTTCTTTGGGGGTATCTTTAAAGCATGTGTGCTGTGTTATTTGTGTATATTTAATTTTTTGCTAGAGGACAAGAAAGGAAAATGGATGATGTAACTCATAAGTTGTATTAAGTATATACAACTTATGGCTTGTGAGTCATAGGAAGATCATAAGACGTATAGATTATAAATTAGTAACCCATAAGACACATCAGATATAGGATAAAGGGGATATTTATGTGTTGAGACAGAACAAAGAAGACTAATATCTACAGATAGCAATAGAAAGGCCACATAAACCTTAAATATGCACAAGGTTCAGATGATGTCACCTGTGGTTTGAAAGCTATGCCCTTCTACATCAGCCTCCCCAGGGTGACACCCATATGGCCTCACATGTTTTCTGCCAAAGGCATGCATATGTGAGGCTTGCCTGCTCTTCAGGTGGTTGGGGAGTGATATTGTGATGAGGGGGGCCACGGCGTCACTGCAGCAGAGCAGCATGTGTTGGCTTCAGGCACTGTCTGCCTGTGGACACCCGTGGCTCACCATCAGCTCTGGTGCTTGACACACTGGTTCAGCAAGAAGCCTGCTGTGGTGGAGAGGGGGCTGGGTGAGCAAGTGTCATAACATAGGACTCAGTGAGTCTTTCTCCCTCCTCCCTTCTCTTTCTCCTTGCTTCTCACTGTAGGCTTTAGACGGACTCAAGTCTCTGAGGTTCAACACCTTAGTTTGATGTGTGACTCCTTCTGCTCCATGACCTCAGGGACAACCTTTCTGGCAGTGCAGTCAGGGGCTACTGTGGCATGCCGAGGTTTTCCCAGCTGGTATCACTACCTCCATATTGCAGGTAGGAATACAGAGTGGGGGCATTGCCGGGGACCCGGGCTTCATTGTCTTTTAATAAGCAATTCTAAACTTTTCAAAAAGCTTCCTAACAGACTTCCCCTGATAGTTCACCAGCTAGAATTATGTCACTGGGACACTTCTAGCCTGCAAGGGAGGCTGAGGCAGAGAATTTTTAGTTTCTGAAGGCTCTGCCACAGAGATGAGCAGGGAGAAAAGGTTGGCGATAAATATGGGAACATGTAGCTAGCGGTCTCTGCCCCAGATATGATATTGAATATGAGCCTCAGAATTCTTGTCAATAAAATGTGTTCCTATGTCACTGGATTTTTGTGAGGATAAAATAAATGCTCTATGTGAGATGCCTTGCATAGAGTCTGACCCATCGAAAGGGTTCAGGCATTAGTTTTATTTACTCCATTCTGTCTTATTTTATTCTGTCTTTTCTGCAGAGTAAACTAGGTGTCCTATCATTTTTCACTAAGTTAAACTCCTCAGAATGACAAATTAAGGGCTTCTGCAATGTGGCTCCAATCCATCCTTCTCTGTCTTATCTCTGTCTTACTCTGACTCACACTCCAGTGTCTGAACAGGCCCCATGCTGTGCCATCTGTGGGGCTCTGCCGGTTCCTGGAGGTACTCATCCATCACACCCTCCTCCAGAACCAGCCCCAGGCCAGGCCCAGGGCCCTCAGTACATCCCCAGTTTTCCTGTAGTCAGGATGACTTTCTCTATGATCCCATGGATCCCATTGTTGCTTTATTGAAGCACAGTCTGAAATTTTTCCAGCTAGCCTTATAGCTGTCAAACTTTCAAAATTTAATTTCCTTGAGCAGCACAGTCTCTCAGCACAGAGCCCAGAAACACAATAGGAGCTCAGGGTATTTTTAATCCTGCCCGTGGTTCAATTGGGGAGGGGCTTCCAAAATGTACACACGACCCATCAAAACATTTAACATCTCTGTGCCCTAAAGTCGTTCTAAATGTATACTTTTGGATGGTTAAAAGCGTTTTCTCTAGAAGTCTCATTTTAGGCTGATAGGTGGAGCTCTGACCAAGATGCCCTTTAGGCCCCATAGGTTCCCCTCTGATGTGTGACAATTCAATTGATTCCAACAGGGCAGGGATCCCCCAGGCAGTGGAGGGCAGCAGAGACATCAGTTCTAGGAATGAATTCATTAAAAGCCCCTCACTTTGGTTGGAAGGTACACTTACTTGGCTCTTTGAGTTAGCACACGCTTTCATCCACAAGATTGACTACACACCTGTATCTGGCAGGAAATCTACTAAGTCAGTACTTACTGGGAAATTTTGATGTGCACTGCATCTGTGATTAAATGAAAACAGCAAGGAAACATTGTATGGACTCACAGTGGATTTGTTATAAAAAAAGAAGCCCCTCAATAACTCTTCTTTAAATTAAAAGTCTAAACATAGGTAATATGACTGTACATACTATATCTTTTAGAAATCAAATGTTAACAATAATCTACAAGTTTTGTGGCCTTCATTAAAGAAAAAAAATTAAAACATGCTATTTTACCATCTTAGATTTTTTTTTTTAAATAGTAAGAAAGATATTGCTCCATGATGTTATTAAACTCATCAAAAGAGGCATAGCTATTTTTTGAAAATCTTAATCTAAGAATTCATTAGTTGTAAAAATATATAACTTGACAAGAAATGTTTTCAAAAGGAGAGCTCCTCTGTATTTAATTGAAAGGTTTGGTAAACACTTCCTATATTTCATTACTATTTTGAAAGAACTAATATGCTTTAAACAGCAAAATAAGCATTTCAAAATAGTTAAAACACATCAGTTCTCAAAAAACCTATACTGAAAAGGATTTTACTTTGATAAGAGACATCAGAGGTAATTTTTTTCTAGTTGCCATCTCATAATATAGCATTTCTAGACTTCGAAGATATTTAGACTATGAGACATTGGATATTGATCATATCTCTTTTATTTTCTTCACAGATTTCAGAGAAAATTGTAGGAGTTTAATATAATAGAGTTTTTCTTATTTCCACTTGATCTGATAGTAAAGGACATATTTATGAATAATAATGATTATTTGTAACATTATAAGCTCATGTAAACAATAATGGGAAAAAAAAGAAAGAGTGACCAGAAATAACTGCTTAATTTTTATTTGGATCTATAGAGAATTTATTTTAAGAAGGTACTTTGAACATTGACAATCAAATTTTAGGAACTAATAATTTCTAATTTACTTATTTATACAGGGATTCAGTTCGATGAATATTTTATTTATATAGATTCATTTTTTGAAACAGAGTCTCTCTCTGAGGCCCAGGCTGGAGTTCAGTGGCATGATCTTGGCTCACTGCAACTCTGCCTCCCGGGTTCAAGCGATTCCTGTACCTCAGCCTCCTGAGTAGCTGGGATTACAGGCATGTGCCACCATGCCCAGCTAATTTTTGTATTTTTAGTAGAGGTGGGGTCTCACCATGTTGGCCAGGCTGTTCTCAAGCTCCTGACCTCAGGTGATCTACCTGCCTCGGCCTCCCAAAGTGCTGGGACTACAGACATGAGCCACCACGACTGGCCAAAATATTGAATATGAAGAAGATTATAGGTGATGGAAAAAATGTTTGATATAACAAGGGAAAGCAATCATCATGGTCCTATAGTAATGTCTTGAGTATACCCCAGGTCCACCCCAGTTCTGGGGAATCAGGATTCAGTCCAATTTCACTGATAGGAGAATGAATATTTAGAGAGGTGAGGTCTTTCTCCTAATACATTGCACTATAATCAGAAAACAAAGGGTAGAAAAAAGGAAGGAAGGAAGGAAGGAAGGAAGGAAGGAGGGAAGGAAGGAAGGAAGGAAGGGCAGGCGGGCACGCCAAGATTTCTTCCACTCCCAAAGATAAAGAAATTTTTCTTTTTCACAGTATTTCTAAGGTGCCAATTTAAAATATTGTTTTTAGATCACCTGTAAGTTAGAGGTAGCTGAGATTGTGTTAGATCTGTTTATAGATCAAATGCAGAATATCTTTTCTATTCCTATTATTTTTTGACATTACCCTGCACTTAACAGAGTAGGGGAAGCATTGAAAAGAATAGTCATTCTCTTTAAAAAGATGTCAGGCATCCTTCCCATCCTTTCCTCCCTGCCTCCTCTTCCTTCTCATCCTCTTTTTTTTTCTTCTCTCCCTCTCTGTCCCTTTCTCCCAGTGAAGGCTACTGCAGTGGCATGTGAAAATCAAATATTTCAAACAAGTTTGAGAAATAAGGGCAGACTGGTGACAAAAAGGATATCAAAACACCTAGGAAAGAGTTAGAAAAATAGAACTGCTGATAAAGTCCTCTATCACCCTGCAACCTTAGAAAGCCTGTTTGATCTCTGATTTCATAAAACAAATTGCTACATTTTGCTTTTCAAACTCATCTTACATCAGAAGGTAAAAAACAAGTCATACTTCAGATTGCATTGTATGTATTTCAGCTTAAGAAATTGAAATTAGTTTCATTAAATGAATGGCTTGTATAATGAAAAGTATTAATAGTCCTACTGAGAACACTCGTTTGATCTGGAAATTCTTGCTCTTCTGTTTATCTCTATCCAGCAAGACAAAGACATACTGGATTAATGACTAGAATCTGAATAATTATTAACTGAGCTTGCCAGTATCCCCGTTCACCTTCACACAGAATTCGAGGTGACCTCATTTTGAAATGCAGGGATGAACTCTTTGATCATGCATCTCTCCCTCTGTGACTCATGCTTTCAGTGCATTCATAAGATGATTTATAAGTGGGGGAATGTAAGTATGCAAGGAATTAAGCCCTTTGTATTTTGCATTTCTTTGTCTTTGAAATAGTCTCCTTCAGAATTGTCAATGTAGAGCACTCCTGTCTTCTAGACAAACAGATGAAGTCCAGATTGCCACAGAGAGTTGAAAACAGCTCTGCTCCTCCAAGATTTAAAAAGGCAGAAAGTGGCTGGGCACTGAGCAAGGCCAGGACTTTCTCACTGGCCTAGAGGCTTGGGATAGGTAGGTTCTCATGATGTATTCTCCACTTTCAGATGTGGGTTTGGGGGAAATGGCCTGAGCCTGGGTTTCTTTCTTGAGGCCTGCTCCCTCTGGCCTCATCTGTGGGCTGAGAGGCCCCCAGAGTTTGTTCAAGAACCAGCAGGGAGGCCTTCGGGGTGCAGCATTCTGGGACTAAGAAGCAGGAGGAAGCCCGGCAAGGCAGGATGCCAGTCCTGGAGAATGACGACTCCTGGCCACCTCACTCCCAGGATTCCTTAAAGATTTTGCCAACTGGGCGCGCTCTTCCTGCTGTCCCGGAGAGAATGACTAGCAATTTAAAGACCAATTAGACCCCAAGAATCTTTGGTCCTTGGCCTATTACTAGGTCATAGAAGAAAATAGCAGTGATGAGATAGAAATATCAGTAGCATTAGAAATGCCAGGCCAGATGTACTGAAGAAACTGCTTGATGGTGGCTGAAATCCATGCCCAGCATCTACTGGTACCTCTCTCTGTTTTAAACCCAGCATCTACTGGTACCCCTCTCTGTTTTAAACTGGAGGAAATTTGATGCCAAAATCACATTCACCTGATCTCCTTGATCTCCAATAAATACATGTCAGTTGATATAAACATTAGATGTGCATATGTTTCTTACTTTTTTTTTCTGAAGAGTAGTGTCTAAATCAATATAGTTTAGAAATTAAGGCCTTATGGTATATCCCCACCAAAGAACTACAAGGGAACAAGGCAAAGGTAGATAAAAATGCGACTGTGATGATGGCCTTCTGGTGGTGCACGTGAGCTTGCTTCCTGAGCAAGCATCCATGCTGGTTTCTGTCTGGGAGAACATGAGCTGGAAGGGACATTTGATCTTTCGTATAGAAGTCTGTTCCAGAGACAACAGGAACGCAAGCTAGTCATTGATCATGAAACCCACACATGCAAATTCTGAAGTTTGGGGAAGGTCTCAGAAAGAGGTGTCCAGGCCTGGGCATGGCAGTGCATTTGGCTGAGCTGGGTGTAACCAGGGGAGGGGGATGGCCCAGGCTGTGGTTCGCAGTCCTTTTGAGAGACAGAACCACACAGTGAGCTCTGCACCCAGAGACGGTAACTGCAGAGAGGACAGATGTCCTTGGTGTGGACATTCCATCTTCCTGTGGTTCCTTGGGTTTTGTTTGGTTCTATCTCCAAAACTATCTAACTTTTAATGTATTGCTGAAATCAATTATCTAGTCATTCATAGAAGGCTATCTTTCACATCTATGTTCAAGATGGGCTGGCATTTTTGGTTTTGAGCTTTTTTTTACTAAATTTTGAAATCATGATTGCAAAGCTTTGTGAGATCACACAGGACACTTTTCAACTAATTCTAAAATTTGATAATCTATAAAATAGGAGTGTGTTATATAGGAATAGGCATTTTCCAGAGAGTTTGAAAGTACTTGAGTAAATTTATCCAGATCCAAAAAAGCAAAACACAGCAAACAAGGAAAGTTGACAACTGGTCTTTCTTTTTGTATATTTTGCATATCTGGATTTATTTCTTTTGAAATATCATGATTTAAACTATAGATAACTAAGACCAGATGGCTGCTGTAATTTGTGACTTGACTTAAACTTCAAAGTAGGTAACATTAAAAACTCTGATTGTCAAAGTCTTTCAGCAAGTTTTGCCCCATATTAGGAAAAAGTAAAAAGATGTTAAATGTAATACAAAGATGCCCCAAGAAATCAGAAAAATAAAAATTAGAAATTTCAGGACTTTGATTAAAATGCATGTAAAAGTATTTTCTGATTATGTAAGTAACATATAGTCATCGTATTAAAAATATAAAAACTATACAGAAAAAAGGTCAAAAAAGACATGCAGACTAACCATAATTTTATCTCTCCAGTGAAAATGATTACTTATATTTTAAAGTATGTCTCTCCTTTTTATAAACATACAATAAATTGCTAATGCTGATATAGTGTAAAAAAGGATAAATATGTGAGGTAATGCATGTTAATTAGCTCAATTTAGCTATTCCACACGTATATATACATAATTTTTAACATCAAGTTGTACACAATAAATATAATTTTTATTTGTTAATTTAAAAATTCATTAATTTGAAAATATTCCCTTGGATAATACAAGAACTATAACAAAGAAAAACAAAAATCATTTAAAATTTTCTATACCAGAGATAATTCCTTTTATTTTAGATATTATTTGTAGACTTTCTGTATTTTTGTCTGCATAGGGCAGGGATTGACATACTTTTTCTATAAAGGGCCAGATACTAAATATTTCAGGCTTTCAGGCAGATTTTCTGTGTCAACTGGAAAATCATGAGATCCATAAATTTAGAAAGGAAACTTTATTTCTTATAAAGGGTTACAGCCTGCAGGGCGGCTATCCCACAGGCTGAGAAGCTTGCTCTAAGGCAGAGCCTGAAAGACAGGAACATCTAGGGAAGGAATTGTCCCATAGAAAGCTTACATTCTACCCAAGTCTATGAGAATGACTACTTCCCCACATGTTCAGCACCTCCTTAATCCATCATCATTTATTTTTTTGTTTAGTTTGTGTTCTCCACCAATGATATTAATTTTTTCATGCTCATAGGCTATTTAATTTCTTCCTTGGTGAATTTTCTCTTTTTTTTTCTTTTATAATTGTTCTTATTGGTAGTGTTCATTTTTTCCTATTGATTGATGGGAGATTTTATACATATTAAGACTAAAATTTCCTTGACATGTGTGTTGTAAATGCTCCTTTTGTTGTTTCCTTTACATATAATTGATGGGCTTTTATTTTAATTTTAAAAACTGATTTTAATGTAATCCAGTAAATAATATTTTATAATTTTGCATTTTTCCTTATTCAACAAAAGAACTTTCTTAACTGTACCTTCAAGGCTATGATTTTTTTTTTTTTAAATTTTTACTCTATCTGAAATTTAAAATTAAATTAGGATTTAATTATATGTATTTGGTTTTCAAATGGGTAAATTCCTCGACACATACATTCTCCCAAGACTAAACCAGGAAGAAGTTGAATCTCTGAATAGACCAATAACAGGCTCTGAAATTGAGGCAATAATTAATAGCTTACCAACCAAAAAAAGTCCAGGACCAGACGGATTCACAGCCGAATTCTACCAGAGGTACAAGGAGGAGCTGGTACCATTCCTTCTGAAACTATTCCAATCAATAGAAAAAGAGAGAATCCTCCCTAACTCATTTTATGAGGCCAGTATCATCCTGATATCAAAGCCTGGCAGAGACACAACAATAAAAGAGAATTTTAGACCAATATCCCTGATGAACATCGATGCAAAAATCCTCAATAAAATACTGGCAAACCAAATCCAGTAGCACATCAAAAAGCTTATCCACCATGATCAAGTGGGCTTCACCCCTGGGATGCAAGGCTGGTTCAACATACGCAAATCAATAAATGTAATCCAGCATATAAACAGAACCAAAGACAAACACCACATGATTATCTCAATAGATGCAGAAAAGGACTTTGACAAAATTCAACAGCCCTTCATGCTAAAAACTCTCAATAAATTAGGTATTGATGGGACATATCTCAAAATAATAAGAGCTATCTATGACAAACTCACAGCTGATATCATACTGAATGGAAAAAAACTGGAAGCATTCCCTTTGAAAACTGGCACAAGACAGGGATGCCCTCTCTCACCACTCCTATTCAACATAGTGTTGGAAGTTCTGGCCAGGGCAATCAGACAGGAGAAAGAAATAAACGGTATTCGATTAGGAAAAGAGGAAGTCAAATTGTCCCTGTTTGCAGATGACGTGATTGTATATCTAGAAACCCCGTTGTCTCAGCCCAAAATCTCCTTAAGCTGATAAGCAACTTCAGCAAAGTCTCAGGATACAAAATCAATGTGAAAAAATCACAAGCATTCTTATACACCAATAACAGACAAACAGAGAGCCAAATCATGAGTGAACTCCCATTCACAATTGCTTCAAAGAGAATAAAATATCTAGGAATCCAACTTACAAGGGATGTGAAGGACCTCTTCAAGGAGAACTACAAACCACTGCTCAATGAAATAAAAGAGGATACAAACAAATGGAAGAACATTCCATGCTCATGGATAGGAAGAATCAATATTGTGAAAATGGCCCTACTGCCCAAGGTAATTTATAGATTCAATGCCATCCCCATCAAGCTACCAATGACTTTCTTCACAGAATTGGAAAAAACTACTTTCAAGTTCATATGGAACCAAAAAAGAGCCTGCATCGCCAAGTCAATCCTAAGCCAAAAGAACGAACCTGGAGGCATCACGCTACCTGACTTCAAACTATACTACAAGGCTACAGTAACCCAAACAGCATGGTACTGGTACCAAAACAGAGATATAGACCAATGGAACAGAACAGAGCCCTCAGAAATAATACCACACATCTACAACTATGTGAGCTTTGACAAACCTGACAAAAAAAGAAATCGGGAAAGGAGTCCCTATTTAACAAATGGTGCTGGGAAAATTGGCTAGCCATATGTAGAAAGTTGACGTTGGATCCCTTCCTTACACCTTATACAAAAATTAATTCAAGATGGATTAAAGACTTAAATGTTAGACCTAAAACCATAAAAACCGTAGAAGAAAACCTAGGCAATACCACTCAGGACATAGGCACAGGCAAGGACTTCATGTCTAAAACACCAAAAGCAATGGCAACAAAAGCCAAAATTGACAAATGGGATCTAATTAAACTAAAGAGCTTCTGCACAGCAAAAGAAACTACCATCAGAGTGAACAGGCAACCTACAGAATTGGAGAAGATTTTTGCGATCTACTCATCTGACAGAGGGCTAATATCCAGAATCTACAAAGAACTCAAACAAATTTACAAGAAAAAAACAAACAACCCCATAAACAAATGGGTAAAGGATATGAACAGACACTTCTCA
This sequence comes from Homo sapiens, assembly GCF_000001405.40. Taxonomy (NCBI): domain Eukaryota; kingdom Metazoa; phylum Chordata; class Mammalia; order Primates; family Hominidae; genus Homo; species Homo sapiens. Next base: position 57,569,667 of record NC_000008.11, read on the forward strand.
AAAGAAGACATTTATGCAGCCAAAATACAGTGAAAAAATGCTCATCATCACTGGCCATCAGAGAAATGCAAATCAAAACCACAGTGAGATACCATCTCACACCAGTTAGAATGGTGATCATTAAAAAGTCAGGAAACAACAGGTGCTGGAGAGGATGTGGAGGAATAGGAACACTTACAGTGTTGGTGGGACTGTAAACTGGTTCAACCATTGTGGAAGTCAGTGTGGAGATTCCTCTGGGATCTAGAACTAGGAATACCATTTGACCCAGCCATCCCATTACTGGGTATATACCCAAAGGATTATAAATCATGCTGCTATAAAGACACATGCACATGTACGTTTATTGCAGCATTATTCACAATAGCAAAGACTTGGAACCAACCCAAATGTCCATCAATGATAGACTAGATTAAGAAATTGTGGCACATATACACCATGGAATACTATGCAGCCATAAAAAAGGATGAGTTCATGTCCTTTGTAGGGCCATGGATGAAGTTGGAAACCATCATTCTCAGCAAACTATAGCAGGGATAAAAAACCAAACACCACATGTTCTCGCTCATAGGTGGGAATTGAACAATGAGAACACTTGGACACAGGAGGGGGGAGGGATACCATTAGGAGATACACCTAATGTAAATGACCAGTTAATGGGTGCAGCACACCAACATGGCACATGTATACATATGTAACAAACCTGCACGTTATGCACATGTACGCTAAAACAAAGTATAATAATAATAAAAAAAATTTTACTCCACCTGAAATTTAAAATTAAATTAGCAATTAATTATATGTATTTAGTTTTCAAATAGCTATTTGTTTAAGAACTATTTTGTGTGAAACATCATCTTAATTACACACTCAATTTTTCTAAATACTAGAGTGTATTTTGGTGTATTTTATCATGTTGCATTAATCTTGGTGCCAACTATTTTACCAGCATGATGGAATTTCAATTAAAATAATGTTATGATGGTTTTTAATATATAGGAGTATAAATCCTCCTTTTCATTTTTTGACATTTTCTTAATTTGTGTTACAAATTAAATTTAGGATAGTTTTAAAATTTCTTGTCCTGCTGTATTTCTATTAGATGTGCAATAATCTTATAAATTGATTTAGGGAGAATACTATCTTTATGATAAAGTTTGTTTCCACTCAGCAGTATGATCTGTTTATTTGTTCAAGTCTTCTTTTGCCTCTTTGTAATTTGTTTTCTTTATTTGGGTTCTGTATATTTATTTCTAAATATGCTTTAATTCCTTGGGGCTATTATGAATTGGTCATTTTTTTTTCCATTATACATTTCTAATTTGAATCTCCATATACCTACTCACCCATGCCTGGGGCCCAAGAATAATTCTAAACTCTTTCCTATCTACCCAGCCCTCATGTTCTGCAGACTCTGCTCCCTCCTCTCCTCTCCACCCCACTGCCACTGACTTCATTCAAGCTCTGAACGCCTGCTGACTAGACGATTCCACATTCTTTCACACTGGTCTCCCTAGATCCAAAGTAATTTCACTCTACCTTACACTTCAAAAATGAGTGATTTTTCTAAAATTCAAATGTTATCATATGTCTCTTCAAACTCTTCACCGTTTCGCCATTGACTGTTACCAGATTTTTAGGCATAGATGATCTGACAGTCAGGTCCTTGTCTCCATCATCTCCCACCCCAGTCTCACTTACCACTAAGTTCCAGTCTCCAGACTGCTCAGTTTCATTTACACACCAGCAATGAGGCCTTCAGTCTTCACATGCACCCTTTCCTCAGCCAGCATGTCATCCCCCTTGCTGCTGTCCACCTGGAAAATACCCGCCTTCTCATCTTTTAAGTCTCAAATGAACAGTGCCTCCTCAGCAAAGATATTCCCATGTTTCTCTTCCTACTCACAGAGTAACCCACACCTCCTACCTTTTGGCTTCCATATCACTGTGGATATTTCTGTCACAGCACCTGTTACATGACAGTACACTGTTCCCTGCATATCTGCTTTCCCTTACCAGAGTGAACATCATACTCTTCACATAATTGATGGTGGCTGCAATAGGTAACTTCCAAATTTTAATGGTTTAACACAGTGAAGGTCTATGGTTCTCCACAACAGCTTGAGTCCAAGTGGTGAGTTAAAAACTCAGCTTCCCTCTGCTTCATGATGCTGCCATTTTAGATATATGGGCTGCCTGACTTCCACAGAGAGGAAAGAGAGGCTATGAGGGCCTCACAGCTGCACCTATGGCCAAGCCTCGACATCCTTCTGTCCAGATTTCATTGACCAAATCTCTCAACAGGTGCTAGCCAGACATCCCAGAAAGCTGGAAAGGGGGTCTTCCTTTCTGCCTAGGAAAATGAAATGGAAGTAGTAAGCAGCAAGCCAGTGTCTGCCACAACTATCCAGGAGAAAGAACTCTATCCTCTGTTAGTTTTAGTATTGCCAGCATCTGCTGTAGTACTTGACACTCAGATAGTGGGACTGGCTGAGGTTCTGTGGACAGGAAATGAAAACACATATCCAAAATAGGTACCTAATCCTGTCAAAAATGAATTGTTGCCCATTCAAGAATGGGTGTAGAGCTGGCTCTTTCACCACCATTTGTTGCAGTTTGGGTTTTCAGGCTTGTTCTGGGATACAGAGTTGTTTTCAGGCTACCTTGTTGCCATTTGAGAGTCCAGCAACACTTTCTTCCAGGACCCAAATATCCTGGAGGAACTTAGAGCTTTGACCAGACCATCAATGGAGCCATCATAAAAGCTTAACTCAACCTTGATCCCAGAGGTTTCTCCGATGCCCACTGAAGAAAATTCCCAGGGAATCCAGAGGCCTCTCATCCCATCTGCTCAGAAACGTTAATAAAGAATCTTAGTAAATTGGTTCTCAACTCTAGTACCAAATTATTTTCCCAGTTACTGGAAGGTCTACCCCAGCAACAGGACCAAAGAGAAAAGATCTTCAGGAGATCAGAGGTGGCTTGCCTTACAGGAGGGGAGGAGTAAGAACATTTTATTTGTGAGGAACGAAAGGATGGCAAAACTCAGATACCTTTTACTCAACAGATTTGTTTGTCTTGAAAGAGAACTAAGAGACACGGCTCAAAGGAGTTCAGAATGAATCAAGAAATGAACCATTCAAATGTGGCTGTAGTTATTGCGTTTATTGTAGACAGGATCCTTCTGGGAATGCTAGAATGGGGAATTATTACACAGAGCTGATTCAGCTATAAACCTTATTCTTGTACTTTTCTTTCTTACTGGTGATTTTATGCAGCAGATTGAGAAAGCTACTCCATGCTAGAATAAACTGTATACCAATAATTTTGATAACCCGTGATGAGTTCTGCTTTTGTTTTTCTTTCTTCTTCTTTCCTTCTTTGTAAGTAAGGAAGCGTCTTACTTTGATACCAGTAATTTTTAAGGAATCTGTGTAGTTTGAATGTATTTGAATAACTCAAATATACTTTAGTTGTACTTTTTTATTTGACCCAAAGAAGCACCAATAGATCTTAAGTATTTCCATGTGTTTTAGAAACCTGAAGTCAGTGAGATGAAATATACAGAACATAAAGGGTATTGAGACAGTAGTAATTGTAGAGGACATGGCTGGTGGGGACACAGGGAAGCTCATGCAAGGAATGCTGAACTCTTTATACCCAATATAAAGAGTGTGAGGCAAGGTAACTTGTAGGGGAAAGATTATAAAGGAAACATTGGGTAGTTTGGCTAAAGCATAATAATTTGATAACTAAGTTTTATGGTTTTCAAAAATTTGAATTGCAATAAAAGAAAATTTTGATGTGCTATTTTAATTTTCAGCAGCAAATACATGCATGTATGAAGAAACTTACTAAAAATGACATATTTGAATACCTTTAAGAAGAAGAGTGAGTGGGGTTCACTGTAGTCTATTTGCTACCAAATAGTTTTTCATCTCTTTGTGGGACGGCACCACACTGGGGTCTTGTGCACTCTGTCCTTATGACGGAGTACAAGTGGCTCACCTGTCTTTCCGACTTGTGTCAGATCAAGCTTATGATGGACATTTCTGGCTGTATGGTCACTTGATAATCCATGATCAGAAGCTCTGTCTCCACCAGAGCCCAGTGACATGCCTGTAGTTGTGTTTTGAAAGTTGAATTGCAGATGCAAATGGCAATGGCATGGCCTTGTTACCAAGGCCAAGGAGGTCTATGTTGTTATTTTCCTTTTGGGGTCTGCCATAAACACCACAACCATCTTTTCCTATCATATATACCTCTAGCATCTCGGTTTTCCAGGTCCTATAGCCCAAGCAGCAGGGCCTCTTGCATAGTCTAGGTGTATTACAGAGACCTCTCCTACAGTGAGTCCCATGTAAAGCTGGCAGCCTTTCGTAGCACTTGATGCATGGTCCAGAGAAATAGTCCTAGGTATGGCATGTATGCAACGGAGCCTATTAGGAGTTGTGTTTCCTTCTTTGAAGCTGGAAGTGTGAGACATAATATTTCTTTTTACTTGGAAAGACGTGTTCTGGTAAACATGAACCACTAAATCTCCAAAATATTATAATGCAGCCAGCCCTAAGTCATTGTAGGCTTTATCTCCTACATGTGTCTGACTAAGGCCTCCATAAACCTTGCTGCTTCCTACTCCCCTAGTCCAATAAGCAGAAAGTCAAAGATATAATGGATAAGTATGATCATCTTTAGGGTGTCCAGATGGCCCAAAACTGATTGGCCTATAGAATAGAGACTGAGAGATTGAAATGGAACCCTAGGCCATGTACATGATCTTCTTATACTAAAGGGAAATTTTAAGCACAAAATTCAGGATGGCGTTGATTCTCAGATGGGGACAGGAAAAGTTATGGCTGGAGAATACACAGCTTCAGGTGCACTGTGTTTTTCTGTTCCTCTAGGCTAGTTCTGAGAATATGACTGCTTATTACATTATTCTTAAACCTTGTAGTATGTGTGAAATGTTTTATGAAAAAATTTTGAAGTATTAAAAATGATTTTAATTTTAAAAAGAAAGTGACAGGTAAGAGAAAAAGGGGTAGCCAGAGAGATGTCCAGGTTGAGGGAAGGAACTCTTTATGATGAGAGAAATGACCACATTATAGGATAAATGGAGAGGACACAGAAAATAAAACATGCTGGAAGGGACTTCATCAAGGTTAGGAACAGTAGATAAGTCAAATCTGAATCAAGAAAAAGATAAGGACAGATGCAAATATAGGTGATTTTGTCCATGTGAAGGACAGGAGATTGAGAAATGGGGGTTCTTGTTTCTCTGTGAGTAAGGACAAGGTCATCTTCTGAAAGTAGTTAGACAGTAGCAATTGCAGAGGACGTGGCTGGTGGGGACACAGGGAAGCTCGTGCAAGGAATGTGGAGCTCAACCAGGAGCCCCGCTGAGTTCCTGCAGTCATGGCCATCGTGTGCTCCTCCAGCGGCATTCAGAAGCCCAGGGTGGTAATAGTGGAGAAAATCAATGATTAGGTAAATCCAAGATTGGGGAGTTTCAGGGAAGATGTGGTGGGAGTTTCAGGGAAGATGTGGTGGACAGACAAGGAAGTAAGGATATTGACAATGCAAGCAGCTTGGTGTTTGGGAAGAGGCTGGACAGAAGAGGAAAGGAAATCAGGAAGATACAATGTATTGAGGTGATAAGGGAAGAAAAGCAGGTAAAAGGAAGCCAAGGTGGAAGGCAAAATTGAGCAGTAATGCGAAAGCACAAGGCCTGGCCCATGTTGGCCATAAGGTGGCACCGTTAGTCCAGTGTGGCGGGCAAACCTCTTGTTGGCTGGTAGGTGCAGTGAGGGCAGAACCCTGCTGCTATGTCCCCCAAGTCTAGCCTAGCATCTGATACTGTGGACAAAAAAAGTCAGGTATCTAGAAGAGTATAGATAATCATATTAAGTGACTGGTGTATACAATGTAAAATAACAGAGATGGAGCAATTTGGTGAAAGAATATGCAGGCAGTGACCATGACAAAGGACAAATAGAGGGCTTCGTGAGAAAGCAACGCGCTTGAGCTGCAGATGTGAAGTGACTTTAGACAGGTCTTCCAAACATTGAACTGATTACCAGAAAAATGGTCAATTATCTCACTGCAAAGGCTACCACACAGAACGTACATAACTTTTCTAGACTGACCTTGTGTGCTGCTCTTGCTAACCAGAATCAAGTTGCCTGAAGATTTTGTACTGACAACCATATTTTTATTTTGTTTTATTTTGTTTTATTTTATTTTATTTTATTTTATTTTATTTTATTTTGAGACAGAGTCTCACTCTGTCGCCCAAGCTGGAGTGCAGTGGTTCAATCTCGGCTCACTGTAACCTCTGCCTCCCAGGTTCTAGCGATTCCCCTGCCTTAGCCTCCCAAGTAGATGGGAATAAAAGTGCGTGCCACCATGCCCGGCTAGTTTTTGTATTTTCAGTAGAGATGGGGTTTCACCATGTTGGCCAGGCTGGTCTCGAACTCCTGACCTCAAGTGATCCATCCATCTCGGCTTCCCAAAGTGCTGGGATTACAGGCATGAGCCACCGTGCCCAGTCCAGACAACTGTATTTTTAAATGTTCATTCCAGATTTTTGTTAAAAGCACTTTTGTCAAGGTGACAGTGTGTCTGTAAAGATGTTCTAGTCATTGTGATAGATACAGAGTCATCTTCTTGATACCCTCAAGATAAACATGAATATATAGAATCCCAGACTTACCTGTGAAGCACATTATTAATGTGCCTATTAGTCTTGTCGTGCACATAAAGTAAACCTGGACTGTCAGTAGACCTTTCAATTCAGAAGAAATCAAAACCACAGGCAATATAATTTAGCTAACTATGCAACATAAGGCCCTTCCCCTTGCTTTAATTCTTCTAAACATCTTGAAAGTAGTTGTTTCCTTGCTAATTTACTGACCTATCGAAAGTTATAGATACAGATTATTATTTTATTTTCCAGCAAACATTTATGAAGCACCTTCTAAGTGCAAAGCTCTGTGCTGGGGGCTGTGGAAGAAAATGATTATCAGCTAACATGCTTCTGCCTCAAGGAGCACAAGGGTTTAAAGAAAAATGAAATATGTGCACAAAGAGCTATATAACAAGTCAGAGTGCAACAAGAGCTCAATCTCGGCTCAGTGGTTCAATCTAAGAATGCTGTCAATTTAAATTCCTTCTCCAAACTTGAGAGATAACACTCAGTGGAATTAATATAACACTCATATGTTGTTGGTGGCATTACAAATGATGCACACTTTTTTGGAAGCACTAATTTGGCAACACGCATCAAAGGAAGTAGAAGTGTTTTAAGTTCCAACATTGTCCTCTCGGGCTAACCTGAGGGCCCAAGTCCTGCTGGAATGGATCCTGGAAGGGTCCAGGCAGAAAACCGAGTCTGAGGCCCTGGGGAAATTCACCTTCATGAGAAATATCATCACAGGGCTCGAAACCATGAAGAGAGGTATGATAAACCCCGTGAAGTGAGATGTTAGTGGAGGAATCAGGTGATGGCGCTCACTGTAAAATCTTTTGACATTGATAGGTGTTTTTGAAAAGTTTCAGAGTAAGACATAGGAGGAAAAAAGCTATCCCAGTACGATCTTCCTGATGCTAGTGTTGAAAAAGAAAAATTGAGAAGACTCTCCAGGAGAGGTCGATTAGGGACCTAGAGAGCAGCAGTGGCCCTTTCAGAACCAGAAGTAGGGCAGCCAGGCATACATCGGCCAGCAGCCGGCACCCTGCACCTGCTCGTCCTAAACTCTACGATGGCCTGACATGCCAGATTTATTTCCACGGGCCAGGATACAACGGGAGAAACATCTTATTGTTATACTACTACACTCAACTTTAAGGAACTAGTAAAAATATATCATATAAAAAGTCTTATTTTAAAAATATGTTTCATTTTTTCAAAAATGATAACTACTGCATATTATACTGTTAAAAAAAAAAAGAAATGCAGGCCCCAGTATGGTGTGTGCACTATGTACATAACCATGGAAAAGAACATTTAGAGAATGATTGCAAGAGAAAAGACAGCAAAGATTGTGCTTGGGTGATGGTATTATGGGTAATTTCTCTATTCCTTATTTTCTAAATTTTATGTAATATTATTATGGCAATTGTACTTTTACAATGAATATCAAGAAATGGAAAAAAATTACTTCTTTCCCTGAAGATACAAACGCATTTTATTGGAGCACAAGAGAAAATTCATTATTTTCATTTAAGTCAGGTAAGTGTGATGAGTAAGCACAAGCAAGTTGTGGGACTTTTCAAACAACCTAAACCTGTGCAGAGACTGAATAAATCCACCTTGGGGTACACCTGCTCTCCCTCATGAGAAGCCTGGCCTGTGAGCCAACACAACCAATGGGAGTAACAATCATTCTGCAGAAAATGGGGCCAAATTCCAGACTGGCAAGTCAGAAGGCTCCATGAAAGGGCATTTGATCTGCACCTTGAAGGAAGAGCAGAATGTCAGCAGGCATTAGAAGTCCAAGGTGGAAAGTGCAGTCTCTCTAAATAACAGACAAGAATTTTGACTAGTGCAGAGGCAGAAAGTATCCCATTTGCATGGAGATCTGTAGTGAGATATGAGCCAGTAAGATGGGAGGCAGGTGGAGCCAGGTCAATTGTCCTGCAGTGGGGGGAGGGGACACCTGTAAGTGACATATGTCAAGGGCAATAAAATGGGAAAATCCTAACGGCCCCATGTGATGAAACTTATCAAATTTTCTAGAAGTGCCACCCCACTCCCAGGACCTTGCAGTGGCTTCTATCCTGGTGACTGGACCTCCAGCTCTCATTTCAGAGGGAAGGCAGCCTTTCTGGTAGCTTGCCTCCCTTGATATGATCTTCCATAACTCCCATTTACAAATAAATTTCAGACATTCCCTGAGTCAAGTACAGAAGCTTCAGGATATTTACAGCCAGTGGGTATTTACACTGAAGTATTTTAATCTCCTTGAATGAGCATAGCAAATAAAAAACAAACCAGAACAGCTATACATTGAATGGGGCAGGGGAGAATAGAAGATTCATTAAATACAAGCAGACCTCTATGTGTTAGCAATGAGTAGATATAGCAACACATTTTTAAAATGTGAAATTATACATGCTTTCTTTGAAAAAAATATCTTGATTTGAAAAAAAATTCTTATTTTGATACTAGAGGGAAAGAAATCATCTGATCAATTAGAGGTGACCTGAAAGTGTGACACTTCCTTTTCCACATCTCTGCCTCTGTCTCATTCATGTAGAGACCTTATATAATGGAAACCAGGAGATTTGGCCTTTCATGGAAATCAGTCATCACTTACCTGAGACCTCCCTTTTTCCTTATTTTCCTCTATTCCTTCCCTGTCTCCTGTCCTTGCCCTCAGCTCGCTCCCTTCTACCTCTATTGAACATGAAATATGCCGAGTACTTGTTCTTACTCTTCATTGCCTTACAATCTTGGCAGAGAGGCCAACAGGTCAACGAGTTACTACAGTAAATGCAATTAAGTGCAACAGTAATGGAGTGTAATAACAAGTAATGAGAGCAACCAAACACACAGCTATGAGGAGTGGGGCGGGTATTCTGGAAAAGCCTCCAAGGGATGGTACCTGACCTGAGAGAAGAAGGGCGGGTGGGAGTGAAGCAGGGCCAGCCTCTGGGACAGGCATCCAAGAACCTCTTTGAGTTTGTTTACACACATTTCTAGCCCAGGCCACCTGCAAGCCACCTAAGGCTAAGGTTTTGCTTTCTGAACCAAGTATCTTTCACTTTCCTTCTTCAACAACGTGCTCTTCCTCTACTTTCACAAACAAATTCAAACCTAAGACTGTCATTCCAGAATACCACTGGCAATGAACCACCAAGTTTGCCTTACCAATTTTCCCTTATTCATATTGACTGTGTCTCCATTACACACAAAAAAAGCCTGGAGAGCAATTGCCCTTTACAATAGAAGTAATGCCATTTTCATGTTTCCCTCCAACCAGAATCTCTAGAGAAAGTTCAGGTTTGCCAAGATGTCTGGAAAAGAGCACCCAGAGTGAGCCAAATTTTGACTGTTGTCTTCAGAAAATCATGGATAATTTTTACTGCTCAATGACCTAGAAAAATCCCAAATATAATGCCCATTTTGAAACCATAAAATGTCCTGTAACACCAAAATGCTTGGTAAGCCTATTTTCAATAAAAGGATAAAACTTAGCTATTTGTCAAATAAGTTCTTTGAAGCCACAAGTGTTGCTTATTATTTTAGAAATTTCTACAGTTGGTGATAATCTGACTTGTAAAGTCATTTCTCAGTGGATTTCACCTAATGGAAATATAAATGCTTTGATGACTGAGTACTTTGATTGACCAAAGAGGAGAATTGATGTAATTACAAACCCACTTGTTCTTTGACGTCAGATGTTGTTACAACAAGAGAAGTCACTGCCTCAGAGAGTTTCAAAATATTATAATTTTGTTGAGGATTATTCCTTGCAAGGTTCAAAGATAGGTCCTTTCCATACTTTATTTTACTTAATCCTAATAGCAATTTATAAGATGCATAATATTGTTTTACGGATTAGGAAATTGAGATTTAGAAAAATTAAATAACTTGCTAGGGGTGAAAACCGAGGCTTGATGAAGCCAAGATTGAAACCCAGATGTGTCTAACTTCACAGCCTCCACTGCTGAAATATACTTTGTCTTCTCACTAGAAGCTGTAAGAGCAGCATCTGGTGATGTGTGAAAGAAATCGTTAAAGGGTGAAAGCAAAATCAAAGGCTATAGAAAATCTAACATAGAGACACATAAGACCTAGTCATCTGTATTTCTGGCATGTATCCTACTTTTGAACAATCTGTCATTTGTTTGTTGCAATTAACTCTGAGTTGTAGCCTGCCATGCTATTTCCTAAAATAAACAGGTACAAGGTTGAGAGTGTTTGCACTGGAATTACATATTCACATCCTCAAACAGGCTAGAAAATAAAACCACACTTTATGACTCAAACTGTCATCGGATGAGCTCATGTGTGGGGGACATGGTGGATGTTCCCAGCACACCAAGTAAGCGCTTGGTTACTTAGTAAGTCAGAATGATAATACCCATAATATTGCTGCAATTATTATACATTCTCACCACTGTCACACTGCTTAATTTGTGAAGTTTTGTTTTGTTGCTTTCCTTTAAACACAGATCTTCTTGGGTTATTATACGTAAAATTCTTTTAAGGTCAGGCGGAAGGGAGTGGGATGGGGAAGTAGAAGAAAGGAGTTGGTATAATTATTTCTGTTTAATAAAGAGCTAAGTTACTCACGTGTTTAAAAAGGCAAGCAGCATTCAGTGAGATTTTAACCTAAGGTGAAATCCAATCTCTTTGGGTACATGTTCTGGACCTTTCTAATTAAATGAGTGGGAAAATGTTTTTTTTCAACTACTGGGTTTGAGATAGAGCCAAAGAAAACAATTTATACAGCATTGAAAAAAAAAAAAAGTCTAGCAATATTAAGGCTTGAGAAACAAGAAGGCCTTGGGTTAAATTGAAATGCCAACTTGCCAGCCCAGAGCTCAGCTTGACAAATTACAATGTGAAGTCTCCCTTTAAACCCTGAAGCCTCAGCATCAGCGCGTATCGACTGCACCTGGCTTTGGGTATTGAAGCCCGTGCTTCCCTCCTTATAGGCATGTGGCCAGTTCTCTGTGGCATTTCCTTGGAAAATCACGACATGATCCTTAGTCTCAGTTCCTCATCTGTAAAATGAGAGAATTAGACTGACAAGAATTAGCTCTAAGGATTTGTCTAGAGTTAATGGTTCTTTTTTTTTTTTTTTTTTTTTTTGGGACGGAGTCTCACACTGTTGCCCGGGCTGGGGTGCAATGGTGCCACTGCAACCTCCGCCTCCCTGGTTCACATGATTCTCCTGCCTCAGCCTTCCAAGTAGCTGGGATTACAGGAACACACCACCACACCCAGCTAATTTTTTGTATTTTTAGTAGAGACGGGGTTTCACTATGTTGGCCAGACTGGTCTCAAACTCCTAACCTCGTGATCCACCCACCTCGGCCTCCCAAAGTGCTGGGATTACAGGTGTGAGCCACCATGCCTGGCCTAATTGTTAATTCTTAATCCAATATTGCTTCGCTTTGGGATCTAGAATGGTCTGCTGGCAACCTGTGGCATAATAATAAATATTTATTTAATCTTTGTCCCCATTTCCTGACAAAGAGACCCTGTAATTTCCTAAGCAATGGGGGTGACAGGGGAATCGTACACAGAGCTCATAAATCCCTTGGAATTTCCTGGGTGATAGGAGCATCCTTTGTTTTAATGAAGTGACTCTTGGTGGGCTTCTGGATAGCTTTAGAATGAAAGCTGGTTACTAGAAAGACCAAACCTTGGTTAGAAACCTAGAACTTCCAGCCCCACTCTCCCGAAACTCTAGGTAGGGGAGAGAGGATGGAGATTGAGTTAATAATAAACCATGCATATGTGATGAAATCTCCATAAAACCCCTTAATGATGACGTCCAGAGAGTTTCCGGGCAGGTAATGCTGCCACCATGCCAAGAGGGTGATGCACCCTAACCACAAGACAGACACCCCAGAACTCACTGTGTGAAACTCTTCATCCAGCTGTTCATCAGTATCCTTCATAACATCCTTTCCAATATGCTAATATATGTAAGTAAAGTGTTTCCCTGAGTTCTGTGAGCCATCATAGCTAATTATTAAAACTGAGGAGGGAATTGTGGGAACCGCCTGAGTTTACAGCTGGTCGAACAGTCCAGCTGATCTGATCTTGGTCTGGGACTTGCACTTGGCATCTGAAGTGGGGGCAGCCTTGTGGGACTCAGCTCTCGCTTTCTGGGTTCTGATGCTAACTCCAGGTGGTGTCAGAATTGAATTAAATTGTAGAACACCAGTTGGTGTCCAGACAGTTAGAGAATTGGTTGTTGGTGTGAGGGGGGCAAAAAAACCCCACTGTGCTGGGTGTGGTGGCTCACACCAGTAATTCCAGCACTCTGAAAGGCCAAAGCGGGTGGATCACTTGAGGCCAGGAGTTCGAGACCAGCCTGGCCAACATGGCGAAACCCTGCCTCTACAAAAAATAGAAAAATTAGCTGGGCATGGTGGTGGGTGCTTGTAATCCCAGCTACTCAGAAGACTGAGGCACAAGAATGGCTTGAACCCGGGAGGTGGAGGTTTTAGTGAGCCGAGATCACGCCACTGCACTCCAAACCCCAAAATTCCCACACATTTGGTATCATAAGTGTTCTGGGGGTAGAAACAGATTTTAGTACAACCCAACATACATTTATTATGTATTATGTGTGTATAAAATACATAATATATTTTATTGAGTATTATTATGTTAAACTCATCTGCATACAAAATCAAGCAATTGTATTCATAATGCAGATACTAGAACCTTTAAATTATTTCTAGTGCATGAGAACAGTTTTTGGAGAATGTGGATCATTACATCCTTTTGACTGTGTGGATAATAAAAAAAAAACTCTTATGTAATACAACCGACTACACTTATCATTACATAACACTAGTTCTTGCAGGAGTGAGTTTTTCTCTTTTTACTAGCAGTATTATTTCTGAATTGAAAGGGATAAAATATAAAGATTCCAACTCATCTTACTTCACTGAGGACTCAGAGTGAGTTGAGTCATCATGCGCAAGGTAGATAACATGAAAGCACACTTTCTGTGTAGCTCCTTCCATTTTCTACATTCAGGGCAAAAATTACTTGGTAGGCACAGTTAGATCTCAAGGTGTCCAAAGTGCTGACTTTTCTTCCAGAAGTGGTGCTAGCAATTGATCACTTATTATTTATTTTTCAAAATCGCATAGTAAGAATTTGTAACAGGTTGTAGTCAACAAACTGCCTGCACATAAGAATTACTTGGGAAGTTTGCTAAAAATTCAGACTCAAGAATCCCTCCTTAATCCTGCTGTCTCGAAATTTCAAGGAATCTGCATTTTCAAGGATGATCTATGTGAGCTTTATAAAACATGCCACTTGAATGAAAACTAGCATTTGGAGATGTCTGGGAAAACAACACACATATACCAAGTGTTTTAAAGTAGCTGCACAACTCAAATCTAAAAGTTAATGACTATTCCAAGTTATTTATTCAACAAATATTCCCTGTGTGCCAGTATGTGCCAAACATCCTTCTAAAGGTGGGGATTACTGTAATAAACAAAACAAATAAAAGCTTTGCCTTTTCACAGGGGAAACTTACAAAAATAAGTAAAGAGATAATTAAAATAGATGCAAGTTATCACAAAGGATATATTATGAAGGTAAGAAAAGGCATAGAGAAATGCTTTGGGTGAGATGATGAGAAAAATCCTCTCCTAGGAGTTAACATTTAAGTAAATGACATGAAGAAGTCAAGCACATAATTGTTCAGACAGTGCAAACAACGTGTGCAAAATCCTGTGGCTGAACCAAGATTTGAGTTTTGAAACTTGAGTCTTTGAAATTTGGTTTGTTGAAACCAAGGGAGAGTGTGAGGTGAAGTGTAGTGAGCAAAGGACTAGTACCAAGGCCGGGCTGCAGAAAACATGGTCTGATCTCAGAGGACCTATGGATATGATAAGGGATTAGGATTTTATTCTAATTGCTATGAGAGGATGCTGATGAGAGTTTTAAGCTGAAAATGATATAATACAAACCACTTTTAAGAAGAATGCTGGTGGCTCACACCTGTAATCCTAGCACTTTGGGAGGCCAAGGTGGGTGGATCACCTGAGGTCAGGAGTTTGAGACCAGCCTGACCAACATGGTGAAACCCCGTCTCTACTAAAAATAGAAAAATTAGCCAGGTGTGGTGGCAGATGCCTGTAATCTTAGCTACTTGGGAGGCTGAGGCAGGAGAATCGCTTGAATCCTGGAGGTGGAGGTTGCAGTGAGCCAAGATCACACCATTGCACTCCAGCCTGGGCAACAAGGGTGAAACTCCATCTCAAAAAATAAAATAAATAAAATAAATAAAGAAGAAGAAGAATGAATGAATGAATGAATGGAGAACGGGTTAGCTAGAGACCAGAGGAAAAGCTGGGCCTAAAATTCTCATGTTCTTACATAGAATTCAAGCGTACAATTTTACAAAGGGTTCTGGTACACAAAAAAAAGATTGCAAATGCTTGATGTGTACTGAGGAGATAGCAATGACTATGTTTTAATAAAAAGATACTTTTCTTCTTAAATTACATATAAAATATTGTCTATTAATATTTATTAAAACTGTATTTTGTCAGAAACCACTTATTTTTCATCAGAGAAAGCAAAGTGAAAATATAATTTATACAAATTATATATTTTCATAAATCATTTCTTTTTGTTCAAAGAAAGGAAAGTGTTTATTACAAGATGAATAGGACAAACAAAACACATTATGGCAAAGAGAAAAAGAGATATTAAAAACTGGGCAGTTAAAATCAAATTCAATAGTGGAAAGATAGAATTAAGATGTTCAAGTAGGCTGGGCGCAGTGGCTCACGCCTGTAATCCCAACACTTTGGTAGGCCGAGGTGGGTGGATCACGAGGTCAGGAGATCGAGACCATCCTGGCCAACATGGTGAAACCCCTGTCTCTACTAAAAATACAAAAATTAGCCGGATGTGGTGGCGGACACCTGTAATCCCAGCTACTCAGGAGGGTGTGGCAGGAAAATCACGTGAACCCAGGAGGCGGAAGTTGCAGTGAGCCGAGATTGTGCCACTGCACTCCAGCCTGAGCAACAGAGCAAGACTCCATCTAAAAAAAAATAAAATAAAATAAATAAAGATTCAAGTAATGTTTTCTAGCCAACTTATCCTGCTTGGTATGCATATTGACCAAAGCATTTTGCTAGCTACTTAAGGCTTCATTTCTCTCTGAAAGGGCTATTTGAGCTCAAAAATAGTACTTTTTTTTTTTAAAAAAAAGATGGATTGACGGATAAATAGAGGTATATATAAATTTACAGATATGTCATAAAGAAAAATATAAGTTAGAATTTTCTGGGTAGCTAGTATATGGTCATTTTCATAGACTTCTATTTTTTTCTGTATTTTTCAAATTTTTTGCAGTAAAAGGCAGGGGAAAATAACACACCGAGTATGTATCTCAAATCTCTACATAATACCGTATGAAGTGTCTCTATTTTAAAAAAACAGGTATGTCTCAGGCACATTTAGTATTTACTAAACTAAATACTAGGTTTAATTGAAATTTACCCAATATACATATTTCTTTTTAGTATTTATCAAGAAATAATTGGAATGATGGAGACTGCATTTTAGCAAAATCCTTACATGGAAAATAGCCTTCAAATAAAATGTTACTTTTTTTGCTGAAGAAACAAAAAACTTTGGTAAAAATAATTTCAGGAAGAGCTAGGTGTTTACTTTCTGTAGGTTTTTTTTTTTTTTTTTTAGATGGAGTCTCGTTCTGTCACCCAGGATGGAGTGCAGTGGCACGATCTCAGATCACTGGAAGCTCTGCCTCCCAGGTTCATGCCATTCTCCTGCCTCAGCCTCCCAAGTAGCTGGGACTACAGGCGCCCGCCACCACGCCTAGCTAATTTTCTTGTATTTTTAGTAGACAGGGTTTCACCGTGTTAGCCAGGATGGTCTTGATCTCCTGACCTTGTGATTTTTCAAGGAAATGGCTGAGTGCATTGCTTTTTTAAAATTTTTAATTGAATATAATAGAAAATTATATAAAAGGGAGAATGAATATCCAGAGATGAACACTGATAACACATAGATATATGTTATATTTTTTAAAGAAAAACAAGCAGGAGGCCATTAGCCTGAGACTATCTTCATACTTTGAGTTCCTACTTAACAAACTACAACCTAACTTAGTACATAAGCTAACAGAAACCTAACTTAGTGGTATATTTTTTGTAACAAATAGCCAGATTTCGCCAGTCACAGGCAGCAAATTCATCCCACCATGCACAAATAAGGCAAATGTCCAGCTATAGCCAACCAGGTGATTTCTCTATTTTGTTTCTGTGTGCAGCCTATAAAAGGTCACTGCTCATGCTGCTTGGCAGAGCTCTCCAAACCTCTCCCAGTTCTGAGTGCTATCTGATTCGTGAATTGTTCCTTGCCAAATAAAATCTGATAAATCGTATTTGACTAAGGTTACTTAAAAACATATTCAAAGCTTTTTTCTCTCCATAGCCTGTGTGTTCATATTTATTTTCAATCTTACAGGCAAGT
The DNA here is from genome assembly GCF_000001405.40 of Homo sapiens. NCBI lineage: Eukaryota > Metazoa > Chordata > Mammalia > Primates > Hominidae > Homo > Homo sapiens. The sequence goes on from NC_000008.11 coordinate 57,586,885, forward strand.
TTCTGCTCGAGAGCACCATGTAGGAGAAAAGTACATGGAGATATCCTGAAGCACCCAGCAGCATGCTCATATGGGAGCCAGGATGAGGTTAGCTTGGAAAAGGACCACCAGGAAAATGTGGCCTTAAAGGCAGGGTGGAAGGGGAAGTAGAAAGGGAATGTGAAGAGAGGAAGGCGTATGAGGAAGAGAAAATAGGAGAGAAGAGGTTAGTAAGGACAACAGAAAGGAGGGCACACTGAACTAGGGACTCAGACAACAAAGACAGGCCTCTCTGTGCATGGCCACCTGGCAAGAGCCTGAGGCCTGGCTCCCCACTTTGGTCTGTGACCCCCCACAGCAGCATGTTGCTCCCCTCACCAGCTCCAAATGGGGCCTGTGCACTGGCATTCTCTGGCCAAAGTGTGCTTGCCAATAGATTCCATGGCCCCCTTCTATGGAATTGCAGCCTCCGGCAGTGGGAGGCACAAATATTGACAAAGGGACTGAAGGGCAAGTGTGGATGCCCCATCCTTCATTCTCTGTAGATGGAATATTTGATAGCACTCAAATTGCTCCGGGGTGTAAGCAGTGTCACTGAAGGTCTTGTTTCAAAACACAAAGGATCTGAAAGAAGGCAACTGAAAGTGGTTGAACTAAGAACTTCCTGAGTCAGCAAGAAACAGTTGGCAGGCACTGTTTGCATTTCCACTCTTTTTCTGCATCAGCAACAGGGAAAAGCTAAGCTCAGCGTCCTTCTTTACTGAGAATATCACTAATGAGCCTGGTATTAACTTCAAGCTCTCTTCGTTGCCTTGCAGGACACCTGTTCCTGAAGTTCTCCAAGGTTTCCATATCATAAGAATGGCCTGATTTTGTAAGAATTTCCCCTAAATTAGGAAGTCAAGCTGTAAATCATGGCTCGGGCACTGACCTCCTCTGGGACGTCAGGAAAGGCATTAACCTGCCTGGTTTCCCTGTATTCCTCCAGAAAATGGAAGGCACAGTTCAGTTCCCAGATGCTTGGAGAGCTCTTTCACAACATCTGCAAAGTTAGCTAAAGCTACTCAGCCATGAGTGATTTAGAAATTCAATACCTTGTTATCTTTATGGATTGAAATGGATTTTTGAACACTGCTCTTGCAAGATGGTCTTTCTTCAAATACATTAGCTACATTTCTTCTTGGATTGAGAACCAACAACAACAACTTATTGTTTAGGAGTTACCCATGTTCTAATACAAAGAGATATGACAGTCATCACGGCTTACAATAAATCACTCTCTGCTCAGTCTCCTGACAGCTGACTTTGTAAATCAGACACAAGAAAAGAGCATACCATGCCTAGTCTGTGAGTATATCTCTCAATATTTCTCTTTCTCCAGGGCCAAAGTATTGGACAGGTGCCTGGATTCACATTAGCCTTAGCCTATTTGTTTCTTTGCCCTGTCATCACACCTGTGAGGTTTGGCTTCTAAGGGAAAAGAAAAGCCAGAAAAAGGACTTTTCCACCAGCATCATCTCTAAGGCCACATTCTCAAACAGGAAACACAAACCTTCTTTCCCCTTTGGCAGCATTGAGGTGTGTGCTATCCAGAGTCCACCTGCTGTTGTTCAAGCACGGGTTTGCCCTGAAAAGGCAAAGTTGAAAGATTCTGCCCTGAGTTGTGTAAACACCATCACCACATTAGGAAAAATGTTTACAGAAATGGAGTTTCCACCATTTGAGCTAGTTGTTTAGTGGAGGACATTAAGATTGAGGGTTGCTTAAACTCTGCCAAGGGAGAATCCCAAGTTTCTCTCCTTTCAACTGTGTCCTTCCGTGTAGGTAAAATATAACATGAGCAATGGCATAGGTTATAAATATGGAGGAACTTAAAATGAATTGTTGGTAATTGTGTACTTTGACACGTATGTAATTTGACATATGCTAGCTATTTAGAGGGGGGAGTGTTTGTAAACTAAAAATAGGAAAGAGTTCCTTTCCTGTTAAAAAGAGAGCTCCACTGTATTTTAATGAATCTTTCTGTTCTCTGCCTGCTTCTGCTTGCTGTATTTGTGTAGATTTTTCAGAAGATGATTTTTATAAATAGGCTACTTGCTTACACATATTGCTAATAGGTATGGGAAGCCTTAGAAAGACACTCTAATGCCACATTTTAACCCACAACAAAGCTTAATGAGAAGGAATTCAGTTGGCAAATGAAGACCTGTCAGATCATTCTTTAAGGCACGTGACATGTAATACTAACACATTTAAAGGTGACTGGCATTGTTTTATTCTTGGCGATAAAAAGGAAATCAGAACATGGTGGAACCACTTCTAAGCTCCCTAAGACATAACCAACAACAGAGATGTTTGATGTCCCCAAATGAATACCTGTTAAAGTTAAGAATCTTGGATAGAGTAAAATCACTCTACCTAAATGAGCCAAATCGAATTCAATTCAACCAGCAACTACTGAGTGTCAACTGTAAGCTCCCAGCGGTTTTGGAGCTGAGATCATTTCTAAAGCATCACTTTCGCTTCATGAGCTTATTTAAAAACATCCTCATACAATGCTATCTATGTTTTAAATGAGAGATTTAGGATTTGGGAACAGCAAGGCATTGACTCAATTCCACACAACTCATAGATACTAAAACTAGGACCAGATCTCTCGAAGTTTCTCTCATTCAACTTACTGATTAATAGTTTCTGAGTACCTCCTAAGTGCCAAGTACTGTGCTACATGCTGGGACATGATTCTGTTCTGAGAAGAACAGGAAAGATGAGAGACTCATGGGCCTTGGGGTTTGAAGAGGAAGACTTACATTTAACAGATAAACTTGAGTGAATGCTCGCTTATACATTATTTTATTAAAGGCCTTTCTGAGGAAGTGACATTTGAAACTTGACACTTGAAGGAGTAAATTAGAAAAAGAACAGGGGATGTTGCAGGTTGGGAGACAGGTGGGGGCAGAAGGTCAATTCACATTTCTTGAAATCCTCTCATGTAATGGGGGCTCAGGCTCTGGAAGAGAGATGGAGACCATGGGTGAGTCTGGGGCTCTGGAACAAGCATGGGCCTCAGAGTCACCCAGATTCAGGACAGGGGACCATGTCTGCCCCTAGTCATCTAGGCCAGGGGTTCTCAAACTGTGATCCCGGTCCAGGATCAGCCTTATAGGGGAACTTGTTAAAAATGCAAATTCTCAGGCCCCAGCCCAGATCTCTGAATTAAAACTCTGGAGGTGGGGCCCAGCGATCTGAATTTTAATAAGCCCTTCCGGGGTCTCTGATGCAAGCTAAAGTTTAATAACCTGATCCATGTTACTTTGAGCAAGTCACTTAACCTCTCTAAGTCTCCATTGCTTCAATTGCAAAATAGGGTAATACATTGAGGGTCAAATGAAATACATTTGTTACATACTTGTACTCAATAAATACTACTATTATAACAGTTATTAGGTCAGTAACCCCTCTTGAGGTACCCAAAGTGTGATAGAAGTAAGCGACAGAAAACAATCACATTACCCTGAGAGCCATACTACAGAGCACACGGCAAAAGCTGTGCAGTGGTTAAGTCAAGGAGATGTTCTTTCTGCTATGATACAGTGTCCACTTCTCTCCATCATCTCCACCAGGTAAAGCAAGATTGCCACTGGTTTTGTAGGCTGGGAAATATTGGTATATCCAATTAATCGACAGTGGCTTTGATCAGGACCAACATATATTTTAGTGCATTTACACTGCAGTCTAGCAATTTTTGGTTTATGCAGTGTGTGTCTTCATCTATAACTGCATAAATGCAGCACAGCATTGTTTGCTTTGCTTTGAGGGTTCTGAAGGGCTATTGACCACTGGCCCTGTTTTAACTTGAACTACAAATGTCCTAAGTGTGTGACACCAAAGGTGACTCCGTCCTGAGAGCTCTGGGCATTCTGTAATTAGAAGAGAACTTTGAAATTGCACCTCCAGCTGCTACAAAATTAGAATTCTGCTATTTGGAGCTGACAGGTAGCCACAGTCGACTGCTGATTCACAGACTGTGATTCATTGAAAACGCCAATTCTGTCTTCCTGGATTTGTGAGATGCCTCGTATACCTCTGCCAAGTTAATTTTCTTAATGTGAAAAGGGTGTGTGAGTTTCTGAACTCAGCTTGCCTTGAGATCTTGACAAAAGGTCACCCCAAGTATAATCTGTTTTCATCTGTATTTCCACCCCAAATCAGCCACAGCTCAAGTTGGAAGATTTAAAGGGGAGAGTCTGGCAAGTCATGGACTGAGCTAGTTTAAGAAACCCCAGAGGAAATTTCCATTCAGAGCATGCTTTATAGGAACCACGTGGGTAGGTTTTCTCCAGTTAGAGTGAGATGCTGAAGGTTTCCAAGACAGAGCCCGGGAGGTCTCCACTTTCTAGCCACAAACCATGCACTGACGACACAAGCAGCTTTATTGTATATGTTTTCATTAAAATTGTATGATTTACAAACAAGCACAAATACACAAGTAAGTCATTTCTATTTCTATTTCTCCACTTCTCTGAGAAGTAACCACTAGTGTTGTGCCTACATTTAAAAAAAAGGAACTTCTTAAATGAATATAATTATGTCTTTTTTATTTCTTTCTGTGCCAGAGAAAGACACTGAAGGAATTAAATCAGCTTGTCCAGCAGCAAGCTTCAGAGCCAAATATAAGCACACCTCATAATTCAGAGACCTCGTGATGGGTCCTCAGAAGACACACCCAGCAGCTGCCAAATGAACAGCAGATGACGGAAAGGGGCCCTTGGCCTGATCTCTCATGGGAGACAGTGACCTTTCCTGAGTTGAAGATGGTGAAATGCCAGAAGGAGCTGATGAGGCTGTCCCACACACTGACACTGCTATGATATCATGATTGAATTTCACTTTTTTCTCCCACCATAATGTAATTTCTGGGCAGTGATTGGGGTGTTGATTCATAAACACCCCTTACTGTTCTGCATTGGATTAATCATGATGTACTGTCTTTTTCTCACTATTTACAAAGTACAGCACCATGAGAATCCCTGAATTTTAGAATAAGTTTCTCTCCACTGGAATATAACACATATTTTGGGTTCTTTGCCTGGACTGGTCATTTCTTTCTTTTACTAATTGTTGTGAAAGAATGACAGAGATGTACAACATGGTTTTTGAATGGATGCTGAGTTTAACTCTCCCGCTTACCAGAGATAAAGTTGGCCATACACACACGTCTCTTATATAAGAGTTTATTCATTGGCAGACACTTTGATGATGACATTGAGTTAGATGAAATACTGGTTCCAGTTTGTAGCACTTTATGAATTTTCATGTAAAGTGATCATTCAATTTAAGGTTTCTGCACACATCTTACAAAGCATATCTGTTTATCAGAGCTCATTTACTTAAGAGGATTAAAATGAAATCTCTCCTCATGAGCCAAGGGTGAAATAGCTAGTGTCCGCTCCTAAATATGTGAACTAATATGTTTTTCCATGGGCAAGCAAGATTTTGTTTTTCTCCTATTTTTCTTCTTCAGAAGGAAATGATTAAAATATTAATAACACAAAAATAAATATACATTATAAAACTCAAAAAAATAAGGATTTTTATTGGAGTAAAGTTTTTAGTGGAGTAAATTATACAATATTAAAAAAGCAATGGAATTTAAAAGCATGCCATTTTTAAGTTTCCCTTTATTAATACATTAGCATACACAAAATCTCAATTAAAAATTGCTTTAAAAGATACTAAGTGCCATTCAACTCTTATTCTTTTATCATCTTCAAAATAGCTGTTTAAATCTATATTTATACAAAATAGCTGTTTAAAAAATATCTTTTTTTAATTTTTTTCATTTTTTTTCATTACAAGTACCTTTTTTTATTTATTTTTTATTATTATTATAAGTTTTAGGGTACATGTGCACAATGTGCAGGTTTGTTACATATGTATACATGTGCCTTGCTGGTGCGCTGCACCCATTAACTCGTCATTTAGCATTAGGTATATCTCCTAATGCTATCCCTCCCCCCTCCCCCCACCCCACAACAGTCCCCAAAGTGTGATGTTCCCCTTCCTGTGTCCATGTGTTCTCATTGTTCAATTCCCACCTATGAGTGAGAATATGCGGTGTTTGGTTTTTTGTCCTTGCAATAGTTTACTGAGAATGATGATTTCCAATTTCATCCATGTCCCTACAAATGACATGAACTCATCATTTTTTATGGCTGCATAGTATTCCATGGTGTATATGTGCCACATTTTCTTAATCCAGTCTATCATTTTTGGACATTTGGGTTGGTTCCAAGTCTTTGCCATTGTGAATAGTGCTGCAATAAACAAACGTGTGCATGTGTCTTTATAGCAGCATGATTTATAGTCCTTTGGGTTAAAAAAAATCTTAATAGAGTTTATATTTTAGAGAAGTTTTAGATTTGCAGAACAATTATGCAGAAAGTATAGAGAATTCCTATATACTTTCCCCCACCCACACACATGGTTTCCCTATTATTAACATCTTGCACTAGTGTAGTACATTTGTTGCAATTGATGAACCAATATCAGTACGTGATTATTAATGGAGTCCATACCATAGTTTACGTTGTGGTTCACTCTCTGTGTTGCACATTGTGTAGGTTTTGACAAACGTTGCAATGCCATGTATCCACCATGACAGTCCCATACAGAATAGTTTCACTGTCCTAAAAATCACCTGGGCTCCACCTATTTATCCCTTCCCCGAGCCGACCGGTGCCACGAACCACTGGCAACACTGACCTTTTTACTGTTGCTATAGCTTTACCTTTTAAAGAATATCTTTAAGTTGGAGTGACACAGCATGTTGCTTCTTCAGATGTTTTTTTCACTTAGCAAAATGCACTTAAAGTTCCTTTATATATTTTTGTGGCTTGATAGCACATTTTCTTTTGTAGCTAAATAATATTCCATTGTCTGGATGTACCATAGTTTGTACAAAACAACATTTTTATTGTGAAATAGTCATATAACAACAGTATTTAAGTGTATTATATGTAGATTAGCATTACCCTATTTCTGTGATGTGACACGTTGTGTTTATTCTTATTTCATAACCTCTATGAACAAATAGGTTCTTCTGTGAGGAGAGGCCTTTCCCAGGAGCTGACTGCAGCTACCATCCCTGGAGATCACAAGTTTCTCTCTTCTCTCCTTTGACTTTTCCACCAGAGTTTACTGATGTGGCCAAATTCTCCCAGGCAAGTCCCTGAAACTCAGCCTTCCCATTGGCTTTGCACCCTGGTTTCCTCCTCCATTTCCACATGAATCTCGGGACGATTCCACATCCTACCTATATTGCTGTCACCAGAGAGGGTCCAGATATCCAAACTCATAAGTTGCTTTACAACTAGCATCTTTTCCTGGGAGCCTCTTTTCTTTCCAGGTGCCCTCTCTTCTGTTTTTGTGCCTATCCCGCCACCAGTCCGCAGCCTGTGAGCTCCTTTTACATCCTCTGCCTGCCTTCCGCAGTGGTGATCATTCCCAGGAACCCACTGCCAGCTCCCCTCTCATTCTCTCAGCTTCGCGTATGTGCTGAAGACCGACTTTGCCAGGCCACTGGACAAGATAGTGGTCCTAAAGAGGAATACGATGCAGTGAGTCATCTCGAGCAGTTTTCAGACAAACGACAGAAAAGAGAGCTAGCCTCTGCATTTCCATGCAATCCATGGTCTTCAACTGTTACTCTGAGAGTCTATCATTATTCCAAACTCTCGCATTATCTTGACTGGATAGCACTCAACACAATACCTTTCGTATGGGGTCTTCTGAGGCTTTAAAGTCTTCACCTTCTTTCCACTTACCCTGGATATCTGCCTCTCTCTGACTGGCTGCATTAAATTACCAAATAGAGATTTGGTAACATCCCTACCTGCAGATGATCTCCTGGCGAGGCCTCTCACCTGTCTCTCCACTGCTCTACTTCAGACCTCTTTACCTCATGGCATGGCACCATCCTGCCAATAGTCCCTCCAAAACAGCTACCAAACTGTCACCAAGGGAATCTTAATTAGTGCCTAATTTTCCATCCCATAACAATCATGAGCACAGGACAGGGCGATGTGTGTAGAAGTTGGAGTCAGTGTGGCTTCACTAAGCAGCCTCTCACCTTTTTCCTCATAACTTCACCCTGCTGGCCCCTAAACCATCACCCCAGTATGACCACGTCCATATTCCTCCCTAAGTCAAGCACCAAGGGTCAGAGCCCAGACAGTTACTTGGCTGACCCCTCGTGGCCCACATCACAAACATCATTCAGCCTTTTCCAAAGCCTTTTCCTTTTCCAGAAAGTCAAGAGTCTAAAATCATCACAGCAAACATCCTGAGGCATCTCACTGGCCATTAAACCATTGTCTTTGCAGTTTAGACTGTGTTTCTTTACTCTATTAAATACACTTCCCTTACTCCTTCCATCTCAGAGTGTGGTGGATATAGAAACATGCACACATGCACGATCCAACGAATAAAGATAAACCAGGGGTTCATAGAGGATGCATAACAGTCCATTACTTATTTATGCAAAGTAACTAAACCATGGTGAGGGGTCTTTTCCTTCCTGGCACAGTACTCTTTCTGTATTAGAGTCACATGTCTGCAGAAGTCTGCTCCAAATTCTCTCAATATTGCCTGCTTTGCAACCCTTTAGGCTCAAATCATTCTGCCCCATTGCCACACTGATGCTCCTCTGACAATTCCTTATAATCCTTTCCAAGTTAGGTGTAAAGTCAAGTATAAGAGATATGAGTTTCTTACAGAGGTTTGTCTGTCGTACAGGATTTCATTTTTTTTGTTATTGCTTGGTAATTGTTTTATATGAAAACATTTTCTTTTTTGTTTCTCCCTGCCTGTTCTCTGAGTTGAAGCCTCTAAAATTATATTGAAACTTTCCCATCTTGAGAGATATAGGTTTCCAAAAAATAACAGCACACCTATAGCATTTTACCTGCTGAAACATCAATGCTAAGGGAATTTAGCAATTGACGACTTGCTGGGCAATTTAGCCCCATTTTAATCCTGTAGTAGGTTGGGAGGCAGTGCAAGAGCCACTTATGGAAAAAGCAGACATGAGGGTACTTGCTGGTAACATAGGGAAAAGGTTACTATGCTTTTACATGTGAGATATCTGTCATCCTATTATGTTTTAAAAAAACCAATTAGGATAAAAAGGCAATTAGTACTTAGCTGCCTACATTGAGAGTTACCATGAGCAGACAAATTATTGCCTTTGAAAATATTGATTGTCAAGAAACATCATCATCTTACCAAATATGTATGTGCATATGGGAGCATTACTGTATCAGCATTCATTTAATTGAAAGCAATCTCATCATTATTCATTGATATATACTCTTAAATGTGGGTAATTACTTTCTCAGCAAGAGTTCATTATGAGGTATATACAAATTATCATTCCTTTAAATATAGGGGGATATGTAGGATTCAAAACTGAGGTGAAGCTGCTTCTTAGTGCATTCTCAGTGTAAGATGCAGCTTTGGAGGGCTTTATGAGGAATTTTAAAAGTGGCCTTTACTACAGCTGCAAATGCATGAATGTGTCATGCATTTGTAGCTGTAGAATTATTAAACACTTGCTCCAGTTGGAATTGCTGTTGTTTGCCATTATCTGGTTAGTATAAGCATTTTAGAGTAACATTAGGGCTTTGGTAGTTTTTATGCCTAGGTATTAGAATACTCCAGTTGTGAGTTTTGCCTCCTTGGAGTTGTTTCTTGAAGGGGAACAAAGACAGTTTTTGTCAAGCACTTTGAAGCTTCAGTCTAACCTTGCACAGTCCTTACTTGGTAAACAGCCCTGAAAGAAGCTGTTTAAAGTTGTGAAAACATATCAGAAGCAGAACTTCCTTTTTTCTTAATTTAAGAGAAAATTAGGAAAGTCTGGAAATGAGATTTGCCAGAGGAGATATCTTATGAACCCTGACTTTACATCCCACTGAAAAACTATGATAGAGTTTAATAAACCAAACCTATTAGTTACCATCTGCACACGAGAGGAGAGAGAATTTCTACTATCTGTAATAAAAAAACTAATTTATTTAGATCTCCTGTTGTGTTCTGAGATTGCTTTCCATAGATTTGGGGGAGTTTCATAGTTCACAAAAAGAGAATATAAATTTCTGCTTAGGAATTCAGTGCAGCAATATCCAGAGGAATGTTCCAGCATTTCTTTCTATTCTTTTGTCTTAAAACATCCTCTTAGTATATTGCAAAAGTAATGACCTTGGAAAACCATTTTTTTCCTATGAAAAGAGGATATATGAACATCTCCAGACTGTCACAAAGCAAAAATAAATCAAAGCTTGTTGTGGGAAGTCAGGGACCCCAAATGGAGGGACCTGCTGAAGCCATGGCAGAAGAACATAAATTGTGAAGATTTCATGGACATTTGTTAGTTCCCCAAATTAATACTTTTATAATTTCTTACGCCTGTCTTTACTGCAATCTCTGAACATAAATTGTGAAGATTTCATGGACATTTATCACTTCCCCAATCAATACTCTTATAATTTCCTATGCCTGTCTTTACTTTAATCTCTTAATCCCATCATCTTCATAAGCTGAGGATGTATGTCACCTCAGGACCCTGTGATGATCACGTTATCTGCACAAATTGTTGGTAAAGCATGTGTGTTTGAACAATATGAAATCTGGGCACCTTGAAAAGAACAGGATAACAGCAAATTTCAGGGAACAAGGAGATAAATAACCATAAGGCCTGACTGCCTGCAGGGCTGGGCAAAACAGACTCATATTTCTCTTCTTTCAGAAAGCGAATAGGAGAAATATCGCTGAATTCTTTTCTCAGCAAAGAATAACCCTGGGAAACAAATGCATTCCCAGGGGGAGGTCTCTAAAATGGCGGCTCGGGAGTGTCTGTCTTATGCAGTTGTGGATAAGGGATGAAATATGCCCTGGCTCCCACAGTGCCCCCAGGCTTGCTAGGATTAGGAAATTCCAGCCTGGCAAATACTAGTCAGACCGGTTCTCTGCTCTTGAATCCTGTTTCCTGTTAAGATGTTTATCAATGACAATGTGTGCCCAGCAGGACATGGACATTCATCAGTAATTCTAGTTTTGCCCTGGCCTTGTGATCTCACTCTGCCTCTCTGCCCTTGTGATATTTTATTGCCTTTGAAGCATGCGATCTCTGTGACCCACTCCCTATTTGTACACCCCTCCCGTTTTGAAATCCCTAATAAAAACTTGCTGGTTTTGCCACTCAAGGGGCATCACAGAACCTGCTGACATGTGATGTCACCCCCAGAGACCCAGCTGTAAAATTTCTCTTTTGTACTCTTTCTCTTTATTCCTCAGACTGGCCGACACTTACGGAAAATAGAAAAGAACCTATGTTGAAATATTGGGGTCTGGTTCCCCCGATAAAAGCTCATTTTTTCACAGAATATACCATGGTAATTGAAAATAAACATCATTAGACATATTTCCTTTCTCTGTTTCCTTAAATATACAGCCCCTGACCTCCAGTAGCCTAAAATTTGAAATAATATAGACATTAGAGAATTTTTTTTTCAAAAACTATATGGGAGGTGACGATGTCACACTTTCAGAAGAAGCTCTAGAATCTTACTATGATGTCTTCACAACTTTGCTTTCTCTGTGATATGCTCTGGTGACTGATTGCTTTATCTCTATTATTGAGCTCTGTGTTGACTACAAAACCCATTGATAAGAGAGACAACAAGTCATGTTTAAGTGGCTAACAGGCCTTTTGAATAGAATAGCTAGTTTTTATAAACTCATTGGGTGTTCTAAGAATTCTTTCTGCCAGTTGAAACAAAATTTGTTACTTTCAAAAAACTTTGGAGGAATGTAGCTCACAGGTCAATTATTTAACATATTTTAAAAAAACCATCCTTTGGTGTTTTCCTTTGTAAGAATTAGGGTCTGCTAGAAGGGGACACAATATTATTACAATTTTAAAGTGGGAAAAAGAATCCCACAAATATTCAGTACTGTATAAATGAACAGCAGGCAGGTAAAAAACAAACAATCAAACAAAGAAGAGATCAAACAAAATAGGCTAGAATTCTGTGTAGGGAATGAATAGGTTTCATTAAAAGCCTCCAAACTAAACTCCTCAAAACATGCAAAGTGGAAGTTATCATAGGTGTCCACCAGAAGGCTGTGACTGGGAAAGCTGTGCTGGGACTCACATGTCCACCTTGCCTCTCACCACACCTCGGCTCTCTGCCCTCTCCAGCCCTGCAGGGAGCTTATCCTGTCCAACAGGAAATGGCCAAGGACTTGTGATAGAGTGAGAGAGACTAAACTTAGGAGGAAAAGTCAAGATCCAGGACAAAAACCGCGTTTTTGTAATTAAAGTAGCCAGAACTTGAAGAGAAGAAATGGCTTATCCAAGATTGTACAACCATTTTTTTGATGGTTAGTGAGACGGATAATTTTTGACAAGTATTCTTGGGGGTAGCAATTTTAATTTCTTTGTGGAATCTGAGGAAGAATTTCAATCCTTCTGCTCGGTCTATAAAGCATAGGCCATTGTATTCAGCATGAGAGTGATAATCTCTGAAACTTAACCTTCCACTCATGTATTCATTACTTAGTCTCTTAGCACTGTATGGGCAAGAAGGATATAAAGATAAGAAATGCTTAAAAGTTGTGGAAAAATAGATTATAAAACTTTTATCCATTTATTTAACCAAAATTTATTGAACATGTATTATGCGCCAGGCTCTGATGTAGGCACTGAAATGAAATCTTGGACAAGACAATAAAGATGTCTAATTATTTTTGATCTTATTTTCTATTAGAGAGAAATACCAATAAGCAAAAAAACCCTACAACCTAAAAGTACCAGCAGGAGATTAGCGCTAAGACAAAACCACATGGTTGTGAATTGGAGGGAGGTGGAAATCTCCAGTTCTTTGGATTAAGGGGCTGTGTTTCTCTGGAGAGGTGACCTTTTGAGCTAAGGAGGCCAGGAGGATGGGCTTTTCTGGGGCAGCACCGGCCCAGATGGAGTCTCCAGCTCCTTGTACCATCCACACAGCTACCTCCAATTACTTTTCCACAGATAAATTAATGACCTGATCATTGCAGTAAAGAGACTGGAATATGTCTGTTAGTGGTAAACCCTTGCGCACCCTCTCCACAACCATGACCTTAGACCATGGTCTTCAAACTGACACACTTGCTCCAGGCTTATCACAATTGTCTCCTACATAAGGGCTCTCCCTTCAATACAATCATTTTAGGGTGACAGATGAAATTCTCTCAGTCTCTTACTGCTCTAAAACACATAATACTTTACAGTAGCCTAAACCCAACTTCTTAGTCTCTCACTCAAGTTCTTCCTCAGGCAGATTTCCAACATCAACCTTATTTTTGACCTGGCCACTCTCCTATCTAGCAGGCAGCGATATTGCTGTCTCCCCAAGTCCCACATTTATCCATCTCTGTGGTTTGGATTTTGTCATCTTTTCTACCCATAATACGTTCATCTCTCATTTCCATATCAAAATCTTTCCCATTGCTTAAAATTTAGCTCAAATTCCACCAACTTTATAGACTATTCTCCAGTCACTCCACTGACTTGGAAACCTGGTTATACCACTGATAAATTTTTATTTATTATTTTTTATTTTAGAAATTCTGCTATGACTTTTCACACATTTCTAAGATATAGAATCCACCTAAATGTCCATCAACACACTAGTGGATAAAGAAAATGAGTGTATATATATAACAGGGCATACTATTTAGTTATGTAAAAAAAATTCTGTCATTTATGGCCACATGAATAAGTAAAATAGGTCAGGTACAGAAAGACAAATACTGCATGTTCTCATTCAAATGTGGGAGCTAAAAAAAGTTGGAGCTCATGGAAGTAGAGAGTAGAATTGTAGTTAGTAGAGCCTGGGAGCAGGGGAAGGATGAAGAGTGGTTGGTTAATGGACACATAATTATAGCTATTAATAGATAGGAAGAATGGGTCTTAGTTTTCCACAGCCTGCAGCAATGTAGGGTAAATACGGTTGACTATAATTTGTTGTATATTCTCAAAAAGCTAGAAGGGAGGATTTTGAATATTCACAGCATAAAGAAATGACAAATGTTTGAGGTGATAGATATGCTAATTACCCCAATTTGATCATTACACATTATATACACATATCAAAATATCACTCTGTGTCCCAGAAATATGTATAATTATTACATGTCAACTAAAAGTAAAAATAATAAAATTCTGCTAGGATAGAACTCTGGAATGTGTGTTAAAAAGAAATCTTCCCAGGTGAATCTGAGGGTGCTCAAAATGCTAGAATGCCTGTGGCTATAATGTGAATAGACTTTTTGGCAGTTTATTTATTATGAGCCTGTGACCCTGGAATAAACATCTTCCTGGGACTGCCATGGTGCCCCTCTGCCATAGATTTTATATTCGACAGTACTTCGGATGAGACAGTCTTATGCTGCTGATTTAAACCTGCCATATCTGTTGGTGATGGAGGCCATTCAAGAGCTACTAGCTGCTGCAAGAACAATAGATTATCATCATCTCCTTTCAGAGCTCAATGTTTTCCAGAAATAATTGAAGGTATTTTCCTGGAGTCAGTTGTGAGAATGGAAACCGATGTGAATTATAGCGTGCTCAAATCATAATAGGTTATATTTCCTGAACAAAGATGGGGAAAATAAAGCATTACTGCATATGGAGAAAACAACCAACTTTTGACACTTAATTTCTTTCTTCCTGAAAAATGGTAACTCCTTCTGTTTCTAAATTACAGTATACAAAATGATAAGCAACTGCCTAGAGCAAATACATTCTGAATTTCCCATCACTGAAGTTTCACAACAATCTAATAAAAATCTAAAAGAGCACGGAAGCAAACCATTAAGAGTTATGTGTGGGCCAACATCCTGGTTTCTTGTTCATCTCATCTTGAGTGCTTTTTGGCCTTGTGCCAGCCATATAAGGACTCTGATGTGGTCAGTTGGCTGAGTAGCTACTTGATTACAAGACCTAAGAATGGATTCTGAGGCTACAAGACTTAGATGGAGTTGGCCTGTTCTACAGCAGCCAGAGTCACAAGCCAGACTGTTCACTAGCCTTGTTCTTTAAAGGAGGTAGGTGATGGTGTGATGTCAATGCAAAGCCACCCCAATAGCGTAAAATCAGGAGAGCTAGGAGGGCTCAAACCATAATGGAAGGCCATCTGCTTATGCGCTCGTAAGGTCAGTGACCTATAATTCCTAGGACACTCTCCACCCCAGCAGCCCTCCCTTGGTCCTCCATTCTTGCCAAAATGCTCTTTCATCCCCTGACTCTTAATGCCTTATGTTTAGTGGTTTACTTGGCCTCAGCATCATTTTAAGTCCCAGGCCTTTTTAAATGTCCTCAGCTCTAGTCAAAACATGCCTATCTATTCACTTACACGGAACAAAAGCTCCACATTTTGATTTGTGACAAGTAACCCAAGGGATCAACTAAAGGTGAAATGAAAAGCTTCGTGTATAACTTTTCAGGCAACTTCAACTATTAACAGAGAAAGTTCAGATCCAAAAAGCAGGATGGGAATTTCAGGGACAGGGCCTCTAAAGGAGTTTCACTTTATGAGGATTTCAGGACTATCCTTTAGATTGGACTTCTCTGAAGTTATACCATGTAGGCAGGCACACATTTGTTCTGCATATACATAAGGTCAATAATGGACAGCACATTTCCATCACTACAGGCAAAAATCCAGATTCAACATGATTTTTGAAAAATTGCAGGATTAAGTTCCAACCAATAATCTAAATTTAAACAAGTTAGTTGTAAGACTGAAAATATTTTCAAAAATCAAACTGCACAAAATAGGATGATCTAGAAACAAGTTTAGAAATATTACTGTGAAGGGAGAAGAGAGGGAGAGGACAAGGTATGAAGGCTTTATGTGACCAAAAGAAGGTTCAGGGAGTTCTGTTGTACACATGGGGTTTTCACCTTAGTTATGTTAAGCTAGGTGCATTAAATGTTGTATGGAGATTTCTCCTTTGTTTCAAATTAAAACTATTCTATCTTTGAAACTATAAATTGTGTGAGGCCATGACCAACAATAAGATATAAAGATGTGGGGCTGGGCATGGTGACTCATGCCTGTAATTCCAGCACTTTGGGAGGCCGAGGTGGGAAAATCATTTGAGGTCAGGAGTTTGAGACCAGTCTGACCAACATGGTGAAACAACATCTCTACTAAAATTGCAAAAAAAAAAAAATTAGCCAGGTGTGGTGGTACACATGTGTAGTCCTAGCTACTTGGGAGGCTGAGGCAGGAGAATTGCTTGAACTTGAGAGGCGGAGGTTATAGTGAGCCAAGATTTTGCCATGGCACTCTAGCCTGGGCAACAGAGTAAGACTAAGTCTCAAAAAAAAAAAAAAAAGATGTGAAGATGTAAAGAGGCTCATAAAAAGGCCTTGAGCTCACAAAAGACATCATTCTCATGAATCTCATGCCCTGAGGGAAGCCAACTGCCATGTCATGAGGACACTCAAGCATCCCCGTGGTGAGGCCAACACACAACTACCACCAATTTGCCAGGAATGCAGGTGAATTATCTTGGACTTGAATCTGCCAGCCCCATTCAAGTCTTCAGATTATTTAATCCCTGGCTTGACTACGCATTTAGGAGAGATCTTGAGCCAGAATCACCCAGTTTAGCAGCTCTTTAATTACTGACACACAGACCTGATAAGGCAATTAATGTTTACTCTTTTAAGCAACTAAGGGTTTTTTGTTTGTTTTCTTTATTACTCTTTTTTTTTGAGGCAGGGTCTCACTTTACAGCAGCCCAGGCTGGAATGCAGTGGTGTGATCGTAGCTTGCTGTAACCTTCAACCTCTGGACTCAGAGGACCCTCCCAACTTAGCCTTCTGAGTAGCTGGTACTACAGGCCCACCACATCTGGCCTAAGCAAATAAGTTTTTGAAGTAATTTATATGGATGAAAAGAAAGTCTAAAGAAGCATGGCTGTGGAAAGTAGAGGAGCGATGGGAAGGAGGTTGACTAAAAGAAGGTTTTTTATTTGTTTTAGGAAAAAATTATTTATAGATTTTTCAATAGAATAATTTACATTCAATAAGTATGTTGACTATAAATTAATTTCATATATTTTAAAGCAACTCTTTCCAACTATTTTTGAGATAGTACATGTACTAGGAAAGAATGGAATTGTATTTTTTGAATGCGTTTTACCATTCAGAAACTTTTAGGGCTTTACTGGGATATAACTCACATACCATATCATTCACCCATGTAAAGTATACAATTCAGTGGCTTTTAGTATATTAATTGAAGTGTTGAACTATCACTGCACTCAGTTTTAAAACATTTTTATCATCCCAAAATAAAACCATATATAGCCATTAGCAGTCACTGACCACTCTTAGCCCAGACCTAGGTAAATACTAGTCTACTTTCTATCTGTATAAATTTGCCTAGTCTAGAATTTTCACATAAACAGAATCAATACAGTGTGATCTTTAGTGACTGGCTCCTTTCAATTAGCATAATGTTTCATGGTTATCCATATGGAATCATGTATCAATATTTCATTCCTTTTTGTTGCAGAATAATATTCCAATGAGTGCACATACTACATTTTATCTATCTATTCAACAATCCATAGACTTTTATTTGAGTTGTTGCCACTTTTTGGCTATTATGAATAATGCTGCTGTAAAAATGCCTGCGCAGGCTTTAGTGTGGACAAATGCCTTCATTTCTCTCAAGTATGTACATAGGAGTGAAATTGCTGTGTTATATGATAACTCAATGTTTAAACTTCTGAAAAATTGCTAAACTGTTTCCAAAGTGACTGAACCACTTTACATTCCCACCAACAATAAAAGAAGATTCCATTCATTCCCCAACATTAAATAAATGCTTGTTTATTTAATTAATTTACTTATTTACATTTCCACCAACAATAAATAAATTTCTCCACATCCTTGAAAATCCTTGTTATTCCACCCCAGTGGGGACTAGGGAGTGGTATTATATTGTAGTTTTGATTTGCATTTCCCTGATAACTAATGAGGTGAACATTTTTTCATGTGTTTATTGACAATTTGTATACCTTTTTTGGAGAAATGTCTATTCAGTTTGTTTACCCATTTTTAAATTGGGTTATTTATCATTTTATAATGGAGTTAATAGACTTAAATTTTTTTAAAACTTCTGGCCCTTATTTGTATAGTGATGATAGCTTATTGGATTAAAATAGGTAGTGCATGGACTCTTATATGAAGAAAGCTGAAATTTAAGGAAAGGTACTGGTACAGACTTGTCAGAAGTATGACTACGAATGTATGGTAGTCAGGAAATTGCTGTTGACCCTCTTACAATTTCAGGCAAGTTGTAGAAACAAAAAATAAATTACATAGGTTGGGAAAGAAATAGGAGATACACAGAGAGAGGAAATAAATGTCTTTTTAAATTTTTTATGTACTAATTACGTTACCGTATTTTTTGCTGGTGGGGTCACATATGGAAGAAAGCATCAATTCTAAACACATTGTTGCAAGGGAAAATTATAGATTACAAATCATTCAGAGATGCTATAGCTGAGCAGACTGCTTTGTGAGGCAGAGCATGCTCCACATCCACAGTATCTAAATGAAGATTATGTATTTGTCTCTTAGGTATATTAGGAGGAATCTTGTCTTTGGCAGAAGATTATTGTCTCAAAAGTCCTTCTGAATTCGAACACATGCGGCACGTACAAAACAGTGTCTTAGAATAAGTGCACAATAAATAGTTGTTAAATGAATTGAGCTATCAAAATTCTGTGTCCTTGAAATAGTATAATGTGTTCCACATTCTATTTGAAGCATTTGTGCATAATTTTAATGCAATTTCACTCTAGTGAGCAGAATTATTTTTTGGTGTGTAACTCTTTCCCCAAGCACATTTAATGTTAATTTAGTAAAGAAAGCACTTTGGCACCTATTGGTATGAATATGTCAATTGGGAAGAAATAAATTTTTAAAGCATTCCGTATGATAATAGAGAGACAGAAGAGGCCAGTAATACTATGCAAATGTGACTTTATTCGTATAAATCTCCACAAAGCATATATTTAAATCCACCCTCATAGATTAGACAAGACATGTTAGGGAATTGAGAACAGTTTAATAACTCAACTTTTTTTTCTCATTACTTTATGCTGATGAGGGTTTCCAGGAGACCTCCAGCTATATTTATCAGGAATTTGATAAATAAATTTACACAAAGGAACAGGGATAAGTTGAATTATTTTCAGATCAGTAACAATTTGTTTCTCACTGCAGTATCCTCAAAAAGAAAGCTGCTCAGTTATGTGATTGATTTTAACAAATTTCTGTTATTTGTTTTCATGATATTTAAATGAATTTAAAACAAGTCTAAGGAAAGGCGTATCTTAGAGCACTATAGCTTGTGATATCTGCATCTTAGTTTCCAGTATGCACAGGCACTCATGCATGTAGGCCTATTGTGGGAAATCTTTCACAATCTAATATAAGCCATTCCAGGATGTCATGAAATTGCAAGACCTTTTGTCAATTTCAAGTTTTTAAATTCATCTCAATATTCTACAAATGTTCTTTTCTGACAAATTGCACTTAATTTTTTTTTTACCTTGTACAACAATTTGCCTTGAACAACAATTATCAACTGGTTTACATTTGCCCTTGGAGGTACACGTACACTTTTTAAAAATTTCGTGGGAAAGAACCAATTTTCGTATCTTCAACTTGTATAGGTATTCTTTCCTAAATTGTATCTGCCTATAGTCTACATTAAGAGGCTACTAACCTTTTCCACCTTCTCTTGCCAGTTCCCTCTTGCTTGCTTACAAAAGAAAGCCACACTTGTCACCTTGGACTTAACATGGTACACAGTCCCCAGGCCATAAAATCCTCTGGGTACAAAGGAACAACCCAGAACATTAGCTCCATAAACTTTAATTAAGTACCTTAACTCCGATAACTTTTTCTAAAACACATATTTCTGATGAAAGGAAAGCTTAACTTTTAAAATGTGTCATTTTAACTCTTTTTGGAATGTTTTCATTTCAGATAAGTATATATTAAAGAATGAGGGATGAGAGTGATGAGAGTCTTATTTAATAACATCACCTCTTGGTTATGTTGATTAGACCACATGGCTCTAATGGAGAGGCTGTGAGAGCAAGCAAAGAGACTGTGCATGGGCAGTACTGAAGGGCAGTACTGAAGGCCCCACCAGCTCTCATGTCTAGGAGGCAAACTCCTTGCAAAGCTCTGGGATCCAGCTATCTTTATATCCATTGATCATCTGTTTATCTTGGAACTCAAATTTTGAAGTGATTCAATTGTCACAAGAATACATATCAACATATTTATTTAAATTAAAATGAGTTAGGCTTTTGGAGAGAAAGTAAGTAGGATTCATTTGATTTGTTTGACAAATCAGATTTTCTAGATAGGTGGACCTTTTTTAGCTGAATAAACTGGAGCAACAATGTTTCTGTATCTTTAAAGTAAATAAAAATATTTTATATATTGAGGTTATTATGGACTGAAGGTTTGTGGCCTTCCCCAAATTCATATATTGAAGCCCTACCCACCAATGTGATGGTGTTTGGAGACAGGTGAGCCCTAAGGAGATAATAAGGATTAGATGAGATCCGAGATGAGTGGCTTATAAGAAGAGGAAGAGAGAGAGAGCCTTCTCTCTTTTTCCACCATATGAGGACACATAAAAAAAGTTGGCTGTCTGCAAGAAAGGAAGAGAGACCTTGCCAGGAACCAAATCTTCAGCGTCTTGATCTTGGGCTTCCAGGCTCTAGTACTGAGAAAAATAAAAGTCCATTGTTTAAGCCACACAGTCTATGATAATTTCTGACAGCTTGAGCAGACTAAGGCAGGGGTTAATATTTTTTATTTTCCAGCTATTTTTGGAAAAAGTCAGTTTAAACAGGTGCCTCTAAGTCAAAGAGGCATAATTAGTGATCATTTGATAGGACTTGGTGTAGCCCTTTTGGTATAGATGACTAATGACTAGTAGCAAATCCTTTTGTGTGACATGGATTCCATTTCTTTCCCTTCAGAAAATAAAAGGAAAAACTAACTGAGTCATCAAATGATACAACCATTAAAATAATTGGTAATCACCATAGGATTTATTTGGCATATAACCCAGGAGCTCACAAACTGAGTGACATTGTAATAATAACATTCTGTGCACTTCTCCACATATGCATTTATGTAAGCAAAATAGCTTGGGAGCAGTGTAGAAGTTTTTTTTTTTTCAAAAAGTTTCTAGAATTGATTCTGAAGCATGTCTTGGTACACCAATAAATAATTTTTATCCACAGATATATAAGCTGTTTTAAAAAGCACCAATTGCTACTATTATATACTAAAATCACTCTACTGTTATCACTAATAATAATAATAAAATAATAGTAATGTTCATATAGAGTAAATTTAATTTTTCATTATGTATGGTCACAGGAAAAAGAAAATGAAATTATATATATATATACACAGATAAGAATGACAGAGTAACCAAAAAAGACTGCAGAGGAGGCAGAGCAAAATGTTCAAATAGAACCCTCCAGCAATTATTTCCCAGGTAAGAACACCAAATTGAACAATTATCCATGCCAGATACCACCTTTATGAGAACCAAAAATTAGGTGAATAATCAGAGTACCTGGTTTTAACTTCATATCAGTGAAAGATACACTGAAAAGGGTAGGAAAGACAGTCTTGCATTGCCAGTGATACCTCTCTCTCATCCTCTGGCAGTGACCCCATGGCATAGAAAGGGAATCTGTGTGCTTGGGGCAGACAGAGTGCAATGACTGGGGGAATCTGCATTGGAACTTAATGCTTCCCTGTGAGACCAGAAAGCAACATGGGGCAGAATTCAGCCAGCACCCATGGAGGGAGCATTTAGATCATCTCTAGCTAGAGGTGAATTGTCTATCCCAGCAGTCATAATCTAAGTTCCAGCAAGCCCTACCACCATGGGCTACAGTGCACTGGGGTTCTAAATAGACTTGAAAGGCAGTCTAGGGCACAAGGAGTGCAATTCCTGGGGAAGTTCTGGTACTGTGCCAGGGCGGAGCCAGTGGATATGGGAGACACACAATCTAGTGAGACACCAGCTGGGGCAGCCAAGGGAATGCTTATATCACCCTGCTCCCAACCCCAGCCACCACAGCACCCAGCTTTGGGAAAGACTCCTTTCTTCTACACTGGAGAGAAGAGAGGGGAGAGTAAAGAGGACTCTGTCTTGAAAATTGGAAACCAGCTCAGCCACAGTAGGATAGGGCACCAGGAAGAGTCCTGAGGCCCTCATTCCAGGCCCTATCTCCTGGACTACATTTCTGGACACATCTTGGGTCAAAAGGGAGCTCACTACTTTGAAGGGAAAGACCCAGTCCTGGTAAGATTCATTACCTGCTGAATAAAGTGCCCTCGGGCTTTGAATAAATAGAATCAGTACCAGGCAGTACTCTCTATGGGCCTTAAGTGAGACCCAGGGCCATACTGGCTTCAACTGTGACCCAGCACATTCCCAGCTGTGATGGCCATGGGAGAGACTCCTTATACTTGAGGAAAAAGACAGGGAAGAGCAAAGGGGACTTCATCTTGCAGCTTGGGTACTAGCTCAGCCACAGTGGAGTAGAGCACCAAGCAGGCTCCTGGGGTCCCCGATTCCAGGCCTTGGTTCTTGGATAACATATTGTACCTGCCCTGGGCCATAGGAGAGCCTACTGCCCTGAAGGGAGAGTCCCAGTCATGGTAGCATTCACTATAAACTGACTGAAGAGCCCATAGCCCTTGCATGAACATTGGTGGTGTCCAGGCAGTACTCACTGCAGGCCTGGCATGGTGATGGCCATTGGGAGAGACTCCTTATGCTTGAGGAAAGAAGAAGGAGGAGTGGAAAAGACTTTTTCTTGTGTCTTGGGTGCCAGATCAGCCATAGTAAAATAGAGCACTAAGTAGATACATAAGTTCCTTGTCTCCAGCCTGTGGCTCCCGAACAGCATCTCTGGATCCACCCTTGGCCAGGTAGGAGCTTGCTACTCTGAAGGGAAGAACACAAGCCTGGCTGGATTCACCACCTGCTGAGTCCTTGGGCCTTGAGTGAACATTGGTGGTAGCCAGGCAGTAGTTGTCACAGGCCTTGGGCAAGACCCAGTACTGTGCTGGCTTTGGGTCTGGCCCAGGATAGTCCCAGTGGTGGAGAACACAGGGTTGCTTGTGTCACCCATCCCCCTGCTCCAGGTAGTTCAGTATGGAGAAACAGACTTTTTGTTTTGTTTTGTTTTGCTGGAGAGGCCGGTGGGGTGGGAGGTGAAAGAAGTAAGAGAAGAGAACAAGAATTTCTGCCTGGTAATCCAGAGAATTCTTCCAGATCTTATCCAAGACACCAAGCGGGTACCTCTGTGAGTCTGTAACAGCCATAGTGTTACTAGGCTTGAGGTGCCCTCTAATGCAGATACAGCTGCAATGACCAAAGCTTTAGATCACAGCACTTAATTTTCTTCAGATACTTGGAAAGCCTTACCAAGAAGGGCAGTTACAAAAAAGCCCAGACTGCAAAGACTACAATAAATACCTAATTATTCCATGCCCAGACATTCACTTACATCCATAAGCATAAAGACTATCCAGAAAAACATGACCTCACCAAACAAATTAAATAAGGCAGCAGTGACCAATCCCAGAGTGACAGAGATATGTGACCTTTAAGAAAGAAAATTCAAAATAGCTGTTTTGTGGAAGTTAAACAAAATACAAAATACAGAGAAGGAATTCAGAATCCTATCAGATAAATTTAACAAAGTTATTAAAGTAATTTTTGAAATTTCATCAGAAATTCTGGAGCTGAAAAATTCAATTGACATACTGAAGAATGCATCAGAGCCTCTAAACAGCAGAATAGATCAAGCAGAAGAATGAATTGTGAGCTTGAAGACAGGCTATTTGAAAATACACAGTCAGAGAAGACAAAATAATAAAGAATAAAACAGAATGAAACACATGTACAAAAATCTTGAAAATAGCTTCAAAAGAACAAATCTAAGAGTTACTGGCCTTAAAGCAGAGGTTGAGACAGAGATCAGGGTAGAAAGTTTATTGAAAGGGATAATAACAGAGAACTTCCCAAACTTAGAGAAAGATAACAATATTCAAGAATAAGAAGGTTATAGAACACCAGGCAGATTTAACCCAAATAAGACTGCCTTAAGGCATTTAATAATCAGACTCTCAAAGGTCAGGATAAAGAAAGGATCCTAAAAGTAGCTAGAGAAAAGAAACAAACATACAAAGGAACTCCAATACATCTGGCAGCAGAATTTTCCGTGGAAATCTTACAGTCCAGGAAAGAGTAGCATGCCATATTCAAAGAGCTGAGGGAAATAAAAACACACACATACACACACACACAAAAGAACCCACTTTTACCCTAGAATAGCATATTCAGCAAAAATATCCTTAAAACATGATGGAGTAATAAAGACTTTCTCAGACAAATAAAAGCTGAGGGATTTCCTCAGTACCAGAACTGTCCTATAAGAAGAAATACTAAAGGAAGTTCTTCATTCTGGATAAAAAGGACATAAACAAGCAATAAGAAATCATTTGAAGGTACAAAACTCACTTGTAATAGTAAATACACAGACAAACACACTAAAGTCACAGAGTATTATAATACTGTATTCGTGGTATGTAAACTACTCATATCTTGAGTAGAAAGAAAATGATGAACCTATCAAAAATAATAGCTACAACGCTTCTCAAGACATAGTATCATCAGATATAAATAGAAACAATAAAAAGTTAAAACATTAGGGTTAAAGTTTTTATTAGTTTTATCTTTGCTTGTTTGCTTTTGCAATCAGTATTAAGTTGTTTTAAGTTTAAAATAATTCTAAGATGTTATTTGCAAGCCTCATGGTAACTTCAAATCAAAACACCTACAACAGATACACAAAAAATAAAAAGAAAGAAATTAAAACACGACCAGAGAAAATTACCTTCACAGACAGGAAGACAAGAAGGAAAGAAGGAAGGAAAAGAAGATCACAAAACAACCAGAAAACAAATAACAAATGGTAGGAGTAACTTCTTACTTATCAGTAATAACATTGACTGTAAATGGACTAAGCTGTCCAATCAAAAGATATGTTTTTTTCTCTGAATGGAGAAAAAAACAAGGCCCAATGTTCTTTTCCCTACAAGAAACACACTTGACTTACAAAGACACACAGAGACTGAAAATAAAGGAATGGAAACAGATATTCAATGCAAATGTAAACCAAAAAAAGAGCAGGAGTGGCTATACATATATCAGACAAAATAGATTTCAAGTCAAAAACTATAAAAAGAGACAAAGAAGGTCACTGTATAATCATGAGGGAGCCAATTTAGCAGGAGGATATAACAATTTTAAATATATATGTACCTGACACTGGAGCACTAAGATATATAAAGCAAACATTATAAAAGCCCAAGAGAAAGATAGAACTCAATATGACAAAAGCTGGAGACTTCAACATCCCACTTTCAGCATTGGACAAATCATCAAGACAGAAAATCAACAAAGTAACTTTAAATTTAATCTGCACTATAGAACAAATGAACCTAGTAAATATTTACAGTAAATTTTTTTTGATGGCTGCAGAATATGCATTCCTCTCCTCAGCTCATAGATTATTCTCAAGGATAGACCCTATGTTTGGCCACAAAAACAGTCTTTATAAAAAAAATTCAAGAGGCCGGGCGTGGTGGCTCACGCCTGTAATCCCAGCACTTTTGGAGGCCGAGGTGGGTGGATCACGAGGTCAGGAGATTGAGACCATCCTGGCTAACACGGTGAAACCCGACTCTACTAAAAATACGGAAAAAAAACTAGCCCGGCGTGGTGGTGGGTGCCTGTAGTCCTAGCTACTTGGGAGGCTGAGGCCAGAGAATGGCGGGAATACGGGAGGCAGAGCTTGCAGTGAGCCGAGATCATGCCACTGCACTCCAGCCTGCGTGACAGAGCGAGACTCCATCTCAAAAAATAAATAAATAATAAATAAACGAACAAAAAATTCAAGAAAATGAAATCATATTAAGTACCTTCTCTGACCACAATGGAATAAGCTAGAAATCAATAACAAGAGGGAATTTTGAAAACTATACAAACATATGAAATTAAACAATGTTCTCCTAAATGACAAATGGGTTAATGAAGATATTAAGAAGAAAGTTTAAAAATTTCTTGGAACAAATGAAAATTAAAACACAACATATTAAAACCTATGAGACACAGTGAAAACATTATTCAAAGGAAAGTTTATAGCAATAAGCACCAACATCAAAAAAGTAGAAAAACTTCAGGTAAAGAACCTAATGATGCATCTTAAAGAACTAGAAAAGCAAGAGCAAACCAAACCCAAAATTAGTAAAAGAAATAATAAAGATCAGAGCAGAAATAAATGAAACTGAAATTAAGAAAATGATACAAAATATCAATGAAACAAAGTTGTTTTTTAAAAATAAATAAAATCAACAAACCTTATGCCTTAACTAAGAAAAAAAGAGAGAAGACCCAAGTGGAAAAAATCAGAGACAAAAAAGAGACATCACAATTGATACCTCAGAAATTCAGAGGATTATTAGTGGTTACTATGATCATGTATATATCAATAAATTTGAAAATTTAAAAGAAATAGATAAATTTTTAGACATATACAACCTACCAAGATTGAACCATGAAGAAATCTGAAACCTGAACAGATAAATATAGCGTAATGAGATCGAAGCCATAATAAAAATCTCCCAGCAAAGAAAAGCCCACTACCTGATGGCTTCCTTGCTGAATTTTATCAAACGCTTAAAGAAGAACTAATATTTGTTCTACTCAAACTATTCCAAAAATGGAGGAGGAGGGAATACTTCTAAACTCATTTTATGAGGCCAGTATCACCCTCATACAAAAACCAGACAAAAACACTTCAAAAAAATAAAACTACAGGCCAATATCCCTGATGCAAAAATCCTCAGCAAAATACTAGCAAACTGAATTCAGGAAGACACTAAAAAATTCATTCATTATGACCAAGTGGGATATAACCCAGGGATGCAATTTTGACTCAACATATGCAAATCAATCAATTTGATACATCATATCAACAAAATTAAAGACAAAAACTATGTAACCATTTCAACTGATGCTTAAAATGCATTTGATGAAACTCAACATCCCTTTATGATAGAAATCCTCAAAAAACTAGGCATAGAAAAAACATATCTCAGCTGGGTATAGAAGGAACATATCTCAACACAATAAAAGCCATATACAACAGACACACAGTTAGTATACTGAATGGGGAAAACTGAAAGCCTTTCCTCTAACATCTGAAACAAGACAAGGATGTCCACTTTAATCACTGTTATTCAGTATAGTACTAGAAGTTCTAGCTACAGCAGTCATATAAGAAAAAGAAATTAAGGGCATCCAAATTGGAAAGAAAGAAGTAAAATTATTCTGATTTGCAGATGATATGATCTTATAATTGGAAAAATCTAAAGACTTAATCAAAAAAGTATTAGAACTGATCACTTTAGTAAAGATCCAGGATACAGAATCAATATACAAAACTCAGTAGCACTTCCATGTGCCAACAATAAAAAATCTGAAAAAGAAGTCAAGAAAGTAATACATTTACAATGGCTGCAAGTAAAATAATACACCTATGAATAAGACTAACCGAAAAAGTGAAAGATCTCTACAATGAAAACTATAAAACATTGATGCAAGAAATGGAAGAGGACACAAAAATGGAAAGGTATTCCATGTTCATGAATTGGAAGAATCAATATTGTTAAAATGTCCACACTACCCAGTGCAATCTACAGATTCAGTGAAATCCCTATCAAAATACCAATGACATTCTCCACAGAAATAGAAACAATAGTCCTAAAATGTATATAGAACCACAAAAGATCCAGAATAGCTAAAGCTATCCTGAGCAAAAAACTGTAAGAATCACATTACCTGACTTCAAATTATGCTACAGAGCTATAGTAAGCAAAACAGCATGGTACTTGAATAAAAACAGACACATAGACCAATGGAACAGAATAGAAAACTCAGAAATAAATCCATACGTCTATAATAAACTCATTTCTGACAAAGGTGCAAATAACATACATTGAGGGAAGAACAGTCTCCTCAATAAATGATGCTAGACAAACTGAATATCCTTAGGCAGAAGAATGAAACTAGACCTCTATCTCTCACCATATAAAAAATCAAATAAAAATGGATTAAGGACTGAAATCCAAGTTTTCAAACTATGAAACTACTATTAAATAAAAGAAAACACTGGGAAAACTCTCCAGGACATTGGTCTGGGCAAAGGTTTCTTGAGTAATAACCCTACAGACACAGGCAACCAAAGCAAAACTGGACAAATGGGATCCCATCAAGTTAAAAAGCTTCTGCACAGTAAAGGAAGCAATCAACAAAGTTGAAGGGACAACCCACAAAATGAGAGAATTTTTTTCAAACTATTCATCTGAGAAGGGATTAATAACCAGAATATGTAAGGAGCTCAATCAACTCAATAAGAACAAATGTAATAATCTGATTAGAAAATAGGCAAAAGATCTGAATAGACACTTCTCAAAGCAGAAATAAAAATGGCAAACAGGCCTATGTTTGGTGCTCAACATCACTGATTACTTGAGAAACGCAAATCAAAACTACAATGAGACACCGCATTACTCCAGTTAAAATGGCTTTTATCCAGAAGACAGGCAATAACAAACATTGCTGAAGATGTAGGAGGAAAAGGAACCCTCATACACTGTAGGTGGCAATGTAAATTAGTACAACGGTGATAAAGAAGAGTTTGGAGGTTTCTAAAAAAAACTAAAAGTAGAACTACTATATGATCCAGCAATTCTCTGCTAGGTATATACCCAAAAGAAAGGAAATCAGTATATTGAAGAGATTTCTTCACTCCCATGTTTATTGCAACACTATTCACAATAGCCAAGATTTGGAAGCAACCTAAGTGTCCATCAACAGATGAACAGATAAAGAAAATTTGGTATTGATACACAATGGAGTGCTCTTTAGCCATAAAAAAAATGAGATTCTGTCATTTGCAAGATCATGATTGGAACTGGTCATTATGTTAAGTTAATGTTAAATAAGCCAGGCACAAAAAGACAAACTTCACATGTTCTCATTCATTTATACTTGAGAGCAAAATGGGATGACTACAGTCAACAAAAATTTATTGTACATTTAAAAATAACTAAAAAAGTGTAACTGGAATACTTATAACACAAAGAAGGTGATGGGTACCCCATTGACCCTGATGTTACTATTACACTATGTATGCCTGTATCAAAATACCTCATATGCCCCATAAATATATACCGTTATTATGTGCCTGTAAGAATTAAAAACTTAAGAAAAAGACCTTCAAGCAGATTAATATCTTATGAGGGTAGAATTCTGTGGGATACGTAGATTGGTAATATAAAGTCAAAGAGAAAAAGTTACAGTGTAAAACTTCCAACCACTAAAAAACTTAGTCACATATATCTTAAATGGATGATGATGGGTATCAAATTACCATGGTAATTAAATCCAGTGCATGCATTTAAGTGGTAATGTGAAAATTTCATTTAAAATCATCAATATTTATAATACTCAAGAAATTGCACCATCATAGATATTTAAATTTATGATGAAGAATTTTAGATGCCAACCTAAAAATATGCAATAAGGTATAATTTTTCAAACTTATTTTATGGAGTATAGAATACACAATTTTGAAGACCAGTAACTTAGAATATAGGCATATGATCCTTTTCTTTGGGTTTCAGTTGCTTCATACAGTGTTTGGACGGTAGTTAGAATTATTCATGTCGGGTGCTGGAAGAGTGGATGTATCACAGTGCTACAAGGGGGCGCACCCTGATGTCAGATCCCTGGGTTCACATTCCAGCTCTGTCACCTACAAAGCTGTGTGACAGTAGGCATGTCAGCTAACCTCTTATCCTTCCCCTCATTGAAGCAATGATGAGGTGAGGATGACTCTAGATGATGTATGTCCAATGTTCAGGACCCACATATCATCCATTTAGGGTAGGTATTCAAAAGAAATGGAGCTGCTCAGAGTTTTCTATCAGAGTCGGTAAATTCGAGTTTCTACAGGGTCAACTGGTTTTCGCAGCTTCAATTTCCATGTTTCTTAGGAAACAAGATAAAGTTTCTCACGGTGATTCCATTTTTTGTAAACAATTATTTCCAAAACAAGAATAATGAAAACAAATAATGTCAGGAAATTATGATTTTTGTTCTTTTAGCATAGAGAACATCACCATAAACAGAGAAACAAAACCTTGGAAAGGTTCTATAAGAGTGCTATATGCTCCCTTATAGCCTGAAATAGGGATATTAAAAAAAATTATTTGGTCCGGGCACAGTGGCTTACGCCTGTAATCCTAGCACTTTGGGAGGGGTGGGCGGATCACGAGGTCAGTAGATCGAGACCATCCTGGCTAACACGATGAAACCCCATCTCCACTAAAAATACAAAAAATTAGCCGGGCGTGGTGGCTGGCGCCTATAATCCCAGCTACTCGGGAGGCTGAGGCAGGAGAATGGCGTGAACCCGGGAGGCGGAGCTTGCAGTGAGCCGTAATGGCACGGCTGCACTCCAGTCTGGGCGACAGACAGAGACTCTGTCTCAAAAAAAAAAAAAAGTATTTAACCTCACGTTGCCATTGCCAGTAACAAGTAGGCAGTTTATTAAAATGGATAATCAACAAATTAAAAATCTCAGTATAGTAGAAACTGAAGTAACTTAGACAAAGGAGACATTCAAGAAAAAGGAACAAGCCCTCTGCTTCTGGCAGCAAAGGACAGCCCTGATTCTCCTGATCCACACAGCAACGTTGGAAAATATTTGCACAGTGTGAGAAGTACTTACCCTATGCCATCTCACCTAGGGATTGTGAACCAGACCAGTAGCTCATTCTTGACAGGGAAGGCCTGGAACATGCAACCTGCAATTCTCAGATTCCAGTAGAAGTGTGTGTAACTAATGTGTCTCCCAACTTCATTTGGTTGGAGTGGGAAAGACAATAAAAATAGAAGAGATTAAACTGGCCATTCCTCAGGGTCAGAAAATGAGCCTTAATTGTTTTTGTTTCCAGACCTGACATTGGTGTAGGTTACTTGGGAAGTTCCTATTCACTTAATGCTTGTTGAGCTAAACTGACTCTCTACTGGGGAGAGGGGGAGCTAGGGTAAGCCAAATCCACACTACTGTGAGAAACAGGAGAGGTTCCCTGACCATGAAGCCAAAGAATTCCTGCTTCTTCCAGTGCTCCTTCCTCAGGATCTCCATTAGAGAAAATTAGATTTTATTCAGGCAATTAGGATCACACTAGTTTTGATGCATTCTTGAGAATACAACTGAAATTCCTTATCTATAAACCATGTGTGAGTATCATTTAGTTATTGCCTTGGTTCATCCCAGGGCCAAGTGCAAGCAGGATAACAGCATGAAAAACTTCTTGGAATCAAACGGCCCTAGAGAAAGTCATGGCTCTGACACTTAATCGGTGTACTATATTGGGTGAATTACTTGAATTATCTGACTTCCATTTTCTCACCTGTAAATTGCGGGTAATAATAAGAATCTTGAGGATTTTTGTAAGGATTTTATGTAAAGCCTAATCCATAGTAGACACTTAGTGGCAGCTTAGTGTTAAATGCTCTAATGGTTTGTGGTGTCATGCTAAAATGTGCAGGCTGTCTAAGGAAAAAGTTATTGGCTATAGTCATGAATGTTCTGGGCAAATACTAATTACATTGATTTCCGTATATTGAATGGGTCTCTGAAGTCATTAAAAAGTTTAAGCTATGTGTTCACACCTTTAAAAATAATTCAGAAGATGGTTCATTCAAGTATGACCAGGAAAAACTTGCGGACAAAGCATCAATATGCTATATTTTAATGACATCATTTTATGTTCTATTACCCAGTATTCATCACAATAGCCCATTTATGCAAGAATATCACTCTGTTGGGATGCATACATCAGGGCAGCAAATTTAAATAGCCTCTAATAACAGAGTATAATGATTGAAAGTTGGAGAAAGAATATTACTTGCTGATGAAAAAGAAAAACAGAAAATCAAGACAAGTGGTGAAGGATTTCATAAGCCTGGATCTCATTGGACCTGTCCCTGAGTCAGTGTGAGACTGTTGAGAGGATGAACCATTTCCTCAGCCAAGAAACGAGCAGACAACTCTTCTAACCATCTGGAAATTCAGTTTTTACAGTGGTTTAAATTGCTCCTCATGGCATTTTATTCTAGGTGCTAATATTCAAATATTTAAAATTTTAAATGAAGAGATGATTTTTCATTAAGTTTGACTGGCTTTTACTCTTGATCAAACTAAAGTAAGCAAGACAGACTAATGGAAATTTAGTGCAAATTTAAAGAAATACCGTTTTCACTTTTATTTGTGTAATATTAAAATTTTTTATTTCTTTTTAAAATAAAGCAATGGTTTCCAAAGCTGTTGACTCGGTCTTTTATTTTCAGGAGGCTCTGATTAACTTTTGCGTCAACACTCAGGTATTCAGAATTCTCCAGACATTTCAGTCTCATTCTATCTGTCATTGAATAGAGGCAACTCTATCTCATATTTCATCACATAATCTCCGTATTTTTTAGCATTATACATTTTGTTATATTAAAACTAAATCTAGATAACTAGTAAGTGGATGGTTAAAAGTCAAGCAAATATTTTTAATTGTGACGCATTTGGATAATACATGCAAAAGATAGGTTCAGTCTCATTTATAGTGGCTTGGTAAGATGATCACTGATGCTTCCATCATGGTATTTTCTAGAAGTATTGAAGAGAAGCCAACACACCTTTCTTTAATACTACAAGGTCATTATATAGACACAGTCATTGGGAGGAAAGACAGTTACAATCCCTCATTTCTGATTAAGAAGCAAAAGCTCCTCCAAGATGCTCTGTGCATAGAGGCAGTCCCAGCTCTACAGTCACATTTTGCTGACCCACTGACACAGAAAGAAATAATTTAATAGTGTCACTGGAAGATTTCCAGACATACGATGTTTCTGATTATTTAAAAATCCTTCTAGTCCTTCAGCATTTAGAAATCCTGCTGGATAAAAGACACTTTAAAATCCTAAGTTATCATTAAGAAAAGTAAAAGGAATTCTCATAGGCCAAATGGAAAAGGAAAGTGAAAATCAGGGGAGTGATGGGAGCTGACTTTCTGCAGTGCTACAGCCCTGGGAACCAAAAGGGTTTAGGTCTAATGGCACCAAGAGGATGAACAGCGAGGCCTCAGCCTGAAGGAGGTGGGAGTTAGAACTGATCCCGTCTTCACCCCTGCTAAGGCTTATATGCCTTGGGAACAAATAGAACAGTGAAAAAAAAAAAGTCTATAGGCACAGGGAGAAGAAAGGGATTATTTATAGTTTTGCCTAGGATTAAGATGAGAACAGAGAAAATCTGGGCAATAATTTATATCTATGGGCTTATCTTTATTTTGACTGGGGTTTCACTTTATCTTTATGGCCCAAGAATTCTATAACTGAGAACACAAATTCTCACAGGCTGGTAAGATTTCAGGGATTTCCTTAGAAAAAGAAGTTTTGCATTTACTTCTGACAGACATCCCTGAAATCAATTCAAGCAATAATTGCAACCCAAACTATATAAGATTTTCACACACAAAAAAAACATCATTTACTCCAAGTTATTACTGAGTGATTTGACTTCATGGGCACCAAGGGCGCTCAACTTTTAAGTCCCAATACTGCTGTGGGAAGCAACAGGATTCCTTCAGCAAATTCTACTAAGATGGTAAATCTTAATATCAGTAAAGTCACGACACATTCTTGAATGGATGGAGTAATGAAGAATTTGAAACACACACACACACAAACACACACACACGCATCCTTCTAATGCTGATATCCTCCCTGTTAATGAATCACTGATTAAATCTTTAATATGCAAGAGGAGTTCTGGAAGTTAAATCGGGAGAAATCTACTGGGCTCACAGATGTCATTCTTGTATCTTCTTTCTTTCTTCCTTTCTCTCTCCTTTTCCCTCTGCTTTACTCTCCTCTTTCCTTCCTTTCTTCCTTCTTTTCTTTTCTTCATTCTTTCTCCTTTTCTTCCTTTCTTCCTTCTTCTTTACACAGGCAGCTATAAAACAGGCACTTAACAAATTTGTTGCTTATTTTCTGATTAAATATGGAAAAAAGGCAATGACTGCAAGAAAAAGTTCTGCCATTTCTCTACAGCTTAAACCTTTGATACTTTGGGAAGTGATGTTTATTTTGAAAGAGGAACATGTAACAATCTAAAGTCGTTGGTCAATTTCAGGGTAAACCTAACAGCTTTTTTGACTCGACTATTTCGAGAGCCATCTTTTATTCTGCCATCCTTTCTTTCTTTCTCCTCTAATTTTTCTATTTAATTTCATTAGAAATGCTTCTGAGCCAACTGATATAAGAAGACATTTTGAAATAAGTTGAGAAAACTGGAAATATGAAAATAAAGATGAATAAAATGAAAGGAAGCCAAGTATGAGGTTGGTACGCAGAGTATGTACATTGAAGTCTAGTTCTCTTCCTCAAGGTAGAACACGATACATCTTTGTGGCTTCACAGGGAACAAGACTAAAGAATATGGACAGAAACAACTTCATGGTTTATTACTACGTGTAGAGACAAAGTAACTCTTCTGAAAAATATCACTTACACCGGCCTAGTAAGCAATTCTGTCCTGGGCCCACACTGAAGGACTTAATACTTCTCACCCCCAAAGTAAGTCAAACTCAACAGTTAACTTATCATTACTTTACATTTTACTAAAGATTTCTCTGGGGAAAGTGAGAAAAGTTCCATTGTAATAATAAACACAACTTAAGAAAGTCTTCTTAGAACACACTCTTGCCACCTCAAGCATCCTCACTCCCAGGGCAACATCAGCAGCCTAAATGGCTCTAGCCTTTCCCAATCATTTTCAGGGTAGGCCTAAGCTCCGAGGACAGCATGCTATCTAAAACATGGTAGTGACCACCAAGGGTGTAGGGTGTAGCAACATGAGCCCTAATATGAATTGCATCCTGATAGCTTAAATTTGGCATTGTAGTATGCCTACCTATGGCAATTTCTAGCAATGTTCTATTGGCTTGGTAGTAGGTGCCCAGTCAATCAGAATCATCAGCTATTTTCTCCAAACCTGTTGAGGCATGGCACTATGATGGTGCTGTGAGAGATTCAAAGTGCTATTTTTTCTATAAAGGAATTTATAATCTGGCCAGGAGGCAACACTGTGCAAAAGAAATAATTGGAGAATAAATAGCACAGTAAACATAATAAGAAATTGCCGGGGACTATAAGAGCCAACTATGTGAAGGCTACTGCCTGAGAGCAATTGTCCTGCCAACAAGTGTGGTCATTACTGTGATTTCCTTGCACAACAGAGACAAGGGTAGGTAGAGGGAGGAGAGCTGGAGGCAACTGTAAATTTGCTCCTCTGAGCACAGCAAGTGGGTTATTAAAGATATCTACCTTCGATTGATGCCTGAGGCTCTGTTAGGAATGGGAGAAACAGATCCACAGGAGAAAATAGATTCTTTTCTTCTTTGGGTTCTAATGCATATTGGTGCAGTTGCCTGCCATATGGAGATATAAGTTTACATATACTCTCTATGTTTATTTACTCGCATTGTAGTAAATCTAAACTGCACAGAAACTTCTGCTGTTTTGAACACTTAGGATAGTGTTCCATCCATCCTTTCTGAAAGATGAAGAGATGGACTCGATATATAATTTGTGGTGTGAGGACAGGTGCTTCTTTCACTTTGCTAATGATATATTTCTAAGGACAGAAAAATTCCTCTCCAACTCCGTGGCTATGACATCGATTCTATAATAAAATCATTCATTGTCTACCCTTTTAAAGGATTTCTAAAGTCCTCATCAATGAGCAGTTACTAAGATCCTACCGGAAACCCAGCTATGTCCCCTCTGCCTGGAAGTCCTTTATCTGTGTCTTTGTTTCAATGTATTTAACTCCTTAAGGTCCATTGCAAATGCCTCCCACATCCTAAAGCCTTCTCTGAGGGCCCCTACTCTGTAACCTTCTGAGATCACTTCTACCTCTTTATGCCATGTAGCATAGTCTGCTTTGCAGAGTAGTTATTGATTCCTTACTCAACCCCCAACAAGTTGTTGGTTATCTAAAGACAGGGAGAAGATATAATCACTTCAGAATAATCTGAGTCTCCCAGCAGAATGCACAGAACACAGTCATTAAAACTGAATTGTGTTGAATTAAATAGAAAACCATTTTGATGATTTCTCATGAATCTGTATTTCTCAACATGAAATTCCCTTCTTTTCTAGTACTGTGATGTACTACCTAGATCCTCCTCAGGAAAACAAGGTTTCCCACCCTAGTTGCTAGAAGTCAGTCCTCAACTGTCAGCCCCTTTGGGGATTAGCTCAGCAGCTGGGAGCTTCCTCACCCAAGGCCACACCCACTAGCAAAGATCCATAAAGGCCTTGCCCCTCCTTGGAGAAGCTCCGTAATGTCATCCATCTTCAGAGCTTCTCTCAGGCTTGCAGAGGTGACGGTGTCACTACTTGAGCCCTGTCTCTGCCTGATCCTGCTTCCTTCCTTTTCGTTCCACCTGTGTTCATCTCATGAGCACCTTCTGAGGGGCATCCTATACAATAATCTCCTGTCTAGTCCCCTTCCCGAGGACACAGACTGAAACATGCATGTTGAACATAAAAGTACTATATGCCTTTTATTTTCTCATTTACCTCTGACCATAGTCATGAGTATAGTGGCCATAGAGGAGCTGGACTGAGATTTCTACAGTGATGCTCCACTGCAGGTTGCATGGTATTTTATTTAACAGCCAAAATATGCTCCTTCTCTCTATTTTTCTGGAAATAAACACACAGATGTTTGGTGGAAGAAACTAAACTACACTGCTAGTTCTCCTGGGGCCTGTTTACCTTATCTTTTCAAAACAAAGAGTCAATCTATGTTTACTTGCCAAGAGAAAAATGCCTGAATTTATATCGCTTTTCCCATTTGCAGAAGGCATAAATGTCAGAAAGGTTAAGATCATCTTCTAGGTGCTTCAAAAGCCTGTTTCAAAGAAAATTTTCAAACTATAAATTATGTATGAAAAGATACAGGTACAAAATGCTATTAAGAAAAGAAACGAAGTTAATGAAAGGAAACTCATTCTATATTTTTTTCTGAGACAAAATGGATGACCCCACTTTAGCAGAAAGCAGTTGAAAATCTTCATGTAAAGCCACAGCATCAAAAAGCAACATTCTTGACAAATATAAATTTCAAGTAGTATTATAAAGCTAGTCCAGAAAATATAACCATTCTGAACATTTGATTTGTCAGATATTGAACTCATATTAGATATTGTGATATTGTGAGAATCCATTAAAGTTCTCAAGGAAAAAAAGAAACCCATGGTCAAGTGAATTTACATTTCTAACTTGCAACAAGGCTGCAGTAGAAGTTAACAAAAGCACGGAAATGACTTAGTGATAAAAAGAAATATTAGAAATAAAAAATAAACACTTTCATGACAACATTTCTTACTGTAGAAATATTCATGATAATTAACAAAATAAATAAAAGTAACATGATAAAAGCTTCAATTTTCTTGTTGTTTTATAAAATTAAGAGCTACAGCAGGCCGGCTTGGTGGCTCACACGTGTAACCCCAGCACTTTGGGATGCTGAAGCAAGGGGATTGCTTGAGCCCAGGAGTTTGAGACCAGCCTGGACAACAATGGGAGACGCCATCTTCGTTTTATTAAAAATAATTTTAAAAGAACTACAGCAATTCATTTTATGGGAAAATATGCTATGACTACATTTTTTAAAGAACTATATTTTTTCTAAATAAGAGTACTAAGAAACTCTATAAAAATTTATTAAAATTTAAAAATTCATTTTTGTGAATATTTGTAATGTGCCAGACATTTTCAATGTATAATTTAATTTAATTTTCACATTCATCTTTTGAAGTTTCATCACTCCTGTTTTAAAGATATGAAAACTGAGGTTCAGCTTCAGAGAGGTTATGTAACTTGCCTAAGGTAGGATTCCAGCAAAGATCTAGAAACTCCAAGACCAATGCCGGCTTACTTACAACATGAAATCAGCATTGAAATCGATTTTCTTTTCAGGTTTCAGGGCTGATTCAATTTTTGATTGAATACTAAATTCAGTTCTTGCAAATCTTTGTCTCACTTCTTTCATTTGGGTTGGAGGCTATGGCGGGAGATTCTGAAACTCTTTGAAGTGTATTTTTTAGATTATTTTTAAACTTACCAAAAAGTGACTTCATCATTTTACCCAAAGATTTAGAGGGTAATTTGCTTTGTCTTTGAAGTTTAATAGTTGTTTTTAGGATGTGTATCAGAACGTATCGTTTTGGGTTTATTCTCTCCACATTCACTGTGGGTCGTTTAACATCTACATTTAAGTCTTTACAATTCAACATTCTGCCCTAGAATTGTTTTTGTTTTTTTGTTTTTTTTTAATAATGTTAAGCATTAGTTCAATCTATTGCTTGGTTTTTCTTCTGCAGACATTACTGTGTTAGACCTTTTTCTGTATTTATTTCTATATCATTTTATCTGTAATTTTTAAACTTTTTTGCATGTTTTTTTATACCTCTTTTCAATGCATCTCAGTACATTTTCAGTTGATTCTATTCCTCCCTAGATATTTGTAATTAGTGTTCATTTCCGATACAATTTTGTTCTTTTCCTCAAATTTTTCCAGGCTTAACTATCATCTTTTTCTATAGAGTGCTTTTGATGATACTTAACTCATGGTAGAGTGTTACGTTACAGTTTTCCTCTGCTTTATATCTGCATTGTGGTCCTTTGTAAAGGTTTCGTGCTTTTGCCAGAGCATTAAGTTGTAGAAGAGGAAAAAGATATTTTTCTCTTTCCCTTCCTCCTATGTTGTTAGGTGGGGGCCCTGTTAGCTAGACTGACCAAAGATTAACAAGAGAAAAAGAAGCAGAGGTATATTAACATGTGCCTGGTGCATATACCTGAGAGCTCTCAGAGATATGTGTGCCTCAAAGAGTGGTTAGACCATGGGTTTATATAGCTTCTTCACAAAGAACAACACATTTGGCTGGGCTAGGTAGCTCATGCCTGTAATTCTATTAATAACACTTTTGGAGGCCAAAGTGGAAGGATCACTCAAGGCCAGAAGTTCAAAACCAGCTTGGGCATTACAGCAAAACCTCATCTCTAAAAAAATCAAAATTAAAATTAAAAAATAGCCAGTTGTGGTGGTGCACACCTGTAATCCTAGCTACTTGGGAGACTGAGGTAGGAGAATTGCTTGAGCCCAAGAGTTTGAGGTTGCAGTGAGCTATGATCATACCACAGCACTCCAGCCTGAAAAACAGAGCAAGACCTGTCTCTAAAAACAACTGAGTTTTAAGGATGGCAAGCTGTGAGAATGTAAACACAGGGGAGATACTACTGGAAGATAGGGCTAGTTAGTAGGTTGGTTGTATAGATTCCTCTGGTAGCGCCTCCAGGTTGGTAAGCGTCTATAGTTGTCTTCGATAATTAATTTCTGTCTTCCTAGTACAGAGGGGAAGGGGGACATCTTTACAAAGTTATGTCTTGCTTTTAGGCGAATAGGGGGAGGGCAGAAAGCTTTTCTTGTATCTGCTTCTTTTTCACTGGCTTCAGCTAAAAATAATTCTTATGCCAAGTGACATATTTTGGAGTGGTATCTTCTCCTACCCTTCAAGGTCCTTTTCCTTAGGGAGTGTGAATTTGGGTGACTTACAAGGTTTCTTAATTTAAAAGTACCCTTTTTTATTGTTGGAGAGTTTCATTCCTTTAATATATAGTCTTTTTGGACAGATAGGTTTTGTTGTTGTGTCTTGCTGTGATAATGCTTTAACTTCAGTAGGATTCTTCATTTTCATTGACTGCTCCTTCTTTCCCTTCATGGATGAGTCTGAGAGTCATCTCACTCTTCTGGGATATCTTTCCAATAATGCCCTTCTGGTCTGCACACCTCCAAGCCTCCTCCTTTCTACCATCCAAGTGGCAATTCTCTCTTCCCCAGGTCTCACACTGTAGTCACTACTTCCCTCTGGGGATGGGGAGCAGGGAGACCTGTCTTTTCTATGGGTAATTTCTACTTGGTTTGCCAGGACTCCTACCTCTGTATGCTCTGCTCTGCCCTGTGCAGTCTCCACCGATTTTCTGCTTTTCACAGGCTCTTGAGCCAGCTGGGCTGGTCTTGATGTTCACTTCCCCACTTCCATGTAAACTGACATATGAGATAGTCTCTGTGTCCTTGTTACACAGTTGGCATGGATTTATATCTCTGTATTTTGGGCTTTTCATACAGAGATTCAGAGTTTGAGGCTACAAAATTGAACTGTTGATTCTAATTTTATGTGCTCTTATGTATTTTTATCTTCAAAATCTGTCTACTTCTGAAAATACACATGAAAAAATTTCCCATTACTATTGTAATGGGATTGTGCATTTATCAGGTTCCCTTGTATTTCCAAAGCTGTCTGCATGGTGAATATTGTGTTGCTGATTATGACAACTCTCTTTTCTTTGGAGATGATAACATCTGTTGTTTTATGCCATTCACTGTCACCTTTAACAGCTTTGGCCTTGCATTGCATTTATCTGATGTTGCCATCACCATTTCATAAGATCACTTATGGTCTTCATTGTCCTGGTTGCTCTGACCACCGCTCCATTTCCAGTGCTTCTTACTTTATGTTACATGTGTCTTGTGAACATCATAGAGCTGCATTTTGCTTCCAAGCAAAATATGAGATTCTTTAATTTTGAAAGAAGAATTCAGTCCATAAATATTATGCATATTTGGCACAATAATTTCTACACTTGCTTTTGTTTCTACTGTACTATTTTGCCACTTTATTATCTTAGCTTTTGCTTCTTCAAATACATTTGTTCCCCCATCTTTATTGCCACACGTGGTCCAAATTATGTCAAATCTCAGCTACTTGATCTCCTCATTTTCACTCTTATCTTTCAATTCAGTTTACGTACAGCTGCCAAAATAATATTTTAAAAATTTAAACCAAATTATATCACTCCTCTGCTAAAACATTTTAATTACCACCAGGTGCAATTAGAATAAGATTCACATTCTTATTGTGCAATGAGACTGCATGATCTGTCTCCTCATGTGGCTTTCCAATCTCCTTGTATTTTTCTTTTTTGCTATCACATTCTCATCCATTGACACTAGCGTTTTTACTGTTTCTTAAAAGTGCTAAACTTGTCTAGGACTTTGGAACATTGCCTTTACTCATTTTGGAAGATCTCCCCCACTAACTCTTCAACTGGCAAGCTCCTCTTAACCAGCAAGATCTCAGGTTAGATGTCTCCTTCCTTGACAATGTTGAAAAACACCTGGCCCTCATAATTCTCTATAGCATGGAATGATTTATTTCCTCTAGAGCAGTAGGCAATAAACAAATAAATGAAATAATTACAAATTGTCAGTTTACAGCTGCTAAAATATAAGTTTTATGAAGTCAGGGGTCATGTTTGTCTTTTTTTGCATGGTCCATCGAAACCACAGAGATCCTCTATCACTTTCTCGATTGGTTCTCTTCCCTCTCCTTTCACTGTGGTATCAAGATCAAGATCTTTAAGTGGCACATAACATCCTCCATGATCTTTTCTTATTGACCTCTCTAGTCTCATCTTTTAAACTCACTCTATTTTTTAATGATCTAGGAATATCGCCTCAGTGTCAATTTCTCTCATGCTGTTGTATCTGCTTGAAATGACCTCCCCCACCTCTTCCCTTCTGCTTATCCTGTGTTGGCTAAATCCTATTTATGCTTCCACGATTAGCTTAGAACTTATCTCCTCTAGGAAGCTTTCCTTAACCCCAGTCCTTCCTGGCTGAACTAAGGACTCACTTTTGAGCTCCCTTAAGTCCACATAAGCATTCCCAATGTTGATTGGTGCATGATAATAATATAATCTTATGTTCCCTCTTAGAAAATGTATGGTATGTGATAGAGAAGGGGTTTTAGGTTAAAAGGTTTCTTTTATTTTGGATCAGTATGATATTAAAGAATTTATTACAAAGTTCATTGAATAAAATCTTTAATGTATACTACATTGACACAAATATTGACTTTTCCCTCTTAATAAATTATCAATTTTTAAAATATAGCTCAAGTTAGTGAATAAAAATCATGCTTAGTCACTAACTAATCTAAATATATACTATTGTGTGTGGTTTGAAAATGAAATATATATTTTAGTGTAAAAAATTTTAACTGTATTCAAACCCTGATGCTTAAATTTTTATTTTGTTCTAAAAATAACTTGTGATTTGTTTCTAAATGAAAATCTCAAACAGGCTTTTTCAGGATACTCTTTGAAACAGTTCTCTTTTAATAGGGCACTGAAAAGGTGAATAGTTCTTGTTCAAAATAGATAAAAGGCTAGTTTGGTATAGTTTTACAATGTTAACTTGCTAAAAATTATGAAAACATTTTTATGTGCTACAGAAAAAAAGTTTGACAAGACAGATGCTTAAAACTCTAGTGAAGGTCAATTTGAATTACATTTTCAAACCTCCTTTTATATTTTTCTCCCTCACTAACATGTTATACATCAATATCAATGTGTAAAAGGGGTATTTAAAAAGAAAAATTCTCAAATTTCTGAAGACCTCTGATTCTCTAAATTTACCAACTTCTAGTTACTTCAACTGTAGATCAGAAGTGATGGGAAATTTTGTTTATGTTTGTTGAGTGTTGTATATGAGAATGATAACATAGTTATACTGTGGTAGGCGGAATAATGATCTCCAGAGACATCCTTGTCCTTCCTAATATCTGGAACTTGTGCTAGAGCAAAAGTGAATTTGCAGATGTGATTAAGTTAAGGATCTGGGCATGGGGAGCGATGCTGGATTACCCAGATGAGTCCAATGTAATCACAGGAGGGCCAGAGTCAGAGAAAGACATGCAATGAGGAAAGCAGAGGCAGGAGTGATGTGAAGGGGCCATAAGCCAAAGAATGCAAGTGGCCTCTGGGATCTGGAAAAGGCAAGGAAACAGATTCTCCCCTAAAGCCTTGAGAAGAAATGCAGTCTTGCTGACACCTTCATGTTAGGATTGATGACTTTCAGAACTGCAAAATATTTGTGTTGTTTGAAGCCACCAAGTGTGTGGTAGTTTGTTACAGCAGCAAGAGGAACCTAGTACATAGACATAGTTTAAGTTTACCTGTATAAAATGTCAAATAAGATGACAAAGAAGGATTTTAGCAAAAATGTGAAACATCTTTCTATATAGGAGGACTAGTATACGAAAATGGTGGGTGAGGAGACTCACAGACAAATGAATGAATGGCTCCTTATCTTATACTTGGTTGAGTGCCTGTGTCAAATCAAAGGGATGCAAGCCTCTAATAAGCCATCCTAGTATTCACAGAGGCTTCCACCTTGAAATTCCATGACAGACATCCCCATTCTCAGAATATCTGCCATTGAGTTCCTAGGTTTCCTCTCCATGTGCCCTATCATCTCCACTCTCCTTGTCTAAAATACGTTTTAAAAGATTTATGGATACTTCCCCTTTCTTCTCTTGGTTTCACTGTTATCTGGGTAAATAG
Source organism: Homo sapiens (assembly GCF_000001405.40). Lineage (NCBI taxonomy): Eukaryota > Metazoa > Chordata > Mammalia > Primates > Hominidae > Homo > Homo sapiens. The sequence goes on from NC_000008.11 coordinate 57,630,714, forward strand.
ATGTGTTTATGTACTGGGGGAACAGGGACAGCTATGGAATCAGGACGAAGTTCCTATCAAATAAGTATTCCTTTAGTAATTTGTGCTTTTTTTTCTTTTTTCTTTTTTTTGAGATGGAGTCTTGCTGTGTTGCCCAGGCTGGAGTGCAGTGGTGAGAACTCGGCTCACTGCAAGCTCCGCCTCCCGGGTTCATGCCATTCTCCTGCCTCAGCCTCCCAGTAGCTGGGACTAAAGGCACCCGCCACCACGCCTGGCTTATTTTTGTGTGTGTGTTTTTTAGTAGAGACAGGGTTTCACCGTGTTAGCCAGGATGGTCTCGATCTCCTGACCTCATTATCTGCCTGCCTCAGCCTCCCAAAGTGCTGGGATTACAGGTGTGAGCCACCATGCCTGGCCAGTAATTTGTTCTTAACCTAAAGGTAGGCTGAACTGAGGAGACAGAGATCAGAGTCCGGGACAGCTGACATTCCTTGAATCTGCAGAGGAAGGCACTGGAAAACAGAGAGGTACTTATTTAGGAGGAACTCCACACATCTAAAGGGGGTCCTCATGAGTCCTTGACCAAGAGCTGGGCTTGATATATGCAAGCTGAGCCTTCTTAAGGCTTTCCAGAGAATAGAAGCTACAGGATTGAGAGTCAACCAGATCTATTAGCAGTCAAGTAGTGTTGGGGTCATTGGTGTGCCCAGATGGAAAGATGTTAAGGCTTTAACGTGGGATATCCAAAGAAGACATCAAAAAGGCTGCATCTTAGGAGTAAGGACCATGACTGAAAACAAGGGCTACTCTATACCTACCCCCAAAGCTTGAAACCAAACACCAATAAGAAGCACAGAGTAGATAAAGTTTGGAGGTTGAGTTCTGCCAAGCAAAAATGGTTTAGGGTTTCCCACAGAACCAAACCAAAACATATAAAATTAAGATTAAACAATTTAAAGGAAATCAGTGAAATTAGCCAATAATTAAACTGCCTACTACACACAGTTATCGGCTCTCCTTAGGAAAAAATTACAGAAACTAAAATATCTGAAATACATCCCCTTCATGTTTTCAAAACAATAATAAATTAATAGACATACAAAGAAACAGAAAAACTTGGCCTATACTCAAGAAAAAAGCAATCAGTGGAAAATTAACCTAAGATTCTCTCAATGTTATATTTAGCAGAATAATATTTTAAGCGCTTATTATGTGTTCAAATGATTTTTAAATGTCCTCAAAAATTATAGTGTTAACAAGTGAATAGACAGAGAATTTAGCAAAGAAACTGAAACTCTAAGAAAGGAAATAAATATACTCTAGGACTAAAATTACAGTGGCAGTAAACAAAAAATTCTCTCAATATTCAGGACAAACTGGAAGTAGGACAAGCTTGCTGTAGAAAGATCAATATGAATGAGGAAGTCTGAATAACAGGCAGAAAAAAAGACTGAAGAAAAGAAAAAGAATAGATACTCATGGAAATAAATGGCAGTATTAAATGACCTAGCACAAGTATAACTAGAATCCCAAAAAAAGAGTGAGAAATAGACAGAAAATATATTTGACATATAATTACCAGAATTTTCTCAAATTTGATGAAAATTATCAACTCATAGATTCAAGTAGTTTACTTAGTCCAAAATGGAATCAAACATTTTAGACTTAGGCATGTAATAGTCAAACAACTGAAAAAAGAAAAGAAAGATTACTTGAAAGCAGTCAGATGATGAAGGTGATGATGCATTACATACAGAAAAACAAACATAAAATTATAAATTATTTCTAATGAGAAGCCATGGGAGCCATAAAATCATGGAACAACATGTAGAAAGCATTGAAAGAAAAAAAAGGTCAGCCTGGAATTCTATATCCAATAAAAACTCCCTACAAAATATGGATAAAATTTTTTAAAAATTCAGATGAACAAAAGCTAAGATAATTTGATCTCTTACAATGACTTATACTACACAATATGTAAAAGATTGTTAGACCTAAGGAAAATCAGAACAGATGAAAACTTAAATATACAAGGTTTCACAAACAGCACTGGAAATGGAAAAAAAAAATGTATAAAAAGTTGACTTTTTCTTTGTAATTTCATTATAAGATCATTGTCATTTAAAACAAAAAGAGTATCATTTAAAGAAGGGTTATAATACATGTAAAAGTTAAAGAAAAATGAAAATAATAGCACAAAGGATAAAGAAATATGTAAAAATTGAACATTTTTTACAGTCTGAGAAAAAAGAACTGCTATGAATAAAGAAGGATATTTCAAAATAATAAGAAGATCATTCTTCAAGAAGATATAACAATCATCAATGTATGTGCTACTAATAACAAAGATCAAAAATTCATAAAGCAAAACTGACTAAAGTAATGAAACAGTGAAATCTATAAACAGTGATAAATATTTCAAAATCGCTCTCTCAATAATTTATAGAACAAAAATAAAGATTAGGAGAACCTGAATAGCACTATCAAAACAGATTGACCTCATTGGCATTTATAAAATGTGACATCTGACAATTTCATAAGATCCATCCCTTTGAAATATGGGAAATGAAGGATATATTCATACAATGAAATTCTACACAATAATTAAAAGCAATTACTGACACATACAATAACACAGGAGATTCTCATAACCATTATTTTGGTGGTTATGAGAAAAGAAGCCAGTGCATACGTTTGTTAAATTTTAATGAACCATACATTTAAAATGGATGCATTTTATTCTACCTAAGTAATACCTCAATATTCATTAAAAATACATCTAACAATGAAGAAACACAGCTTAAGACTATATGATGGTCAAAACCTACCTTAAATGGAGTGGTTAAAAAAAACCCAAATGATTGAATCAAGAGCACATCATGTACCTTTTATGAATATCTGTCAAAGTTGACTTTTATGAATATCTGTCAAAGTTGACTTTTATGAATATCTGCCCAAGTTGACTGTATCCTCATAGACACTGTTGAACAACACTTTTTTAAAGTTAAAAATAATTATATCATTTATTGCTTGCTTTCTCAAAAATAGAAATATCATGATAGCCCTAACTCCCATAAATACTTCATAAACCTTAAGGAAATTGTCAACCACTATTTAGGAAATCCTGCCTTTTGCATATTTTTTATTATGTAGATCATACTGCATCATAATCATCTTAAAATGTGCTGCTTTCCCCTAGTAGACTATGAACATAGTGATATTAGCTACTACATTTCATTAATCTTGTGATTTTAGGAACTTGCATAGAGCCTGACACAAAAATCAGTGCTGAAAGATACATTTGTTGAATAAATCCATCAATCAGAAGAAGAACAAAAAAACCTAAAAAACTATTTTGATCAAAGTCATATCTTGGGTGTGAATTTTGTTTCTTCTAATATTTTTGGATATTGCAGCATTAATTCTTAATTTAAATAATAAATTGAATAATTTAAATTTTTAAAAGAAAAACATGAGCAGAAAACAATATAATTTTTAAAAAAATTTTAGGAAAGAAAAACAAAATAGAAATGTTTTGAAAACAAATGGCTATTTGTAAGGAATGTCTGAGAGCTTTTAAGCATCAACCATCAACATATTGGTAGCAGGTGGCCACCAACGGAAAGCTACTTTTAAAAGGAAATTGTTCTTATCATTTTATACCATCAGAGATTTTATCCTGTGGTTTTTCTTTATAAGGAAACATTGGCAAAACTTGCAATAGAATAATGAGAGATTATGTGGGAAACTAGGGAAAATATGTAGAAATTTTCAATTATTTTTTATTAACCAGAGGATTATTCCTATTCTCTGTAGCATATATTGATTTAAAAAAACAATAATACTAATTAGTATCAATCCTCCTTTCTGTACTGCCTATGCTTTTGTTGGAAAAAGATGGTCTTTAATCCTTCCCATACCTCCAAACACCATACGTATCAAATGAAAATATTTTTGTCCGGCATGTGTATCTTTCATGGTCACAGAAATCATGGCATTTTTACTATAAAAAGAGAGATTAGAAGCATATTCTGCCTCCTCCCCAAATTTACATAAATTGAATCTAGAGATTAATTTGGCTTGAGAAATATTTGAGAATAACTGGTTTCATTTTATTTTTACGTGTTTAACGTGATTTATTTTTCCTAACATGAAATTTTTAAAACTACATCTTAAAATAAGTGCATAGATTTTGAATGGCCTTTTTAGAGACTAGCTAAAAGAGATTTTGCAAAGCTCCCTTCTGTTTATGGATCTGATCTAAACGGAAATGGGACTGGCTTTCTCTTTGAATACCAGAAGGAGCCATTAGCCTCTCTGGGCCAGGAGAAAGAAAGCATTCTTGCTGTTGTTCTTCCCTTCCTCTTTCAATTCCATCCCCAATTCCACCCCAAAAGCCAGATCCAGGAGTGAACACCATTTGACCCGCCATAGTGTGGGCCACATTGGTTCCCAAAGAGTGGAGGGGTACATTTCACCTCAAAGGTAACATTATTGCCCCTACTGGCAAAGCATAACAAAGCCAGAAGGTCCTCTGGAAGAAAAACTATAGTTACTCATCAGCCAGCTGCTAAGTTGGTCCTTTAAGTATGATGCTAATTCATTCACTGCTTTTTCATGCCTATTTCTTTATTTTTCTTTGACTAGATTGCATAATAATTTCTGTCTGTTGAAGTCCTTCTAATTCTTCAATGTCCAGCTCAATGAAAATTTACTGAAAATAATATTTAACACATTTATAAAGGACATATAGCTTTGATCAAATAAATGCTTAGGTTGCAAATCAATATATGAAATATTAAAAAGAAAACCTATGGAGACCATCGTGTCTGATTTGGCTTTCCGTTTTCTGAAGTCTGCAGACAATCCATATTAATATTCATTACCTAAGGAAAAAGTCTTGCTAATTGCAGCCAGAGACTTTTCTTTTATTTAGCAACACAAAGATAAAAGCAAACCAATGAAATCCTTGCCAGACACCATTAGTGTGAATTAATCTCGTGTTCTCCTGTGACTCTCAACTGGCTTAGAGCAGTTCAAAAATTTAATTATACAAATATTGATTGAGGACCTGTTAAGTATAAAAGAACATGATATGGGCTAAGGATACACACATGAATAAGATATGAGTTCACCGGTCAAGAAGTTTACAGAGAAAGAAACAATGAATACCCCCAAGGGGGTGCTGTAAATATTAACAAAAGTCAGGGAAATGGAGGAAGAAATTTACAAATCATGATCTGTGGGGGTGGAAAGGCATCCTAAGCAGAAAGGAAGGAGAGAATTGAGAAGCAGGGTGCTGGGAGGACAGAGAATTATCTACTGTGACAATAGCTCTTGTGTAACTAAAAATTGCCTGAAGAGTGAGTTAAAAATGTGTATTCAAAGGCTGCCTTTCTGGAAAGTCTGATCAGCAGGACTGGAATGGGGTCAAGGGCATGCATCTCAGGTGAATCTGATATTGGTGACCTGTAGGCAACCCAGCGAGACATCATGGCCCAAACACAGACGATAGGGACATGAAATGAAGTTGAGACTGAAAATCTGCTGAGGATGAAATCGTGAAGGGATTTGAATGTCCTGGGAAGAAAAATTCAGTTGAAGACCATTGAAGATTTTAAGAAGGAAAACTGAGATTGGGGTTTGGAAATCTGACTTTGGTAATGATGAAGATGATGAATTGCAGAGTCTGAAGACTTAGAGGAGACAAGTGCAGACACTTTTGCAATAGAAAGAAGGTTAGCAACAGGTGACATCAGTGAGGAAAGAGCAGAGGGGTAAGACAGGCAATGCCAACAGGACTTTGAGCAAATATGGTTTAGGGAACTCAAGGGCTACATGCCTGAGTCAACAACTGGACCTGTTACTCCAATAACACATCCCTCAGGTGGGTTGGTTCAGTAGTCCACATTCTCCTGATTCAAGCTGTACCTGCCCCTAATTATGTCCTCACCTTTTCGAATTATAATACCTGGTTGCTTTCAACAGTTTTCTGTAACCTTGATATATGTTCTTTTATCACTTGAATGTATTCAACTTAATCACTTACTGCCTGATTGAATTCTGCATTCCTTTCATATTATTCTCTACCTATTATTCTATAAACACGATTATCATTTCATTAAAACTCAGATTCTTCTTTCATGGTTGCCTGGGTCTTCAGCTATAACACTAAGTGATAACAGTATTTTGTTTTAAGATTGGATACATTTTTGAGGAATAGACAGGGAGCAGAGATGGTTTAATGTTATCCTATTGATGAGAATATTGAGGCACAAAGAGGAGAAACAGCTTAACTAGAGTTAGCTCACTTTAGTAGTCAATAGAGCTCCTCTCAATTATCCTGGTATTTCATGCTCAAAGTCTCAACATTATACAATTTTGGCTCTTTTTAAAAAGAAGATTAGTGAATATTTGTATATGAAGATTTAAAAAAATCTAAATAGCAATATGAATTGATCACAGAATATTAAAGATTATGAAAAAGCAACTTTAGAGAATTCTTGATGCTTACCAAGCAGGTCTATCAAAGAAAGAATTTCACTGTTAAGTTTAGTTCAATTTTAGCGGCATCTCTTGCATTTAAACAAACAAACCTGCCATTTAGAAAGTAAAAGACATGGCCAATTTTCAGTCCATTTTCTGTCTTTTAAATTCCTCAGGAAAAATAGCCGACATTATTCTACTCTGTCTCATCAACAGCATTAGACCAGAAGGGAACTTAGATTTATGGGATGATTTCATGTTTAGTGTATCTCAAAGTAGAACACAAAAAGTAATAAATTCAGTAGAAATTATACTTAATGTTGACCAAAGTAATCTTGGTTCTGCTAGAAAGAGCAACGAGCAAGAACAGTTTCTTCCTTGAAGGATTTTACATTTTATAGAGCTCTAGTTATTTGCTCTTAATCTGATAAATTTATATCATTGTGGAAAGTTGAGACTCGTAATACTTAGTAACTTTTTGTTCATTCAAAGAGGTTATGTGGACCTGGTAAATTACATCAGTTTGCATGACACATTGAGTAAATCCAGTATTTATTATTCTAATAAACATTTATTTCACGTTATATATATTTATTTCTCTACAATTATATGTGTATGAAAAAATCTTTAACATGTGTATTGGTGGAATGAAGCAATTGTTGCATGAAGCAATTGTTGCATGCACTATTACCTAACAGCAGCTGGTAAATTATCAAGATGCCACCCTGGCTGTATGTATGTGAAACACATGTAGGTAACCTTGAAACAAATGGGAATAGGTGCACTCTTAAGAGTTTCATAAATAAAGTAGGGGCAGGCAGTCAAGACAGGAAAGGATGTTCACAAATTGGCAAAGTTTTGTCACTGTTAAAAATGCAGAATAGACTTTGAGATGTTCAGGGCAGTTATTATATAGTTGTAGATATTAGTGTATTGATTTACAATTAGCCCAAGTCTACCAATTTTTGACCACCCAATCGTGGCCTCTCTTACACAATTATAGTCCACAGAGAACACTTTGCTGTGTGCTGAATGATTTCACAAGTTTAGATGACGATCCCATGAATCAGATATTACCATCAGTCCTTCTCATATGAGGAGTTTGAGGCCCAGAGAGATTAACAGATACAATTAAGAAACCACAGTTCGTAAGCAGTGGACTTAGACTGGAGCCTGGGCTTCTGACACCTGTGCTCCTTCCGAAGACCTTGTTTCTCATGAATGCTCTTTAAATATTTTGACTTACCTACTGATATAGTTTGGATGTTTTCCCCTTTAAATCTCATGTTGAGATGGAATCCCCAATGTTGCCGGTGGGGTCTGGTGAGAGGTGTTTGGGCCATGAGGGAGGATCCCTCATGGCTTGATGCTGTCCTTGCAATAGTGAGTGAGTTCTCATGATACCTGGTTGTTTGAAAGTGTGTGGCATCTTCCTCCTCACTGTCTTGCTCCATCTCTCACCGTGCGAGAGGCCTGCTCCTCCTTGGTTTTCTGCCACGATTGAAAGCTTCCTGAGGCCTCCCAGAAGCTGAACAGATGTCGCACCATTCTTCTTATACAGCCTGCAGAACTGTGAGCCAATTAAACCTCTTTTCTTTATAAATTATCCAGTGTCAGGTATTTCTCTTTTTTTTTTTTCCAAGACAGAGTCTTGCTCTATCACCCAGGCTGAAGTGCAGTGGCACGATCTCGGCTCACTGCAACCTGTGCCTCCCAGGTTCAGGCAATTCTTGTGTCTCAGCCTCCCAAGTAGCTGGGATTACAGGCATGCACCACCACGCCTGGCTAATTTTTATATTTTTAGTAGAGACAGGGTTTCGCTATGTTGGCCAGGCTGGTCTCGAACTCCTGGCCTCAGGTGATCTGCCTGCCTCGGCCTCCCAAAGTGCTGGGATTACAGGCATGAGCCACTGCGACTAGCCTCAGGTATTTCTTTATAGCAACGCAAGACTGACTTAACACACCTGTGTACCAAACAAATTCTTGGCTTCAAGAGGGATATTTTATAGTATGAAAATCTTCCAATCAATTTCCTACAAATGGAGGCTGAGACAGGCAATGAATCGGAGATAAAACCATATAATAAAGTACGTAAATCCTTCAACGATGAGTAATTAAATGGTTTCTCCATGCATAATTTCAGAATTACTTGTATGATACTTTTTAGCTAAACAGTTTAGTTGCAGACACAAAGCATCAATGAAGGGAATGAACATCATGGATGACTCAGAAAAATAATCCATTACAATCACCTTTCCATTTTTACTGACAATAGGTTATTCAATCAGCTTTTGTGGTCAATGATACTGATATAGTGACTAACAGTTCTTTACCTTCTGTGGGACTTCCTGTTTTCAGAATATTTACAAGATTTTCCCAATGCAGACAAGACAAGGAAGATTCTCAATTTAATTTTTTTATAAAGTCTTCAAGCTACAGTTAGTTTAAGTAGCTTGTTCTGGATAATAAAGCCTCAAATTATGAAACATCCTTGAGAGAAGCGAAATTGAAAAAAAAATTAACATTGTCTGTTCAAGAGAATTTGACTGATACTATCAGAAACAGTTAGTTCTCCCAAGCTTGATTCCAGGGGATGTCTTTTCACTTACTGCCTATCAACTAGCCATTCAGCTTTCAGTAAGTGAGTGTGAATTAGCCATAGATCCTCCACTTGTCTGATTACTTTGAGGTTTCACATCTTATTTTATCATTTGGTCAGGTGGTAGAGACCAGTTCAACTCTGTCATACATTGGCATTCTTGCAATTTGCTTTCTCAATTTCTTGTGTAACATTAAGGAGAATAGACCAATGCCTATGAATATGTATTTATATGCACAGTTAATTTTGATAGCAGTTTGTTCTTGTGGCTCATTCCTGGAATTATTTGTAGTGAGTTAGAGAATATAGTGCCATGCTTTATTAATACATGACAGAGACATAATTTTTTTTCAAACTGAAAAGGATCATTTGACTAATAGGTCACAGAATGGCAATTACTGTAGAAGTGCAGGTTACAATGCTGATAGAAAATCATTAACAATGGCATTTGATTTAAAACTGCTAATTTCTGAAACATTGGCTAATTTCCTTCAGGCAGAAGCCAAAAAAAGCATTGAGGGTCGGGGATCAACTAGGTCTAATTGCTTTCAAATTTTCCTGTCTGTACCTGAGGGTGAGACTGCCTTCTTTGGGCACATTGGGAAATTTTTTCCAGGCTTCTGAGGGATAAGGTCGAATGAGTGCAATTACCAGAAAATAGGTGAGGCTTAATGTGTTTTTTTATATTTGAATGTCCTACTGTAAGGCATAGGCATTAATCATTTTTGAAGGAAACTGGTCCAAAGCACTTAATGAAAATATTTTGCTTCTGACCAGCTCAGCCTTTGCACCACTGGCCAGATCATGGAATGGCTATCTTAATGTGGAATTTTAGTTGCAGAGCAGATTCAACTCAATAGAAATTATATCCAGTAATAGATACGTTATTAAACTAAAATTTAGGATGATTTCAACTCCAGGTAACAAAAAAAAATACCCTCACTCAACTTGCTTTAAAAATAACAAATATATCTACTTCACACAAATTTTGGAACTAGTTACTGCCAGCCCCAGTTACGGCAGAAAATCAAGAACGTCAGTTTTTCAATGTTGACATCATCATGCTGGCTCCCCTCACAGGCATTATGTTTGCATGACAATGTTCAGAAGCAAGAAATAGATATGCTCTCTCATAAGTCTTATGATTAGTAAGGGAAGACTTTCCCAGAACCTTCTTAGTAGATTTATGCTCACATCACATTTACCATAATTGGCTCACACACAAAACCAAAAGGTCCACCAAGATTGGTTTTGAGCAAGCACGAGTCATGGTGTGAGGTCCTCCTCCCTGGAAAGATGGGACCAGAGGAGTAGGATGGTTACCTAGACAAAGAAAGGAGTGAACAGTGATGTATAGGTAACAAACCATATCTGGTAAAGATATCAATATACCTGTATAATTTTTTTAAATGTCAGTTACTCAAAAAAATCAATATATTTGTGGTTTCTATTTGTACTTACTGTTGAGTCTTGAAATAATACTCAAAAATTTTAAAGCATCATCTCACATGTATTATCTCCTTTAATTGTCATGTAACTGGCTTTAATTGTATAAACCACAAACACGGGTATGCAAAAATCTAACACTGTGTTTTATAACATTATAACCTTGACACACTGTTTTAACTGGTCGCAGAAAAATTAATCTTATTAAATGCATGTTAAACTCAGTTAATTTAGAGTTTTATTAGTCAAATAGAATGTTCCTCTTCCCCCAGCCCCACTAAGATTGCATATAAGCTTTTGTGGGGTAGGAATGGGAAGATTACACACTAGCAAGGCAAGTGGGAAGTAAGAGATGGAGCACAGCGTTTGCTTATTGGCTATGACATGGCCATACCCAACAGGATCCTCTGAACTGTCTGTCACCAGTCCTGGGCCTAGGTTTTTTTTTTTTTTAATTATACTTTAAGCTCTGGGATACGTGTACAGAAGGTGCAGGTTTGTTACATAGGTGGTTTGCTTCACCCATCAACCTGTCACCTAGGTTTTAAGCTCCGTATGCATTAGGTATTCATCCTAATGCTATCTGTCCGCTTGCCCCCCACCCCCTAACAGGCCCCGGTGTGTGATAGTCCCCTCCCTGTGTCCATGTGTTCTCATTGTTCAACTCCCGCTTATGAGTCAGAAAGGGAATCCTTTCCCTATTTCTTGTTTCTGTCAGGTTTGTCTAATATCAGATGGTTGTAGATGTGTGGTGTTATTTCTGAGGCCTCTGCTTTGTTCCATTGGTCTATATAGCTGTTTTGGTACCAGTACCATGCTGTTTTGGTTACTATAGCTTTGTCATATAGTTTGAAGTCAGAGAGCATGACGCCTCCAGCTTTGTTCTTTTGGCTTAAGATTGTCTTGGCTATATGGGCTCTTTTTTTGGTTCCATATGAAATTTAAAGTAGTTTTTTCCAGTTCTGTGAAGAAAGTCAGTGGTAGCTTGATGGGAATACCATTGAATCTATAAATTACTTTGGGTAGAATGGTCATTTTCATGATATTGATTCTTCCTATCCATGAGCATGGAATGTTTTTCCATTTGTTTGTGACCTCTCTTTTCCTGGGCAGTGGTTTATAGTTCTCCTTGAAGAGGTCCTTCATGTCCCTTGTAAGTTGTATTCCTAGGTATTTTATTCTCTTTGTAGCAATTGTGAATGGGAATTCACTCATGACTTGGCCCTCTGTTTGTGTATTTTTGGTGTATAGGAATGCTGGTGATTTTTGCACATTGATTTTGTATCCTGAGATTTTGCTGAAGTTGCTTATCACCTTACGGAGATTTTGGACTGAGATGATGGGGTTTTCTAAATATACAATCATGTCATCTGCAAACAGAGATGATTTGACTTCCTGTCTTTCTATTTTAATACGCTTTAGTTCTTTCTCTTGCCTGGTTCCCCTGGCCAGAACATAGAATACTATGTCGAATAGGAGTGATAAGAGAGGACATCTTTGTCTCGTGCCGGTTTTCAAAGGGAATGCTTTAAGTTTCGGCCCATTCAGTATGATACTGGCTATGGGTTTGTCATAAATAGCTCTTATTATTTTGAGATATGTTCCATCAATACTTAGTTTACTGAGTATTTTTAGCATGAAGGTGTGTTGAATTTTATCAAAAGCCTTTTCTGCATCTATTGAGATAATCTTGTGGTTTTTGTCATTGGTTCTGTTTACGTGATATATTACATTTACTGATTTGTGTACATTGAACCAGCCTTGCATCACAGGAATAAAGCCGACTTGATTGTGGTGGATTAGCTTTTATTGATGTGCTGCTGGTTTCTGTTTGCCAGTATTTTATTGAGGATTTTTGCATTGATGTTCATCAGAGATATTGGCCTGAAATTTCTTTTTTTGTTGTTTCTCTGCTAGGTTTTGGTATCAGGATGATGCTGGCCTCATAAAATGACTTAGGAAAGAGTCCTTTTTTGGGGGTTGGGGGGTGGTTGGGGGAAACAGAGTTTTGTTCTTGTTGCCCGGGCTGGAGTGCAATGGCGCAATCTCTGCTCACTGCAACCTCAGCCTCCCAAGTTCAAGCGATTCTCCTGCCTCAGCCTCTCAAGTAGCTGGGATTGCAGGCATGTGCCACCATGCCTGGCTAATTTTGTATTTTTAGTAGAGACGGGGTTTCTCCATGTTGGTCAGGCTGGTCTCAAACTCCTGGCCTCAGGTGATCTGCCTGCCTCGGCCTCCCAAAGTGCTGGGATTACAGGCATGAGCCACAGCGCCTGGCTGGAGTCCCTTTTTTTTCTATTGTTTGGTATAGTTTCAGAAGGAATCGTACCAGCTCCTCTTTGTACCTCTGGTAGAATTCTGCTGTGAATCCTTCTGGTCCTGGGCTTTTTTTGGTTGGTAAGCTATTAATTACTGCCTCAGTTTCAGAACTTGTTATTGGTCTATTCAGGGATTCACCTTCTTCCTGGTTTAGTCTTGGGAGAGTGTATGTGTCCAGGAATTTATCCATTTCTTCTAGATTTTCTAGTTTATTTGTGTAGAGGTATTTATAGTATTCTCTGATGGTAGTTTGTATTTCTGTGGGATCAGTGGTGATATCTCCTTTATCATTTTTTATTGTGTCTATTTGATTCTTCTCTCTTTTCTTCTTTATTAGTCTGGCTAGTGGTCTATTTTGTTAATTTTTTCAAAAAAACAGCTCCCAGATTCATTGATTGTTTGAAGGATTTTTCATGTCTCTATCTCCGTCAGTTCTGCTCTGATCTTAGCTATTTCTTGTGTTCTGCTAGCTTTTGAATTTGTTTGCTCTCTAGTTCTTTTAATTGCGTTATTAGGGTGTCAATTTTAGATCCTTCTCACTTTCTGATGTGACCATTTAATGCTATAAATTTCCCTGTAAACACTGCTTTAGCTGTGTCCCAGAAATTCTGGTATGTTGTGTCTTCCTTTTCATTGGTTCTAAAGGACTTCTTTATTTCTGCCTTAATGTCTTTATTTACCCAGTAGTCATTCAGGAGCAGGTTGTTCAGTTTCCTTGTAGTTGTGTGGTTTTGAGTGAGTTTCTTAATCCTGAGTTCTAATTTTATTTCACTGTGGTCTGAGAGACTGTTCGTTATGATTTCTGTTCTGTTGCATTTGGTGAGGAGTGTTTTACTTCCAATTATGTGGTCGGTTTTAGAATAAGTGCTATGTGGTGCTAAGAAGAATGTATATTTTGTTGTGATTTGGGGTGGAGAGTTCTGTAGATGTCTATTAGGTCAGCTTGGTCTAAAGTTGTGTTCAAATCCTGAATATCCTTGTTAATTTTCTGTCTCATTAATCTGTCTAATATTGACAGTGGGGTGTTAAAGTCTCCCACTATTATTGTGTGGGAATCTAAATCTCTTTCTATATATCTAAGAATTTGCTTTATTAATCTGGGTTCGCCTGTATTGGGTGCATTTATATTTAGGATAGTTAGCTCATCTTGTTGCACTGATCCTTTTACCATTATGTAATGCCCTTCTTCGTCTTTTTTGATCTTTGGGGCCCTTCTTCGTCTTTTTTGATCTTTGTTGGTTTAAAGTCTATTTTATCAGAGACTAGGATTGCAACCCATGCTTGTTTTTTCCCATTTGCTTAGTAAATATTCCCCATCCCTTTATTTTGAAGCTATGTGTTGCACATGAGATGGGTGTCCTGAATACAGCACACCAATGGATCTTGACTCTTTATCCAATTTGCCAGTCTGTGTCTTTTACTTGGGGCATTTAACCCATTTACATTTAAGGTTAGTATTGATATGTGTGAATTTGATCCTGTCATCATGATGCTAGCTGGTTATTTTGCACATTGGTTAATGCAGTTTCTTCATAGCATCATTGGTCTATATATTTTGGTATGTTTTTGCAGTGGCTGGTACTGGTTTTTCCTTTCCATATTTAGTGCTTCCTTCAGGAGCTCTTATAAGGTAGGCATGGTGGTGACAAGATGCCTTGGCATTTGCTTGTTTGTAAAGGATTTTATTTCTCCTTTGCTTATGAAGCTCAGTTTGGCTGGATATGAAATACTGGGTTGAAAATTCTTTTCCTTTAGAGTGTTGAATATTGGCCCCCACTCTCTTCTGGCTTATACAGTTTCTTCAGAGAGATCTACTGTTAGTGTGATGGGCTTCCCTTTGTAGGTAACCTGACCTTTCTCTGTGACTGCCCTTAACTTTTTTTCCTTCATTTTAACCTTGGAGAATTTGATGATTATGTGTCTTGGGGTTGCTCTTCTCAAGGACTGTCTTAGTGGTGTTCTCTGTGTTTCCTGAATTTGAATATGGCCTGTCTTGTTAAGTTAGGGAAGTTCTCCTGGATAATATCCTGAAGTGTGTTTTCCAGCTTGGTTCCATTCTCCCTGTCACTTTCAGGTACACCAATCAATCATAGATTTGATCTTTTCACAGATTCCCATATTTCTTGGAGGCTTTGTTTGTTCCTTTTCATTCTTTTTTCTCTAATCTTGTCTTCATGCTTTATTTTATTAAGTTGGTCTTCAATCTCTGACATCCTTTCTTCCACTTGATCAATTCGGCTGTTGATACTTGGGTATGCTTCACAAAGTTCTCGTGGTGTGTTTTTCAGCTCCATTTAGAGAAGAACATTTATGTTCTTCTCTAAACTGGTTATTCTAGTTAGCAGTTCCTACAACCTTTTATCAAGGTTCTTAGCTTCCTTGCATTGGGTTAGAACATGTTCCTTTAGCTCAGAGGAGTTTGTTATTACCCACCTTCTGAAGCCTGTTTATGTCAGTTCGTCAAACTCATTCTCTGTTCAGTTTTTTTCCCTTGCTGGAAAGGTGTTGTGATCATTTGGAGGAGAAGAGGCATTCTGGTTTTTGGAATTTTCAGCATTTTTGTGTTGTTTTTTCCTCATTTTCATGAATTTAGCCACCTTTGATCTTTGATGCTGATGAACTTTGGATGGCGTTTTTGGGTGGGCATCCTTTTTGTTGATGTTGATGTTATTGCTTTCTGTTTGTTAGTTTTCCTTCCAACAGTCAGGCCCCTCTTCTGCAGGTCTGCTGGAATTTGCTGGAGATCCACTCCAGACCTTATTTGCCTGGTTATTAACAGTGGAAGCTGCAAAACAGCAAAGATTGCTGCCTGCTCCTTCCTCTGGAAGCTTTGTCCCAGAGGGACACCTGCCTATTGCCAGCCAGAGCTCTCCTGTATGAGGTGCCTGTTGACCCCTGCTGGGAGGTGTCTCCCAGTCAGGAGGCGCGGGGATCAGGGACCCACTTGAGGAGTCAGTCTATCCTTTAGCAGAACTCGAGCACTGTGCTGGGAGATCTGCTGCTCTCTTCAGAGTTGGTAGGCAGGGACATTTAAATCCACTGAAGCTGCACCCTCAGCCGCCCCTTCCCCCAGGTGCTCTGTCCCAGGAAGATGGGAGTTTTATCTGTAAGCCCCTGACTGGAGCTGCTGCCTTTCTTTCAGAGATGCCCTGCCCAGAGATGAGAAATCTAGAGAGGCAGTCAGGCCCCAGGCACTTTGCTGTGCTGCAGTGAGCC
Source organism: Homo sapiens (assembly GCF_000001405.40). Lineage (NCBI taxonomy): Eukaryota > Metazoa > Chordata > Mammalia > Primates > Hominidae > Homo > Homo sapiens. Next base: position 57,646,759 of record NC_000008.11, read on the forward strand.
CAGTCCAAACTTCCCGGCAGCTTCCTTAGTACTGTGAGGGGAAGACCACCTACTCATGCCTCAGTAATGGTGAATGCCTCTCCTCCCACCAGGCTTGATCATCCCAGGTCAACTTCAGACTGCTGTGCTGGCAATAAGAATTTTAAGCCAGTGGTTCTTAGCTTGCTAGGCTCCATGTCAGTGAGACCTGCTGACGGAGGCCACTTGGCTCCCTGGCTTCAGCCCCCTTTCCCAGGGAGTGAATGGTTCTCTCACTGGGGTTGCAGACACCACTGGGGTACCAAAAAAAAAAAAAAACTCTGCAGCTAGCTCTGTGTCTGTGCAAACAGCTGCCCAGTTTTGTGCTTGAAACCCAGGGCCCAGGTGATGTAGGCACAGGAGGGAATCTGCTGGTCTGGGGGTTGCAAAAACTGTGAGAAAAGCGTGATATCTGGGCCAGATAGCACAGTCCCTCATGGCCTCCCTTGGCTAGGGGAGGGAGGTCTCTGGCCTCTTACACTTCCCAGGTGAGGCGATGCCCCACCCTGCTTCTGCTCACCCTCCATGGGCTGCACCCACTTTCTAACCAGTCCCAACGAGAAAAACTGGGAGCCTCAGTTGGAAATGCAGAAATCACCCACCTTCTGCATTGGTCTCACTGAGAGCTGCAGACCAGAGCTGTTCCTATTCAGCCATCTTCTATTAGAACCAGACCTAGGTTGTTTTTATTCCTTCAGGCTGACTAATGCTGAGCTGTTTTTTGTCTATGCTGCCATCTATCATTGTATTCCCTCTTCCCAAATGTGAGGTTTCTTCAGGTCTACAAACATTATCAGCTTTTTCCACAATCCTCCAAACAGCATTTGACACAGTGGATCTGTCTCACATCCTTCTGGGGAAACTTGGGAGTCCTGTCTCAGAACCCCTGCCTAGGCATACGTGACATTCTATCCAATCCAATTCCTGCTTTCTATGGTGGCTGAAGGAATCCTAGGCCATCCATCTTCCATTTCTCCAGAAAAAGCGGGGCACACAAATCTACTATCTGATACCCAAACTTATGTTAGGGTTCTAATACCCCTTCCCTCCACTGGCTTAGCTAGTGGGAGAAGGATGCTCAGCCCTTTTGAGAAACCCACATTGCTAGTGTTATGGCTTCAATATAATGCTCAGAATCCTTTACAGATCTGAATTTTGAAGCTCAAAACAGAGGCGTTTTAGACTCATACACCTCTTTTGTCAAGCTATTTTCTCAGTCACAGGTTTCAAAAATCTATTTAGAAAGTTAAAAGCCTAGGGAAATTCGTGTAGGAACTCTCACTGTTGCTTGACTGTGAAGAAGGTTGGGAAATCAGGAAATGCTGTAGAAAGAGTGATAGGCAAATTATCATCCAATTATCCTGCCACACTCAATAAACTCATGATAGTGTTATTTTTAATAGATAAAGTAGCAGTGGCTAGAGGACAGTAAGGAAATGACCTCAATTAATGAGTGACTGGTTAAGGAAAGAGAAGAACTGAGAAGAACTCAGGTTTTGCATCTTGCTCCAGGTTTCTGAAGGTCCAACTGAGAATTATGTGTGGGCCAGTCACCCACAGTGGGCAAAGTCCTCAGGCTTTTCCACCCACCCTCCATTTCTAGAGGGTTTAAGGGGCTAGATAGGTTACCTAGGGAGAGACTCAACTCAGGAATAAAGAGGGAATCAATTTACTCTAAGTGGAAAGCAGGATAAGTGCTTGGCCTAGGGTTCAAGGCAGAAGTTCATTTCCAAGCAGAAGTCCGGTTCCCATGATATAAAATCATGGTCTTTGCTTTGGATGTCCCATCAGATAAGCATGACAGAGAGAAACATCAGCATGTTTCAGGGCCCCAACAACCTACGAGGCAGATGTAATGCAGAGTCTGAGAAGTTGGAGGAATTGGGATTGCCTAATACCCATTGTAGGTTAGGCTTAGTGCTGGAAATGAGATTAAGCAGAACAAGTTGGTAAAAATGATGTTGCCCCAATTATGCAGAGAAGAATGGGTGTTGATCACTTAGGGTCTGGCATGAAACAGATGACACACTCAGTGGGATAAGTGAAGAGAGGTTAATGAAGACATGATTTACAAAGGTACAGATAGATTTAAAGGAAATTAACTGAGGATAATGATGCACATCAGAGCTAATAAATAAATAAGTAAATAAGCCAGGGAATGTTACTACTCCTAGGCCTGAAGGGGCATGAATAGAGAGCAGCTTTAGGAGAAGATCACTCAGTAAGACCTATGGGCTTTGGCCATGGAACAGAGCCATTGTTGATCTTTGGTCCAGTAGAGAGGGAGCTCAAGGAATAGATCCTTCGATTTCTCTATCCGCAAACTATGATATCCTGCTGGTACCTCCTGTTGGCCAAACTTGAAGCCAGAGGGCAAGAAGCTCAGCTAAAGCACTTCCTAGAGTACAGTGTCCAGGGACAGCAGAGAGGGATAATGGATGGGTCTGAAGGGGCAAACAGCAAATGGCCAGAGCAGGCACAGGTCCTGGGAACCAGGGTGGGGTGTGTGTGTGTGTGTGCATGTGTGTGCATGTGCGTGTGTGTGTGTGTATTCCTTCTCAAGATTGCTCTCATTTGCATTATTAAATTTTATTTTTATAATCTTTGAGAGCTATTGCAAAGCTTTTGTATCCAAGATACTTTTCTTTCTATATTATCAGAAGTTCTGATCTTCGTAACTAGATTTGTGTAGACCGTAGATAGACCCTTTTACAATAAATCAAGCTTTGATTGCAGAAAACCAATGACTATGATTTCTCTACTTAGAGTTCCCAAAATTGGTCTTTGTTACATTCTTTGAGTGTGTTGATATTTTCCCTCTATCAATAAGTCAAAGTCATAGATAAAATATATTTTAATATGATGAAACCAGAAGAAACTGTGCTTTCCAATATGCAAGATGGAAGACTTAAGCAGTTGTTTTATCCAACTTGAACTCCACCTTGGAACACATGGACTTGCTTCCTGTACTTTGTCTATCAGGAGGGCAATAAAGATCTGATCTAAGCCAGAGAGTGCAGAACTAAACATTGACCTCCCTTTGCAAAAGAATATAACCTCAAGGGAAACTGATCATGAGAAGGAAATTAAATCTTCTAGTTAAATTATGGATTTACAGAGAGGAAATTCTATTCTTCCCTGAATAGGTTCAGGAATCTTGTGTGACTTTGAAGACAAAGACACACCATGTACTGTGTAGGTCAGTTAGTGAACTAAATGACAAAGTAGAAGTTGCCAAAAGAGGTAGATAACAAAACAAATGAAAAATAATTAAAGTGCCATTAATGGCAGTAGTCTACATTTTATCCCTGCCCAAACCAGGATTAGAACAAGTGTGAGACACAGCAGTAGGTGGAGGATTGGAGTGAAGGATAGAGGTGCCATTTCAGGAGCTGAGGCCTCATTAAAGTGGGAGATGGCACTGGTGAGCAGAATGAGATAGGGACAGGCACCATTTCTGTGTGATAGTGAGCAGTTTATGTCCCTTCCCTGATCCTATTGATAAAAGGGCCTGAAGGGGCAAGAATAGAAAGTAGCTTTAGGAGGGGATCATGCCATATAAGTTATGGCTGGTGTGATGATAACATCTGCCTCATTCACAACAGTAAAAGAAATGCTAACATTCGAGGGTTCCATCTGCAAGACAGTATAATTCAGTCTGTTAATTTTTTATGTTTGGAGGAATTTTTTATGTGCATGGAGGAAAGGTAGAAAATGGTTTCTTGTGAATTTTGTAGATAAATTTCTAGGAGTGTTGTGAACATTGCTTCATTTACAGGGATTGACTTGGGCCTAATTAAAGACTGGTTAGGTAAAATGGTATTTATTACTACCAGGTACACCACAGGAATTAGCACTAAGTACAGTAATGAGTAATTTGAATAATCAGTTTGGCAGATAGTGAGACAGGGCAATACTGTGTCATCACTGAGAGAGATGAACTCTCCCTTGTTTAGAGAAAAAAACAGAATAGAGTCCAGTTGGATACTTGTACCATGACTCACTAAGCCTGTAGCATAGACAGAGTGTGAATATTACAGATGCATCACACAAAGTGGAAGGCAGGAAGAGAGACATAGAAGACTTTAGCACATTAACTTGGCTTTCTGAATGACTCCATTTTCTGATTCTATGCATGATCCTCCATCCTCAATTCTCTTCTTACCTGCAAGTGTTTGTTTAATGTAAACTTTGGCTGGCCCTATTGGTCTATTAATTGAGATTTAGCTAGGGAGAGTATGAACAGGAATTACATTGAAGACTGATTTGATTTAGGCTTTCCTCTTTAAATTAACATTTTGGGGTGCCTTTAGCATACTGTGTGCCATCCTGGACATTGGAGGGTCAGTGCAAGTATCTCTGCCTTTGTCTGGTAAGATCAGTCAACATACTGGAAAAACATCACCTATGGCTCCCACGAGTACTCATGGCTTGGGGTTCAGGTCTCCGGATGGTAAGTCTGATGGTGAGAGGCAGCTTATCAGCTTCCATGTGCTATTTATGTCCTGGAATTGGGAAATTTTGTGCAGAATTGAAGTGATTTCTTCTATTCATGAAATCTTTTTATTATGACATAGAAATCTTTACCCGCATTTAAAATTCACCTTTGAGATTTCTTTTCTTTTTTCCTTTCTTTTTTTTTTCTTTTTTCTTTTTTTTTTTTTTTGATACAGAGGTCTCTCTCTGTCACCCAGTGGTGCTATCTCAGCTCACTGCAATCTCTGCCTCCCACATTCAAGCTATTCTTGTGCCTCAGCCACCCGAGTAGCTGAGATTACACACCTGGCTAATTTTTGTATTTTTAGTAGAGATGGGGTCTCGCCGTATTGGCCAGTCTGGTCTTGAACTCCTGGATTCAAGTGATCCACCCACCTGGGTCTCCCAAAGTGCTGGGATTATAGGTGTGAGCCACAGTGCCTGGCCATCTTTGAGATTTCTAAAAGAAAACTGGGCCATATCAGTTTAGTCTTCCAATGCTTAGACTCTGAAGAAAAAAAAAGCAAAGTGAGAGAAACCACAGAAAACATCCTCAGATGGCTCTTGAACCAGCAGTTCTTGGGTCTTATAGGCCATCAGTTCAAGGACAACATTCTGTCCATTAATATTTTCTTCAGAATTCTAATATTCTTCAAGATGCTGCCTTTAAAATCATATAATTCTTGAAATTCCCTTCTTCAGTGAAACCCTTCCTTGTCACTCTAGAGAAAAGATACATCTCTTTTTTCCTAAATAATTTAAAACTCAATTCTTTTGCCAATTGCTGGATACTGACCCTATATTTCCTTGATCTTTTTGAATACCAATGTCTACCTTTCAACTGGAAGCCCCTGGAGGTAAAGTTGTTGCCATATATCTTGGAATTCCCCATCATTCATAGTATGTTCTTGATAAGTATATGTTTAAAGAATTGATTTGTTAAAACTGCACGTTCGACTTTTTATTCATTTGGTCGAAAAGTTTTTTAGTGCCCTTGCCATTAACAATATACTTTATGAAATGATTGATAATGTCAAGGTGTATCAGCTGGGGATCAATAACTCTGAGCATCCACCTGTGGTCTTAGTGGTAAGATAAATCAGAAATGGTAGCTTAATTTTTAAATAATATGTTAACTTTTTATTAAAGCATAACCATTACGAATACACTCTGGACTAGTTAGCTTTCTCCCTGACAGGCTTTTCCCTGTGCTTACGTTCAGGCAGTGACCCTCAATAGCAAAGTAATTTGCCACACAAGAGAGTTTTATTGCTTCTCACCCAGGCATAGTCAAAATTCCTTGCCAAATGTCAAAGCTGTAAATACTAATGGATTGTGTAGATGTGCTTTTGGAATTCAAAACCGAAGCATATACTATATTCGTAGGGAAATACATGGAATGCAAAGTTCCAGGTCTTCTGTTTTTCCAAGTACCTAGTAGAAAGGACTGGATAGAGTGGGCTCATGATGAGTGCTGCTAAAATACGATAGTTCACCTGGATGCATTAGAGAGATTTGGGAATTCTTTCTTCATTCCTGCAGTGTACATTTGACAAGTAAATGATTTTATAACCCTCAAATTACTTCTTTCTCTTTTCCTCTGGTCTTCTGGTTCATAAAATTCAAATCAGTGGAATCATGCTTCCCAATTAATTAAACCATGTTCCCAAAATACCTGGGTAAAAATACATATGACTTACACAGGATAGGCAATAGAGTTGGAGAAATTAATTGCTAATATTGAACTGTTCTTGAGCAAGAACAATCAATGCTGAACAAGACAGAGTAAAAAATTGCCCAGAGTCTGGGTAGTGCTGGGCACTGTGTGGTTAAGCAGGACACCATAGCATTTGATACATCCTGATGCGTCTCTCTGTGATGCTTGTCTGATGTGATGTCCAAGGCAAAGAACATGCTTTTATATCCTTCACACACACACACACATGCACACACACATACACACACGCACACACCCACAGACACGCACAACTGAACTTCTGCCTAGAACCTGAGGTCAAGCCCTTATCTTGTTCCTCACTTGTAGTAAGTTTATTGCTTCTTGATTCGTGAGTTGAGTCTCTCTTGGTAAGTTACCTGGCCCCTCATATTTACTAGGACTAGAGAAATCTGCCTCATTTTGCCAATCGTGTCCATCACTTCTAGCCCCCTTGTTCTCTAACGGTATGTAAGGATCGAAATACTAGATTTGCTTATGTTTTTTTCTTTGCCCACTAATTGATTGTCTGTATAGATTTCTAACTACCAGTGGCTACAAGACCACCCTATCTATTAACATGTTCCATTTTCCTTTTAGGAATTCCTTCTGCTTCCATTCTCACCTCGAGAAATTGCATGGAACCTCCCTGATGATGAGTCTTTGCCTGAGATTAATCACCTTTGGGCTGTGGGCAACTCTCTGGACACCATGTTCTGCCAGCCTGGTTTCAGTCCCCTGTGCCCACGTTAATACAGACCACCCATTTTCACTGTGTCTACCCTCTACTGTTTGCAAGTTGCATTCTTCCTCTCAAGGCATTTTACTTAAACTTTTAGACCTTGCCTCTCCCTCAATTGGAGATGCTTGAGGAACAACGAAGGGCACTTGCCCATTAATTGCTAGGTGTTTCCCCCCTCCCCCTTTGTCCTATGTAAGCTGGTCCAGAACAGAGGAAATATTTTAGACACTTCAAAAGAGAAGGCCCAGAATGAACAGCTCTGAGTAATGAGCACAGAGAAGACGTGATGCGAGGCAGACATTTTTAAGTGAAATGTTACATATAAAGTAACACTTCAGCCTCCCACTCCCTCCTCCATCGTCTCAGAAAATATTTCATAAAATGTCCATTTCTCAGTAGTGCACTGAGGAAGTAGAGCTATCTGCCGTGTGCTTGAAGCTTCCTGCTTTGAGGTGTTGTGGGGTGAAAGCAAATGTTGCCTGTGAGGTCCATGCCATATGGATTAGCATTTCTTTTCCAAACCAAGGAAGAGAGAAAACAGCTCTTCTTCCAACGTGTCTTTAATTCTCTGTCTACTTCCATGGAGAAAACTGTTTTTAGCCTGAGAATTGTTGATTAAATTTCTTAGTTCCAGAACTCTATGTTTGTAGCAAAAACAATAAAACAACCTACACAAATATCAAAGCACTGATTAACTAGTTGTTTTGCTAGCTGCTTTTATTTATTTGTTTAAGGGAACAATTGTTTTGGTAGCAGGAAGACACAACTAAATTGTCTGCATAGCTTGGGTATGCCAGAGGGAGTAGACCCAAGCAACAGGGACTGTTTCCTCCTGGTTATGCTCCATCACTGAAAGTACTCTTGTCTCACAACAAAAGATTTTTAAGGCAAGATTGGTAGTAGGAGATTTAAGTTATGATGTAATTTGGAAAGAAAGCATTTGGCATTTCAAGGTTTCATGCCTTTCTTGGAGTGCATGCAAGTGTTAAAGAAATGAGAAATCAGACTTTATCAGAAATTTGGAAAAATTGGGACAGCACATTTTCTAAAACTAAACTCTGGATTTATTTCTTGGGAATCAGAGCTACAGAAAAATAAAGAAAAAAATTCTGGCTTTTAATTTCTCAATTGATATTAAGATAGAATTCAAAAATCTTACAAGGCTTTCTATGCTCTTGCTCCTGATTCCTCTCTGAGTGCCTCTCCATCCTTGTTCTCCTGCTAAATCTCTGGCCTCTAGCCACAATGCAGTCCTTAATGTATCACAGACAAGCCAAGCACGCTCCTGCCCCAGGGCCTTTGCATTTGCTCCTCCCTTTAGGGAAATATGTTCTTATATGATTATCCCCCTCACCTCACTTCCGTTAGGTCTCTCCTCAAATAGTAACTCATTGGAAAACATTCCTTCTACTCTAGGTAATTCAGCAGGTTCCAGGACTTTTTTATTTTTTAACCCATCTACGTTCTTATAAGTCACCATTATTTGGCCTTGTATTTAGCAACTATTTATTTTTATTGTTTGTTTTCTCTATTAAGGGACAATAACTTTATCTTGCTCAGTTTATTTTACTCCCAACTTCTAAGAAAATGCCTTAAACCTGTAGGTGCTCAATAAATATGTGTGGATTCAAAGAATGAAATAATGACTGACTATAACCCTGTTTGGAAATAAATCTTTCATTTTTCAAATTAGTTTATTGCAGGATCAACAATGAAGATATTGCTCTCAGTAAAATTTTATTCACCACCACTGTCTGTACATGTTGACCTCCTCAGAAGGTGAAAGATGCCACCATTTAGGTTTGGGAGATAGAACAGATTCCCCAAATTGCCTAAAAGATACTAGATGGCAGGTAAGTTTGTATACAGGCCCACAACAACAAGTTTACCCACAAATGAATCTGAAATTTACACATTTTACATTCTAAAATGTAACACGTCACTTCCTCTACAAATAGATTAGTCTTTTTTTATAAATAACATACAATGCGTGAAACCTGACAATCCATCTTTCTGAAACTTATTCATAAATATGCCTGTTTTTTAATAATAGCTAAAATTGACCCTTTTAAAACATAAAACAGCCATTTATAGTAAAATTAGAGTTGTACAATCATAACCACAACCTAACCTTAGAACATTTTCACCACACCAAAAGGAAACCCTATACCTATTAGCACTCACTCCTCATCTCCCTCTGACAATTACTCGTCTACTTTCTGTCTGCACAGACTTGCCTATTTTGGACATTCTATATAAATATATGGACTCTTAGGATGACTTCTTTCACTGAGCATAAAATTTTAAAGGTTTGTCTATATTGTAGGATCTATCAGTCTTCATTCCTGTTTTATTGATGAATAATATTCCATTGTGTGGGTATAGTACATTTTGCCTTTCTATTCATCATTTGGTAGACATTTCAACTGCTTCTACCATTTGGCTATTGTGAATAATGCTGCATGAACATTCATGTACAAACTTTTGTGCAGATATATATTTTCCATTCTCTTGGGTACATGCTTAGGAGTGAAATTTCTGGAACATATGGGTAACAATGTTTAACATTTTGAGAAACTGCCAGAGTGTTTCCATAGTGGCTATGCCATATTATATTCCCACAGAAATGTATGAGGATTCCAATTTCTCCACATCCTTGCCAACACTTGTTATTGTCTGGTTTTTGAATTCTAGTCATCCAAGTGGGTGTGAAATAGTATCCCATTGTGGTTTTGATTTCCATATCCCTAATGAATAATAATGTTGGACATCTTGTCATATACTTATGGGCCTTTTGTATATCTTCTCTGGAGAAATGTTTATTCAAATACTTTGTCCATTTTCCAGTTGAGTTGTTGACTTTTTATTGTTGATTTGAAAGTAGCCTTTATATATTCTTAGTAAAAGTCTCTTATTACATATGTGATTTTCAAATATTTTACCTGTTTTTTAAGTTGTCTTTTCTATCTTGATGGTGCCCCTTGAAGCACAACAGTTTCAAACTTTGGTGAAATACAATGTAATTTTTCTCTAAACATTTTTTTCTAAAATGTTGTCACTTTTGTTTTTGTTGTCATATCTAAGAAACCATTGCTTAGTCCAAGGTCAAAATCTACTCCTAATATTTTCTTCTAAGGGTTTTATAATTTTATTATTTATATTTAAGTTGCTGACCCATTTTGAGCTAATTTTTGCATATGCTGTGAGGTGGAGGTACAAATTCATTCTTTTGCATCTGGATATACAATTGTTTCAATACCGTTTGTTAAAGAGACTATTGTTTCTTCATTGAGTGGTCTTGGAAGCCTGTCAACAATCTATTGACCACAGACATAAGGGTTTATTTTTGAAATCTGATTTACATTCTATTGATCTATATGTCCTTATACCAGTACCACACTGTCTTGATTACTATCACTTTGTAACAAATATCAAAATTTGGAAGACTAAGTACTCCAACTTAATTCTTCTTTTTCAAGATTGTTTTCTCTATACTGGGACCCTTTTAATTTTCTATAAATTTTAGAAATGGCTATTCAATTTCTGGAAAAAAAAAAGACAGAATTTTGAGCTAAAGTTCACTGAATCAACATCAATTTGGGTATCATTAACATGTTAACAATACTAAATTTTCAGATCCATGAAAATACGATGTCTTTACATGTGAAGAAGACATGTATTTATGTCTTCTTTATTTTCTTTCAACAATGTTTTATAGTTTTAGTCATGTAGGATTTATACTTCTCCTGTTAAATTTATTCCTAAGTATTTTATTTTTTGATAGTATTATAAATGGAAAGTTTTCTTAATTTCATTTTTGGATTGTTAATTGCTATTGTGTAGAAATGGAATTAGTTTTGTATTTTCGTCTTATATTCTGCAAATGTGCTGTAATATTTATTCATTCCAATAGTTTTTTAATGGATCTATATAGTAGATCATGTAATCTGCAAATAGAGATCATTTTACTTCTTCCTCTCCAATCTAGAGGCTTTTATGTCTTTTTCATACCCGTTTACCCTGTAGTAATGTTGAATAGAAGTGATGAGAGTGACCATCCTAGTCTCGTTTTGGATCTTATGGCAAAACATTATTTCACCCTTAAATGTAAGATTAGCTATGAGTTTTTCATAGCTGATTTCTTTCCTCTTTCATGCTATTCTTGTCATACAAATTACGTCTCGGTATATTAGAAGACCATCAACACAGTTTTATAATTATTGTTGTTTGCCATTGTTTTTCAAATCAAAGAAGAGGAAAAAGAGTTTCAAACAAAAAAAATTATACTTTACAAAATATTTACCTATTTAATCACTGTATATTTACTAGGGCTGCATAAGAAAGTGTCACAGACTGAACGGCTTAAATAACACACATTTATTTTTTCACCGTTCTAGGGGCTAGAAGTCTGAACTCAAGATATTAGCAGGTTTGGTTTCTCCTGAGACCTCTTTCATTGGCTTGTAGATGGCTACCTCCTTGCTATGTCCTCACATAGCCTTTGTTCTGTCAGTGTACGTTTCTGGTGTCTCTTCCTACTCATATAAGTACACCAGTCATATTGAATTAGGACCCACACTAATGACTTCATTTTAACTTAATCATAACTTTAAAGATCTTATCTCCAAATCTGATTACATTCTGAGATACTGGGGACTGGGACTTTAACATGTGCATGTTGAGGGAACACATTTCCACTCATAACAATTACATTTATTGATGCTATTTATTTCTTTGCATGGGTTCATATTACTTTCTAGTATCATTTATTTCAGGGAGACTGAAATACTCTCTTTAGTATTTATTTCCTGTAGGGCAGATCTACCAATAATAACCTCTTCATTTTCTTCCTTTATTTGAGGATGTCTTAATTTCCTTTCATTTTTAAAAGTAACTTTTCTAGACATAGAATTCTTGGTTGATAATATTTTTCTTTAAGCACTCTGTATATATAATCTCACTGCCTCTTGGCTTACATGGCTCCTAATGGGAAGTCAGCTGTTAACCTTAATGATCATCCCTTATACATGATACATCACCTTTTCTTGCTGCTTTCAAGATTCATTTTGCCTTTGCTTTGAACCATTTAACAGTGTTTAGGTGTGTATCTCATCGTATTACCTTACTTGGAGTTCGTTGAGTTTCTTGGATATGCATATTAATTTTTTATCATATTTGGGACATTTTCAGCAATTATTTATTCAAATATTCTTCCTACTCCCCTCTTTTACCTCCTTTCTGGGGTCCCATTATGCATATCTTGGTGTGCTTGATAGTGCCCCACAGCTCTATGAAGCTGTATTCATTTTTCTTCATTCTTTTTTTTGCTGATTCTCAGACTATCTTCAATTGCCCTATCTTTAAGTTCACTGATTTTTGTCTTCTGCCAATTCATATCTGTTGTTGAATCACTCTGGTTTTTAATTTCATTTATTTTAGTTTTTAAGTCAAAATTTTATTGGTTCATTTATATCATGTCTTCCTCTTTATTGATAGCCTCTATTTAGTGAGATATTCTCATATTTTCTTTTAACTTTTCAGACATGATTTTTCTTTATTTCTTTGAACTTATTTATCATAGTTTACTTGAAGTATTGGTCTAATAAGTCAAACATCTGGGCTTCTGTGGGGTCAGTTCTATTGACTAGTGGATTTTTCCCCCTGTGTATCAGCCATACTTTACTCTACCTTTGCATGTCTCATAACTTATGGGTGAAAGTCATTTTAAGTAATGATTATCAAATATCAATTTTGTGAATTGTTTTTTCCCTCTTCCACAGCACTTGGTATTGCTGCTATTTGTTTTTTTTTCATTGTTGTGAATTTGCCTAGTGACTTTCCTTGACTAATTTTATAAAGTTTGTCTTGTTTGTGCAGCCACTTGAGTGTGTCTGCTTCATTGGTTTAGTGGTCAGCTAGTGACTGGAAAATGATTTCCTTAAATGCCTTGTCCCAGCCTTTGTCAGGCATACACCTTCACTGTCCCAGCAATGTACAACTCTGTTAGACTTTACTTCCTGCCTCATGGTTAGCCATAGGGGAAAGTATAAGGTCTTCTTAGGCCTTTCCCAGGCATGCATATAGCCCTGTTTATGTGCATGGCCTTCTAGAATTCCTGGAATAAGTCAACACTTTTCAGAGCTCCCTATAGACATCTTATTTCTCAGTTAATCCTTTCAGGTTTTTTGTTGAGTCACTTGTTTACTACAAATGTGATCACTGCCTCAAGCAGCTGCTATGTTCAGCAATTGCTGCTGATTATTTTAGACTAATGTCCTGGAGATTGGGTTGTTCATACTGTGTGCATCCTGAATTAAATCAAATAAAGATAAGCCCTGGGAATGGGGGCTTTTCCAGTGTCTTAGTCAGTTCAGGCTTCTGTAACAGAATACAATATACTATGTGGCTTCCACAGCAAACATTTATTTCTCACAATTCTTAAAGCTAGGAAGTCCATGTCCAAGATACTGGAAGAATCAGTATCTGGTGAGGGCCTACTTCCTGGTTCATAGATAGCTGTGCTCTCACTGTATCCTCACATTGTAAAAGGGGTGAAGGAACTCTCTGGGGTCTCTTTCATAAGGTCACTAATCTCACTCATGATGGCTTTACTCTCATGACCTAATGTCCCAAAAGTTCCACCTCCTAATACCATCACTTTAGGTATTAGGATTTCAACATATGAATTTGGAGAGGGGACACAAACATTCAGTTCATAACATCCAGTGATCTTCCAGACAGGTCAAATAGTGGCAACTCTCTGCAGATGGGACTTTTGGGGAACCCCAAACCCTTTCTCGTCTTCTTTAGAGGCTCCTAGGCTGCTGGTTTTTATTGCTACCATGGTGGTAAGGCTGTTGGTTTCAAGACAGCTGCAGAATTAAAAGAGGAGGATAGAACAGGGCAAGTTAAAATACCACAAACTCCCAGTTTTCACCACAATTCAGTAATTTTCCTTGAATAAATATTCCTTAAATTATTGTGAGCCTTTCATTAATTTCCAGAGCTCTGAATAAGTTGGTTTGGCTGTGTGTGTGTGTGTGTGTGTGTGTGTGTGTGCGCATGCATGTGCATGTTTGTGGTGAGCATTCTCATCACTGTTGTAGAAGAGCAGATTTTCAAAGGCTCTTATGGCAATGTTTCAGAAGTGCTTCTTCTCCATCTGTTTTTTAATACACCCTTATTTTTTAACTGGCCAGGACTGGAACTCAAACCTCAGTAATGTGGCTCAGTACTCACTTAGGGCCACACCTATTATCTTATTTTCTGAAATAAGTTGTTGTAATAAGAAACCTTGAGGCAGAGTCACTGCTGGTCAGGGAAAGTAGCCCAGTGCTGCTCAGTTGGAAGGTGCTCTTGGGTACAACTTGCTGACTCTGAGATATCAAGGAAGTGCTCCTCCCATTGAAAGGAAGACAGAGGGGGAGGAGGGCAAGGGTTCCGAATCTCAGGCTAAACTCCTGGAGCCCAGGAAACTGAACATAGAAGTGAAGCTAATGCTTCCTCAAGTTGTTGGGAGTTATTGGCCTTAGAGAATAAAGGAGACTAAAGGGAGGTGCATGAGTGGCAGAACACTACCAGTGACCAGCAGCAGAGAGTTGTTCCCATGGCATTGCGAGAGAAAGGGGAAGTGAAGGCAGCATGAAGGAAAGGGAACTTCCTTCAAGTCCCAGTTAATGCTGAATATTTGCCAATACCTGGCTGCTTCTACCTGAGGGACGTATGTGAGTTGGCACTGCCTATAAAACTTTCCTATTAGTTGTTTATTACATTTTTTTTTACATTCAACTTTATCAACATATTTTCAAATGTTCAGTTGTAAGGGAAATTTTTTTTTAACTCTCTCTGGAAGCTTGGATGTTACTTTATTAAAACTTGAGTAGCATATGGACAAAGCAGTGAATACTTCTCCAGTGTCAGAGTTGAATTGTCCAAAGCAGTTTCCAAATGAGTGCTACCATTTTTTCATCCCTTGTTACGCACTTCACGGACACTTCTGGTATCGCTGGTGATGGTAGTTGTTGACTTCGCCTATGTGCAATTAATTTTCAAGTGGGCTGGCTTATGTATGTTAAGATATATATATCTTCATTCAGAAGAACTACTGGATAATGAGATCAATTAATTTTTGAATTTTATTTCTGTTTCAAAGATCAGGGCAGCAAGGAGTAACCAAACACTCCTTAGTATTAAATGTTTCATATTATAATACCCTGGAAATGAGCATGTTTTGAGGCTCTTGATAAACACTTCAATTGTTTACCATAAAACAGAATAAGATTAAAGTCAACGTGGAAGTGTAGGAAGGAGAGAGACTTATTTAAGTTTTGAGAATTATTTGAATCAATTTAGACATATGGATAAAACATTAGTGAATTTAAAAAAAAAAATCCTTTGGAATAAATCCCTTTGGAGGATTCATCCTCTAAAGACATTGTACCAAAGATAGAGATTTCTGCCAAAACTCATCCACCCTGGAGTAGGGCAGTACAAGAAATGCCACAGGAGACACAAATGCATAAGTGCTCCTTTAGTTGGGAAATTAAGAATTTGTCAAAGGGATAGAGTGTGATTTTTTTTTTTTTTTTTTTTTTTGAGACGGAGTCTCACACTATCGCCCAGGCTGGAGTGCAGTGGCACGATCTTGGCTCCCTGCAAACTCCGCCTCCCGGGTTCACGCCTTTCTCCTGCCTCAACCTCCCAAGTAACTGGGACTACAGGCACCCGCCACTGCGCCTGGCTAATTTTTTTTTTTAATTATTATTATACTTTAAGTTTTAGGGTACATGTGCACAATGTGCAGATTAGTTACATATGTATACATGTGCCATGCTGGTGCGCTGCACCCACTAACTCGTCATCTAACATTAGGTATATCTCCCAATGCTATCCCTCCCCCCTCCCCCCACCCCACAACAGTCCCCAGAGTGTGATGTTCCCCTTCCTGTGTCCATGTGTTCTCATTGTTCAGTTCCCACCTATGAGTGATAATATCCAGTGTTTGGTTTTTTGTTCTTGAAATAGTTTACTGAGAATGATGATTTCCAATTTCATCCATGTCCCTACAAAGGACATGAACTCATCATTTTTTATGGCTGCATAGTGTTCCATGGTGTATATGTGCCACATTTTCTTAATCCAGTCTATCATTTTTGGATATTTGGGTTGGTTCCAAGTCTTTGCTATTGTGAATAGTGCCACAATAAACATACGTGTGCATGTGTCTTTATAGCAGCATGATTTATAGTCCTTTGGGTAAATATCCAGTAATGGGATGGCTGGGTCAAATGGTATTTCTAGTTCTAGATCCCTGAGGAATCACCACACTGATTTCCACAATGGTTGAACTAGTTTACAGTCCCACCAACAGTGTAAAAGTGTTCCTATTTCTCCACATCCTCTCCAACACCTGTTGTTTCCTGACTTTTTAATGATTGCCATTCTAACTGGTGTGAGATGATATCTCATTGTGGTTTTGATTTGCATTTCTCTGATGGCCAGTGATGGTGAGCATTTTTTCACGTGTTTTTTGGCTGCATAAATGTCTTCTTTTGAGAAGTGTCTGTTCATGTCCTTCGCCCACTTTTTGATGGAGTTGTTTGTTTTTTTCTTGTAAATTTGTTTGAGTTCATTGTAGATTCTGGATATTAGCCCTTTGTCAGATGAGTAGGTTGCGAAAATTTTCTCCAATTGTGTGGGTTGCCTGTTCACTCTGATGGTAGTTTCTTTTGCTGTGCAGAAGCTCTTTAGTTTATTTAGATCCCATTTGTCAATTTTGGCTTTTGTTGCCATTGCTTTTGGTGTTTTAGACATGAAGTCCTCACCCATGCCTATGTCCTGAATGATAATGCCTAGGTTTTCTTCTAGGATTTTTATGGTTTTGGGTCTAACGTTTAAATCTTTAATCCATCTTGAATTGATTTTTGTTTAAGGTGTAAGGAAGGGATCCAGTTTCAGCTTTTTACATATGGCTAGCCAGTTTTCCCAGCACTATTTATTAAGTAGGGAATCCTTTCCCCATTGCTTGTTTTTCTCAGGTTTGTCAAAGATCAGATAGTTGTAGATATGCAGCATTATTTCTGAGGGCTCTGTTCTGTTCCATTTATCTATATATCTCTGTTTTGGTACCAGTACCATGCTGTTTTGGTTACTGTAGCCTTGTAGTATAGTTTGAAGTCAGGTAGCGTGATGCCTCCAACTTTGTTCTTTTGGCTTAGGATTGACTTGGCGATGCGGGCTCTTTTTTGGTTCCAAATGAACTTGAAAGTAGGTTTTTCCAATTCTGTGAGGAAAGTCATTGGTAGCTTGATGGGCATGGCATTGAATCTATAAATTACCTTGGGCAGTGTGGCCATTTTCACGATATTGATTCTTCCTACCCATGAGCATGGAATGTTCTTCCATTTGTTTGCATCCTCTTTTATTTCATGGAGCAGTGGTTTGTAGTTCTCCTTGAAGAGGTCCTTCACGTCCCTTGTAAGGTGGATTCCTAGGTATTTTATTCTCTTTGAAACAACTGTGAATGGGAGTTCACTCGTGATTTGGCTCTCTGTTTGTCTGTTATTGGTGTATAAGAATGCTTGTGATTTTTGTACATTGATTTTGTATCCTGAGACTTTGCTGAAGTTGCTTATCAGCTTAAGGAGATTTTGGGCTGAGACAATGGGGTTTTCTAGATATACAATCATGTCGTCTGCAAACAGGGACACTTTGACTTCCTCTTTTCCTAATTGAATACCCTTTATTTCCTTCTCCTGCCTAATTGCCCTGGCCAGAACTTCCAACGCTATGTTGAATAGGAGTGGTGAGAGAGGGCATACTTGTCTTATGCCAGTTTTCAAAGGGAATGCTTCCAGTTTTTGCCCATTCAGTATGATATTGGCTCTGGGTTTGTCATAGATAGCTCTTATTATTTTGAGATACGTCCCATCAATACCTAATTTATTGAGAGTTTTTGGCATGAAGGGTTGTTGACTTTTCTCAAAGTCCTTTTCTGCATCTATTGAGATAATCATGTGGTTTTTGTCTTTGGTTCTGTTTATATGCTGGATTACATTTATTGATTTGCATATGTTGAACCAGCCTTGCATCCCAGGGATGAAGCCCACTTGATCATGGTGGATAAGCTTTTTGATGTGCTGCTGGATTCGGTTTGCCAGTATTTTATTGAGGATTTTTGCATCAATGTTCATCAAGGATATTGGTCTAAAATTATCTTTTTTGGTTGTGTCTCTGCCTGGCTTTGGTATCAGGATGATGCTGGCCTCATAAAAGGAGTTAGGGAGGATTCCCTCTTTTTCTATTGATTGGAATAGTTTCAGAAGGAATAGTATCAATTCCTCCTTGTACCTCTGGTAGAATTCGGCTGTGAATCCATCTAGTCCTGGACTCTTTTTGGTTGGTAAGTTATTGATTATTGCCACAATTTCAGCTTCTGTTATTGGTCTATTCAGAGATTCAAATTCTTCCTGGTTTAGTCTTGGGAGAGTGTATGTGTTGAGGAATTTATCCATTTCTTCTAGATTTTCTAGTTTATTTGCATAGAGGTGTTTGTAGTAATCTCTGATGGTAGTTTGTATTTCTGTGGGATCGGTGGTGATATCCCCTTTATCATTTTTTATTGCGTCTATTTGATTTTTCTCTCTTTTTTTCTGTATTAGTCTTGCTAGCGATCTATCAATTTTGTTGATCCTTTCAAAAAACCAGCTCCTGGATTCATTAATTTTTTGAAGGGTTTTTTTTTGTCTCTATTTCCTTCAGTTCTGCTCTGATTGTAGTTATTTCTTGCCTTCTGCTAGCTTTTGAATGTGTTTTCTCTTGCTTTTCTTGTTCTTTTAATTGTGATGTTAGGGTGTCAATTTTGGATCTTTTCTGCTCTCTCTTGTGGGCATTTGGTGCTATAAAATTTTTTGTACTTTTATTAGAGATGGGGTTTCACCATGTTAGCCAGGATAGGCTCCATCTCCTGACGTCGTGATCCGCCCACCTCGGCCTCCCAAAGTGCTGGGATTACAGGTGTGAGCCACCTCGCCCGGCCAGTGTGAATATTTTTTAAGAAAACTTTTTTGTGGGAGGAGAGTATGAATTTTTACGTAAAGGCAAGGTATGCTGCCAAAGTGTGGAAAGAAACTTCTCATTTATAGAAACTTGGGAATCCCAGGGCATTGCTTGGTAGGGCAGAAAAACTAGTTACTAAATGGTAACCAAGTGTGGAACAGGAAGTTAATAGGTCTTTATAGCAGAATTAAAACTATAGCTGCAATCAAAACAAATCAAGCAATGTAAAAGATGTTGCCATAAGGCTGTTGGTCCAGAAGGTATTTTAAGCTAATTAGGAAATGAAACCTGGCCAGACTCGGTGGCTCAAGCCTGTAATCCCAGCACTTTGGAAGGCAGTGGAGTATGGATTGCCTGAGCTCGGGACTTGGAGCCCAGCCTGGCCAACATGGTGAAACCCCGTCTCTACTAAAAATACAAAAAAGTTCTCCCGGTGTCATGGTGCACGCCTGTAGTCCCAGCTACTTTTGAGGCTGAGGCAAGAGAATTGCTTGAACCTGGGAGTGGGGGGCTGCAGTGAGCTGAGATCACACCACTGCACTCTAGCCTGGGTGACAGAGAAAGACTGTGTCTCAAAAAATAAAATAAAAAAAAAGAAAATAAGGAAAATGAAATCTTTTTTTCCAGGCAGAAACTTGGCTAGTGGAGCCCAGGGAGGGTTCCATCCTTCACTCTCCCTGCTCCCAGGGAGGGCACTTTCTGGCCAGCACATCTTGTAAGCCTTATTCTCCCTTATTGGTGCCCCACTTGGGTTTTTATAGAAATGAACAACCTGTTCCTCGGGTTCTATCCTTAATCTCTTCCTTTAAGGTAGCTTGGCCTGAGGCCCCCTTTTCTTCCTTTCTTACCTGTTCAAGGAAGAGTGCATAAGTGGGCTTGGGTGCTGCAGACACAGGAGGGTTGATGCCAAGTTGCCCCTCTGCTCAGTCTCAACCGATGAGGTGGTGGCTGTTACTGGACTCAGTACAGCTTTTGGGCTTTGTCACCCACCAGACCCCATGTTTCCAGTTAGCAATGGCACCCCCAAATTATGTCTGCTCCTCTGGCCATGCCCATGAAGAGAATTCCCCCACAGCTTTGACCTCAGGACTGGGCGGCCCCATCATTACCTTCCCACTAGTGCCTCTCCCAAAAACACACCTGGATTGCCCATCTATATATTTGTCCTTTCAAATAATCCCACAGCACAGTGGCATGCCAGTGCCTCCTTCCCCTCTGCTTCCCCTCCACTTTGCTTGGGCAGAACAGCTTCATCTCCCAGTGCCATCCCAGGGCCAGATCCCACAGGCTCATGCTTCCCCAGGGCAAAGCTTAGCAAAGCATCTCTTCAACCAAGGCTAGGTCCTTCACAGAATTTTCTATTAGCTGCTGGAAAAATGATACTTCATTCAAATAGTTGGAATATGCCTATGACATCTAGAAAAGCTGACCACAAAATGCCCTCCCTCTTTAAGAGGGGCTCCAGATAGGCCCATTGGCTTCTTACTACATTCTCAATGCCTGATACATGGTTGATTCTCCATTACTATTCTCAATTGCTTGTTCAATAAATGTATAAAATGAATGAACAAATAAGATCTATGTATCTGGGCATCAAGAGGGTGAGAGAAAGAATGGGGGATGCATTAGGTGACAAGAAGAACTTTGTATGGCATTTTCTTTTCACCCTTCACCAAGAAAGGGCTGGGGAACAAGAGCTCCATTCTCTTGACACTGGCCCAGGTGGCAGCTTTGAGGCTCTCCAAGGCCTAAGTTATGGACAAGTGGAGCCTCCCTTGCTGGGTGTGGAGAGCAGGCAGGAGGGCCACAAGAAACTTTAAATGTGTGTCTAAAAAGCCCAGGCCATTTCCTGGAGAAGCATCATCAGGTTCCTCCTGCAATCCCCACAGTGATCAAGAAAATCAGAAAATCAGGACAACTGTGCCCACCCATTCCCTATTGGAGCAAAATCCTGCTTAGAGAACAGATGGGGAATTAGTCAACACAAATCAGCATCAACAATGGCATTCTTTGAATTCTGGTGTTGAATGCTACAGAAGTCTCCTGTCTCCCAACCTTTGGGACCGCAGATACAAGAAGCACAAGATGCTCCGGGAAAAGAGCTCCAGTAGGCAGGACTTGGAGGCTCTGGAGGTGTCTACCATGCTGAGCACTGCACCACTGCAGCTTTGCAGTGTCAGTAGTGAAACAGGGTCACCAGTGTTGAATGTCACCCTGGCACACACCTCTTATGACTTATCTTTAGCCTCCGATCCACACATCCTTTCAGGGAATGTGTAAATACACCTCCCTAATGCCCCAGCCACTGCCTCAGCCCCGAGGAAGGTTTACATAATCTCCAGTATGCCAGAGAAAGTGGAGACCCTTTTCACAAGCATGAGAGCTTCAAGTCTCAAACTATTCTAGATCCTATAGGTGGCAAAAGCAAGAATAAGCCTACATGAATAAAGGGATCTTTGAACCAGATAATTGTTTATTTGGAAAGGTCTGGAGAGGCCATCCATCCAGCTTTCTTATTTGGAAGGAAACAGTGAGGGGAAATGTCTAAGTTCTTAGTGCAGTGCTCTTTAGCCCTTTGAAATTAGTCAATGGGATTTTGTATAACTTTATTCTTGATGGTTTTTACTGTAAGCCAAACCTTTTTTTGATTTTCCAATATACAATTAGATTAATGAATATGCTTTTGCCAGCTCCATCCACAGAGCCCCTGACAAGGCTTGCATGCATATTCCCAGGAAGGACAGGGTCCTGACTCTGGTCTGTGGCATGGTTGGGAGGGAGCTGTGAAAGTGTTTTTGTCATGCCCTGCAGCTCCTTCTGGCATGTGAAATTGCCTGATAAGCCAGCTAACTGAGTCTGCAGCAAAGGGTTTATTGAAGTTCAAAGAACAAAGAAACAGACATTCAAAGCAAAACACTGGTGGATAATTTAAATCACTTTATTGATCAGCACCTTTTTCTTTCATGGTACTAAAAAAGACTTTTAATAGGAAACCTCTACAGCTTATCTGTGAATATCTACCAGGAATTGATGATCTACTAAGGGAAGTCTAAGAATTTTAAGAAGCTTTATTTTCTGTAATTGTGTTTACTTGAAAAGAATATAAGGAGCTTGTTGAGGATAATTGAGGCTAAAAAGTAAATAATTAAGAAGCAATCATTGTTGGTTACAGACATTAGTCAGTTATGAAAAGGAAAAGCAAGCTTATAAAATAACTATTCGAATAGACTATAGTATTGGCAAAATTAGTCTAATACCAGTTATTTTTCCTGAAACTAAAGATATTTATTATGACTACAAAATAGGGGTTTCTATTTTATTAATTAGGCTAATGTTTTATTTTGTAATTTAAAATTTTATAAATGTTTTCTTCTTTGCTTTTTAAAATAGTTAATGCATGCATATGTTAAAAATTCACTGTGTCCATAAAATTATAGGATGATAAAGGAGTCTCCCACTTTTCCCGCCCTTTACCCACCAGTGCCCTGGTCAACAGTGCAGCACTAATTTTATCTACACACATAGGCAAAAAGGTGGCAGAATCTTGGATTGCAACAAGTTTTGGTATCACTGTGCCCTAGAATAAGGAAGAAAGCTAATAGGTGATGATTTGAAAGTAGAAAGCTTGAAACTGAGATTTGTTATTATTACTTAATTAAATACTTACTATTAATATAAGACATGTGTTACACTAAGCCTTTTATTTGGATTACTATTTAATTATTCTAACAGCCCTCAAAATTATTCTGATTTTGGTGCTAAGAAAACAGAGGCTCAGAAAAATTATATAAACTTATTCCTGTTCCTGCAGGTAGATAGATGTGAAACAGCAGTTTTAAGCAAAATTAAATTGCTCCAAAGGACTTCATGATTACAGAATATTTTTTAAAAAAGATATTTCCTGGGACTAAGTATTTTTCATGCAGTAGGACTGTGATAATTTTTAAATATATCTGCAAATTTGCTGACCCTCTTCCCATTAAGACATTAAATATTTGTCCCCTCCCCTTGAACCTGGTGGGCCTTGGTGACACTATCAGCATAATATGGTGGAAGTGACATTGTGTGACTTCCAAGGCTGGGCTGAAGAAAGCCATGCAGCTTCTGCCAGTCTCTTTATCAGTCTCTGAATGAAGCCTCCGCTCTCCCCTCCTGGCCTCTCAGCCATGGTAACACACACGTGAGCAGGAAAGCTTTTGGAATCACTACTGCTTCAACCACCATCTAATTACAAGTTTGTGAGAAGCCTTGAGAATAATAATAATGATGACTGATTGTAATTGTAATTGTTTAGCCCATTGTTTTGAGGTGATTTGTTACACGGCACTATATAAGTGGAAAAATAAACAACTGTGGCAAATTTAATATACAGAGATAGAACAGGGTCTTGAGACAAATAGCACTTATCAGCCCTAGATTTTATTTTATCCACACAGGTTCTTGCTAGAGACACAACGACAATAATTTAATATGATATTTAAAAAATAAATATGTTCAGATTTCTATTAGTACTGAAACCTTTTGCTTTTGATTCTTGGCCTGTTCTACAGGTTATGTCTGACGTTAATCCCCTCAGCAATGATCCATGTTGTTGTATGTCTTCTCAGTTTGAGTTGCTTGGTTGTTCTGGTTTCATCTAGGATTTTCGCCAGAGGCCAAGACTGAAATTTTCCAGAAAGATCACTGCTGCATCAACAGCTGTTTATTTCTTATAAAAATGCTCAGTGCAGTGAAGGAATGTGCCTGCGTACAACAGTGAGTACAGTTGTGAGAAGCACAGTGGATATTTTTAGGCCTAGCATTCTTTATATTTATCCACTTAAAAATATATTAGTTTCACCTAGATCTAGGTAAAATAGTTTGCAAAAAGATTTTAGAATTGGGCAATTAATTTTAATTCTGACATCTTGGGCTTTTCACTTTTTCTTAGGCTCTCCTCGCTGACTTCGTTATTTACTTCATCTAGCATCCATCTTAACTTCTGTGTGAGCCCCTTGCCTTTGAAAACATGTCTTACTTTGTTTATATCCTTACACCTTATTTGTATGGGTTTAATAGATTACTATTGATGTAAAGTGGTAGTTTTGAGCTGGATTTTGAATAATAGTGAAAATTAAGTGTGCAGTGATACAGGCAGCCATCTTTGTACTTGTCACTTATATTCTCTGGAAGGTTTCAGGGCCTCTGGTGGACAAAGTTCAAATTGAGCGCTGATCTTCATGATGTTTGTTGCTGTTGCACTGGGTAAGATCATTGCCCCATGAAACAAAAACAAAAACCAGTGTGTTTGTTTAGACTCACCAAAAAAACCGTGAGGTGTTGCAGGAACCCATGGACCTGAAAACAGCTTTAGGAAAGGTCTGGAACCAAATGTTGGGTTCCTCTCTCTCTGTGTCTCTTGTCTCAGCTCCTCATGGTGTTTCTGCTTTCCCTCCTTTCTCTGTGGCCAGCTTTCTCTTTTCCCCAGCCATGTCCTAGAAAATGTGACAATCCCACAGCTCTAGTGCTTCTCTAATTTTTTACTGAGAGTATTCTTCCAGGCTGCACGAGCCCAGTTCATTTCTGCAGCCATAGCCATGGCCAAACTTTGCTCCAATAGCCGTGTGACTAGCAGAAAGAACCACAAAGCCTTTGAGACCAAAGAGGAGAGGCGAGGCTCTTCATTTGGGGAAAACTCATGCTTACATTGTTCCTATATAGTGGCAGCTATGGGAGGTACTAGATAACTGGAAAAACTAAGAATCTAGAGTTCTGGAGACGACAGGTCCAAAAGTTGTGCATGCCTCTGTGTCTGGCTTCATCCTCTGGATGAACAGGTCCCAGTAGCCATATATCTGCGCACCCAAGAGTGATCATAAGTCATCTCTGGCAAATAGTATCAATAAGTTAATTTTTTACTCCCTCTCAATCATTCTTATTAGTAGGGGACCCTGGAAGTGCAGGAGGACAGGGGGTGGAGAAGCAGCTTGGAGGGAGTCTGGAAGCACAAACTTCTGAGTGTGAGCATTGCCCTCTTATCTGACTCATGTCTCAACACATTCCTTAGTTCCATTATATAAACACAGGTGTCAGATGCCCACTCTTAGGATTAAGTGTATGTTTGTGTGGTGTGTGTGTTGCTGTGGGTGGATTCTGAGATACATAGACCTCAGGGGACAAACCAAGAGGACCTAATTGAAGGGGTTATTTTAAAATTCTTCTATAATAAAAGCAGATGAGAGGCCAGGCATAGTGGCTCACGCCTGTAATCTTCACACTTTGGGAGGCTGAGGCATGTGGATCACCTGAGGTCAGGAGTTTGAGACTAGCCTGGCCAACATAGTAAAACCCCATCTCTACTAAAAATAAAAAAATAAAAAAATAAATGGGCATGGTGGTGGGTGCCTGTAATCCCAGCTACTTGGGAGGCTGGGGCAGGAGAATCACTTGAACCTGGGAGATAGAGGTTGCAGTGAGCTGAGGTCATGCCACTGCACTCCAACCTGGGTGACAGAGAGAGACTCCATCTTTAAAAAAAGCAAAGCAAAAAAAAAAAAAAAAAAAAAAAAGGCAGCAGCTCTGAATGTGAAATACTTTTAGTAACACCTTAGCCAATTAGTTTTGCTTATAAGTATTTTTTTACATATGTGAAATGTGACATGTGATAAAAACTTCAAGTCGTAAAGAATTCTTTCAATAAGCAAAAGTAAAAAGAAGTTATAATGCCGGGCATGGTGGTTCACGCCTGTAATCCCAGCACTTTGGGAGGCCAAGGTGGGCAGATCACTTGAAATCAGGAGTTCAAGACCAGCCTGGCCAACATGGTGAAACCCCTGTCTCTACTAAAAATACAAAAATTAGCCGGACATGGTGGTGGGCGCCTGTAAAATCCCAGCTACTTGAGAGGCTGAAGTAGGAGAATCACTTGAACCCAGGAGGTGGAGGTTGCAGTAAGCCGAGATCGCAGCACTGCACTCCAGCCTGGGCGACAGAGTGAGACTCTGTCTAAAACAAACAAACAAAAAAGTAGATGGGAAACTCATGGTTAAGTGGGTTTCTTTGCTATAACATATGCCTGAGCTTTGAATATACTTATGCTCACTGTGACAGTTAATAAATGTCAAAGAAGGGATGTTAGTGTGCCCTGTTTCCTGAATTTATTTGATTAATAAACCTTTCTTTTCTGGAGTAACTAACGGGTTCCACAGGTCACTGGAGTAACTAACGGGTTCTGGAGTAACTAACGGGTTCCACTTGTCAAATTGTGATTTGACAAGTATTGTACAGTTTTGTGTTTGTTTGCACTTTGTGGATGGTTATATAGAGACTATTCAATGAATGTAATCACCTTAGAAGCTTTATTCACAGAGGCTCCAGCCAAAGCATTCTGGCAGTGGGGTTATCTGATAATATCGGTGCTGCCACATACTACCCATTGTGGAGAAGCACAGATTTCTGAAGCTGGCAATCACTCAGAAGCAGGGTGGCTCCCTAATCAATGCCCCTTTCCAACAACTATTTACTATCCAAGTCAAGACACAGTGCAGACACCTGTTTCACTTTGTTCTACTTCACAGTCAGTGTATGACCTAAGAATCTGAAAGCACTTGGCTATCCTGTGCCTCACACACAACTAGGATGAGTCCATGGAATGAACTAAGCAAGTTCAAGCCTGGTTTCCTAAATCAAGGTTGGGCTGGAACACCCTGGAGAAGGAGGATGGAGGCCTCATTCTTGTGGAGCCTCCTGTTTTACTCTCAGGCGCTTTAGCAGTGAAGCCTCTCCTCTTGATATGCAGATTTCTTTATACTCTGATGACTATCAAATACTGTGTCTCATGAAACTGACTCATTTCTCAAATACTGAGTACCTCCTACTCTCATAGGAATGATTCCATCCAGCCTCCTCAGTATGGGCCTTATTTATACATGCTCTGACAATATTGCTGATTTCTTTTTTTAATGAGTTTAAATAGATATCTCCAGATGAAGCACTTGCCTTAGTAATACATATGCCGATGAGCCTCCTACATACCTTATAATTTGTGCAGTTTTCCATGTGTGGGCATCTGAAATTAAAGCATTCTGCCTGTTCTTTTCTTGAAATCACCTTCATTAACTTAAAATCTCTATGGCCTCTTCACCCAACATTCATCAAAATGATATGATTATAGAATATACTTTAATTGACACATTTGCCTGTCAAGATGTTTCTATGGCTACTCTTACCTGCTTTCTCTTCTGCTAGTTGCACCCATGCTAGGCCTCCCTCCACCTTGCTGCCCTGTGTGTCTGATCACATGCAAAGCCCCTTGCTTTTCACCTTCATGATGCTTTCCTAGAATGTTCCTTCCTGATCCCCCTGTGAAAAACTGTTCAACTAAGGTAGTCTACCACAGTCATTTTTATTATCTATACCATTTGGAAAATAAATGTGCCTTCTAGACACTGCATCTGTGAAATCCAGTCCAGTGGATCTGTACCTACTTTAGATATATCTTGCAGGGACAGAGATAGCTTGGAGTTAGAGAAGGTTGTGGTGCCCGAGAACCCATCTTTAGAAAAAATAGGTCTCATTAACCAGTTTTATTAGCGATTTGGTTGTAATGAAATAAACACAGGCTTGAAGTGAAGAAAGTCCGTCTAAACTATGGCCAAATTAAAGTCACTGGATAATGAAAACTTTTAAAATTTAGAAATAAATCTTATTCTTTATTCATTTGGTTTCTCAGACTTCAAGCAATTCTAGACAAAACACTTCTCAGGTTTAAATAGTCAAAGAGGTAGTGGTTAATGTACTTTTTTGAATGGTTCACTGGACCATAAGACTGAACACATAAAATAACTATGGCCCAAGTTATTTTATTAGAACAAGTTATTAGATCAAGTTTATTAGATCAAGTTATGATCTAATCCATAACTTGAATAAAATTGTTGTTCCTGTATTTTTTTATGTCCTTGAGTAATTAACACATACGTGTACTTGTCACAGAAAACCACGGTGGTGCATTCTTCAAGTATGGATAGCTCTCTTGTAAGTGTGATATCAAACCACATGTTGTTAAGTAACCAAATCATCTACTTGGTGGCGGAGGCTATCTTTTGAGGAAGTGAGCATTTCACAGATTATTAGACTGCTTCTCAGTCTGGAGAGAACTGGTATAGAAAAGTGAACGGGAGCCAAATCAATAAAGAGGGTTCGACTTTGATTGAACAAAAATGTCTGCTCTCCACTCATGAGTTTCCATTTCAGACAAATGGGAGCCTGAGATCAATTCAAGCAAAAGTGAGATTGAAAAGGAAGTCAGTGGCTGGAAAGGTGGGGAAATATGAGAGGGATTTGAGAGAACGAATGTATGAACAGATCAATGGCTACTAAAAAGGCGCTTTGAAGTGAAATTTATCAGAGATATTGGGTGAGGTAACATGAATCCATAAGCAGGTATAAGGGGCTTCTTGACAGGATACCTCAGGCAAGAACATCCCTCCTGGCATGGCTGTTTTGGCGTTACCCTCAGAGGCTAGTCTCTGGTGGGCCATTTCTGGTTCGTTAAAAAGCCATTCTCTTCATAACTCAATTGCTTCAAATTCTAACCAGGAAACCATTTGGACCATCAACAGTGCTGTTATTTTGATTAAATATGGAAAAATAATCATCCCTGCCTTCAGTTAGTAATATCATATCCAAGGTTTGAGTTTCTCCCCTCTTAAATAAGTTCGTTCAAGATTGGCGACCAAAGTGTCATAACTTTACCCCTGGGGAAGACAATCATCACTATTCCTAATTTAAACTGGTGAGATTTTACACATTTGTAATTCTTATTCCACTAATCTCCACAGAAATTGGAAAGAGATTCCACTGTGGCATCCAAGAAATCTGAATGCATGTAAATTCTATTGAATTTGTGGATTAAAAAAAAGTGTGATGGAACCTTGATGTCACAAACAGTGAGATACATTCTTAGGTCACTTCAGCCAGAAACCAACAAGGAAGGGATTAAGTTGAAGCTGTACTTGATTCTCATTTTTGTCTAACCTTGAAACTATAATATCTGATTAACAACTTTCAAGTAATCAGGTTAATTGAAACGGATTCAGGTTGGGGCTTCAAAATTATTTGTTTACAAAAGTAGAATGAAAGAAAGAAAAAAATCTGTTATCCTCTAATAATTATCATAATTGGACAATTGTTAGCATTTGAGATTGATAAGTAAATTTAGATATAAATAAACAAAATATAATCATAGGATGTAGTCACTGGAAGGGCTATGACTTTTCATTTAGGAGGAGCGTGAGGTTCTCCTAAACCTCATGCTCAGGTGAGGTTAGGAAGTGCATCTGCAGAAAATGAATCAGGTCCTCTCCTCTCCCATCCAAAGCACTCTCCCCTGTCATGCTATTGACTATTGCAAGCAGGAAAGCCTTTCTGTTAATATGGCCATCAGAAAAAAAAAAAAGTCATTTGAAGCTTATTTATGCTGTGTTCAGATGCTTCTCCCTCAAAGAAAATGATTCCCTTTGAGTCAAAGAAGAAGATACTTAAATTTCACTGCTGAGTAGCTTGCTGATTTACTTAAAAATTTTATCCTTAACTTCCTCATAGGAAAAAGGAATATCTTCCTTACAGAGTTCTGTGAGGACTCAGTCAGATGTTTATGGAGCATATACCACAGTGCTTGGCTCATAGCCTATCCTCAATGCACACATGTCCTCCCCAAAAGTAGTCTGCTTAAAGGGCAAATACTTCCTATCAGCTATAGCATGTTTTCAGAGAGAGAAAATATCCCATTTAATAGACTATTGACAAATGTATAAACCCAGGCCTTAAACTACTGGGATGAGAAAAAACAATTTATTTGGATAAAAATATTAGGTCATCCTAGAAGACTGGCCTTAATTGTGCTATACTTTCCTCTTGATTAAGATTTCATTGTTGAATTTTAAGTTTGTTTGACTTCTAGGAATAAGACAGTTTGGCATAAACATTGTTTTTATAACGTGAGAAATCCTGCCAGGCACACAGACATGGGCTCCGAATTTTTTAAAGCCATTCCAGCAAATTTTTCATCTGCAAAAGCAGACCTGAAATTCTCCAGCCTACTATCTTAGCTCTAGAACTCATGAATTAATGGATTCAGGTTGGATACAAATAGGATTTCTTGTACTGTTTACAGGCATCCAATCATTGTTTCTCCGGTTGACTTTATTAGTGGATACACTATCGATATCAATCCTACTGGTGACTTTAATACACATTCTAGGAGATGATATTACACAGAAAAGCAAATGAACTTCAAACATTTTGAAGAACACATAGAGTTTATGACTATAGATTGTGCTTTGCTATTTTTAGCATGTCCCAATGGCTATTGCTTTTTAAGTGAACACCAACACTTAACTGTTGGACATATCTAAGGCTATGATTCTGTGTCAAGATAAGATTAATGAATTGACCCCGGAGACAAAAAGATTTTGCATAAGTTCCCGGGGTTCGTGGTGCCTACTATCTATGCTCCAGTGCTTCCTTGATGGGTTGTCCAATCAATGATCTTGCCTCAGATTATCTACCCACTACCAATGAGAAAATAAAATTAGAGATTTAAAGTTGGAAGGGATCATGATGTTCTCAGGGACTCATTCATCACTGGAAAGTTGGGGAAACTGAGGCAAAGGAGAAGCAAATGTTTTGCCTGAGGTTGCACAGCTTGTAAAGACAGACTGAATTGCATTCCAATGCTCATTCCCCCAGGGCTACTTGCACATGAGTAACTGACCTGCTTCTGCTTTTGGGTCTTCCCAGTCCATTGGGTGGGTTCTTCTTTCTTCGGCATTATTCAAAATTAAACCATGAGTTCATTTGTTACTCTACCCACTTCCTTTGTGATCTCTTCCACTCCCTTAGTTTCAAAGATTTTCTCAGTGCAAACATTCCCCCAAATGCTCTTGTTTCTGGCCTGAACTCTACTAAACATCTTTCAGTCAGACATACCACTAGAGCCCTATACACTCTGACTGTTACATATTTATCATCATTTCCATGACGACTGGCACAATTATAACCTCTACAGCTTTGCTCTGTGCCTTTACTCTGGTAAATTTTTCTCCACATCACACTTGTTGAAGTTTTACCTAGACCCTGTCCAGGTAAAATCTTACTTTTTCCAGAAAGACTTCTCAGGGGTTCTTGCTTCTAGCATCCCTTCCTGCACCCCATGCTTGAGTAGCCTATGCTGCTGTTATAACAGCTTCCTTCTGTATTAAATCTGTGGTGCAGAGACTTTGAATGGAAAATGGCTAAGCTTCTGTGCTAGCTTGGCATCAGGTACAAACACAAGCATTTAGTTGAGTGAGATATTTACTCTGGATTATATATAATCATAGGAAAATTGATTTCTCAAAGTTATATAAAACTTAGGAAGAAAACAATGTGAGTAACCAAAGTCCATTCAAGCCTAAAATATTCTTTGGAAAATACCCTCTGACAGTTTATTATTTGCTTAAAAACAAATTAATATAATTGCATTGCTTATAAAATGTAACCTTACTTGACCGCTAATGTTGACCTAGTTCTTTTTTCTGTTTACTTTGTTTTGAATTTACTGATAATATGAACCTTGGAAAATCCATCAATACAAAGAGTTTCTGTTTCTATTGATTTGTCAGAGAGGTGTTCTGATAAATTCTCATTGTAATCAAAATAACTTTTAAAGGACGATGGTTTCTTGATGCATTTTAAAAGTTATACTATGATAAGTATCTTAAATCAATTTGTGAACAGTCAAAATTGCTTCCTTTAAGAAATGTCAGAAATTAATAAATCTCAAGATTATTAGAGTTTGACATCAAATAAAGCCTTCTTATTTCTGCAAAAATATGTTAGGTCCTAATGAATTACTTGTATTTTAGATAACTTTAAGGCATGAGAGTGTCCAGTCAATAACTCTAAAGAATCTGAATTTTTACCCTATTTGCAAGCTAACAAGTTAGTCTACCAATTTTATAAATGCTGGAAGATGACACAAGGTGACTCCTGCATCACAGACAAAACAAATATTACAGTAAAAGCAATAGATAAAGTGTCAGTATTTTTTACCAGTTTCCTAGCTGTGAAAATGGCCAACTGATACTCCCACCCAGTAGGATGTGTTATGGGAGAAGAACTCCAAGCTCAGGAAACCCAAACTTTCTATAATGGGGAATAGGCCTGCTTGAACTTTACACTAGAGAGACTTTAATCTTATACTAAATAGTAAATAAACATGCCCTTTGACTGCAGGGAGGCACAATCTCTATATTCCAAGACTGTTCACCTCATAAATGTAATTTAAAAGATAATCTGGAACAAATGCAGTCAGTGTCTCTGCTTGGAAGACATGCAGAAACACAAACAAACAAACAAAATCCATGGAGAGTTATCTCCCAACAGATAAATATGAAGATATCTAAAAATTGAAAGTAACTTTCTTAATTAGAGTCACTCACTTTGAGTTAAGAAATATAATTGTGTTGTGCGGATAAATACTTCAGTGAAGAGAAAAATTTTACATTATTTTGAGAAAAATAGTTCTTATGAAGATAGACTTGCCATTTTTATCATTTAGCTGACAAAGAGGAATGCTCAACGTGTTCTATTTCACATCGCAAACGGAAACTACTCATATCCTTAAATTCCAGCGCCAAGGAAACAAAATGAGTTGGAACAAACCTTATTGTTCTGTATCTTAGAGTACTCCTGCCCTGGGAGATGCAACGATTTCAAAGCATTCTGGAATAGAAAATTTCACCTCCCCACCCACACTTCCATTCTACCTACTCTGCCTCCCCACCCACACTTCTCCATTCTCTACTCACAAGCCCCATCTTCTCTACAAACACATACATGCTATCATAAATGTAATTGTTTTACCTTTTTTTGTGATATATCCAGATGTATCCCCTCAACAATATATACAGATAATTTGTCAATAAATATCGATTCACCAGATACCTCTTTATAACTACATGGTACTTTGTCATATAGATGCATTTAATATTTAATCAAACTCCTGTTGATTGAAGTTGAATATGTTTCTATTCTTGTTATTATAACAAGGCTCAGTGAGTATCCTTGAACATCTTTTAGCCGTTTTCTATAATTTCTTTACAACTTAACGGTGACATTTAAATTCAACCATAAACATAAATTATTGTGGGTAGCAATACTTATATATACATGTTAAATGAGTCAAAACAGGCCAGGCATAGTGACTCACTCTTGTAATTCTAGCACTTTGGGAGGCCGAGGCAGGAGGATTGCTTGAGCCCAGGAGTTTGAGACCAGCCTGGAGCTTGAGCCCAGGAGTTTGAGACCCTGCCTCTAGCAACAACAAACTTTTTCTTAATTAGCTGGACGTGGTGGTGTGTGTCTGTGGTCCCAGCTACTTGTAGGGCTGGGGAGTGAAGGGGAAGGGTTAGGTGGAGGTTCCCTTAAGGCCAGGAGGTCAGGGCTATAGTGAGCCATGAAGGTGCCTGTGCACTCACTCACAGATTGAGATCCTGTCTCAAAATATGAAATAAAATGAAATAAAATAAAGCAATAAATGAGTCAAAGCAATTTTTTTCAATACAGTTTAATATTATTTTCTCATGATAAATATGCAATGCTTTGTTTTGCATGTGTAGGGTTTTGATTAACTTTATCCTGAGATGATTTCTTTTCCAATAGATTTTTTTTCCTCAAGAGAGAATATAATTGAAAAAGAAAGTTGAGCCACATTTACCACGTCTAATCTCTCATCTGGAACTTTAAAAGTCAGATTGTAACTGCTTAAATCACTTTTTTGCACTGGATTAAAAATAAAAACAAATTAAGGATCAATGCCGATACCTATGTAATAAAATCTTTCCTCTTTATAAAATCTTTCCTCTTTATAAAATCTTTAGCTTAGAACTTTCCTTGCCCATACTGGTTAAATTAATAATTCTTATAAACCACAGAAACTTGATTCAAAGTTATATTTCATTAACAAACAAAACTTTGCAGAAAAAGGACTATTGACCAATATTACTCGGTGTCAGTAATTTAGAGAAGAATTAAAGACATAATTAACACCTATGAAGAATTTTGCCTTTTTTGTACCTATAAAACAACAGCAACAAAAAAAAAGGCCTCGATAATTAGTTCACTGAAAAGTCAGGCATTTAAATTACCTACTATAGTTGCTAAGAAGGTACAGAATTTGATTCTTACCTATACTTACTCTGAGAAAGAACACTCTATCACATTACTAGTCATCAAAAATATAAATACTGTATTGCTTTACAGACTTGAAGCATTATTCCCATAGAATTGTCCAGGATATATAATATTATCTGGAAAAGTCACCAAGGGAACAATATGTAAACTTTTTAGGGATATAAGCAGGTGGCAGATACCCTGAGGAGCCACGTTCCAGAAAGCCTTCTTATCCTGACTATGAAAATTGTGAGGCAGCTTTTCTTACCCTCCATGAGAGCCCTAGGCACTAAGTCAGCTTCCGGATCTGCAGCTTGGTTAGTGGAGAGACGACCAGAGCTACTGCTGATACACTTGCTTCTGAGGACAGCTCGCTCAGTGGAGCAACTCAGAAGGGTGTTCTGCAAAACCTTACAGAGCTGTTTTTGTACAGTAAAAAATATTTTTATATGTTGAACTGTAGTCTATGATGTGCTTTGTGGGGTTTTCTGTTGTTAAATTATATCTATTTGAGTATGATTGTGAGTTGTTAAATATTGTTGGTATATGAACTAAGATGCCCATGAGAAGTTGGGAGTCCCTGATAAAAATATGAAATGTTTAGACAAAAGGCAGAAAAATTGTAAAAAAACATTTCCAGTCTCTTCACTATGCCAGTGAGTCAGCTGTCCCTGTTTTGTGTTAACCCATTCACATGCCCTGCGGGTAGTAGTGGGCGGCCAGCCTTGCTGCCAGGCTTCCTTGGGTGCCGTTTTCCTCAGCCTCCCCAATTATGTGATGGAAGCCTCATCTCTTTCAGTGAACAAAATGCCTGTAAGAATGCGCCCACATTACCAGTGCCATCTAAGTGATACAATCACTCTAAAATCAGATATTATATTTAATTACTTATAACTCAATTTAATAAATAATTTAAGTAAATAGTGTATACAAGTGAATGCCTAAAAAACAAAGGTTTTTTTAAAAAATAAACTGAGCCTGGCTTATCCTTCCCACCTGCAAGAGTTATCTTGGGTTTCTCCTATGACATGCATTCTCTTACCCATTCCTTCCCTTTCATGCTCTCCCTTCTGTTTCTAACCCTAAATCAGAGTCTAGAAAGTCTGTTTCCACCAAAAATCTCTTCCAAACTTTCTCCCTCCTCATTCTTTAATGGGCTATTCCCCAAATACTCATCACTCTCATTACACAAACACATTTGCTTCATGATTAGTTCATATGGAAAAGACGCACTTTGCAGTCTATTCCAGAATCTAACCCACTTCTCCTTTATTGCCTGGTTAGAACACCATTGAGATAGTGTTAAATCCACTTGTTACCTTGTCAGGGGACTTATACAAAGAAGCCACCTGTGCAACATTTTCTCCACAATTAAATTCATTTCTTTATCCAGCATGAAATATTTCCATTATACCCAACCAAGACACCCAAGAGGCCTTTAAAGTCGTTTTTAAAAAGTCTACTTTGAAAAACATTGGTCTGGGAAGCTTTATGGTCCTTTTACACTTTACCAGTCAGAAATTTTGGCAGATTTCCCATTAACTTATGGAGCCCAAGGCAAGTAAAGTATTGGTGTTGCCTTGACCTAATTACTGCAGGATTTCAATTTGTGCCCAATAAAACTGAATAGTATTAAAGCCTGGATTTCAGCTGCACTAGTGTTGTAGTAAAATGGCATTTACCAGAAGTCTGCCAACCCTCCCAGAGGGGAGTGTGAGAAATCACATGTGAACGAAACTCTGTTTCTAGGTGGGATTATACATGGTACCTGTGTTTTCATTGTGAAAATGGAATTGGATAATGGCAACAGTCCTTGTAGAAAGTGTAGACCATAAAATTGAACTCTAATTTCAATTTTCAGGTAACGGAGGCAAAAGTAGATCCAATTTTTCTAGCTAAGCTTGAGTAGATTGAGTTAAGTCATTCCAGTGAAACAAATTTAGATCCTGTTTTAAAAAGATTTCCAGGGAACAAAATCCATTCTTCTTCCTCCCAGTGTGCTGGCACTACCTTACATAAACAATCAACCCAACTTCTGTTCATTCATTAAATTTCAAGTAACACATGCAAGATTTGGTGGCACATTTGTGACATCAAAATATGTCCACCAAAGTATGGTCCAGCATGACATTATAGGTGTTCAATAAGTGTTTCCAAAATAAATAAAATCTCAGATGCATTACTAGTGGATAGAATTTGTCTCTGGCTAGAGATAAATGTAGCCCAGTCTTTATCACACATAACTCCTTCAGCTAACCCTTCTTTAGATAATCTTGTACAAGACTTCTGTGCTAAAAAGTTTTTATTTTCGTGTGTGGCTCTGATGAAGAGTTATTCTTCCTTCCTTTTCTCAAATCTCCTATAGGTCTGCAACATTATTTATTAATTTAAACAGTAAATGTTTACCATATGCATATGATGTGCTGGATTATGGAGATAAATAATGAACAATATTGAAATTATTTCTGCACTCAAGCAGCATATAGTCCATACAATAACAATTGCCAATGACCGAGCCCCTGTTAGGCACGACATTGAGTGCCATGTTTGCACGTGTTACTCCAGGCACTTATGAAAGCTGTGGGTCATTATCCCCATTTTATAGATAGAAAAACTGAGCTTAAATCACCTTCTTAAGATTTTGCAGCAATTAAATGTCAAAGCCTCATTTTGAGTCCTCTTCTGTCTGTCTCAATAGCTGCTCTTCAATACTGTGATCCAGATGAAACAGCATAACCACTCCATAAGAGCCACATTACCTCCAGATTTAAGTAGGTCGTTACATCTCTGGAATCTTATGTCTGCGTTCTATTTTATAAAGCAAAAGTCACTGTACTTTTACAAAGTAGGCTTTAGTTCTTCACAGTTCCTTTCTTAAATTAGTGTTTCCCCTCTGCCATTGGACCCAAAGAAAAAAGGGAGGAGGACAAAAAACTGCCATTAGAAGAAAACATTTCATGGGTAAACATCTTCTCTTTGCACTAAATTAAAATGTGAACTTATGATACAGCTCTAACTAAAATACTATTATTTTAATATTGTTATATTTTTGCCATTGGAATTTGCAGGAAGTTTGATATCTCATACTTCTAGACAAAGAAATAGACATAATACAGAGTAAGAATTTTCTAAAGTAAATATTTTGAAAGCAAATAATATTCAACAGACTTCAGATTTAATTTTGAATATATCTTCCCATTATCAAACACCACTTTCTTCAATATTTAGCAAGATTTTTTCTCATTTAGTTCAGGAATATAGTCTCTCATCTGTCACATGAATATATATTTTTCCTCAAACTTGTTTCTCCCCAAATGATAAGATTATTTTGTTGATGAGAGTTGTTTTTTGAAAAGATGAAAAAGTTCAATAAAACTTTAACCATACTGAGAAAAAAGGAGAGAAGACTCAAATAAATACAATCAGAGGTGAAAAAGGAGATACTATAACTGATACCTCAGAAATGCAAAGGGTCATAAGACACTATTAGGAACTATTATACACCAACAAATTGGACAACCTAGAGGAAAGAAATACATTCCTGGACATATACAACCTACCAACGTGGAATTATGAAGAATTACAAAATCCAAACAGATCAAGAACAAGTAATGCTATTGAATCCATAATAAAAAGTTTCCCATCAAAGAAAGCCCAGGACCAGATGACATCACTGCTGAATTCTCCCAAATATTTAAAGAACTAATACCAATTTTACTCAAAGTATTTCAAAAAATGCAAAAGGAGAGAATACAGTACTTTCAAACTTATTCTATGAGGCCAGCATTACCTTGTTACCAAAACCAGACAAGAACACAAGAAAATGAAATATAGCCCGATATCTCTGATGAACATAGATGTGAAAATCCTCAGCAAAATTCTAGCATACCAAATTCAACAACACATTAAGCAGATTGTTCACCCTGATCAAGTGGGACCTATCCCAGGAATGCAAAGATGGTTAAACATACAAAAATCAATAAACACAATATATCACATTAACAGGGTGATGTTATTTTAGATTATTATTTCCTGGACAGTCCATGGTTTCCTTGGTAGTGACAATGTATCTTATGGAATTAACAAGGCATACATTCTGCTGATGATTAAGTAATGATGATGATTATGATGATTAATTGTATGTATCAATTTGATTGGGCCATTAGGTGTCCAGCTATTTGGTTCAGCGTTATTCTGGGTGTTTTTGTGAGGTTGCTTTTTGGGTGATATTAGCATTCAAGTCAATAGACTGGGAAAAGCAGATTGCCCTCCCTAATGTGTGTGGGCCTCATCCAATCAGTTAAAAGCCTAAATCAAACAAAAAGGCTGCCCCTCTCCTGAGTAAGAGATAATTCCTCTGTCTTATTGTCTTCAAACTGGGACATCTTTTTATCTTGCCTTCACATTCAAACTGAAACATAGGCCCTTTCTTTGTCTTGAGCCTGCTGGCCCTCTAATGGGAACTGTACTCTGAGCTCTCCTGGTGTCCAGCTTGCCAACTCACCCTGCAGATCTTGGACTTGTCAGCCTCCATAATCACATAAGCTAATTCCTTATAATAAACTTCTTCATATATTTATTTATGAATATGAATATATAATATATAAGAATATTAAAAATAATTATAATGTTAATATAGTTATATAATATACATATCATATTTATTATATATAATATAATTATATATAAGAAGACAAAATATAATAAGTAGCAGCTGAGTAAAAGATGAGAACAGTTAAAAATGAAGGGATTCTACATGAATAACCAGGAGTTTTAATACTATGGACAATGTTTGAGCACTGATGTAGGGAGAAAATACTCAGTGGATATCAAGCCAACATCAAGCCAGTATTAGCATATACTGAGCAAAATGAAGAGATACAAACATACCTGGAGAGCAGTCTGGTATACATAGATAAGATAGAGTTCTCCACAACCTTAGCTTTTAAAACATGAGACTTTAAAACTTATATTGAAGTCTTCACAAGTTCATGGTTTCTGAAATTTTGAGTGTTATAAATCAAAAGGCAAAGGTAGTTTGTTTTTACTCTAGAACATAAGATTGTTGACCCAATTGCAATATATTTCATGTTCACAGAAGGTATGCTCTATATAAACTGTGCAAAAATGTTATTATCTGTATCAAAGAATTTAAGGAGATTCATTAGTGTAGCCTTCATGTCAAGCTTGAACAGCCATTTTTCCGGTCAATATAACTAAAAATGCACAGTATTTTATTTAATCAATTTATCTCTTGCCAGAATGTCCAGGAACTTACCCAGTGACCATATTAGTTTGTTTTCACTCTGCTATAAAAATACTACTTGAGACTGAGTAATTTATAAAGAAAGGAGGTTTAATTGACTCACAGTTCCACATGGCTGAGGAAGCCTGAGGAAACTTACAATCATGGCAGAAGGTGAAGGGGAAGCAAGGTACGTCTTACATTGCGGCAGGAAAGAGAGAGAGAAAGCTCAGGAGAAACTGCCACTTTTAAAATCATCATGTCTCATGAGAACTCCCTGGCTATCACAAGAACAGTATGGGGGAAACTGGCACCATGATCCAATCACCTCCCACCAGGTCCCTCCCTTGACATGTGGGGATTATAATTCCAGATGAGATTTGGGTGGGGACAAAGAGCCACACCATATCAGTGACAAAGTACATTTTTCACTTGTTGCCCTTTGGTATTGTTCTATGACAATAGAACAAGTTAATTGCCTGCTAACAGGCAATTTGTATAGAACCTTAGAATTATCCAAAATTTCTACAAGTTTTCATTTATTTTGAATTTCTTTAGTTTTCAAAACACCTGACAAGCAAATGGTTTTTGAAGAACTCCTCCATTCTGTGAAACTTATCTGCAGTTTGTAGAATTCATAATAACCTTTGGAATGTAAGCTGATTATCAAAACAGTTGATTAGATCAACTTCATGTAGAATATTCCCTAATGACAATTCTCAAAGTCCCCTTTTCCTAATTCCATCCTAGCATTTATTTAATAAAGATGTCTTAAACCACTAGGTTCCAAGGATGTTTTACAAGATTATGAATGTACAGAAAGAATGAAGTGGCAGAGGTAAATAAGAAAATGGTTGATAGGATGCAATGTTACAGATACTAAAAT
Organism: Homo sapiens; assembly: GCF_000001405.40. NCBI lineage: Eukaryota > Metazoa > Chordata > Mammalia > Primates > Hominidae > Homo > Homo sapiens. Next base: position 57,687,089 of record NC_000008.11, read on the forward strand.
AAAGATATGCACAGCGTGGTTCTGGGAGCTCAAACAAGGAGCAGAGAGCACCAAACTTAATAGACTGGTGGAGACAGAAGACTTTTATAAAGGGTCAAGACTTGAGACATGAAGAAGGAGATGATTTTAAAAATGAAGCAAATAATGACATTCCAGACAGGGGCAAGAGAATTTAAAAAGATGAGCAAAGTTGGGCTGTTTTCGTAACACTCTAGTGTGTTATTGATCTTTTTCTCTTATCATCTTTTCACAAGTTCTCATTTGGCTATCATTTACATACATGCATGCAGGAAGCATGCAGTAGAGGTCACCCAATGATGTCAGAAAAATTTGAGCAAGTTGTACACATCAAGTAAATCCAATTTGCACATTGGAAGTTATCCACTGAGGAGTCAAGACAACTAGAAAGAACTGATGATATCCACACAGCGTCATTGCAAGGGTGTTGAGATGATTTGCCCTCCTCCTTCACAGAAAGCCTTCTCTATCTGATAATGTCTGAAATAATATTGTCTTGGCTTTGTCACTTTTGCTTATGGCTTTTATCCATTTTGAAATTAAAATACATGTGAGATGGATTATAAATTCAAGCTGTTATCACTCACTGACATCTTAGTAGAGGCAATTTTTAGTTGCTTTTAGCAGCTTTTGATAGGAAGAAGGGAATAAAATATGAGGAAGTAGATTGCTTGAAGAATTTTATAAAGCCATGGGAGACAAACAGAACTCTGAGAAGTGGGGCTGGGAATACTTCATTCTTGCACAGAAAAGGCACAAAATAATACTTGCCCAGTTAATTAAAAAATAAAACTTCAGTGATTTATGATTTTTCTGTAGCTGTTCTAGTGACCAGAAATTATTCATTTTATTTTCTTTTGTCAAAGGCCAATCCTCAACAAGAAGAAAGCAATAGTACAATATTTTTGTGCAAGAAGAAAAGTTTCAAATTTCATCTTAATGTGTTTCTTATAATGTGACAACTTTTTAAAGAAGCCAAAGAGAAAAGGCATTCAAAAATAACAAAGTAGGGTTTAGTACAAAAAAACTTGGAACAAATAACATTCTAGACAAAAAATTTCAAGGAAGGATTTTACTTATAAGAAAAACTTATATACATAAGGCAATGGTAATGTTAATTAAGAGACGTGATTTAAGAGACAAAAGGCAGGACAATGTAGAGATGCTATAAGAAATCTAATGCAAAATTTATCTGCTCAGGATAAGGCTGTGCAAAGGATACCCAGCAACATCTGGGCTTTGAATTCACTATTTATAGAGGCTTGGAGCCATGTGCACAAGATTATAAGAAACAAAGGTCAAAGTTTGGATTGCAAATAGTATTAATATTGCCTTGTATATGGAAAATGGGAGAAGATTATTTTTATTTTTAGCATAAAATCTCCAACAGAAGGAATGATAAATCATAAGACAATGTAAAAGAGAATTCCTAACTCTTCTCCTTCTGGAGCAAAAAATCAATTAATCTGCTCTGTGTTCTCAGTTACTCACTGCATTTCAGCTGTTTCTGTTTTCAACTGGCCATGCTGAATTGATATGAAGAACATTTTCATAGAAGGGGCAATGTGATAGCCACCATTTTGCTCCTAGTCCCAAGAACAATGCTTGGTCCATAGCAGAAACTCAATGTTGAACTGAAAGAATGAGTGAAAGAAACAGAAATGGAAGTTGTGGAGAAGAGAAAGAAACTATTCTTATCCTGTCTTTATATTTGGTCCTTTATTATTTCCTCTCTACACCTGAAACTGGTGATTGAGTTGGGAATGTTGGATGCATTTAGTTTGGGGTAGGAGATATGAAGCCCTGCAGAGCTCTTTAATCTGGATGTCATGAGGGAATCTTGCTTTGGAGGTTATTAGGGAAATAATTTAAATTAAATTAAGGAAAACTAGACTGAGGTTATGCAGCCTGGGTACCACTCTGAATTCTAGTGAAGTTTCTGCTGCAATTCATGGCATTTTCTTAGCCATGATGCTCATTTAACAAAATGTCTTATCTGTAGACTCGAACCTATGTCAGGCTGATTTACATTTCCTTTAATGTTTTAAATCAATAATTATTTATTGAGAGCCTGTCTTAGTCAGTTTAAGCTGCTATAACAAAATACCTTAAACTGGATAATTCTAAGCAACAGAAATGTATTGCTCAGAGTTCTGGAGGCTGGAAAGTCCAAGACTAAGGCACCAGCAAATTTTGTGTCTGGTGAGGGCTTGCCTTCTGTTTCATAGATGGTGCCTTGCTGCATCCTCACATGGCAGAAGGAGCAAGGGATTTTGCTGAAGCATCTCTTATAAGAGCAAGAATCCCATTCATAAGGGAGGAGCTTCATTAAATGATGACTTAATCACTTCCCAAAGGCCCCACTTCTTAACCCTATCACACTGGGTATTAGGTTCTAGCATGAATTTTGAAGGACACCAGTCCGGGCACGGAGGTTCATGCCTGTAAAATCCCAGCACTTTGGGAGTCTGAAGCTAGTGGATCATCAGAGGTCAGGAGTTCGAGACCAGCCCAGCCAACCTGGTGAAACCCAATCGTCTCTACTAAAAGTACAAAAATTAGCTGAGTGTGTGGCAGGCGCCTGTAATCCCAGCTACACGGGAGGCTGAGGCAGAAGAATCACTTGAACCTGGAAGGCAGAGGTTGCAGTGAGCCAAGCTCGGGTAATTGCCCTCCAGGCTGGGGGACAGAGCGAGACTCTGCCTCAAAAAAAAAAAAAAAAAAAGGACACCAATGTTCAGGCCATAGCAGAGGCCATAATATGCCAAGCTCTATGTTGGACACTAAGGAAACAGCTGTCTGAGTTGTTAATTAAATACGACAATCCCCTTTTGGATAGTTTTGTGATGGTGTCAAGCATTAATAAATAATAATAATAAATTATAATTTTGATAATGCATTTTTATTATATACTTTTCTTTGCTATTTTGTGTTTTTATCATGTACATACTATATTTTCACAGTAATAAATGCAGCTTTGAAAACAGGCATTTGCAAATTATCAAACAAGCTTAAGTTATTCCCAATTTACTCCTTAGTGCAGATTTAAGGAAGAGAGATAAAAAGTGGATTTAGCTACTAAATTAAGTTCTGTGAACTTTAAAATGTGTATTATAAACTCTGTATTTTCAGTGGTTAATGCATTAATAAGGCCCAACGTTTCTTGGAAGATAAATTTCAGGAAACTTATTTACATATTCATATCACTTTGTGTCATTGGTGTGAGGCATTGCAGACATGGCCTTAGCTTTGCTCCTGGCACCTGGTGCCTTTCCCACATGAAATATAACTATTCAGTCAGCCTTGTTATGATGATGACAGTTAATTTTGTCTTTTAAAACCAACCTTTGGCCAGCTGCGGTGGCCCACACCTATAATCCCAGCATTTCGGGTGGCCGAGGCGGGCAGCTCATGAGGTCAGGAGATAGAGACAGTCCTGGCTAACATCATCAAACACCATCTCTACTAAAAGTACAAAAAAAATTAGCCAGGCATGGTGGCACATGCCTATAGTCCCAACTACTCGGGAGGCTGAAGCAGGGGAATCGCTTGAACCCGGGAGGCAGAGGCTTCAGTAAGCCAAGATCGCCACTGCACGCCAGCCTTGGCAACAGATAGAGACTTTGATCTCAAAAAAAAAAAAAAAAAAAACCTTCAGTGTCGGCATTTTAGCACTCTTGTCCAATTTAGCAAATGATGTACAAAAATGGATGTTATAAATTTTCTCCAGGCTTACAATTTAATATTATTAGTTGTTGTTGTTTTTCTATGATCTAGGAATTTGGGGGAAATATCTACTGTTTCCTCTTTAGAATCCAAGGCAACTTTTTTCCTCTCATTTTTCTTAAGTTCCAAAATACTAGGAAATTTTTTAAGCATTTCTTTTTATTTTTAGCTTATTTGCAGCTAGATTTTGACTGGTTATAAATGTAGTATACAAAATATCTTCTTATTGAAATGCTGCTAATTAAATAAAGCTTCTTTTTACTTGAATTAAACTTTGCAGAAGGAAAAAAAGCCACCAACAAACATGTAAGACAATTGTAACAGCAATCAAGCTAAACTTCTCCAGGGTTTTTTGATACCCTGGGATATAATATTTCTGAGAACTCTTCTGCTATAATGAAGAATTCCATAGTTATCCAGATAGATCCCAGCATGGCTACACATTATTTTGAATTTGATAAGCCAAGAACATATGTATTTATTTGTATCCCATTAGTTCAATTACCTGGTGAAAAACATACCGTTCAGTTGACAGAGACATATATATTTTGCTTAATCTTCATGCACCCAAAATAGATTTAACAGTAAGTCTGTATCAGAATGCTCTGATGTCCGAAGAAATGTAACCCTAATAAATGTAGAACACCCAAATAACAGTCTTTACAGAGAGCTGCATTTAAAAATATGCTATTTAGTAGCCATAATGATTTTTAAATAATACTATTTTGGCTTTTTTTCTTACAAAGAACATTAAAGTGGATCTAATTCATAACTCCAAATAACACCTATCAAAAGTCCTTATCTGATGTTTCAGTACTGTTATACCTTTCTGCTGTTCTATACTCTTTTGGATTCCAAAATTCACCTGGCACAGTCTCTTATCTTTCTCTGTCTTACTACATTTAGGGTATGGATAGTCCTAATCTATTTTCCAATTAGAAAAATACACTCCACTTTAGCAAGAAAGAGAAGAGGGAAATAAGTGGACAATAGAAAATCCTCTTTTGTGGGCAGGATGACTGGAGGAAGGCAGTGACATTTACCCAGGCAGAGTATTCCTCAAGAGCTATTCCCGGGCCTGACTTCCCGTTCTTCCACTCAACAAATGGCTATCAAGCACTTGTCACGTTTCTGGGACTCTTATAGAACTTACACTATAGCTGTGAACAAGAGAGAAAACTTTTCTATGTGTATTTGTTTTCTGTTGCTGTAACAAAAATTACCACAAACTTAGTTACTGAAAATAACATAAATTTATGACTTGACCGTTCTGTAGGTTAGAAGTCTGACATGTGCATCGCTGGGCTTGTATCTGGTGTTGGCAGGGCCATGCCCTTTTCTAGAGAGTAGGGGAGAAAGTAGGGGAGAACCCACTTCTTCATCTTTTCCGGCTTCTACAGGCTGTCCACATGTTCTATCTTGTGGCCCTTTCCTCCATCTTCAAAGCCAGCAACATTGCCTCTCCCTGACCATTATTCCGTAGTCACATCTCTCTCTGAATCTCCTCTTCTATCCCTCTCTTCTTACATTGGGCCCACCTGGACAATCTAGAATAATTTCCCTATCTTAAAATTAACTCATTAGCAGCCTTGATTCTATCTGCAACCTTACTTTCCCTTTGTCATGTAACGTAACATACTCCCAGTTTTTAGAATTAGAATATGGGCATCTTAGGCAGGGGCCAGGGGTGGTTGTCATGATGCCCATTGTGTATCCTCATAGATCTCACAGTTTAGTGGAAAATCTAAACAGGTAAGTGGGAAATCTCCATACAGTGTACTAAGTGCTGATGGGGGAAGGCTAGAAGTGCCTACAAGGGTCACCTAACAGAATTCCAGGTTAAAGAAGGCTTTCCAGGTAAAGTGACATTAACACTGAGATCCGGAGGTTAAATAGGCATAGTCAATGCAAGCAGTGGTTGTGGGGTGGTGGGGTGAGAGGCAGAGAACAATATTTCATACGGAAGGAATATGAAGTACAGGGTCCCAGAGGTCATGGAGGGGAGAGGGAGCATCACTCAAGTCAGGGAGTAAAAGGAGTTTCTTATAGCTGGGGCAAGGCTCAGGTGTGGGGTCGGAGGCATGGAGGCTGGATTAATAGAAAAGGGCCAGATCAGGAGGAGATTTGCCAGCCTTGACAAGTGGGAAGTGGGGTTCAGGCCCTGCCTTACTAGCCATGAAGAAGCTGGAGGATTCTAGCCCAGGGCAGGTTTGGATTTAGTTGGTCTTTGAGAAAAATCATTCTGGCTGCTCTGTGGAGAGTTGATTATAAGAAGGTCTGATGGAACATCTTATTAGTGACCTAAGTGGGTAAAAGTAAAAGAAGATCCATTAGCATAGCATTGTAGAAGCCCCATGGGAAGTCCAAGGATAAATATTGTTGGGGAAGGGACCAGCATTTCTAGGATGTGTTCAGATCTGAGAGCTGTTGATTATTGAAAGAAGCAATAACAAACATGTGGAATTAAGTACCCGAAGATGAGTATTCGGAAAATGAAACATCTGAGGAAAACATGTTTGAAAAATACCTGTTGATCATGTTAGAAATTTATCTAAAATTTATCCAAAATATTGTAACTACATATAGCAAGTTGTCTAGAAGTCGGCAATTAGTTTTAATGAATCAGGTCATAATGGGATCATTCTGTGGCCCAGCTGTCCTGTGGAAGGAGGTGGAGTGTGAGGGGGGCCCTTTGTAATATGACACTGTGCCAGAGTGCAGAGATAAAATTTATAATGCAATTAATTCTACAAATTGGTCCCTTAACTTTAAATGCTTTTAATAGCATACTTTTAGCTCTCCTGAAATTTCATTTTTCCGGAAAGCCTTAATGTGATGTTTGGCACTCCTTTTTCATCATATATGGTCCTGACCAATAAATCTTTTCATATTTGACAGACAGGAGTGTTACATTTTCCTCTAGGATTCTGGTCCTAATTTCTCTGACAATTTAGTCTGTATTTACAACGAAATGAAAGGGAAAGTTACAATTTAAGCCATTAAAGATTTCTAAAAAGCATACTGTTGCTGGGAAAAGGTGAAACCCTAAAAGTTGGGTTGTTAAGTTGAGTGAATCAGATAAATGGAGGGAAGTGTTTTTATACCTCTTACACTTTCCAAACCACCTGGGGCTGGCAGCTTGGGGAGCACATCCATAGCAGGCTTTCTGGTGAGAGTTTTGACACTCCCACTTCTGGTCCCTATTGGAAATATCACAAAACAAGCCTTCTGTGCAGCATTTTAGTAAGTACCGTGCCAATTTATGAATTACAAAAAAAGAGAGAGAGAGAGAGAGAGTGAGAGAAAACTTACCCAAAATTTTCAGAACTTTAAAAGGCTTTCATTTGAAAGTAATGGTCAAGCTCTAATCCGACTCCAAAATCCCTAAGTTAAAGATAAGGGTATCAGTAAGGAAAGATTTTAGATGAAAGTACCCAAAATTGGGCTAACATAAGCTTAAACATGAGGTATTTGGTGTTACTTAAAATAGAAACTGGAAGTTTGGCCTCTGGGGCTGGGTCAGTCACTCTACAGGTTGATACTATCACTCTTCCTTCTCTATCAGCTTCAGAATCTGAAGCTTTTTCCTAAACTGACCATACAGTTTATTGTCTAATCCAGGACACTTTTGAATTTAGAGAGGGGCCATTGTTAATAATTATACTGGGGCAGCAGGGGTCACTGGGACTGTGCTGGACAAACCAGTTCATGTGGTTATCTAATTTTTTTCTCATGCTGTTGCTCTGTTATCTCAAAATGGCTGCCATGGTTCCAACTGTTGATCCTCACACCATATTCAAATGCAAGAAGCAAGGGAAGAGGCCACACCAGCAAGCTTGCTTCCCAGACCTGCCACTTTATTAGAAAGAAATTCTTTTCTCAGGCAACCTCATTAGATAGCCACTTACATCTCATTGCTGTAGCTGCAAGAAAAGCTGAGAGTGTGAGTGTGCCCACTAGAAGCAGAATTGTCATGATCAGCTTGGTTACTGGATTATAATAACCACAAAATATATAATAGCCCAGAGGGTGCTGGCAAGATGACAATAGGAATAGCTCCGGTCTACAGCTTTCAGCAAGATCCAACACAGAAGGCAGGGAATTTCTGCATTTTCAACTGAGGTACCAGGTTCATCTCATGGGGATAGGTTGGACAGAGGGTGCAGCCCATGGAGGGTGAGCCAAAGCAGGGTCGGGTGTCACCACACCCAGGAAGCATAAGGGTCGGGGGATCTCCCTCTCCTAGCCAAGGGAAGTTGTGAGGGACTGTACTGAGAGGAACAGTGCACTCTGGCCCAGATACTGTGCTTTTCCCATGGTCTTCATAACTGACAGACCAGGAGATTCACAACTGACAGACCAGGAGATTGCCTCTGGTACCTATGCCACCAGGGCCCTGGGTTTCAAGCACAAAACTGGGCAGCCATTTGGGCAGACACTGAGCTAGCTGCAGGAGTTCTATAGATATATACACACACACACCAGTGGCACCTGGAACGCCAGTGAGACAGAACCGTTCACTCCTGTGGAAAGGGGGCTGAAGCCAGGGAGCCTCTACCCCCATGGAGCCAAGCAAGCTAAGATTCACTGGCTTGAAATTCTTGCTGCTAGCACAACAGTGTGAGGTCAATCTGGGACGATCGAGCTTGGTGCCAGAGGGGCGTCCACCATTGATGAGGCTTGAGTAGGCAGTTTTACCCTCACAGTGTAAACAAAGCTGCTGGGAAGTTCAAACTGGGTGGAGCCCACCGCAGCTCAGCAAGGCCACTGCAGCCAGGCTGCGTCTTTAGATTCCTCCTCTCTGGGCAAGATACCTCCGAAAGAAAGGCAGCAGTCCCATCAGGGACTTATAGAAAAAAACCCCATCTCCCTGAGACAGAGCACCTAGTGGAAAGAGTGCTGTGAGCACAGCTTCAGCAGACTTAAATGTCCCTGCCTGAAAGCTCTGAAGAGAGCAGCAGATCTCCCAGCACAGTGTTCAAGTGTCCCACTGATAAGGGACAGACTGCCTCCTCAAGTGGGTCCCTGACCCCCATGTATCCTGACTGGGAGACACCTCCCAGTAGGGGCCAACAGACACCTCATACAGGAGAGCTCTGTCTGGCATCTGGCAGGTGCCCTTCTAAGACGAAGCTTCCAGAGGAAGGAATAGGCAGCAATCTTTGCTGTTCTGCAGCCTCCACTGGTGATACCCAGGTTAACAGGGTCTGGAGTGGACCTCCAGCAAACTCCAGCAGACCTGCAGCAAGGGGGCCTGACTTTTAGAAGGAAAACTAAGAAACAGAAAGGAAGAGTATCAACAACAACAAAAAGGACGTCCACTCAAAGGCCCCATCAGAAGGTCACCAACATCAAAGAATAAAGGTAGATAAATCCACAATGAGAAACCATTGCAAAAAGGCTGAAAATTCCAAGAACCAGAATGCCTTTTCTCATCCAAAGGATCACAGTTCCATGCCAGCAAGGGAAAAAAAAATGGACGGACAATGAGTTTGATGAATTGACAGAAGTAGGCTTCAGAAGGTAGGTAGTAACAAGCTCCTCTGAGCTAAAGGAGCATGATCTAAGCCAATGCAAGGAAGCTAAGAACCTTGAAAAAAGGTTAGATGAATTGCTAACTAGAATAACCAGTTCAGAGAAGAACATAAATGACCTGATCGAACTGAAAAACACAGCACAAGAACTTCGTGAAGCATACACAAGTATCAATAGCCAAAGTGAAAAAGCGGAAGAAAGGACATCAGAGATTGAAGATCAATTCAATGAAATAAGGCTAGAAGACAAAATTAGAGAAAATAGAGGAAAGAAATGAACAAAGCCTCCAAGAAATATGGGCCTATGTGAAAAGACCAAATATATGTTTGATTGGTGTACCTGAAAGTGACGGGGAGAATGGAACCAAGTTGGAAAACACACTTCAGGATATTATCAAGGAGAACTTCCCCAACCTAGTAAGGCAGGCCAACATTCAAGTTCAGGAAATACAGACAACACCACAAAGATACTCCTCCAGAAGAGCAACCAGGACACATAATTGTCACATTCACCAAGGTTGAAATGAGGGAAAAAATGTTAAGGGCAGCCACACAGAAAGGTTGGGTTACCCACAGAGGGAAGCCCATCAGACTAACAGCAGATCTCTATGCAAAAACCATACAAACCAGAAGAGAGTGGGGGCCAATATTCAACATTCTTAAAGGAAATAATTTTCAACCCAGAATTTCATATCCAGCCATACTAAACTTCATAGGCAAAGGAGAAATAAAATTCTTTACAGACAAGCAAATGCTGGGAGATTTTGTCACCATCAGGCCTTCCTTACAAGAGATCTTGAAGGAAGCACTAAACATGGAAAGGAACAACCGGTACCAGCCACTGCAAAAACACACCAAATTGTAAAGACCATCAACACAATGAAGAAACTGTATCAACTAATGGACAAAATAACCAACTAGTGTCATAATGACAGGATCAAATTCACAAATAACAATATTAACCTTACATGTAAATGGGCTAAATGCCCCAATTAATAGACACAGACTGGCAAATTGGATAAAGAGTCAAGACCCATCAGTGTGCTGTATTCAGGAGACCCATGTCACGTGCAAAGACACATATAGACTCAAAATAAAGGGATGGAGGAAGATTTACCCAGCAAATGGAAAGCAGAAAAAAGCAGAGGTTGCAATCCTAGTCTCTGGTAAAACAAACTTTAAATCAACAAAGATCAAAAGAGACAAAGAAGGCCATTACATGATGGTAAAGAGATCAATGCAACAAGAACAGCTAACTATTCTAAATATATATGCACCCAATACAGGAGCACCCAGATTCATAAAGCAAATTCTTAGAGACCTACAAAGAAACTTAGACTCCCACACAATAAAAATGGGAGACTTTAACACACCACTGTCAATGTTAGACATATCAATGAGGCAGAAAATTAACAAGGATAATCCAGGACTTGAACTCAGCTCTGGATCAAGCAGATCTAATAGACATCTACAGAACTCTCCACCCCAAATCAACAGAATATACATTCTTCTCTGCTCCACATCTCGCTTATTCTAAAATTGACCACAAATGCAACAGAACAGAAATCATAACAAACAGTCTCTCAGACCACATAGCAATCAAATTAGAACTCAGAATTAAGAAACTCACTCAAAACTGCACAACTACATGGAAACTGAACAACCTGCTCCTGAGTGACTACTGGGTAATTAAAGAAATGAAGGCAGAAATAAAGATGTTCTTTGAAACCAAAGAACAAAGAACAAAGACACAATGTATCAGAATCTCTGGGACACGTTTAAAGCAGTGTGTAGAGGGAAATTTATAGCACTAAATGCCCACAAGAAAGCAGGAAAGATTGAAAATTGACACCCTAACATCACAATTAAAAGAACTAAAGAAACAAGAAGAAACGAATTCAAAAGCTAGCAGAAGACAAGAAATAACTAAGATCAGAGAAGAACTGAAGGAGATAGAGACACGGAAAACTCTTCAAAAACATCAATGAATCCAGGAGCTGGTTTTTTGAAAAGATCAACAAAATAGATAGACTGCTTACCAGATTAATAAAAAAGAAAACAGAGAAGAATCAAATAGATGCAATAAAAATAATGAAGGGGATATCACCATAGATACCACAGAAATACAAACAACCATCAGAGAATAAAGTACCTCTACACAAATAAACTAGAAAATCTAGAAGAAATGGATAAATTCCTGGACACATACACCCTCCCAAGACTAAACCAGGAAGAAGTCGAATCCCTGAATAGAACTGAGGCAGTAATTAATAGCCTACCAACCAACAAAGCCCAGGACTAGACAGATTCACAGCCGAATTCTACCGTAGGTACAAAGAGGAGCTGGTACCATTCCTTCTAAAACTCTTTCAGCAATAGAAAAAGAGGGACTCCTTCCTAACTCATCCTGATACCAAAACCTGGCAGAGACACAACCAAAAAAGAAAATTTCAGGCCAACATCCAAGATGAACTTTGATGCAAAAATCCTCAATAAAATACTGGCAAACAGAATCCAGCAGCACATCAAAAAGCTTATCCACCATGATCAAGTTGGCTTCAACCCTGGGATGCAAGGCTGGTTCAACATACACAAATCAATAAACATAATCCATGACATAAACAGAACCAATGATAAAAAACACATGATTATCTCAATAGATGCAGAACAGACCTTCAACAAAATTTAACATCCCTTCATACTAAAAACTCTCAATAAACTAGGTATTGATGGAACGTATTTCAAAATAATAAGAGCTATTTATGACAAACCCACAGCCAGTATCATACTGAATGGGCCAAAACTTAAAGCATTCCCTTTGAAAACCAGCACAAGCCCTCTCTCACCACTCCTATTTAACAGAATATTGGAAGTTCTGGCAAGAGCAATCAGGCAAGAGAAAGAAATAAAGGGTATTCAGTTATGAAAAGAGGAAATGAAATTGTCTCTGTTTGCAGATGACATGATTGTATATTTAGAAAACACCATCGTCTCAGCCCGAAATCTCCTTAAGCTGATAAGCAGCTTCAGCAAAATCTCAGGATACAAAATCAATGTGCAAAAATCACAAGCATTGCTATACACCAATAATAGACAGAGAGTCAAATCATGAGTGAACTCCCATTCACAATTGCTACAAAGAGAATAAAATACCTAGGGATACAACTTACAAGTGATGTGAAGGACCTCTTCAAGGAGAACTACAAACCACTGTTCAAGGAAATAGGAGATGACACAAACAAATGGAAAATCATTCCTTGCTCATGGATACGAAGAATCAACACCATGAAAATGGCCATACTGCCCAAAGTAATTTATAGATTTAATGCTATTCCCATCAAGCTACCAGTGACTTTCTTCACAGAACTGGAAAAAACTACTTTAAATTTCATATGGAACCAAAAAACAGCCCATATAACCAAGACAATCCTAAGCAAAAAGAACAAAGCTGGAGGCATCACGCTACCTGGCTTCAAAACGATACTACAAGGCTACAGTAACAAAAACAGCATGGTACTGGTATCAAAACAGATATAGAGACCAATGGAATAGAACAGAGGCCTCAGAAATAACACCACACATCTACAACCATCTGATCTTTGACAAACCTGACAAAAACAAGCAATGGGGAAAGGATTCCCTATTTAATAAATGGTGTTGGGAAAACTGGCTAGCCATATGCAGAAAACAGAAACTGGATCCCTTCCTTACACCTTGTACAAAACTTAACTACTGATGGATTAAAGACTTAAACATAAGGCCTAAAACCATAAAAACCCTAGAAGAAAACCTAGGCAATACCATTCAGGACATAGGCATGGGCAAATATTTCATGACTAAACCACCAAAAGCAATTACAACAACAGCCAAAATTTACAAATAGGATCTAATCGAACTACAGAGCTTCTGCACAGCAAAAGAAATGATCATCACAGTGAACAGGCAACCTACAGAATGGGAGAAAATTTTTGTAATCTATCCATCTGACAAAAGTTTAATATCCAGAATCTACAAGGAACTTAAACAAATTTACAAGAAAAAAAAAACCCTATCAAAAAGTGGGCAAAGAATATGAACAGACACTTCTCAAAAGAAGATATTTATGCAGCCAACAAACATATGAAAAAAAGCTCATCATCACTGGTCATTAGAGAAATACAAATCAAAACCACAATGAGATACCATCTCATGCCAATTAGTTTGGCAATCAATAAAAAGTCAGGAAACAACAGATGCTGGAGAGGATATGGAGAAACAGGAACACTTTTACACTGTTGGTGGGAGTGTAAATTAGTTCAATCATTGTGGAAGACAGTGTGGCAATTCCTCAAGGATCTAGAATTAGAAATGCCATTTGACACAGCAATCCCATTACTGGGTATATACCCAAAGGATTAGAGATCATTTTACTATAAAGACATATGCACACGTGTGATTACTATAACACTATTTACAATGGCAAAGACTTGGATCCAACCCAAATGCCCATCAATGATAGACTGGGTAAAGAAAATGTGGCACATATACACATGGAATACTATACAGCAATAAAAAAGGATGAGTTCCTGTCCTTTGCAGGGACATGGATGAAGCTGGAAACCATCATTCTCAGCAAACTAACACAAGAACAGGAAACCAAACACCACATGTTCTCACTCATAAGTGAGAGCTGAACAATGAGAACACATGGACACGAAGAGGGGGCACCACACACTGGGGTCTGTCAGGGGGTGAGGGGCTGGGGGAGTGATAGCATTCGGAGAAATATCTAATGTAGATGACGGGTTGATGGGTGCAGCAAACCACCATGGCACATGTATACCTATGTAACAGATCTGCATGTTCTGCACATGTACCCCAGAACTTAAAGTATAATAAAAAGTTAAATTAAATTAAAAATATATATATAATATTCATAAGATCATCATATCAGCTATGGTTATCAGGTCCATAACTCACTGTGTAGGCATCAGTCAATGTAACCATTCATCTTTTTAAAACAGGGGAATTGTTAATTAAGACTTCTGTCCTTGAACATAACTCTATGTCTGTGTCCCTAGTGCACACCAATATCCAAGTTCTCCTGAACATACATCCCATTTATATTTTCTACTCTTCCTGGCATCTCGGTGTGGCCACATAACTGAAATCTGGCTAAAGGAAAGGGAGTAGATGTCATCTGTGCCATTTCTAGGAAAGGCCCTTAAAAATCTCCTTAAAGCAATTCTCCCTCTCTCTGTCTATCCGCTAACAGGGAGGAGAGGGTTCTGAGGACACAGAGGAAGGGGAAACCTGGAGGTGGAAAGAGCTTAGGCCCAGAATGGTAGTGCCCTGCAAAGCCCTGGACCCTGCTATTAGCTACCTCAGGCTGACGGGCCAGGCACACAACAAGGCATTGAAATTCTGAGGTTGTTCACACCCGTTAGGCTGTTCCAAAGAATATACCCCATTTTAGCAAATGTCTTCTACATTGTATTTATTTACTTGCCCAGCAGTGGTAGGAAGAACAATTCCATTCTTACATCCGTAGCATATAGCACAGAGCTTGGTACAGAGTAGATTCTCATTACATGTTTATAAATGAATGAATGAGTGAACATGGAGAGAGAAAAGAAAAACTTCCAAATACAATGAAATATGCATTTCCATCTGGTATCTTTAAAACACAAATCTTTACTGCATGTTTTGTGTCCACATTTAAACGGGGTTGTTGATAATAACACTGGATAGTTTTTAGCTTTTTAAAAAATTAATAAAAATTGCATGTATTTATGGTATGCAACATCTGGTATCTTTAAAACACAAATCTTTACCACATGTTTTGTGTCCACAGTTAAAGGGGGTTGTTGATAATAACACTGAATAGTTTTTGGCTTTTTAAAAAATTAATAAAAATTGCATATATTTATGGTATCAACATAGTGTTTTGAAATAAGTAAAAATATATAACTTTGTTTTCCAAAATCACCTTCCTCCTCTCTAATTGTAACCATGAGGGAAGGAAACATTTGTCTTCTGTGCAGAGGTTCTTTGTACACAAATAAACACTGTTCTTCGTCTGCCATCAGGGATCATGTCAAGGGACCACTCTCATCACCTCTGCTTCACTGTCAATGTGAAACACTTGTGAGGCTGGAAGCTGCCAAACCTGAGGGAGCCTGCATTCCTGTGCCCCCACAGTGAGTCTTCACTGTGACTTCCCAAGCAAAGCACTGGGGGCCTCTCCAATTTCACTTCCTGTGGGCTTGCTCTTGCAGGCCAGAAGGAAGACGAGCACTGCCTGGCAGGGAGTGCAGTGCCATGAGGTACAGCTGGGCTATCCTCTCTGTCGCTGGGCAAGGACACCAGCTGCCAGTTCACAGAGAGCAACTCCCACTGTTTCTCATCGTGGGGATTTCTCTGGACCCTTTCCTCAGATCTTTTGTTAAGCCAGCTGTTAAACAACACCACCAAAAATAAATAAATGAAAAAATCAAATTGACTTTGGAAAACATTATCTACTGTGAATTACCTTTGAGTTAGCCTCATTCAGCTCCTTTTACTGCGCTCAGTCTGGGGAGACATGAGGAGTACATGGAGGTTCTCAGGGCTGCCATGAGAACCTCAGCTTTCCCCTTCACTAGATTCATGGCTGTGACCCAGAACTTATCCTTTCTGAGTCTCATTTTTCTTATCAAAAAAAAAAAAAAATGAGAACAGTAAACAAAGCGTTAGGATTGTGTTGGAAGGGGAATATGAGAAAAAGCTTGGCAGAGAGACAATACCTGTTATCACACTGAGAACCATGTGTATTGGTGAGACACGAGGGAGCACAGGCAGTTGGATTTCATTTCCTGCCAGGAGGAAAGGAGCCAAGACAGCTCACCCAGGGTCACTCAGGGCCTGAGTCTGTTAGCCAATGAAGCCAGAGCTGGAGCAATTCCTGCCTCATAGTCCAGTGCCATTTCTATGCTGTCTTAAGGATTCCCACTGCCCAAACCATGTTTATTCCTTTGGGTGACACATTTCTTTCCCAGCGCTAAGTGAATGGCACCCCATAAAAGTATTACTCCACTGTCCTCAGTAGCACCTCTACATCCAGCCTATCTCTATCGTAGTCCCACTGTGCCAAGTCCTTGGCCAAGGGCACAGAGGCAGCAGGGGACCATAGTGCTTCCTCCTCTTCTTAAAAGAACTTAAAAAAATGGCAATATCCAAAGGAGGGGTCCTAAACACCTCACAAGAGTTCAAGTTGCTCCCTGTGTGCTGGTCTTTCTCATGCTATGAAATCTAAAGGAGCAATTAAGTGCTTAGTTGCCTCAAAAGCTGGGCCTGGGCATCTCAGCCCTACCATGCTCCCAGTGTGAGGGGCCCTGCTTGAGGTGCTCCTGAAATGTCACAGGCCTTCCCTTTATGAAGTCTCTCATCCTGAGACTCCTGCAAATTGGTGATTCCTTCAATTCTGGAGTTGAATCTATCACATAGTGTTGCTGACCACAGCAGAGCAACTGCTTGAACATTATCTAAACTCAAGTGACAGGGGTCTTTTGAAAAGTATGCACCAGTACCCTGGTGGGCAGCCCTCCAAAGCCAACCTGAAAACAAGAACACAGCAAGGCCCATCCCTCTCTGTGGCTCCAGCAAAATGGGTGTCCCAAAGATGCCGTGTGCTCCATCCCCTATCTACAAAGCCACGCAGAGTATTTCTTAGAAGCGCGGGGTATTGACCTTATGTTCTGCAAATCACTGCACGGTCTCCCATGCAATCGTGTAGTCAGCTACTTAGTTTTGTAAATCTGCAGCAGAGAGACTTGGGTTGTCCTATCGCAAAATGAATCCTGTTGCAAAGTCCAGGAAGAAGATACTAGAGACTAGGGTTGACAAAATTCAGTCCAGTTATTTCATTCCATATTAAAAGTATCAAATAAAAAGTGAGACAATTTTATTAATTTTCACATGTGATACTTAGCTTATCTTCTCATTAAAGAAATACATCTTAATTAAAAGCTGTTTAAGATGATATGCTGTGCTGATTTACTCCACCAAAACAAATAAAACAAATATTTACTAACCGTTTGTTTAATGTGTCAGGAGCCTTATTCTGTACTTTACATGTTATTTCATTTTATCATCATAAATAAATCATGATATCACAAATACTGTTCTTTAGAGAATACTATGTGTCAGGCCCTGTACTGACGTCTCTACATGTATTATTAGTTCATTTTATTGTCATAACTCAGTAAAACTCTTACTACAGAATGAGCATCCCTAATCTCAAAATCCAAAATTTGAAACTTTCTGAGCACTGACATGACATGCGTAAAATTCCACACCTAATATCATGTGATGGGTCAACATACACAAACTTTGTTTCATGCACAAAATTATTTAAAGTGTTATATAAAATTGCATTCAGGCTATGTTTATAAGACGTATATGAAACATAAATCAATTTTGTGTTTAAACTTGGGTCTCTTCCCCAAGAGATCTTGTTATGTATATTCAAATATTCCAAAATTAAAAAAATTCTGAAACCTGAGGCACTGATGGTCCCAAGCATTTTGGATAAGGAATACTCAACCTGTATTGTTATCCTCATTTGTCAAATGAGGAACTTTAGGCACAGAGAAGTTCAGTAACTTGCCCAAGTTCACATAGTCGACTCAGAGCTGGGATTTTCACACAGGAGCCTGGCTCCCAGGTATATAAGCTCCAACTGCAGCTGCCTACACTAAGAAGTTCCCAGCACAGCCTCTGGCAAAGGTAGGGGCCTTCAGGACTTCCCACAGAGGGACTCACTTCTTCCTTTGCCCTCTCATTCTGTGCCACGTGCCTGAAAACCACAGACTACATTTCATAAAAGTTGCCTGAGTCAATGAAGGTGTGGGTAGGTATAATTATTCTAATTTTGTAAGAAAAATTAGCTCTGAAAAGCTAAGTCAGTCAGGGCAGAACCACTCAAGATTCAATCTCGGGCCACGGTGCTTCTAACATCTGTGATGTTTAACCTGCCTCACAACAAATACTCCTGTCTGCAACATGTGCGCATACCTTTGCTATAGAATTGTTCTAGCATATATTATTATTGATGTATTTGCAAGGCATTCTCTTCAATTCACCTGGGAGCATTCTTCAGGATGGGGGTCAAGGGTGGGAGGTGAGGGTCATTTTGTCTTTCTGGGCAACCCCAGCACCCCACTGTTTCTGACAAATACAAGGCACCCAGGAATGGTTTGTTGAATATATGACAAATGAGAGAATAAAGGATAACTTTATAATAAAGCCTTTATTTGCTTCTCTAAAACAACCTTTTCTTTGTTTTTACAGAAGGCGATGAGATCATTTTTATTCTATCACTATAGCTTTTGCTTGAGAAAAACATTAACAAGTATCTCCTTCCAGAAATCTTGCAGATCAATTTGTTTAGTCATGAGGGCTCAGCAGCCATCTGTTACTCAGCTGCAGGAGTTGTTTATTCATACTTTTGCCCATTCATCTGTTTTGTGTTTCCTTTTGTCCATATCTCACTTAAGATAAACAAAATCCTGTCAGTGTGTGAAGAAAGCCAAGCCTCCGAATCTGCCTGTGCTGAGAACAAGGGTATTCTTTGTCAGAAGGACGAAAGAGCCGAGGGTGGAGGGAAGACTACACACTTCTTATGCTTGAAAAGCAGAAGGTCATCGTACTTTACTAATTATGGAGTCCTCCTAATCATGTCTGATTTTAAAGTGCCCGTTGGGTTACTTAGGAGTATAAGATGCAGCCATTCCAGTCCTGCGAACATTTCCAACACTATTACTGCTTTTCACGTTATTTGTAAAACTTCTCATTTTTTCACCTAGGCAAAAGATTTTTCTTCTCTAATTCAGAGAACAAATTCATAGACATAGACAGGTTTTCTAATGAAAGAGATACCATTCTCCTATCAACTCAGAAACTGTGGGAAAGACATCATTAGTCACTCTTCACCATCTTCTTCTAAGGAGAATTTCAAATCAGTTCCCTGCCACTAAATTTCATAAGTGACAAAATTTCCCATCCAAATTGGCTTAATCATAATGAAATTCCATGTATCTGAAAACTCCAGAGTTAGGACAGAATTCAGAAAAGTCTTGATCAGAATTTACATGTTTTCTTCTGCCTTTCACTCCTGCTGGCCTCTGTATGGGATTTCATTCTCATGGGTCTCATACCATGGTGAGATGGAGGTAGGGGCTTCAGAGATGTGTTTCCAGCTACACTACAGGGAGAAAGGATTACCCCTTTCACTTCCAGAAGCTGCAGCAAATATTTCTTTCTTGCTCACTGACTTTGATGGTGACACAGGCCCATTCTCCAACCCTCCATTTAGGCCAGAGGAAACCAAGAATCTAATTGACGAGGCCCTTACAACTTTTGGACCTTTTGGACCTGGGGTATGGGACCAGAGAGGTGAGTCCACTCTACTGGAACCACAAGTGGATCCCCAGAAGAAAACGTGGAGCTATTAACTCAAGAAGGGCAGATAGTGAACAGATAGTTAACTGACTGAAGGTGCCTGCATCCTGTGGAAACTTATTCAGCCTTTGAGTCACAGCCAAATTTTACCAGAGGTACAAAGAGGAGCTGGTACCATTCCTTCTGAAACTATTCCAAACAATAGAAGAAGAGGGACTTCTCCCTAACTCATTTGATGAGGCCAGCATCATCCTGATACCAAAACCCGGCAGAGACACAACAAAAAAAGAAAATCTCAGGCCAATATCCCTGATGAACATCAATGTGAAAATCCTCAATAAAATACTGGCAAACAGAATTCAGCAGCACATCAAAAAGCTTATCCACCACGATCAAGTTGGCTTTATTCCTGGGATGCAAGGCTGGTCCAACATATGCAAATCAAGAAATGTAATCCATCGCATAAACAGAACCAATGACGAAAACCATATGATTATCTCAATAGATGCAGAAAAGGCCTTTGATAAAATTCAACATCCCTTTATGCTAAAAACTCTCAATAAAGTAGTTATTGATGGAAAGTATCTCAAAATGATAAGAGCAATTTATGACAAACCCATAGCCAATATCATACTAAATGGGCAAAAGCTGGAAGCATTCCCTTTGAAAACTGGCACAAGAAAAGGCTGCCCTCTCTCACCACACCTATTCAACATAGTATTGGAAGTTCTAGCAAGGGCAATCAGGCAAGAGAAAGAAATAAAGGGTATTCGAATAAGAAGAGAGGAAGTCAAACTGTCTCTATTTGCAGACAACATGATTGTGTGTTTAGAAAACCCCAGCATTTCAGGCCAAAATCTCCTTAAGCTGATAAGCAATTTCAGGGTACAAAATCAGTCTCAGGATACAAAATCAATACACAAAAATCACAAGCATTCTTATACTCCAACAGTAGACATGCAGAGAGCCAAATCATGAGTGAACTCCCATTCACAATTGCTACAAAGAGAATAAAATACCTAGGAATCCAACTTACAAGGGACATGAAGGACTTCTTCAAGGAGAACTGCAAACCACTACTCAAGGAAATAAGAGAGGACACAAACAGATAGAAAAACATTCCATGCTCATGGATAGGAAGAATCAATATCATGAAAATGGCCATGCTGCCCAAAGTAACTTAAAGATGCAATGCTATTCACATCAAGCTACCAGTGACTTTCTTCGCAGAAATATAAAAAACTGCTTTAAATTTCATATGGAACCAAAAAAGAGGCCGCATAGCCAAGACAATCCCAAGCAAAAAGAACACAGCTGGAAGTATCATGCTACCTAACTTCAAACTACAAGGCTACAGTAACCAAAATAGCAAGGTACTGGTACCAAAACATATATATAAACCAATGGAATAGAACAGAGGCCTCAGAAATAACACACACATCTACAACCATCTGATCTTTGACAAACCTGACAAAAACAAGCAATGGGAAAAGAATTCCTTATTTAATAAATGGTGCTGAGAAAACTGGCTAGCCATATGCAGAAAACAGAAACTGGATGCCTTCCTTACACCTTATACAAAAATTAACTCGAGATGGATTAAAGACTTAAATGTAAAACCCAAAACCATAAAAACCCTAGAAGAAAACCTAGGCAATACCATTCGGGACATAGGAATGGGCAAATACTTCATGACTAAAACACCAAAAGCAATGGCAACAAAAGCCAAGATTGACACATGGGATCTAACCTAACTAAAGAGCTTCTGCACAGCAAAATAAACTATCATCAGTGTGAACAGGCAACCTACAGAATGGGAGAAAATTTTTGCAAGCTACCCATCTGACAAAGGTCTAATATCCAGAATCTACAAGAAACTTAAAGAAATTTACAAGAAAACAAACAACCCCATTAAAAAGTGGGTGAAAGATATGAACAGACACTTCTCAAAAGAAGACATTTATGCGGCCAACAAACATATGAAAAAAAGCTCGTCATCACTGGTCATTAGAGAAATGTAAATCAAAGCCACAATGACATACTATCTCGCACCAGTTAGAATGGTGATCATTAAAAAGTCAGGAAACAATAGATGTTGGTGAAGCTATAGAGAAATAGGAACACTTTTACACTGTTGGTGGCATGTAAATTAGTTCAACCATTGTGGAAGAGTGTGTGGCAATTCTTCAAGGACCTAGAATCAGAAATACCATTTGACCCAGCAATCCCATTACTGGCTATATACTCAAAGGATTATAAATCGTTCTACTATAAAGACACATGCACACATGTGTTTGTTGCAACACTTTTTACAATAACAAAGATTTGGAACCAGCCCAAATGGCCAAGAATGATAGACTGGATAAAGAAAATGTGACACATATACACCATGTAATACTATGCAGCCATAAAAAAAAGAATGAGTTCATGTCCTTTGTAGGGTCATGGGTGAAGCTGGAAGCCATCATTCTCAGCAAACTAACACAGGAACAGAAAACCAAACACCGCATGCTCTCACTCACAAGTGGCAGTCTAACAATGAGAACACATGGACGTGGGGGGGAACATCGCACACCAGGGCCTTTCAGCGGGTGGGCAATAAGGGGAGGGAGAGCATTAGGACAAATACCTAATTTATGTGGGACTTAAAACTAGATGTCGGGTTGATGTGTGCAGCAAACCACCATGGCACATGTATACCAATGTAATAAACCTGCACATTCTGCAAATGTATTCCTGAACTTAAAGTAAATTTTAAAAAATCAAAGAAAGTTACACACACACACACAAAATTTTGAGTGATAACATTATAATCACAATAATATATATGACCTGATTTTATTAAAATAAATATATTTCCACATTAAATTATGTCTGTTAATACAAAATAATTGGAGGAATATAACAGAGTGCCACCCTGCACCATCCATTTACTTCTTTGTTCTCCTTCTTCAGAAAACAAACAGAAAACTGAAACGAAGAAAAAATGCTATATTTGTTTTCCAAGGCACATTGCTACCAGTGCTAAAAGCACATTCTCTGTCTCCCTGCTTGACATGTACAGCCACTTGTCCAAGTTCTGGCTAATGCTGTGAGTAGCAGCATGGCGAACTGTTAAGAAGTCTTTCCAAAATGGAAGTGGCGGACTCTTCCTCTTCCTTCTTCTCTTTCTATTGGCTGGAATGAAGAGGAGCCGGCTAGACTAAAGGTGCCATGGATAAACATGTCCAGAGTCCCTAAAAATTGTGAAGTTATCTTCAGTCCTCTATGACCAGCTCCAGATTCCTTTTATGTGCTAGTGAAATATATTTCTGTCTCACTTAAGCTAGTATAATTTTGAAAGTCTTGTAGATGTTATCATTGCTTAGGACAGTATTATACACAGTGATACAGATCACATACTGAATTTTTACAGTAGTTTCCCTAAGGAGCAATAATGGAAGAACAGATTGGGAGTGAAAGTTAATATTGTAAGTAAAAACAAAGTTGAAAATTGTTTCATCTATTCCCACATTGTGGAATTATATATTTATATTTGTGTAATATATAAATAATATAACATAATTTATAATACAACGTGGATTTATAAATAATGGACAAATTGGACTTCGTTTTAAAATGATAAGTTCAGAGAACTGTATTTTGGTATAAAAGTTTGATCAAGGTTACTGCATCTCGTGTCCAGTGAATAATTTGAGTCTTAGTCATTAAGCAGGATTCCTTGTATATAATAGTTGGACACAGGCATGAAGGGCAAGGTCCCTGCCTGCAAGAATTGCAAGTGTCTGATGAAGATAGATAGGAAAGCAAGCACTTGATAAATAGTGCGAAATATGCTACTTTAGAAGCAGTCCCAGAGTTTCATGACTGCACTGCCTCTAGTCTTAGTTAGTTAAGAGGCTTCCTGAGGATATAATGTTTCTCAGGGGATTGAGGGGAGGTACAGGAAGGGTTAAAGAGGAAAAATAAAAGAGAGCAAAGGAAAGTAAGTGCAGATATTGTCCCTTTAGAATAAAATGTGTACATCTTTGATGGATTAACAATGCAATGAAAATAGAAAAATTTGATTTCACCTAAATTGTCCATATCCTCAACCCTCCTCTAAATGATAGACCTGCCTTGGCCCCAGAATAGCAAATTTCTGTTCCAGAACAGAGAGTAAAACTGTGAAGCTAGTATAGAAATATTGTTTCCCAAAATAAGTTCCTAAATTTGAATTTCTTTTCAGATTGGGAAACTTATAGTGGTATGGAATATAATTTTGGCAGTCACGCATAAAAGAATCACATTTTCTTGCTCTGTACTGACACCTCAGCTCTCTCTCTGATTTAATGCTGCTTTATACCTCAGAGGTTCATGCAGCCTCAAAATGAACAGTGTTGTGACTTTTGTTAGGATGATCTCTTTGGAACAGAGACCTAAGGAGGTCCTATGGTTGAGAAAGGCTGTCAATTCCCTTAAAGTGAAAAAACGGAACTCTATTAGTTATTATTAAGAAACCCACTCTCTAATAAAGTGTTGGTGCTGTAACATACACAGCCTTGCAACAGATAAGATTCCAGAGCAGAGTCACATGTAGAAAATAGAACAATGCCATATGGATCACAACCACTTCCTTCCTGAATTCCAAATGCTGCAGGGGTTGGAAAACTCAGAAGCCTACAGGGGTGGACAGGTAGTGCAGATGACTGACAGGTGGGAATAAGAGAAACATCAACCAGTCCTGTGACTGTCTATTCAGCTAAAGAAGAAGCAATTTACTCAGCTTCAAGAGATACAACCACACAGCAATGCAGCCCAGTTTCCAGAGCTTGTTTTCAAAGACAAGCTAAATGAGATTTTAACGTGGATTCTCCTCTTTTTTATACTAACAGTTATAGGCCCAATCAGGCCATATGCCGCCACATGCAATCTCTGCAAGGAACAGTGGCAACATCAACTTACACAGGTCGAAGATCCCTCATTTGAAATGCTTGAGACCAGAGATGTTTTGGATTTGAGATTTTTTAAGATTTTTGAATATTTGCATAAACATAATGGATATCTTGGGGATTGAACCCAAGTCTAAACACAAAATGTATTTATGTTTAATATATACCTTCTACTCATACCCTAATTTTGTACAATATTTTCAATAATTCTGTGACTGAAGTAAAGCTTGTGTGCATTGAACCATCAGCAAGGAAAGGTGTCACTGTGTGACCCATGTGGACAATCTGTGGTTGTTTGGCATCACCATCATTCCTGGCTGAATTTAAATGCTGCCAATAAGCAATTATTTTCTCACACTTATTCACACATAAGTACATCATAGTAAAAAAATGATATGCCATTCATACAGTGAAAAAATAACATGTTGAGGGTAACTAACCAGCTCAGTAGCGTCACCAGAATATCTGTGTCAGCTGTTCCGCAACAGCAACAACAGACACCACCAGGCTAGATGGCTAAATGGCTTTTAAAAACATTTCCTCCAGGGTCATCTGCCTCATTGACAACATGTATTTTTCTTGAAGTCTCTCTGATTTTATAAACGAGCATGATTTCTTGCTCTGCTATGAATGGACATTGCTCTAATTCTTCAATAAGCCCCATCACACTTTTTTCCCATGTCATCTACGGCCACTTTTTCTGCAGTGTTAACAACATCATCTTCCTTGTCTACTTGTGGCATCATAGTGAAGCTCAAAAAGTTTCAAATTTTGGGTTAAGGATTTTTCAATTAGGGATGCTCGATCAGTAGCTCCTCAGCACTCTAAGAGAAACTGGCTGGATAATGTAAAAGAACAAGAGGTTTCTCTCAATATCTACTTTAAAATAAGAGGGTCAATTTCACTTGAGAAGATCAATAGAGACCTATTCTACACGAATGACCAAAAAAAAAAAAGACCCTTCAGTACAAACCACCCCCTCAACCATCCACACCCAGAATATTGAACCAGACCATTCCAGCTTCCGGTAAGTTCTCTGCTATTTTACAAATTCCAACAGAGTGCTGGATAGAGTTCCTATTTTAATATTAACCTGAGAAGGGTAGATGGGTCAGAGATGAATAAAGCCGGGCGCGATGGCTGATGCCTGTAATCCCAGCAGTTTGGGAGGCCAAGGCGGGCAGATCACCTGAGGTCAGGAGTTCGAGACCAGCCGGGCCAACATGGTGAAACCCCGTCTCTACTAAAAATATAAAAAAATTAGCTGGGCATGGTGGCAGGTGCCTGTAATCCCAGCTACTTGGGAGGCTGAGGCAGGAAAATCGCTTGTACCCGGGAAGCAGAGGTTGCAGTGAGCCGAGACGGTGCCATTGCACTCCAGCCAGGACAACAGGAGTGAAACTCCATCTCAAAAAAAAAAAAAGAATTTCATTCTTCAGATTTTGAGACCTAGGAAAGCTCCACTGCTTTGTTCTTATGGAGCTAACTTGTTAAGATACTGTCTTAAAGTCATTATCCTTTATTAAACCGTACTTTCTGTTATCTTTAGATATTCTAGAATACTTATTATTTTATCTAAAAATAGACAGGTGGAGATTCATCTTTCACAATAGCTTCCTAGTCAATCTCTTAGCAGGTAGCAGAGGGAATCAAATCAAGAGGTTAATCAATTTGTACGCTATTGTGGTGATTTTCCAGTATCTTCACAAAGACCATATTAGGGATATTGATTTCTTGAGAGGGATAGGAAAGAAAAAAGTCAAACTGTAGCCTTCCTGGCTGAATTTCCAGGATCTATGTTAGTTCACTAATTCAGCAAATATTTTGAGGGTAGTAGTTCCTATATTTTCTAGCATTCCAGATTCAAAAAGAGAAACAAGTCAGGATTCTAACAAGGCAGATAGTCACCTATCTTTTTTGGTGAGTCTGCCAAGTGGACTGTTGCAGTCTTGAGTAATCTTCTTCATCCAATTGTTTAAAATTGTAAATAAATGATTTACATGATAAAATTTCATAGATTCTCTGAAGCTTCACATCTAGACAGAAATGCCCAAAACTTTAGGGGCCAATGTATTTAGCTGGGGCTCTGGAGCAGCTCGTGTATCTGAAGCTATGTCTCTCACACCACAGATGGCAAGGTTCAGAGGGACAGAGATTCATTTTTTTGTGTGTGCCTGGAAGAGTTCCAGATCCTTTGGCCACAAGTCAGCATGGTCCCTACCCCCAGGAAGCCCCAAGCATGGTGGCACCTTAATACGACCCAGGCTGAAAGACAGGGTCAGGAAGGTCCTTAAACACCCATTTCCTAGTACACTTCCTGCTATTTTGTGAATTCCAAAAGAGTGCTGGATAGAGTTCCCATTTTCATATTTACATGAGAGGATAGATGGGTGAGATATTAATAAACAATTCTGGTTTTTATTAAATAGGGAATCCTTTCCCCATCAATAAATGGTGCTGGGAAAACTGGCTAGCCACATGTAGAAAGCTGAAACTGGATCCCTTCCTTATACTTTATACAAAAATTAACTCAAGATGGATTAAAGACTTAAATGTTAGACCTAAAACCATAAAAACCCTAGAAGAAAACTTAGGCAATACCATTCAGGACATAGGCATGGGGAAGGATTTCACGACTAAAACACCAAAAGCAATGGCAACAAAAGCCAAAATTGACAAATGGGATCTAATTAAACTAAAGAGCTTCTGCACAGCAAAAGAAACCACCATCAGAGTGAACAGGCAACCTACAGAATGGGAGAAAATGTTTACAATCTACTCATCTGACAAAGGGCTAATATCCAGAATTTACAAAGAACTTAAACAAATTTACAAGAAAAAATCAAACAACCCCATCAAAAAGTGGGCAAAGGATATAAACAGACACTTCTCAAAAGAAGACATTTATGCAGCCAACAGACACATGAAAAAATGCTCATCATCACTGGCCATCAGAGAAATGCAAATCAAAACCACAATGAGATACCATCTCACACCAGTTAGAATGGTGATCATTAAAAAGTCAGGAAACAACAGGTGCTGGAGAGGATGTGGAGAAATAGGAACACTTTTACACTGTTGGTGGGACTGTAAACCAGCTCAACCATTGTGGAAAACAGTGTGGTGATTCCTCAAGGATCTAGAACTAGAAATACCATTTGATCCAGCCATCCTATTACTGGGTATATACCCAAAGGATTATAAATCATGCTGCTATAAAGACACATGCACACGTATGTTTACTGCAGCATTATTCACAATAGCAAAGTCTTGGAACCAACACAAATGTCCAACAATGATAGACTGGATTAAGAAAATGTGGCACATATACACCATGGAATACTATGCAGCTATAAAAAATGATGAGTTCATGTCCTTTGCAGGGACATGGATGAAGCTGGAAACAATCATTCTCAGCAAACTAGTGCAAGGACAGAAAACTAAACACTGCATCTCCTCACTCATAGGTGGGAATTGAACAATGAGAACACTTGGACACAGGATCGGGAACATCACACACTGGGGCCTGTCGTGGGGTAGGGGGAGAGGGGAGGGATAGCATTAGGAGATATACCTAATGTAAATGATGAGTTAATGGGTGCAGCACACCAACATAACACATGTATACATATGTAACAAACCTGCACGTTGTGCACTTGTACCCTAGAACTTAAAGTATAATAATAATAATAATAATAAAGAATTCTGTTTTTTAGAACTTGACACCTAGGAAAACTCTATTGCTTTGTTCTCAGTGAGCCAATTTATGGAGCAAATAAACTCAGATATATTAGACTTTGGTAAGCAAAAGGTATGTGACCAAAAACATTTTTATTTGTTTATTTAGTCATTTATTCACTGGTCACTTATCTAACAAATATCTGTGGAGCAGCCATGTTTGCCTCTGGAAACCCCTCCATTGGCTTAAATAACATTCTCTTGTTCTTCCTTTACCTCTTTCTGTCCCTTCTTTTGATGGCCTTTCTTGGTGCATCCCTTAAATGCAGACACTCCCAACTGACCAGTCCTGTACACACGTGCCTCTCTTGACAGTCTCCATTGGGAATCTCATTAACTCTAAAGATTCTGCTGATCAATAAATGACTCCCACAACCATATGTCTAAGCCTGGCCCCTCTCCAATATTCAAGCCCCTCATTTCCAGTTTACAGCAGACACTTCCATCTGGAGATGTTGGTAGTTCAATCTCGATGTGTTGCAAATAATCACCTTTTTAAAAAACTTTCAAACGGTTCTTCCTGCTATGCTTCTGTTTGTGTTGAAGACATTTATCTGAGCTGATAATCAACTCCTGTCACTTCCATGCTCCCCACATCCAACCCACTGGAGAGTTCCAACTATTCTTACTTGGAGAAATACTTTTCCTCTACTCTGTCTTTTTGTCATCAATGGCATGATTGTGTTTCAGATCTCTTTATTTCTTCCCAGGGTTGGAGCAGTGACCTTCCAGCTGGCCTCTACTCTTCTCTCCTGGCCATCCATGTTATCCATGGCCTCTAGATTAATCTTTCTGAAGTACATATCTTGATGAGGATTCCCCAGTGAAAGTCTCTAATATTTTTTCTTTCCCAAAGGGCTTAAGTACATCTCCCCTAAACTCACGTGCTGAAGTCCTAACCCCCAGTGTCTCTGAATGTGACTGTTTTGGAGACAGGGCCTTTATAAAGGTAACTAAGGTTAAATGAAATAATTAGGATGGGTCCTAATCCAACATGACTGGTGTCCTTATAAGAAGGAGATTAGGACACAGACAAGCACAGAAGAAAGCTCATGTGAAGCACAAGGAGAAGATGGTCATTTGCAAGCCAAAGAGAGAGGCCTCAGGAAAAACCAAAGCTGCTGACATCTTGATCTTGAACTTGAACTGGAGTAATCACTCAAATCAGTCTCTCCAAAGTCTCAGAGGCTGGGGTTTTTATAGACAGTTTGGTGGGCAGGGGGCCAGGGAATTGGTACTGCTGACTGGTTGAGAATGAAATCATAGTGGTGTGGAAAACAGTCCTGGTGCACTGAGTTTGCCTCTGGGTGGGGCCACAGGACCAGCTGAGTCATGAGTCACGAGTCCAGGTGGGGTCAGTCAAAAAAATATCTCAAAAAACCAATCAGATTCTGCAATAGTTATGTTATTTATAGCAGCAATTGGGAAGGCCAAACATTTGTAACCTCTGGCCACACGACTCTCGAGCAGTAAGGGATTATAGAAATTACACCTACATCTTAGCAGAGTTCAAGCCCCTCTCATAATCCTAACTTTGTGTCCTTTCATTAGTTTTACAAAGGTAGTTTGGTTTGGGGAAGGGCTACTATCATCCTTGCTTTAAAGTTAAACTATAAATTAAATTTCTCTCAAAGTTAGTTTGGCCCATGCCCAGGAATGACCAAGGACAACTGAGCGGTTATAAGCAAAATGGAGTCAACGATGTCAGAAGTCTCTTACTGTCATAATTTTACAAAGGCAGTTTCATCTTCACTTGTTCAAGATTAAGGCCCACCTCACATGCTACTTTCTCCATGGGAACCTGCCAGTCAGGCGTAATCCAGCTTCTCCTAAAGTACTGATTGTGTCACTACCATTTTTATGAGATTTTTCACTTCTAGTTTATTTTATGTCTATTTATGGATATGTCTCATTTCTTTTATTACAATGCATATTTTTTGAAGTCAGTGTATTTCGGCTTCATTCTTAAATTTCCAAAGCCTGTGACACAGAGCTTGTCAAACCTGAGAGAAAACGACATCTAAAGCTAAGCTTCTCTGTTTTAGTATAAAAGTGGGCACCTTTAATCCTTTCTTCTATCACCACTATTAATTTGCATGCATTAAGGAAAGAAAATCTCAGTTAAATGATAGGAGAAAGCTAGAGTTGGATTGCATTTATACATATATTGTAATTATAGTTGGATTGCTAAAACCAAGTAGGCCAAATAAAATTTAAAAATGCCAAGCCACTCAGATGAAAATAATCATAATGGTGATACTAACAAGGGTGGTTGGTAGTATCAAATACCATCATTTAGGAAGTGTTCAACTACTTGCTACATAATAAACTGTCTTACATGCAGTATTTAATTTGGTCTTCACAACAACCTTGTGTCAAAGGTATTATTTTTAAAAAGAATAAATTTGGTAAGTAACCAGACCAATGGCCACAAAACTAATGAATGCATGCAACCCTGTCCAACTCAAAAACCCCTGCTCTTGACATTTACCCCTGTGGTAGAACCACCCGATCAATGTTAAATCAGTTTGACTACACATTTCCACTGAATATTTATGCATAGGGTACACTCCTGGTTTTATCAGTAGCTTCTGCCTGCACATCTCTTATGTGCCAGTGGTGTCTTGCCCCAGCCTCTCCTGCCTTCAGTCACCACCTGCATACACCTGCAGCTCCAGCACCAGATCAGAGCTGGGGCTCAGTCCTGACTCCAGCTGGAAGCTCCTCTACCTTCATAATTTCACATTTGATATCAAACAAACCATACTGCATTTTAGGTCTCAGTTGGGATATCGTGTTTTTGCCTTCACAGGAAACCTAGTTTATACCAGGTGCCCCTCCATTCAATAAGAAATTACTTACTGAGTATTTGAATCCCTAAAATAGGTTCAGTACTATTCCTGGCATTGGATGTGTAACAATGAACAAAACAAATATATGCCTCTGTTCACTGCTTTCACCCCAACACCTAGACCACTGCCTAGAAAGTAGTAGCTACAATAAATACTTGTTTAATGAAGAATGAATGCATGAGCCACTGGGCTTTTGCCTTGGCCCTGTGACTTAGCTTCTTCCTTTTCTTACCTAACTCACTCTTCCCTTCAGGTCTCATATTTTGATTAAAAGTTTTCTCTCTGGGCCAGCATTCTTGCAGCCCTCTTCACCTCCACCATTGTATCTGACCAGCTCAACAGTTGGACTAATTTCTGCTTTCAAGTTTCTACCACAGGGCGCTATCCAGTTATAAGTAATTGTACCAGAAAGTTTAGGCCCAGTTACACTCTGGGAACTGCCAATCCCAATCTCAGTGGCTCAGAATGGCCAAGGGCAAGTTTATGTTTCATTTGCATGACTGTCAACAGATGCACCTCTACTCCAAGAGCAGAATATCTGAGACAGGCTAATATCCGCTAGAAAGTAAGATGCTAGAGCCACAAGATGGCTCTTGGAGTTTCTACTTGGAAGGAGCATCTATTGCTGCCATTTATATTTCACTGGCCAAAGCAAGTCATGTGACCAAACCTCAATTCAAGCGTATAACAAGTCATCTGTCCACACCCATGGTCAAGGAGGTAGGACATGTAACCCTTCCACAGGGAGAATCTGTGAACAAAGCCACATCAAGCTGGCCCTTAGAAAACTGGTAACCTAGAAGGATATTATGCCTCCAAAATCAATGGAACCTGATTGGGTTAGAAACTAGAGAGAGGCCTTAAAATAAAGAAAGGACATCATTGTCTGATGCCACCCACAGACTGTACTGATCTCACAGCGATATTAAAAAGCATTATCTTATCATCTTAAGCTTGAATTGTGACATCCAAACTTCTTTTCATCTCCACATTCAATGTAAAAGAAAAAAGTGCTGAAAGTGTCTTTGTGGAACACTCGGCAGTATAGACCATTCTGGCTTTGTGGCTATCATTTTAACATCTCTTAAAGCATGAATATGAAATCTGGGGAAAGGTTCGATTGACGATTTTCAAGATTACCCTGAAACCAGAATAAGAAATGTTCAACAGAGGAGTATCCACTTGATACAGTATGTTACTGTCCTCACATTGGAAATCTTCCTGGCAATGGTTACTCTTTGTGACTACATGCACTTTTGACAGCCAAGCAGTGTGAAAAACCAGCAGCCTCCATCCCCTTTTGCACTAATTAAGATTGTCCTCGGATTTGCTGCTAGTTGAAAATATTGTCTTTTTCAAGGCTGTTTCAAGGCTTTTTCCTTAGCTTCAGCAAACTGCTACTTAAAAGTAGTTATTCATTCCTTTCAAAATATGAAATGTGCCTTTAAAATGAAGTTTTGGTGGCTTTTTGTTTTTCTGCTGTGAAAAATTAGAATTCAGGCCGTTCTAAACCAAAAGATAGGAGTTATATTAATATAAAGACAAAACAAGGTGGTGGATAGTAAGATTCACAGTGACAGCCAAAAGCTGAGCAAATTAAATGAAGACAGCTACTGTGTTTGTCTAGGCATCATTTTTATGAAGAATTCTAAAAATTTCTAGCTTTTATCAAAATAAGTAACCAAATCCACTTCTTGTTTTTCTACCAGCTGCATGGGTCACAAATGGCCAAGTTTGGTGTCCTCATACAAACACATGACACCATATGAGAGAGCTTGTGGGCTTGGTCTGGCAGGGCAAGATTCCATGTGTACGCCAACCCATGGGGTGGGAGAGAATTTGACCTTG
Organism: Homo sapiens; assembly: GCF_000001405.40. Classification (NCBI taxonomy): domain Eukaryota; kingdom Metazoa; phylum Chordata; class Mammalia; order Primates; family Hominidae; genus Homo; species Homo sapiens. Next base: position 57,720,155 of record NC_000008.11, read on the forward strand.
GGAGGAGCTTATCACCCCGTGACTGAAGCAGCTTGAGCTCAACGTGACAACAGGATCAACAACAACTATGTGTGAAATGTGAACCGATTACTTCTTCGGTCAATCTTGTATCACAGTTTAATCAGAAGAAACCAAGGATGTGTTATTTTATTGAATTGGACAGTACAGTGACAAAACAGGTGTGTCTATTTGCGGGAAAGTTTTTGGAAGATCCCTTGAGACCATGTTCTATTTGACTATTTGACTGCAAATCAAATCTCTGCTTTAGGTTTGCTAATCTCCAAACCTCCCAGAAAACATTCAAATATCAGGGTTACATCATGTGCAAGACACCATTTAAAATTAAAGCTACATTTAACATGTAAAAGCAAACTTCTGTGAGTTTCATCCCTTTTAAAGAAGCTACTGTCACTACACTTAGTTCAAATGCTGCCCTTCAAAGGATAACACTAGAAGAGAAAAAATGTCTCACTTACTAGGTCACAAGCAGTTTACGGGAATGAATTAAAAACTCTTCAAGCCTTGCATGGCTAACAAGGTAAAGTAGTGTTTCTCAATTTTTTTTTCATCAACCATTTCCCCATTTTAATGCATTGAAATCTCACTCAAGAAGTGATCTCTGGCCCAGTGGAAACTATATACTGAGCCACAGAAGGAGATTAAGATGCGGCAGACTTCAGACAAAGGGCCAGAGGTTTTGTGGCTAATGAAACTATGGTGGTAAACCTTCATTTTATCCTTTGCCAACTGTCTGGATCTTTGTTAAAGGAGAAAACTTCCAGGTTATCCTTCCTACCAACTCTTCCCAGTGATGGTGTCGTTATGAAAGGAAGTAAGTGGCTCTTTCTTACATTAAAAAAAAAAAATTGGGAATGTTTACAGTCACAATTTAGTTTTACCCCAAATCGTCTTATCTAGTGGAAATATTTTATTCATTCAATCACATACTCATTCCTTCATTCAGTAAATATTTACTGAGCCTATCTGTTATACCAGGAAGTATGCTGTGAATGGAAATGCACAATTAATGTAAGGTTCTTCCCTTATGTAACTTACATCCTAGGAGAGAACAAACAAGGAAATTGATTGTAAAACAGTCTGGGACATGGGGAGACTGGAGTCTTGGTCTCAAATGTTAGGTGTTTCTGAAAATCAAATCCAACTTCTAAAGTTTAAAGCCTCCTTGCCAATGAGCCTATGTAAACGGATGTATTGAAAGCACATCCTTTTAGCCTCCTCATTTCCTGAATTGGTCTTCATATCTCTTTTATTCTACTTCACTGTATGTTTCCTCTTCTTGTGTTGCTGTAAATAAATACCTGAGGTTGGGTAACTTATAAAGAAAATAGATTTATTTTGGATCATGGTTCTGCAGGCTGTACAGGAAATGTTGGTGCCAGCATCTGCTTCTGGTGAGGCCTCAGGACGCTTCCAGTCATGGCAGAAGGTGAAGGGGAGCAGCACATCACATAGCAAGAGCAGGAGTAAGAGATGGAGAAGGGGAAGGTCCCACACTTTTAGCAACTAGATCTTGCATGAACTGATTCATCACCAAGGGAATGGCACTAAGCCATTCATGATCAAATCACTTCTCACCAGGCCCCAACTTCCATGCTGGAGGTCACATTTCAGTATGAGATTTGGAGGGGACACGCATCCAAACTACATCAGTGTCCTTAAATATTTTCACTTGTTCCCATTTTCACTTGTTGCCACTACTTTAATTCATGCTACCACCATTTCTTGCATAAAATTCTACTCCTGCCTTCCAGGCTCTTTCCTCCTACCACACCCCTTTCCTCCCTACCATTCATTCTCTTTATCTGGAGGCATTTTATTGAAGTCCACATGATGTATTTCCCTGCTAAAATTCCTCCACTGATTCTCACAGTCTTCCAGACCTTATCTAAACATCTACAGACGACTTAGGACTATCTTAGTGAGTGGGCATCTGTTTACCTCTCTAACTCAACTTTCCAAAGCCTAGTCTGTACAACAGCAGTTCCTTGGAAGTTAATAAAGGATCTTCAAGGAGAAAAAATTTTATGGTGAAATAATTTTGGGAACTGTGGAAAAAACCAGTTACACAGGTTTTCTCATTAGACTCTTCAACATGTAAATGAGTTTTCTGAATATCCAAGAAAGAAATACATTATTCAGTGTTTCACAAATTTGTCTAAAGAATCTTGATGCATACATATGAACAGGCACACACACAAATGCACATACACACACACATCTGCACACTCCTTGAGGGTGTCTCTACATTATAATAGACAGAATCATGGTGCCCAAAGATGCTCAACTCCTAATCCCCATGGCAAAAGAGGCTTTGCAAACATGATTAAGGTTACAGACCTTGAGATGGAAAGATTATCCTGGATTATGTAGATGGGCCTAATTTAATCGTATGAGCACTTGAAGCAGAAAACTGAGTCGGGCTGGAATCAGAAGAGATGAAACAGAAGGAAAAGCCACAGAAACTTCAAGCACAATAAGGATTCCATGCTCCATTGCTGAGATGTACAGGGCCTCATGGAGGGACCGGAAAGAGAGCTCTGTTGCTAAAGGTGGCCCCTGGCTGACAGCCAGCAAGGAAACAGCAACCTGGGTCCTATACACATGGAGTGGATTCTACCAACCACCTGAATGTGCTTGGAAGCAGATTCTTCCCCAGAGCACTCAGAAATTAATTCAGTCCTGCCAACCCCTTAATATCTGCCTTATGAGACTGTAAGCAGAAGACACAGCTGAGACAGGTTGTACTGTAATTCTGACCCACAGCACCAGGAGGTAAGAAACTTGCGTTGTTTGAAAACTCTGTGTTTGTGGTAATTTATTATGGCAACAACAACAACAACAAAAACCTAATGCACAGGTACAATATTTGCCTTCGTGTCTCATCTTTGCCTACCTATACTGTGCACACTCTATATTGCCCAGCTGGGATGCCCTAGAAACAGGTGTTCTCTCAAATATCTTGGGTTTGATCATGATGCCTGGAATGTTCTTTCTTTAATTCTCTTCTTTCCAAGACACAGTCCCCAATACTCACCTCTGACTCCCAGCCTTCTGGCTAGGCCTGACTGCTAACTCCAACTAATCCATCAAGACTTGGTTTAAGCATCATCTACTCTAGCATTCTCTGGCTTTCCCATATGATCTTGTGGTACCCTGTTCACTTGCCTATCTTCCCCCGGAAGGCCTTGAGGACAAGAACAATAACTTACTCATCTTTCCCTCTCCCTTATCAACCTGGCATAGAAAAGATGATCAGCAAATGTGCAGAACCAATGAATTCAGTTAAAGATAACTAATTAACAACTGATAATATAAGGCTTAACCCCTAAAAAGAGGTGAGAACTGCCAACAGAGATACAGGATCATTCAGTGTATGGATGTCCTTAGAAGTGTGTGGATAACACAGTTAACCCAAGCACAGAGAATGAGGATAATAGTCTTGAAAAACATATTACAAAATACTTTCCAAAGTATTTTTCAGTCCCTGTAAATTCTATTGCCCTGAATCTCTCATCTCATTAATTAAAAATCATTCATTTCTTCAAGGGAGGGACAATACAACCTAGAGAAAAGTGTACTTATTGGCTCTGAGTTTCCTATTAGACTTTTTGATCCATAGTAAGGCAATAGACATGAACCCCAGCTCTGCAGAGAGAAGCAAGGGTTTTCTAAATTCCAAAAGCTTTTCATATGAAGACCTGGGCTTGAAGGCTGAGCATATAATTTTAACATAAGCCACAATGTGGCAGGTATTCATGCATTTTAGTAAATTGTCCAATGTTACACATCTAGTGACTTAAAAGCAAGTAGTTCAACCCAGGTGTGGGTGACTCCCAAACCCACACTTTTTCCCACTGTGGCATGCTGTCTCAAAAGAATTTACTGCTCCTGGAACTGGTGCATTCCCTGTCATTGTCATATACAAGCTAAGGCTTAAGGACCTTATACCTTTAATGACATAGAGAAGATTTACACACAAACAGATATCTCTTTAAGTGACCTTTCAAGTCAGATCCTTAGACTCTAGAATGTTATGAAAATGTTTTTTTCTTATTTAAATATTAGTTTCAAATTTCATATTTGCCTCATATTTAAAATTAAACGCTCTTAACCGCTTCAGATGATTCAATCAGCCATTCAACTTATAAGGAAAAGATATTAGGCACATAAATTTTTTGACTGAAATGAGCAGCAATTCGGTTTAAAGTGACAAATGGTTTATGATATCACTCCTTCCCACTAGAGAAAATTAACTTTGGGCATGGAAATATCATATGCATTGGAATCCCATGTAGCTATTTAAAGAATAAATTTAGTGTATACATGGTGAAATATTCATGATCAAGTTGAAAAAATCAAATTGAATAGTAGTATGTGTGGTGTAATTCTGTTTTTATTTAAAGTTATCTCTCATTATATAAAATGTCAGTAGAAAAGCCTGGAAGTATATGCATACATGCTTGCCTTCATTTCACTTGGCTAAACTGTGGTTATTTTAGGAAAGTGGAACAAGCGCAGGAAGTATAAATAATGTACATATAAATGGAAGAATCATTTATATATACATTCAGTTATTTATATATGTGTGTGTGTATATATATACACACACATATATAAAATACACACACATATGTATAAAATCAAACTTTTAAAGTTTTAGACAAGAGCTGTTGATGTTCTAATTCTCTGAATAAAAATGCATGTTCTCAGCTTACAGGGCTAACTGGCTTTCAGGAGAAGCGAAAGTACTGGCGAATGTCTCCAGTGCTCTGGAGCTGCAGGCCCTGTTCTGAATGCTTCCGTGATCCCTCCCCTGCTCACATTTAGAGGCCCAGCAAGCCTCCAGTCCCTCTTTCAAAGACCCTCCAAATTCCACTCAAACCATGATTCATGGTTTGAGTCTTTGGTCTCAGTTTCGCAGGACCCTACTGACACAAGAAACTCAGTGGGCACAGAGCAGGCAATTTCCACAAAAATTAAAACTCAAAGGATGCAGGAAGTCCCCGGTGATCAGGGCAGCACACCACAGGGCAGCCAGGAGAACGGAGGTGCCCACATGAGCCTTTGCTTCTGTTCTGCTGTGGATGCACTTTCGGCCCTGGGCAGGAGAGTTTTTCTGAACAAAAGGGATGGAAGCTGAAGGCAAAGTGCTCAGAGTAAAGCAGAGAAATAAAACAGGCTGCTAGTAGAGGGTGTAATTGGTGCAGCAGGTATTGTTATTTTTTCCCTTTCACTCTAGAAAGTGGGGGATGCTCAGACCCAGTAAGGAGCCACTGGGAGGAGAGCACACAGGAAACTAGAAACCGCAGAAGAAAGAGACAGCAGGAAAGTGAGTGTTGGAAGAGCAGTGACTGTGTATAGAAAGTTATACTCCTGATCCACGAGACAGACAGGATGACAGAGTGAATTCAGGTAAAAGAGACGTCAGGAGAAAAAGATCTTCTTCAATGACATGAACAGAAAGTGTGCCAACTAGAAATGTCATTATCATTATTAACAAGGAAAGCTATTTTAAATGATCTCCAGGAAGCCAGAAATAAAATTTTCAAGGGAAATCAAACATATAACCATAAGACTCATTGCACCTATTATGTCCTGAAACATGCTGGTGCATTCTCATAATGAATATGATTCTCATGTTCTATATTTTCTATTCCAGAAAAGACAAAAATAACTTATCAGTACAGTAAAGGCAAGGAAAAAACCCTTAACACTGCTTTCTTTTATACTGACTGAAATTGCTTTCAACCTGCTTTCTTTCTGTTCTCTGATCTATCTCAGAGATAATGGGGGCTGTTTCACCATGGTAGTGGAAAGCATTCACTGTGGTTATCTGTTTGGGATCACCTGACAGCAGACAGAACATGATGAAATGTGGTTTACAGAGCACCTGAGCTTCCATCAGGGCCCCTCACCACAGGTAGCCATATGGTTATTGACTAGTTTTCCCAAGAACTCTGAAGAGGAGTGAACTTATGAATCATTTTCAAAGGTGAGGAATGAAGCCACCAATCTATTCCATACTGCCAGAAAAGAGTTGCCTTGCTTCTTTACCTAAACCATCCTCTTTTCATCTGTTGTAAGTTTCCAAAATATGTGAACATTTTAAAAGCACAAAACTGTCTTTAAATGTGTGTAAGTCTTGTTTTGGAACTTGGATTCATTTTTTTAATAGAGAAAATAGTTATGGGGCTCATTTTTGCTCCCTGAGCAATATCAATATTGTGTTAACCCACAGTGTTTCTGAAACAGGGCATACTCAAAAAGTTGTTGTGGGAAGGAATTCTGGAGCAGGGAGGAAATAGAAGGCCTGGGAGAGAATGGCAGGTAGGAAGATAAAGAGGGGAAGGTGTTTTGTGCCCTTTAATGCAGGCAGGTCTAGTAATATTCAAAAACCTAAAAAAGCAATCCTTCCCTTTGGCATCCTTCCACCTCCCTTTCTACATGTCTCCTCTTCTGCTTCCTGGCACCTGCCTCTCAAGGCTTCAGTCCCCATAGCACTAGGTAGGTGAGCCTCAAACTGGATATGCTTGCCTCTGGTATACAAAGGCAGCACTTTTACATCTGTAGGGACTTTATTTTCCCCAGGTATACTCTTGGTGAAATCTGACTTTCAAAAAACACTCCTGACATCATATGTGCTCTCCTTTGTGATTCCTCTTTCACAATCACCATACTCCCACTTTGTAAAAACAAACCTCTTAACTCTCACCCACCTTGTAAATTGTATGACAGAACCTAGTCCATCCTAAGGTCCTAAAGTTGGAACTTGTGTTGAAAAGGTAAATGCCCTTTTTCAAGTCAGCTGATCCCAAAATCTTTACTGTCAATAAAATGGAGTGAGAGCCTGGCACAGTGGCTCATGCCTGTAGTCCCAGCTACTCAGGCGGCTTGGGTGAGAAGATCACTTGATCCTAGGACTTTGAGTCTAGCCTGGGCAACATTGCAAGACCCTGAGTCAAAAAAAGATGGAATGAGACTTAACAGTTTCTGCTCATAAATTATTTAAAAAAATGTTTTTGATGGTAGAATACAGTAAGTTTTGGCATATGATAAAAGATATTGTGGCACTACTATTAAAACTCCTTTCATACTCTTTCATGAATTAATTTGAACAAAGTAGCTCAGCATTTATATGTCCAAAAATTTTAAAAATAGGAATAAAAATGACACTGAACCCTAAATCATTCTAGCAATCAGTAATAATCATGGATGGATACAGGAACAAAATGGAAAGAATGTTTGATTCTTATAACTAAAATGTATTCCCAATAGCATTAGATTTTTATGTTAAATACTTGTTTATTGAAACACACTATATTTTGAGCAATTATGTTTTGAAAAGAAAATAATGACTAATCAATTTAGAAGATAAATTTTTTAACATTTACATATTTATAGGCAGAATTTTATTCCTTTGTTTATTCAACAAAGATTCCCTTAATATGTTTAATGGCTGTTCTAGATGATGATAATACAGCTTAATTTAGGCAAACTACATCTCTGGTCAATTCAGAGAAAGGCAATAAAGAAATAGACAGAAAAATATCTATAGTTAACCACTATGCAGAAAATTTAAACATAGCAAGATGATAGACATAAAAGGGTGTCTCCCTTAAACAAGTCAGTGTGGGCTTCTCCGAAGAAGCCAATGCTAAGGTGTGATCAGAAACACAAGAAGGAGGCAGCTGTCTGAAGATGAGAGGAAGGACTGTTCCAGGCCAAGAGAACAGCTGATGCAGCCTTGAGCAGATAGCAAGGTAGGTGGGATCAAGGGAGCAGAAAAGAAGACAAAGGTGGGAAGAGTTAGTTGGAAAAAAGGCTCTAAAGTGGGCACAAGCAGTTCACAGTTAACATCAAGAGCAAGGGTGAGGATGCTGGGCATTTTTTTAGTGGGGTGATGGCCTTGAAGCAATTTTAGCATGTAAGGGAATTTTATGTATGTCATATGAATATAGAATAATATACAGCAATGGATTATTATCCATTTCCCTACTGATGGGTATTTAGGTTGTATCCAGTTGTTCACTACTGGGAACAGTGCTTCTGTGAATGTTCATTTTCCTATTTCCTGTGCTCCTATCTTAAGGTTTCTCTGGGATATACACATAGCATAGAACTGAGTAAGGATATGCTTTTTCAGTTGGACAAGAGATAGTGCCAAATTGCTCCACTAGTGTTTGTACCAATTCACACTCTCACCAACAAGCATCATATGGGAATTCTATTTCCAGACAATTTCCCTATCATGTAATATTGTCATCTTTTTAATTTTTGCTAATCTAATGTGTGTGAAATGATAACTTGTTATTTTTAAATTGCATTTCCCTAAGTAATAAGGCACTCTTCCCTGTTGCTTAACCTTAAAAAATACATTCATTTTTTCTAAAAAATGTCTTCTTCCTCCATCATGGCTCCATCCTCACCTTGATTCCCACAGTAATTCACAGGTATCTTCATAACAGTACTTACAATTTTGTACTCAGTTAACTATTGATTCATTTGACTCCCTGCAACTCGTGAAAACCTCCAGGATAAAAACTGAATAATATTCATTTGCCCCAGATCATGGTTGAAGTTCAGAAAATGTTTATTAAATTTAAATGCATACTTACTATTTTTCTTTGCTTTTAAACATTTTTGTAATTTTGAATTTTTGTTACTTATTTACAACTTTCACCTACTGCTTTGCCATATATTTTTTTCTGTTTTTTAAAATAAAATATAAATTTAACACCTCTTATTATATGATCTCAAGCTTTGTATATCTGCTTATTGGAATAGACTTTTCAAGGAAAATAGTCAGATTCTATTTAGTTGAAAAGAACTTAATTACCGGGAGTATTTAATATAATGAAAGTAATGATCTTGAGAAGTTATTATTTAACTGGAGATCAACAAAATGTAATTGTGCACTACTAGAAAAAACAAAGTTCAATTCTTTGAAATTGTTACACTGCATATTCAGCAATGTATTTTTTAAATCTTTTTCAAATTATACTTTAAGTTCTAGGGTACTGGTGCACAACGTGCAGTTTTGTTACATATGTATACATGTGCCATGTTGGTTTGCTGCACCCATTAACTCGTCATTTACATTAGGTATTTCTCCTAATGTTATCCCTCCCCCATGCCCCCACCCCACGACAGGCCCAGGTGTGTGATGTTCCCCTTCCTGTGTCCAAGTGTTCTCATTGTTCAATTACCACCTATGAGTGAGAACATGTGGTGTTTGGTTTTCTGTCCTTGTGATAGTTTGCTCAGAATGATGGTTTCCAGCTTCATCCATGTTGCTACAAAGGACATGAACGCATCCTTTTTTATGGCTTCATAGTATTCCATGATGTATATGTGCCACATTTCCTTAATCCAGTCTATCATTGATGGACATTTGGGTTGGTTCCAAGTCTTTGTTATTATGAATAGTGCTACAATAAACATAGGTGTGCATGTGTCTTTATAGCAGCATGATTTATAATCCTTTGGGTATATACCTAGTAATGGGATGGCTGGGTCAAATGGTATTTCTGGTTCTAGATCCTTGAGGAATCGCCACACTGACTTCCACAATGGTTGAACTAGTTTACAGTCCCACCAACAGTGTAAAAGTGTTCCAATTTCTCCACATCCTCTCCAGCACCTGTTGTTTCCTGACTTTTTAATGATCACCATTCTAACTGGTATGAGATGGTATCTCATTGTGGTTTTGATTTGCATTTCTCTAATGACCAGTGATGATGAGCATTTTTTTCATGTGTCTGCTGGCTGCATCAATGTCTTCTTTTGAAAAGCGTCTATTCATATCATTTGCCCACTTTTCGATGGAGTTGTTTGATTTTTTCTTGTAAATTTGTTTAAGTTCTTTGTAGATTCTGGATATTAGCCCTTCGTTAGATGGGTAGATTGCAAAAATTTTCTCCCATTCTGTAGGTTGCCTGTTCACTCTGATGGTAGTTTCTTTTGCTGTGTAGAAGCTCTTTAGTTCCATTAGATCCCATTTGTTTATTTTGGCTTTTGTTGCCATTGCTCTTGGTGTTTTAGTCATGAAATCCTTGCCCATCAGCAATGTATTTTCATAATTTGAATTAATTTAAGGTTAAATTATGATAAATGACATCTTCAAAATGTGTTTGGTCATAAAAGCTAATGCTTATTGGAGCATACTCTCTATGACACACCTTCTAGTGTTTGACATGCATGCATTTCATTCTTATAACACCCTTGGATGTTAGTACTATTGTCAGCATCATCCCAGTTTTAGATTGGGAAATCAGACACAGAGTCGTAAAGTAACTTGACCAAGTTTGGTGAGCTGGGATTTCCACCCAAATGCTTCCCCCCAAGAGCTCTGGTCCTGCCCACAGAGCCTCAGGCCACCATAGGGATAGGGTGTCCAGCCATCGAGCTTGAGAAAGAAGACTCTCTGCAGTGCTCTAACTTACCACAATCATCTTTGTCTTTTGCTTGGTTTTAATTATGATAGATTAGACATATTGATTTTATATCTGCAGAGTATAAAGTAGGTAGAGTATTAAATAGTGTACTGAAGAAATATTCACAAATTCAGGGGTTTGGAAAAATACTGAGACATTTTAACAAAATCTTCCAGTGGCTTCTTCTGAACCACATCTTTAGAACGCCATATGTCTTTATAGAATACATTTCAAGCCCCAAATTGACTTTCAAGTGAGAGCTGATCCCTGCTTAATATTCTTTAAATGAGCTTTTCTGAAGGGAACACTGCTCCAGGAATACATAAAGGACTATACCTTCAGTGAAATAACTATGAGAAATAATCTCCTGTGAACAGTGAGAAACTATATGAATCAGTGGAGGAGGTGTCCACAGGCAGGAAACGTTGCTGGGCGGCAAGCCCAGAGCATCAATACCTGGATGCCTGTGAAAATGGAGAGGAGTTTATTTGGGGAAATATATAAGTTAATTTTTCTTACAAAGTTTCATAATAAAATATTCAAAGAGTGATTCGTCTGGCAGCTACTAGTTTCCTATAACAAAAGCTTAAGTTTGCTGAATTGAAATTGCCCAATAAAAAATCTTAACAGTTGCCTTCAAAATAATTAACCCTAGGATTGTAGGTCTAGGTGCTTGCTTATAAATATTATACACATTCACACACACCCACACATATACACGTTCACACATAACCCAGTTTTACAAAAGTACAGTATTTTAGTGCATGAGACAATCTAATATGCCTCCCATCACCAAATTCCAAGAGTTGTCTTTGACTTACAAAGTGGTGTTTGAGGGTTCATGGATGTAGAATAGGCAGAGAAAATCAGCATTAATTGAGTCCTGGCAAGTAATATGAAAGATTCTTTATAGATTCTATTTGTTTATATCTTCTAAGAAAACAGGTGGCAAGAACTTATTATCCCAATTTTACTGGTTAAAAAAATTACAACTCAGAAATATTTGCATTTATAACATTTCTTCTTAGATTTTTTTCAAGTGACACACATATATATTCACACTTAACAATGGGGATATATTTTCAGAAATGTGTCATAGTCTATTTCATCATTGTGCAGACATCATAGAGTGCACTTCCACAAACCTAGATGGCATAGCCTACTACACACCTAGGCTATATGGTCTAGATTATTGCTCCTAGGCTATAAGCCTGTACAGCAGGTCACTGTGCTGAATACAGTAAGCCATAGGTATTTGCATACAGAAACATATCCAAACCTAGAAAAGATACAGGAAAAATGTGGCATAAGAGATAAAAAATGGCACACCTCTATAGGGCACTTACCATGAGTGGAGTTTGCAGGACTGAAAGTTGCTCTGTGAGTTATTGAGTGAGTGGTGAGTGAATGTGAAGGCTTAGGACATTACCATACACTACTGGAGACTTTATAAACTCTGTACACTTAGGCTACACTAAAGTTATAAATATTTTCCTTCAATAATAAATTAATCTTAGCTTTCTGCAACCTTTTACATTATAACCTTTTTAATTTTTTAACTTTTCGACTCTTTTGTAATAGCACTTATGTTAAAACACAAACACATTGGACAGCTGTACAAAAATATTTTCTTTCTTTATATCCTTAATCTATAAGCTTTTTTATATTTGAAAAAATTACCTTCTTTTCACATTTTAAACTTTTTTTGTTAAAAGTTTAGGACACAAATACATGTTAGCCTAGTCTACACAGGGTTAGGGTCATGAATATCACCGTCTTTCACTCCACATCTTGTCCTGCTGTAAGGCATTTAGGGGCAATAACAGGCATGGGACTGTCATGTCATGTGACAACAAGGCCTTCTTTTGGATACCTCCTGAAGGACTTGCCTGAGATTGTTTTACAATTTTTTTTTAAATAAGTACATGGAGTACACTTTAAAATGATGATGAAAGTATAGTAAATAGATAAACCAGTAGCACAGTTGTTTTTTTCATTATGAAATATTATGTACTGTACATAACTGTATGTGTTATACTTTTATACAACTCATAGTGCAGTAGGTTTGTTTACACCAGCATCACCACAAACACATAGCACAAACGTGCTATAATATTAGAATGGCTATGACATCGCTAGGCAATACAGATTTTTCAGATCTATTATAAACTTATGGGAACACCATCATGTATGTGGTTTGTCCTTGACCAAGGCATCATTATGCTATACATGACTGTGAATAAATTCTACTACTGTTCTATACCTCAAGCCTGCAGTCCTTACCTCTTCACTTACTTCTCTGGGGGAGGGTGAAGAACTGGACACTTCTTTGGGAGCTGTCATCTAAGCAATTTGGAAATTTCAGAGAGGCAGAGGAAAGAAAGGACATAGCAAAGCAAGAACAACTCTGCAATGGTCTAGCCAATTAGTTCTACCCCAGTTGTGGGAGTGGGAGGAAACATTTCTCCTTTTGGTCTTGAGATTTTTTTTTTTCTGAATGGATAGGTATTTCTATTTTTATTGTTTTTATTTATTTTTTCTTTTCAACTTTAATTTTAGGTTCGGGGGTGCATGTACAGGTTTGTTACGTGAGTAAATTGTGTGTCACTTGGGTTTAGTGTCAAATGATTTCATCACCCAGGCAATAAGCATAGTACATGATAGATAGTTTTTCAGTTTTCACCATCTCCCCATTTTCCATCCTCAAGTAGGCCCTTGTGTCTTTGTTCCCTTTTTTGTGTTCATGTATACTCAATGTTTAGCTCCCACTTACAAGTGAGAACATGTGACATGCAGTATTTGGTTTCCTGTTCCTGCATTAATTTGCTTAGGATATGGTTTCCAGGTCCATCCATGTTGCTACAAAGAACATAACCTTGTTCTTTCTTATGGCTGTGTAGTATTCCATGGCATATATGTACCACATTTTCTGTATCCAGTATACCATTGATGGGCATTTAGGTTGATTCCATGTCTTTGCTATTGTGAATAGTGCTGCAAATGAATGTACACATGCATGTGTCTTTATGATAGAATAATTTATGTTCCTTTGGGTATATACCCAGTAATGGGATTGCTGGGTTTAATTGTAGTTTGTTTTAAGTTCTTTGAGAAATCTCCAAACTGCTTTCCATAGTGGCTGAACTAATTTGCATTTCCACCAGCAGTTTATGAGTGATCCCTTTTTTTCTCACAACCTCACCACCATCTGTTATTTTTTCACTTTTAAATAATAGCCTTTCTGACTAGTGTGAGATGGTATCTCATTGTGGTTTTGATTTGCGTTTCTCTAATGATTAGTGATGTTGAGCATTTTTTCATATGCCTATTGGCTGATTTACATTTTATTTTGAAAATTTTCTGTTCATGTCCTTTGCCCACTTCTTAATGGGGTTGTTTGTTTTTTGCGTGTTAATTTGTATGAGTATCTTATAGACTCCAGATATTAGAGCTATGTTAGCTGCAGTTCACAAACATTTCTTCTCATTCTGCAGATTGTCTATTTACTCTGTTGATAGTTTCTTTTGCTCTGCAGAAGCTCTTTAGTTAGGTCCCACTTGTCAATTTTTGTTTTTGTTTTAATTGCTTTTGACATCTGGATCGTGAAATCTTTGCCGCAACCTATGTCCAGAGTGGTATTTCCTAAGTTTTCTTTTAGGATTTTCATAGTTTTAGGCTTTACATTTAAGTCTTTAACCCACCTTGAGTTTATTTTGCTATATAGTGTAAGATAGGGGCCCAGTTTCAATCTTCTGCATAAGGCTAGCCAGTTATCACAGCACCATTTATTGAACAAGGAGTCCTTCCTCCATTGCTTGTTTCTGTCAACTTTGTTGAAGATCAGATAGTTGTAGGTATGCAGATTTATTTCTGGGTTCTCTAACCATTACCATTGGTCAATATGTCTGTTTTTGTATCAGTACTGTGCTGTTTCAGTTACTGTAACTTTGCAGTATAGTTTGGAGTCAGGTCGTGTGATACCTTCAGTTTTGTTCTTTTTGTTTAGAATTGCTTTGGCTATTTGGGCTCTTTTTTAGTTTGACCTTAATTTTAAAATAGCTTTTTCTAACTGTGAAAAATGTCTTTGTTAGTTTGACAGGAATAGCATTGAATCTAAATTGTTTTTTTAGTATGTCCATTTTAAAAATGTTGATTCTCCCTATCTATGAGCATGGAATACTTTTTTATTTGGGTAATCTCTAATTTCTTTAAGCAGTATTGTGTCATTCTCATTGTACAGATATCTCACCTCCCTTGTTAGCTGTATTCCTAGGTATTTTATTCTTATCATGATTATTGTAAATAGTATTGTGTTCTTGGTTTGGCTCTCAGCTTGGATGTTCTTGATGTATGGAAGAGTTACTGATTTTTCTACATTGGTTTTGTATCCTGAAACTTTGATGAAGTTGTTTCCCAGTTCTAGGAGCCTTTGGATAGAGACTATGGGGTTTTATAGGTATAAAATCACATCATCTGAGAAGATAGAAAATTTGACTTCCTCTCTTCTTATCTGGATGCCTTTTATTTCTTTCTTTTGCCAGATTATTCTTGCTTGGACTTCCAGTACTACTTTGAATAAGAGTGGTGAGAGTGAGCATCCTGGTCTTGTTACAGTTCCCAAGAAGAATGCTTCCAGATTTTGCCCTTTCAGTATGATGTTGGCTGTTGGTGTCATAGATGGCTCATATTATTTTGCATTATGTTTTATGGATACCTAGTGCATTGAGGGTTTTAAACATAAAGGGATGTTTAACTTTATCAAAAGCCTTTTCTCTGCATCTATTGAGATGACCAGGTGGTTTTTGTTTTCAGTTCTGTTTATGTGGTGAATCGTATTTATTGATTTGTGTATATAGAATCAACCTTATATACCAGAAATAAAGCCTACTTGGTCATGGTGGATTAGCTTTTTGATCTACTGCTGGAATCTATTTGCTTGTATTTTGTTGAGGATTTTTTAATCTATGTTCTTAAGGAATATTGACCCAAAGTTTCCTTTTTGTGTTGTCTCTGCCAGGTTTTGGTATCAGGATGATGCTGGCTGCCTAGAAGGAGTTACAGAAGAGTTCTCCTTCTCAATTTTTTGGAATAGTTTCAGTAGCAATGCTACCAGCTCTTCTCTGTATGTCTGGTAGAATTCAACTGTAAATCTCTCTGGTCCAGGGCTTTTTCTGGTTAGTAGGCTTTTTATTACTGATTCAACTTTGGAACACCTTATTGGTCTGTTCAGGATTTCACTGGCTTCCTGGTTCAGTCTGGGGAGGGTGTATGTTTACAGGAATTTATTAATTTCTTCTAGGTTTTCTAGTTTTTGTGCATAGAGGTATTTATAATAGTCTCAAAGGAGGTTTTTTGTATTTATATGGGGTCGATGATAATGGCCCCTTTGTCATTTCTTATTGTGTATATTTGAATCGAACTGGTTTTTTCTTTAATAGTCTAGCTAGCAGTCTACCTATCTTATTCAGTCTTTCAGAAAACCAACTTTTTGTTTTATTGATCTTTTGTATGGTTTTTTGCATCCCAATTTCATTCAGTTTGGCTATGGTTTTGGTTATTTCTTTTCTTCTGGTAGTTTTGATGTTGGTTTGCTCTTGTTTTTCTAACTTCTGTAGGTGTGATGTTAGGTTGTTAATTTGAGATGTTTCTTTTTGATGTGGGTGTTTACTGCTGAAAACTTTCCTCTTAACACTGCTTTAGCTGTGCGTCAGAGATTCTGGTATGTTGTATCTTTGTTGTCATTAGTTTCAAAGAATTTCTGGATTTCTACCTTAATTTCATTGTTTATCCAAAGGTCATTCAGTAGCGGGTTGTTTAATTTCCGTGTAATTGTATGGTTTTCGAGAGATCTTCTTATTATTGATTTCTATTTTTATTATGCTGTAGTTCAAGAATGTGGTTAGTATGATTTCAGTTTTTTTGAGTTTGTTAAAAATTATTTTATTGCTGATTGTGTGACTGATTTTAGAGTATGTGCCATGTGCAGATGAGAAAAAAATGTATATTGTGTTGTTGGGTGGAGTGTTCTGTAGGTATCTCTTAGGCCCATTAGAATAATTAAGTATTCTTGTTGAACTGGACTCTTTAACACTATGTAATGCTCTTCTTTGTCTTTTTTGATCTGTTTAAAATCTGTTTTATCTGAAATTAGAATAACAATCCCTGCCTTTTTTTGTTTTCTAACGCTTAGTAGATTTTTCTCCATCTCTTTACTTTGATCCTATGGGTGTCATTGCATGTGAGATGGGTCTGTCAAAGACAGCACACTGTTGGGTCTTGCTTTTTTATCCAACTTGCCACTCTGTGAGTTTTAAATGGGGCATTAGCACATTTACATTCAAGGTTAATATTGATATATGTGGATTTGATCCTGTCATTATGTTGTTAACTGTTTATTATACAGACTTGATAGTGTAGTTGCTTTATAGTATCAATGGCCTCTATACTTAAGTGTGTTTTTGTGGTGGCCAGTAGTCATTTCCATGTTTAGCACTCCCTTCATAACCTCTTGTAAGGCAGGTCTGGTGATAATGAATTCCCTTAGCATTTGCTTTCTGAAAAGGATCTTATTTCTCTTTAGCTTATGAAGCTTATTTTGGCTGGATATGAAATTCTTAGCTGGAATTTCATTTCTTTGAATGCTGAATATAGGCCCCCAAATCTCTTCTAGCTTGTAGGCTTTTTGCTGAAAGATCTGCCTCTTCTCTCTAGCTACATTTAATATTTTTTTCTTTCATTTCAACCTTTGAGAATCTGATGACTATATGTGTTGGGGATGGTCATCTTGTATAGTATCTCACATGGGTTCTCTGCATTTCCTGAATTTAAATGTCAATCTCTCTAGCAAGATTGTGGAAATTTTAGTGGTCAATATCCTCAAATATGTTTTCCAAGTTGCTTGCCCTCTCTCCCTCTCTTTCAAGAATGCCAATCAGTTGGAGTTTTGGTCTCTTTCATAATCCCATATTTCTCAGAGGTTTCATTCATTCTTTTTTATTCTTTTTTCCTTATCTTTGTCTGACTGAGTTAATTCAGAGAACCAGTCTTCTAGCTCTGAGATTCTTTCCTCAGCTTGGTCTATTCTGCTGTTAATACTTGAGATTGTATTGTGAAATTTTAGTAGTAAATTTTTCAGCTCTATCAGATCAGTTTGTTTTTTTCTTAAAATTGATATTTCACCTTTTAGTTCTTGTATCATTTTATTGGATTCCTTAGAGTGCTTTGATTCAGTTTTGACTTTCTCCTGAATCTCAGTTATCTTCATTTGTATCCAGATTCTAAATTCTATGTCTGTAACTTCAGCCACTTTAGCCTGGTTAAGAACCATTGCTGGAAAGCTAATGCAGTCATTTGTAAGTAAAAACACACTTTGGTTTTTTGAGTTGCCAGAGTTCTTGCACTGCTTCTTTTTCATCTGTGTTGGCTGATATTCCTTTAATCTTTGAAGTTGCTGTCTTTTGGATGGGGCTTTGGCTTTTATATTCTTTGATGGCTTGAGAGTTTGACTGTGGTATAAGTTGGGTTTAGTTGACTGGCTTCATTTCTGGAACATTTTAGGGGGCCAAGACTCAACTCAGTATTCCCGGCCTATAGCTCTAATTCTGGAGGACTGGAACTAGGTCCACAACTTTGTTCTGTGGCCCCTTGAGGCTAAGCAAATTTGCACTGGTGGAATTGAGACATTCCTCGTCCACTTTGCCTGGGGGATGTTGGCCAAAGTGCTTCATCAGGGCAGCGGTAGTGGGGTCCATGCTTGCCCATGTGTGCCAGCAGTGACAGCAGCACAGTAGGGCACATGCATTGGTGGGGGTGGGTGGTGGCAGGGTGTGCACACAACCATGCTGGCAGGTGCAGGGCTGCAGTGGCAAAGTCTGTGCATACGCACACCAGTGGCAACAGCGAAGTGGGTTCTGCACATGTTCATGCACCAGGAAAGTGGTGGATGGGGTGCTGTGAATGAGTAATCACCAGCAAACTGGTAGAAGGAGGCTGTGTGTGTGTGTGTTTGTGTGTGTGTGTGTGTGTGTCAGTGAGGGCCTCTCTCCTGAAGCTCTCCAATGGTTAGGTAGGGTCTGCCAGTGAAGGAACGATAGCAGTGGCCCCTGGGAAGCACCCTGTTTGGCCATCCAAGGCTATGCTGTAAGGTGGCGCAGCCAGGCAGGGACCCCAGGAGAGGCCAGCAGACAGTGGGCTGCTGAGGTCAGACTGGCTTCATGCTATGGAAAAGACAACCCTGCTCTTTCAAGGCCCAACAGTCAACAAAAGCCAAAGCCACCTAGAGAAGTGTGAGTGTGGCAAGACTTGGGGATGGGAGCACCTGGTCTTGCCCCACTGTAGCCATTCTCATGCCAAACCCCCTGGCCTCCAGACAGGCTGGAGTCTTGTCCCTGCCACCTCTCCAAGCAACTCGCTCTGTCAGCTCAAATGTCTGTGGGGGTTATGGGGTCTCCTGCAGCTAGGATTGTGAAGGTCTATGGTGAGAGTGAGCCATATCTCTCGTATTTAACTCATCCCTTCTCCTGAAGTTGTTGGGGGCCAGGAACAAATCCTGGTGTTTGGCAAACCCATGCAGAGTTCCCAGATTCCTCCCTCTTCAGCCAAGGGTCTGCATATGCTCTTTGTCCCCTCTCAATTCATCTGTCCAAAGATCTGCTCGGAGTGTGCTAGTCTTCTTGATGGTCTGTTTTTTCAGTGGGAGATGCTTTTCCTGGCTGCATCTCATTGGCCAGCTTGGCTCCCAGCAATGAGATTTTTATTTCCATTTATTTTTAAATTCAGCATTGAAATCAAGGTCATATAAATTTCACAATTTCCTTCATAATAAATTCATGTTTGTTTTTACATGTATATTCCTCCAAAGAGCAAAAAAGCAAACTTCCTCATGCTCTTGACACCTGCTGAGCTGTGCCATGCCTCCCCCCACTGGCCGTTTTGCCTTCTCTCATATCCTCTTAAGCTTGCGTTTTCTCCCATGGAGAAGCAGAGATCCAGGTAGCAGATCTTCCAGTGTAGGAAGCTTTTAAAGAGCCATGCTCATGTTTATCAAGAATTTTCATTTAAGAATAACAAAAATTGTTACAGTAATGTAGAATGTTAACCTGAAAAATTACCTGACCTCAATCTGTGTTTGCTAGACTCACATTATTATAAAAATATGATTAGTTTATAGCTCTATAAAAATAATTCATTATACTCACCCAGTTTTCTGAGAATTTTAGGAGTCTGCTCATAAGTTAGACAGAGATTCATCTACTTAACTTGAATACTTAGAGATAATTATCTTTTAAAAGTTTAGCAAAGCAGAATAAAACCCAGTTTCAAAACATAAAAGTAGAAATAGTTGAACTTCCCTAAAGCATTATTAAGTATTGTTGGGGATAGATGGGAAGTATGAATCAATTTGAAAGCTTTTAATATTTAGACCAGATTATGGGGTCATTTTTAACCAACTAGAGGTTTAAAAAAGCACAAAATTTATTTATATAAAATAAAAAGTATGCAGTGCTTTGTTCAAAAGAATCTACATGTTGATTCATCACCATAGTCATTATATATGTAGATATATATGTAAAACATCTCCCTTTGAGAAAGCAGCACGTGAAACATAAATACAAACTTGTGAAATATTAAGAAAACTCTAGCTGCTGAGATATTATTTGCTATGGTAGCAATGAGAAACAAGTTATTTCTGAGGTAAAAATCTATGATACGTATGAAATTGAATTGATTCCTTTCATAATATACTGTATTTTGAATCAGAGTGATGGTTTATGTATATGTCTTTCATTTTACATGAAAGACAGTATAGATAGGAGACATAATGAGAATGGTGTTAATGGAATAAAGGAAAAGACAGGAAAGGTAAAGTGTGAGCCCTCATGTAGGACAGAGATTTTCAAACTTTGGCATGTAGTGAAATCAACAAATAGCTTGTTAGAACCCACATTGCCAGGCACCCCCACTCCAGCCACAAAGATTTTACTTCATTGGGTTTACTGATGCAACTCAACAGTTCGAACTCTTAATAGGTTCCCAGGTGGCACTGACGCTGTTGGTTTAGGGTTCACACTTTGAGAGACATTGATGTAGGAGGGTTTGAAATATTTCAGCAAAGTTGATACCAGGCTATCATGAAGCTTGGTGAAACAGATTCCTCTGCTTCTGTGGCTATAAAAATGCTCATTTAGGATTTTTCTAAATGAAAATATATAATTCCTAATAAACTAAAACTACCTTCACATTGTTTCTTTTTCAAACATGGTCTGATTCACATTGCTGTTTGCTATTTATTTTTACTCAAATAAGCCTTCCTACAGAACTCTGTCACTGCAAATAGTCTCAATTCGCCATTAGCTAACATTCCATCTGAGATGAATCAGAGCTAGAAGAATGATTATTTCACAATAAATGCCTTTGGGTCCAATTTTTATGTAACTTTATATACTTATACAGCAAATCCCCTCCTCATGTGTCAATGGTCTGAGTAGACCTCATGTCCAATCCAGAATTAATCCCAATTCTGGATTATTTTAGGGTAGCTCTATGCATTAATTGGCATAAACTTCCTTTCTCCTAAGCCAATCACTGTGGTAGGAAGAATGGAGTTACTGCTCTCTCTGAACTACATTACTGCTATGCAATAACATAGGCTTTGAAAGAATATTGGTGTACTGTCTCAGGCTGGCTTTCTCAGATGCTTGCCCAAGACAAAGATTTGTATGCACATGATTTATTAATTATCTCAACAAGACAGGAAAGAGAAAGAAGCTAGCCTTGTATAACTGCAGGCAACGATCCCAGGATTGCAGTGTCAGCATGAACCATGGGGGAAGCTCTGGAAGGAAAATGAGCTCTCAGGGTAATCCTGACCTGAGATAAGACAGCTGGGCTTTCCTGCTTCTCTGTCATCCTTCAGCCTGAGGCTCAGGCTGCCCCCAAAGGATGGAGGCTGAGCTCAGTCCCATAGAAACAGTAAGATCTAAGGAGGTATGTGCAGGACAACAGCGGTATTCACTACAGGGTGACAACCAGACTCTGCCACACCAAGATTAAGAGATTTTATTTTATCTAATATGTCAGCACATCCTGCCAAACATGTGCAAAGAGGGAAAAATGGGACAGAGAGAATGGATAGTTCCTGAATTTGAAAAATGCTGGACTAAATAAAGTTAAATCGAAGACATTCTGCAGGTCTTTTATGAGCCTTTACTATATTAATGGCTGTTGTGAGTCAAACCACAAAATTGTTTTTATAAGACTGTCTCTCGGGTGTATCTTCTGTGAGACAGACTTTGGAAAAGCTGCTGTGAGTAAGGGGTTGTCAAAGGTTTGTAGAGCAGCATAATCAGATCAGGATTTATGGCGTGAAGTAAAAAGGGATGGAGAAAAGGAGCACTAAGACAACAAGATCACTTTGCTTCTGCAAAAGAACAAATGAAATATAATTAAATCATGAAATAAGCAAGTTGTATAGAAAACAAAGGAGGAAATGAACTAGACTATCTAATAGTTAGAATTGTCATAACTATGAAGGCTGTGAGGCACTAAAGAAGTTGGAGATCCCAAGGTCATTGGCTCAAGTGACTCCACAGCTAGTGAGGCCTTTAATGATGATGGAGAATTGATGAGGAGGACAATTCGGGGAGGCAAGATTAAAGTTTGAAAACTACATGGAGATGTGTGGTAGACAACTAACACTAAAGGTGTGGATTTTGGATTTACCAGCTTTGGGCTGTGACTTAGTCGGCTTGGGCTGCCATAACCAAACACCACAGACTAAATGGCTTAAACAACATAAATTTATTTTCTTAAATTTCTGGAGGCTGGAAGTCCAAGATCAAGGTGTTAGCATCATCAGTTCCTGGTGAGACCCACCTCCTTGGCTTGCAAACAATCACCTGCTCACTTGTCCTCACATGACTTTTTTTGTGGAAAAAGACTCTTCCTCTTCTTGTAAGGACACTAGTCCTATCATGTTAAGACCCTCATCAATCACTTTTAACATGATCGATTACTCTTTCAGTATCTTATTTAACATTAATTTCTTCACTATCTCCAAATACAGTCACATTGAGAGAATGGCTTCAAAATATAATCTTTTGGGAGATAGGAGAAACAATTCAGGTCTTAACTGAAAATAAATTCAGTGCTAGTTGGAGCCTAAAGAACTAGGAAGTTGACTAGACTGAGAATTGACTGAGAATGGGACTCAGGGGGCCTCCAACCTTTGTAAGACAAGGGGGATAAAGGAGAGCCAGACCTATCAACTCTCAGAGCTAGCAGACTTGAGAAAACCATGTTCACTGCTCTGTACTTCTGTTGCTTCACCTGTAAAAAGGAGCTAATGATTGTTTTTGTTTATGGAGCTTTTATGAAAATAATATATGAGTTAGGGCCCAGTTGGGAGACAGAACACATGCAATGTTTACAACCACAAAGTGTAATATAAGGAATTATTAACAGAAGATTTGCTTATGAGGAGTTGCCTGTTGAGAATTAAAGAGAATACTAAGGAACCTAGGAGCCACAGATGGAAGGAGCAGGCATGATTTCCAGGGCTGACATGAAACACCCAGGGAAGATCTCCTCATGGCCATCGTAGCTGAACTCCAGATGGTGGAGAATGCATGGCCGTGACTCACTGATGGCTCAGAAATCACTCAGGTGTCTCACAGTTGGTAATTGCTGGAAGTCTCTCCTCTGGAGTGCTGGAGAGACTTTCCACAGAGGGATGTACATGCCTCAGAACCTGTTAGGTGCTGGGAGACGCTGTTGGCCATTGGGCACTGCTATTTCAGGCTGGCACAGAACTCTGCGTGGTTTGGTTTAGGATGGCTCTGAGCTAGCTGTCTGGGAAAAAGGTTGGGGCTGGCATACAATGAGTACTCGGTAAATGTTAGCTATTTGCTCCTACTATGGTTCCTACTGGTACTCCTGCTACTGTTGCAGAGTAGTTAAAAACTAGACCTTTACAGCCTGGCAAACCTGGGCTCACATCCCTTATATGCCATTTATTAGCTGCAGGATAGTGGACAAGTGACTTAATCACCTTAAGACTCAATTTCACCGTCTGTGAAATGGCATTAATAATAGTATTTATCTCCTGGGTTTGCTGAGAGCAGTAAATAGGAACATAAAGGTGAACTGCCTTATACAGTAGCAAGCAAGTAGTAATAGATTTCCTTAAGTGGCTTTTAAAATGTTTTAAATAAATATTAGTTCACTTTCTCTCCATAGAATGTTCTTGACATTAAGTATAAAACTGAAAGAAAGAATATGGTGAGACAGTAAATAAATAAGTTAAATGAATGAAAGCTAAGTGACTTTTAATATAGTGATTATTCCATCTTATCTGTGTGTTGAGTCTGAATCTACCAGATTAATTTTAACTGGATGCCTTCTTTATTGAGTGTACACCACAGAGAAGAATTCTAATTCAATTCAGAAGTTCTGAGACAGTAAATTCTCCAAGTGGCAGGTCAACAGCAAATGTATGGATCATTCTGCCCTTTCAAACTCTCACATCAATACTAGTACGTAAGACTCTGCAGTTCCATGTAGAATTGAAATTACCAAATCATGCAGAATAAACTAACAGGCATCTTCTGCATGAGTCAATTAAGACCTTAAATGAGAACATAGTATCTTCTTTCTAGCCTCAGTGATTACATTTTTAATTACCACATATTTTCAGGCACGTCATGGAATTTGACGACTGATAGATTTGGTAAATTCTTCCTGGCTGCTATGGCTGGGAATTAAATTCCAGTTCACATAATTGTGTTTGTTGTTGTTGGTCCATTATGGATATCTACTACAACTGATAAACTCTCTAATCTCAGCTCCACTTGGCACAATGTGGACAAGTCCAAAAAAGAGAGACTTGTTATTGTCAAAAGCAATGAGTTTAAGTGAAACCTGTGACTAGTCACAAAGACCATATCCTTTGAGAGAATAGTCAGAGACTTTCAACAGCAATGTTATATTAGTCTAGCTCAATTACCATTCTCTAGCTTAGTGACAGAAATAATAAATTTCAGAATCTCAAGATATTACTACCCCAGGACAGTAGTTCCTTGAATTCCTTATTCACTGTGCTTTGATTTCATTTTGTGTAGCTAGTGCTTATAAATAAGTGATTTCAATATGTGAGATTTCATCTGACCTATCCAAATATCTGGGGAAAAAAAATAAAAAGAAGTCCGTAAGATTCTGTTTGTTTCATAATTGCTGTGGTCTCCTCTTTGATATTTCAAGCAGATTATTTGCAAACAAGTAGAAATCTCCATGCTAAATAGTCATCCAAACAAGGTTTAAAGTCACTGGCAGGAACTCCATTGCAAAACAGTTCCTAAAAATAAAAAAAAAAAAAGCCCAGATAGAATAAAATAAGAAATTTTCACCATTATATATTGGTAGCATTAGGAAACATGGCAGAAAAATAATTTTTTAAAATTTTCTTGTAAGAACAATGTTAATATTTGGTATTAGATGTTGCGTTGTTCACTAAGAATCTAATATAAAATAAACCATATATGATCAATTATAGATGTTTAGGTTATAAATGCACATATATTTATCATCCATAATTGATTCATGTATTACTATAATATTCCAGCATCTGCTAAATTTAGGCTTATTATTTCACCTTCTTTTTTTTAACAGCTTTGGAAATAACGTTTATGTTTCCTATGTGCAACGTATACTGGTGTTTTCTTTTTTAAAAAAACTATTTCCACAGGCTTTTGGGGAAGAGGTGGTATTTGATTGTGTGAGTAAGTTCTTTAGTGGTGATTACTGAGATTTTGGTGCACCCATCACCCAAGTAGGGTACACTGTACCTAATGTGTAGTCTTTTATCCCTCACCTGCCTCCCACCCTTTCCCCCACTCCCCAAAATCCATTGTATCATTCATATGCCTTTGCATCCTCATAGCTTAGCTCCCACTTATGAGTGAAAACATACGGCGTTTGGTTTTCCATTCCTGATTACTTTCACTTTCATTATATACTGTATCTCAATGGTTTATCATCTATATAAATGGACTTTAAAATGTGCAGCTTTATTCTACAGGTTGAACATCTCTCATTTGAAAATCTGAAATCCTAATTGCTCCAGAATCCATAGTATTTTGAGTGTGTACGTGATACTCAAAGGAAATGCTCACTGAAACAGGTCGGATTTTGGATTTTCAGATTAAGGATGTTTAACTGGTAAGTATAATGCAAATATTTCAAAATCTGAAAAAACATCTGAAATCTGAAACACTTCTGGTCCCAAGCATTTAGGATAAGGGATATTCAGGCTGTATCCTATTTTGACATAAACTAATATGTTTTTCTGGCATTTTAAAGATAGCAACACATCTTTCACCATCCTTCCATTGAAGAATGGATCAGTTTTTCATCCCCTTGAATCTAGGCTGAACTGTGACTGTTTTGTTGTATATATTACAGAGGAAATGATGCCACACCAGTTCAGGATTTACCCTTTAAAAGGATTGGCAGCTTTCAGCTCAGTCTCTTGGAGCCCTGAGCTGTCTTAGAAGAAGGCTGACTATTCCTATGGGAGAGACCACACAGAAACTAAAAATACTTGGAAGAGGAGAGGGGCTCAGTTGAGCCCAACCTTCCAGCCAACTCCAGCAGGGTGGCAAGTATGAGAGTGAGGATATCTTGGAGCCTCAGCAACCTGTGCTATCCAATAGCTATCAGCCACATGTGACTACTGAGCACTCAAAATGTGAGTAATTTAAATTGAGATATACTATAAGAGTAAAATAGATACTGGATTTCCTTTTTTTCTTTTCTTTCTTTCTTTCTTTCTTTCTTTCTTTTTTTTTTTTTTTTTTTTTTTTTTTTTTATTTCTGAAACGGAGTTTTGCTCTTGTTGCCCAGGCTGGAGTGCAATGGCACGATCTCAGCTCACTGCAACCTCTGCCTTCCAGGTTCAAGTGATTCTCCTGCCTCAGCCTCCCAAGTAGCTGGGATTACAGGCATGTGCCACCTAATCCCAAAATATCCCCGGCTAATTTTGTATTTTTTAGTAGAGACAGGGTTTCTCCATGTTGCTCAGGCTGGTCTTGAACTCTGGACCTCAACTGATCCTCCCGCCTCAGCATCCCAAAGTGCTGGGATTACAGGCATGAGCCACCATGCCTGGCCACATATTGGATTTCTAAAAATATGTTTAAAAATCTCATTAAGAATTTTATATTATGTTTAAATAATATTTTAGATATATTGTATTAAAATAGGCTATTAAAATAATTCCACTTAAAATTTTTATATTTGGTTATTAGAAAATTTAAAATTACTCTTTCTCTATGTATATATGTTTGCATAATTGGACAGCGCGGCTCTCAACCATCCCAACCACCAGCTGAAAACCCGGTGATTTCAGTCGGTATTACTTGAGCCATTCAGCTGAGCTGTTTCTGAATTCTTGACACACAGAATCTGTGAGATAAAATAAAACAGTATTGTTTTAAGCTATTAAGTTTTGGAGTAGTTTCTTACACAGAAATAGGTAACTGAATGACATACATAAAAATATTAAGTAATTCACAGAAATTATGCTCAACCTCTTAGAATTTAGAAGAAAGAAATGTGCTTGGCCCAAGCAACATTTTCACAGTCATGGTTAATAAATTATAATATAATGCCTGATTTTTTCCTAAATTAATTATTTGTAGCAAGTATGGAGTCTTAAATTTATTGATTTAAGATTTTGTCTTTGATAAAAAAACTCTTTCTTTAACTACTGAAGAGAACACATAGGAAAAGAAATAAACTGTAGAAAATTAAAACCAATATTTTAATTGGTTCTGTTCATTTTATCAGGGAACAGAAACAGGAGATCCCAGTGCTTCATTATTAGTTACATTGTTTGCATTAACATTTGCAATAATCAATTGAAATGTCAAAAATAATCTTTATCCAGGATTCTTAAATCAGAAAAATCCAGATTAACTATTAGGAATACTATTTTCTGGCTAGGGAATATTGAGTAAATAACATAGCTTCTATGAATCCATTTTCTTATCCACATAATAGAAATGACAACACATTAATTATCTATTGAATTATTGTGAGGATTAGGGGAGCTAACATATGTAAAGCACTTATTTCAGGGCCTGGCACAGGGTAAATGCTCTGAAAGTGAGAGATTTAATAATAATGCATAGGGTAATTACATATGAAAGACTGAAATAGTAGAGTTGCCCTGTCTCAAAAAAATTACATACTTGGTTATGGCATAATTATTGTAACCCTAGTTGTTGTGGAAATGTTATAAACTTGGCTACCTCTTACCTATCTCTTGATTACACAGGTGGAGCATCCTGCATGATTCTATAGCACTCAACAGGTGTCTGCCAAGCGGACAGACTACAGACCCCTCTGGCCGCATGATGCTGAGCTTCCCCTTGGACACATGAAGATTAAGTTAGTCAAGCATGGAGATTCCTCCCTCTCCTTCACAAACTCCAGATGTTTGGCATCTCCCCAATATCCTAAGACCTCCTGGACTGGGAACAAAATGAGCGTAGTGAAAGAGGAAGCAGCTTTAGAGAAAGCACCACAGGGAACAAACCAATAAAAAAGCAGGAAACTCAGCACAAGCCTGATTTATGTCACTGCACTTCTCTACTCTCAGCCCCATTCCCCCAAACTCCCAGCAAGCACACAAGCACACACAGGCACACACATGCACATGCGCACACACACATGCACATACACAACACACACACACACACATGCCTTCTGCCAGCAGCTCTCTTTCTCACTCTCACTTTTCTTTTCAAATGCTGGCATTTGAAAAAATCCCCTATTTTGTTTCACCCTCCTTTTCTGCCTCCCTAAAGAGCTTCCGAAGAGGAGTTTTGATGGTGCATCTGAGTGTTAATAGATTCGGGAGTGTGAAGCTGTTGCCTGAATCTCATTCCCTGAGAGTGCCTTTCTCTTTTTAATAGCTGAGAAAGAATTGATCAAGCCTCTGTTTTAGTCTCTGTTTCTAAACAGAAAGAAAGAAAGAAAAAGGAAGGAAGGAAACAAGGAAGGAAGGACATACAACGTAAAAACAAAAACATTTTTACGACGATCCCTTTTTCAACAGCTAGGGGCAATCCAGTGTGTTCAGTTGTGTTAGTTCTGTGTCTGTCAGGAGAAAAAGCCATGTAGAAGTGATGATTTAGTTTTCTTGGTGGGAACACAAGGGAAGCTAGTTGAAAGCAATGGTTGTGGGGTCTTGAATGGACAGGCAAGTCCGGTAGTCAGAAGAAGATTTTGATTAGAAACAGAGGAATTTCTTCCAGGAAAATACATTGTCTTCATGACAAACCAAAAATACACCAAATGTTCTGAAAACTGCCCTTTAAAAAGAAAGAACAGATTGTTCAATTGAAACACTTTCCTGAAGCCAATTGTTGCAGGCTGCCAGCCACCTTCAGTACCAGCCACCCCTCCGTCCTCCCCAGGGCCGGTATAAGGGGTGCATGAGAGACACGTGCATGCAGAAGACTCCACCATGATGCCTGGCTCCCATTGCACTGTCCCAGAGCGGCGTAGTGGCAGCTGGGGTTAGTGCTATCTGTCATGAAAGGGCATTCTACTCCGGTTGGCAGAGAACACTCACACACGGGGAAGCTGAGCCATCAGTGCAGGAGTTAATTCCCGTTTGCAATAATACTAAGGATGTCGCATTCATATATACTCAATGAGCACTAAAGGAATCATAGGAATATGCTCTCACAGGAGATAATGTAGCCACAGTAGATAAAGGAGGATGTCCTGGAAGAAGGGGAACCTTTTTTAAGCCAAGGGAGAAAACCACTGAAAAGTAAATCTTTGCATGTAGCTGTGCAGCTCTGCAGATCTAAAATCTGTGCTTTTTAAAAGTATACTCTGTGGAGTAGCAGTCCACATCAAAAGGTCACAGTTTAAAAGTTTTGTATTGTGCTTGGGTTATCCCTTAAGATGTTAGTTATATCATCACAAAAGAACAAGAGTAAACTGTAATTTACTATTTTTGGAGTATTTTTTTGTTGTTAGGCATTTGAAGGATGAGGTGCACAGTGCCCAAGAGTATGTCACAGCGGCAATTTCCACTTTATGCAGAATTAATACTCAATTACTTATCTGCTTACCTGGACCTTGAGTGAATAATAGATTCCTAATAAAGGGTTTTTGAGCAAATGGACAAATTGGATGCATTTATGTTATAGCAGCCACAACAGCAAAAGAAAATCAAACACTTACAAAACAGAAGTCAATCAAGTTTTAACTAGAGGAGACACCAAAGTATCATACAGTGGAGGAAAAATTCAAATGTTCTGCGCCAAGCTCCTATCATGCCAATTGTACATGTTTGTGCGTATGTAGGGTAGCTAGGGTTGGATGTGTAATCATCCCTAAAATTCATTTGGTGAAGAAAAATACATTTTATTTGAAATCATTGTCTATTTTTATTCCTGCCAATATTTTGTATAACATAGAAGTCTGCCCCAGAGTGTAAATAAATAATGAGGAAGGTCACAGATCTAAATATACTATCTTGGTTCAATAATAAAAAGAGAATTTTTTCCTCGTAAGATTATTTTTTTCTTTGTGAACTTTGTATTAATTTAGGATTTAGGCGAATAATACATTGAATAGCAACTTTTCATATTCCTATAAATTGTGATATGCAGCTTCATAATATATAGTCAATAACCGAGCATCACTCTGTAGGTGGGGGGAAATGCTTTTTACCATAACCACGGAAGATACATTATGTCTCTCTGAAACCACGGAAACTTTCTAGCTGCTGAAAGCTGTTGGCACGATGCAATGCACCTTAGCAATGGAAGCATCCCCTCTGCCCCCTCCTGCTGAGACCCAGCAAAGGCCATCTGCTAATTGTTCTTGTCTTTGGAGTTCCTCCTGTGACCTGCAAAGAAGGTTCTCCATCCATATATCAATCTCTCTCTAACCCACATTTTCTGATTTCTCTGGTGCAGCCAGAATGGTCCCAGGAGAGCTCTAACACACTACATATCTGATGCTTAAAAAAGACCTCTTCATTACATGGCTTCAATAATGGTGGGCTAAAGGGAGCCCAGGCACCCTGTCCCATGCTCAGGTGAGTTAGAGAATGCTCCTAGGAGGATACTCCACATGCTGCGTAAACCTGGGAAGCTCAGGGCTTAAGCCTCAGAACAGCTCTAGACATCCTGAGAAAGGCTGAGAAGACACAAGCCAAAACAAGCATGAAGTCATCTTCAAATTTTTTACTTCTAAAAGAGAAAGTATCTCTTTCTCTTTCTTTAAACAGGCTATTACAGTGCTGTACTATTTGTTTTTTTACCACACGCACACAAATATTGCCCATATCTAAATATACATCTTGCCCAAACACACAAGAAATGGAGCTAAAGTTTCTTTTTAGCAAATTACAGGCTCTAGCTATCTATGACTAAGTCCAGGGAGATCAGGTTGCTGCATCACGAGGCAGCTTTTTCCCTTTGCATGCCAGTGTGCTGGGTGGTATGTGCTGTGTGTACAAAAGGAGACTCTTTGATGCTACGAACACTGGTCTCTGTGCTCTGGCATCAATGTCTCTCTCCTGGCCTTGGGAGAACTCCATGCCATACGGTGTGCTGCTCCCCTGGGCTCTGAGCATAGGGCTATGGTTATGACAAGGGAAAATATTAACAAGCATTGCAAGGTGATGACAACGTTACAGAAGGCAGAGGGTTTTGAATGTGGTGGTGACAGATGGTTGTCTAAAAACCCCTGAAGGAATCAGAAAATATCCATAGACCCTTGGCTCCCTAAAGTCTTCCCTTGAGGGTCTTTGTGGAGACCTGTTTTTCTCACTCCTTCATTACCCATTTTTAATTTGACATAATTTCTGCC
Organism: Homo sapiens; assembly: GCF_000001405.40. Lineage (NCBI taxonomy): Eukaryota > Metazoa > Chordata > Mammalia > Primates > Hominidae > Homo > Homo sapiens. The sequence goes on from NC_000008.11 coordinate 57,751,504, forward strand.
AATTTCCTTTCCTAGCACTGCATCGTGCAATACAGTAGCCATTAACCACACGTGGCTATTTCAATTTCAATTGAAATCAATTAAAAATAAATAAAATTTAACTTCAGCTCAACCACACTAACCATATTTCAACTGTTTAATAGCTAATGCTGCTACTAACAACAGTATGGACAATAGAGATTAACACTATTCTAGAATAAGACTCCCCATTTCCACAGCTTCAGTTATGACGCATGCTGGAATCACTGGGGACTCATGTCTTCTGGCATTCTTGATCTTCCATCTGTAGTCTCTGTCTTTCTTCATTTTCACACTTACCCTTCTCCTCACCCTATGTAGCTAGTCTAATCCATACACATTTTCTCAAGTTTTGAATTGTTATTATTGAAAACATTTTCTTTTCAAAACACTTCAGTGTTACCCAAGACCAAGTTTCTGAACAGTGATTCACAGGCTTTAGCTTTTACTTCAAAGACCACAATATTGATTACTCAAAAATCTAAGAGATGCTCTTAAGGCAAAAAAGTGATCATAATTCTTCAATATTTAATAATGGACTGGCTAGATTTAGATTCTGCAACATTAAATTATCTAAGGCCAATGTCCCTTTAATTTCCTTTGAGAAGTGATTAAAGCTACTAGAATGCTGCCATTCCAGGAAGGAGAAAATATATTCACTAATAATAGCTAATGTTTATTGAATGCAGAATCGATGTCAGGCATTGAGTAACCACTGAGTGCTCCACCAGATTGCCTCTTTTCAACCCACAGCGATCTTTTGATGTAGATGTTATTTCTATTTTACAACTCACCAAACTAATGCACAGAAAAATTATATAACATTCTCAAAATAACAGAGGAAAGTGGCAAAAACAAGATTTGAACCCACATCTTTCTCACTCGAGAGCCGAAGTCCTCAAGCTTGATGCAGTTTTCCCTCTTCAGTATGGTGTACTTTGATCTTCCTAGCTGTTTTACTTATTATCTCCTTTGCTTCTCCAAGAAGTCTTATGAAGTAGTCCAGGCCTCATATTAGTGCCTGATACACAGTATCTGATGAATAAAACAGTGTGTCAGTTTTCTTTTCCCAACTTGCAAATGACCAAACTGAAACTTAGAGAAGTTAAAGGTAGAGGGACGCAGAGACAATAAGATGTAGTGCTGAAAATTGCACCTGTATCTCCTGATTTCACTAGTGCTAAAGTCCTGCTTTCATTACTCTCAAACATGAATAAATAATAGATGTTATCTCAGGAATTTCCTCCTACTGTCAATAAGGATTTCTAGTTCCAGAAAAGATGGTAAGCTTGCACACGCTACTGGCTTCTTCCCCTGAACCCACCCTGGAAAAGCCGCAGAAGTGAGGAGGTTAAGTATTCTGAACATCACAGAACACTCATGAGAAACACTTGAGGAGGCACTGGAGCTGGCCCAGGACAAAACTACAAAAGCAAGAGATGCATGAGGTCTGGTCACCTCTGGGAATCCTCTACTCTCTCCATCTCTCTATACACACGCTGTGGATTAAAAGAGTCTCAGAGAATAGCATCATGGCGAAGAGGGGATGGGAGAGCTAGTGAGGTTTGTCTGGAGCAGAGCCTCCCCAGAGGGGGAAGGAAGAAAATGAGTATTTTTGGGGCTCTGATTGCAAGACCAGAGGCTCCAATGTCCTAAGGCACCAAAGCTAAACCTCCTATGGAAGAGAACAAGCTGCGACTTCAGAGCATTTTCCTTCTCCCAGACCTATATTGTGAGCCAGGAGTAACAAAGAATTCCAAGAGGAATAGAACTCAAAGGGAAATAAATGACAACATTTGAGAAGTGCTAGCACTGTAAAGGGCAAGAAAATAAACAACCTAGCAGGAGTTACACAATGAATATACCAGATATAATAGGAGTTTTAAGTAAACATAAATAAATGTCTTCAGGGATGTAAGAAAGGACACTAGAAACAAGAGGCAAGTACACAAAGTAACACGGCATTCAACTGGGGATATTAAGTGTGAAAATGTAACTGTTGAAGTAAATAATGCAAAAGATGCATTGAGCAGCAGAATGTACTGAAAAAAATAACATTTTACTGCCCTGGAAGGTACAGTTGAGGAACTCTCAGGGCAGGCAACAGGGAAGGATTAAGTGACTTAAAACATGAGGGAAACATCAGAAGACGGGAGGAGAGGAGTGGACACATTGATAGGTATCTAATGGGAACTTCAGAAGAAAAGCATTAACAAGTAGGGTTCAGGTATCTAAGAAATGTATACTTAAAAAGTCCCAGACTCGAACAGGATCAATAAGAAACATCAGCTACTAGACACATTAGAGTAATATTTAGAAAATCAGTGACATTGATAATTCTAAAAGTTTCTTGGGGGGAATAAGAGGTCACTTCAAAGGAACATCAGATTTCACAACTGCAACACTAACTGGAAGAAAACAAGGTTGTAAGAGTTTCAAAGGATTCAAGGCAAAGAACTAAGCTATTATCTAAATGTGAAGATAAAATAAAGATATTATCACACATACTCAGCCTCACACAGTTAATCATGCAAAGATTCTCTGAGAGCACTCTCGGCAAAGTTCTTCAGAAAGAAGAAGAAGCAATGTGAAACAATATAAGATGACTAGAAATTTAAGACTTTCATTATTGTTCAAATAGGCAATGATCAAAACATGTGTATATAAAATGCTAAAAATACTTTAACATGAATGTGGGAGAGACTAGGAGAAAGATACTATCAAGAATTTGTCTTAGTTGAGAGGAAGGCATAATTACTGAGAGGCATTTGAACATGTCAAGAAAAAAAAACAATGTGGCAGTGACGTAATTGCCATAATAATAATAAAATGTTAAAAAAATAAAACTTTATAGATTCAATTGAAAGTTAAAAACTAGAAGAAAGAGATGCTATGTTTTAAACGAAAATATAAAATAAAATAGAAATTGTTTTTAAATGACAGCTATTACCCAAAAACACTTAAATTCACAAACACAAAGACTCAGATTGAATACAAATGAAAAATATCAAGATATTATTTAATAGAAACAAATTTAAACAAAAAGCCAGAAGCAGTTTAAAAACAACAGGGGAGAAAAACATATACCCATGAAATACGAACCCAAATATATCCAGTGAAAGAAATTTAACATAAGACAAAATAAGATTTAAAGCTTAAAAAAATCAGTAAAGAAAAACAAGACTGTTAACTGTTAGTAAAAGGACAATCTATCAGAGTTTATGACCTTAAGACTATATGCACTTACTGAAATATAGTTTCCACAATTGATGGGGTTACAGGGGAAAAATTAATGTATTTACAAAAGATGGGATTTTTAATAAATTCCTCTTGAAAAGTAATTGGCCAATAGTCAAAATAATTTTAAAAGACACAGAAGGGAACAAGTTAATGTACCTGAATTAATAGATAAAGAGAATATTTTACATCCTATAAACAGAGACTATATATTCTTTTTTGGATGCAAAGAAAACAATTACAAAAACTGAGTATGTACTAACCTACAAAGAAAACTCAGTAAATTAAAAAGAATTAATAGCAAATAACCATGTCTTCTGATAATCTGAAAAATAATATAAATCATTAATAATGATAAGCTAAAAAACTTACTATGTGCCTGAAATTTAAAAACACGTAAAAACCATATAATTAAAAATTAGAATAAACACTGAATTAATGAAGCATTATAATGAAAATTTTAAAAATATTTATCTCTGAATGATAATAAAATCACTGTACATATATATGTGAAGAAATAGAGAACTACTTGTATGGAAATTTATAGCTTAACTTAGAAAACAAGAAAGAATTGCAGGAACAAAACTAGCCAGACAAGGAGCAACTAAATAAAGCAAAACAAGGAAGAGAAAAAAAAAGTCCAAAATTGAAACAGAGAACAAAGATACAACAATAGATATAATTAACATAACACAAATGGGATTCTTTTAAAAAGACTAATAATTTAGATACACTTCTGTCTGTTCTCAAGAAAAGAATAAGAGAAGATACATAAAAACAAAATAATCATGAAAGGGGGTGTTTATATATGTTATAGACATCTTAAAATGGTTAAGGAAATAAATGAATCAGTAACCATAAATGCAGGTCAAAAAGCTATCTACCATACTCCTACTCCCTCTCCCATTCTCAAACTAACTGCTAAAACTAGATGGTTTTTTTCATCTAAGTTGGACCAAACTTTCCAGGAACAACTCACCTTTATCTTATAGTCATCCCATAAAATGGAAAAAGAGAAAGCTGCCAAACTCATTTTATGACACTATCATAATCTTGATGCCCAAACTGTATAAGAATAGTATAAGAAAAAAATATTGTTAGACTATTGCACATAAATGCAAACATTTAAATAATAGACTACACAAACTAATCATTTATGAAAATAAATACATCACGCTGACTTATATCTTATCCCAGGAGTTCAAGAAAGATTTAACTACAACAAAAGGCTTTTAAAGGAGGAAAACCACATGGTAATCCTAATAAATATAGAAAAAACACTCAAAATGCAAACCTATTTAGGCCAAAACCTCTTAAACTCAGAATCCGAGAACTAAAAACCACACCAAAACCTCATTTTTAGTGAAGAAACCATAGAAGCATTTTTAATAAGTTTCAGTATAACTGGTAGCCAAAGATAAAAGATATATAAAAATATAGGCAGAATAAAGATTAGAAAGGATAATAATAGAATAAAGATCATCGGCCAGGCACAGTGGCTCACTCCTGTAATCCCAGCACTTTGGGAGGCCGAGGCGGGTGGATCACGAGGTCAGGAGATCAAGACCATCCCGGCTAACACGGTGAAACCCCATCTCTGCAAAAAAAATACAAAAAATTAGCCGGTCGTGGTGGCATGTACCTGTAATCCCAGCTGCTCAGGAGGCTGAGGCAGGAGAATCACTTGAACCCGGGAGGCGGAGGTTGCAGTGAGCCGAGACAGCACCACTGCACTCCAGCCTGAGTGACAGAGCAAGACTCTGTCTCAAAAAAAAAGAAATCATCATGGGTGCTGTATGCAGGATCAATAGTATTTCTCTACAACCAATAACAGTCAGCTGGATCTTTATTGAGAAAAGCTTTCCAACTCTACTGAAGAACATTAACAGAAAATCTAAACTAATGGAGTATATATGTGTTTCATGGATAAGATGCTTGAAACTATAAAAGTTGTCAATTCCCCATAAATTATTTAATTGGATTAAATCAATTAGAATAAATATCACAGTGGAACTCTGCAGCAAACTTTTCTATTGATTCTAAAAAATACATGAAATAATAAATTTTCACAAATAAGATACTTTTTCAGAAATAAGAGTAACAAGGTTAGTTCAAGCATAGGAACATGTAAAACAATGGAAAAAGATAGTGATCCCAGAAACAGACTCCGAACTTGGTATACAGTAGGTGTGTCATCATGAATCACTTGGGAAAGTATAGATCATTAAAAATATAGTGTTGGCAACAATGGCTGATATACAGTATCAGTTGATTCCTATCTCAGAAATCATCCCAAAAGGAACTTCAAATTCACAAAATACCTGAATATAAAAGGTAAAAACATCTAAACACCATTGAACAATAAGAAGACAGGAAAAATACTTAAATTATTTTTAAATATCTGAAATATTTAACTTCTAATTTGAGAGATATTTCAAAATGAGTTTAAAAAAATTTATTTATGGATCTGTTCAAGGCTACATTTTCTTAGTTTAAGACTTTTGAAAACGAATTGAGTTTCTTTCCTCAGAGTGTCTACCACATTACAGGATCCATCATGATTGCTTTGTGCTGGTTCTCTAGAACCTCAGAGGTGTATAGAGGTGAGAAGAGCTCTCCGTCCTCTTCCCTGCCCTCATGCACTTGAAGTGCTGCCCACAACCACCTCAGCAGCAGTTCTCTTGGGAAAATAATAGTAGGAATGTGTCAGGTGAGAGTCTGTCTCTGATTCTTAGTGAGTTTAGCATCTTATTATAAATATATTAGCCTTTGTAGCTATCATATTGGCAAAATTTAGAGATATGAATAATAGCAAGTGCTGGGTAGGATGTGTGGAAAGAAAATATTTAGGAATTGAAGGTGAAAGTATAAACTGGTATAGCTCAGCAAAAGAGAAATCTAAAAATACTTAGAGAAATTAAGTATGAATATAATATAACAATTCCATCCCTGGGTCTAGTCTAGAGAAATTCTCATCCAAATCTACCATGAAACATATAGACTAATATCTGTAGCATCAGTAATGGTAGCAAGGAGTTGGAAGAACACAGGTATTCATCGGTGGAGAAAAAGATAATTAGTGTAATATATACTGTCAATAGCATATTCTGCAAGAGTCAGAAATAATGAACTTATTATTTTACTTAAGGCAACATGGCTTGATCAGAAGCTTTTGAAATAAAAGAGAAAGGGGGTGAAAAGCAGGAATAGGTCCATGGCACAGCACAATTTATGTAATTTAAACACACACACAAATATCCTGACTGTTTTCATGGATACACCTACATGAATCGACATAAATATATAGAAGATGGATTGGAGAGAGTCACCTTAAATATATAAGAGTGGAGAAAACCAAAATATAATCAAACAAAAGAAGTGCTTGCAGAAACATATGACAAAGATCTATCATATGGTTAACTCAATTCCATGCACCCAACGTTAAAAAATAAAGTCAGAGGACAGAGCTACTAAATTTTGAAAAGCTTCCATCTTCAATATGGAACCAAGGCAGCATAGACTAGCAGGTAAGAGAAGGAAATCTGGATTCAGACTTCCTGGGGTCGAAGCCCAGCTCTGCAAGGGAGACTGGTGGCTTCATGCCTTGGTTCCATCATCTATGAAAAGACAGATAATAATAGCACCTATGACACAAGACAGTTGTGAGGATCAAATAAGTTCATATTTGCAAGACAGAGTAGTATCTGGCATAGAGTGTTTGATTTTAAAATGCTTAATACATTTTATTACCTGTCTTATTTGAACCCCTGATAGTACTTCACAGTGTTGGAAGCAGACATACAAATACTTTCTAGAAAAAGACTACATCTCAGAGCAACAAAAAACACACATATTGAAAGAATGATTAACATAATGGCCTTGCAAACTTATAGGATAATGGGAACTCCAAATTTGAGACAGGAGTGGACAATATGTTTCACTGAATCATCATGCTGCATATTTTTGCCCTTTGTCTTTTTGACAGTTTCTAAGGGAAAATATGTTTAAAATGTCACCTAAAAGACTGACAAACTGAGGTGCTTATAACTTACTATACCTATTTCTAACAGAACAAGTGTAGTCTAAAAACCTAGTATTCAGTTCTACATTTATCAATAATGGCCCTCAATTAATAATTTTTAGTTTTTTAGTGATTTTTAAAATAGCACTTGTCCCTCCACCTTGTATCATTACTGCCCCCAGTGCAAATGCATGCATGGACACCAGTGGCCTCGCTCCCTGTCCCATCCCACCACCACCGTGGGCACAAATGTGTGCATGTAGGCTCCACCCACTAACACTTCACCACTATGCTGACACCACTGCCAGTTCAAATGCATGCACAGAGGCCAGTGGCCATGCCCCCTGCACCGCAAGACCACCACTACTTGTGTAAAGGTGGCACAGAAGCCAGCAGTCACACGTCTGCCAGTGCCCCACCACGGCCAAGAAGCATGCACCCCACCATGCTGCCACTGTTGCTGGCATAAGCAAATTAGCACAGTTCCTACTGCCACCAATCCAATGAAGTGCTTTAGTAGGCACCACCCATTGGAGTGTTGTGGCCAGTAGTCAGGGAACACTTTGGACCCTCCAGTGCAGTAGGCTCCTGACCTTGAGGGGCCAGAAAACAAAGCTGGGAGTCCAGTATTAGCATCCCTGAGTTACAGCATGCAGCCTAGGAGTACTAAACTGAGCCTTGGCCCCCTGAAATCTTCCAGAAGCCACACAAGTCAACTGGAGCCACCTTACAATCAAAACCCAAGGGCATCAAAGAAGATAAAAGCAAAAAAACAAAAACAAGCAAAAACAAAAACATCCAAAGGACAGCAGCTTCAAAGACTGAGGGAACATCAGCCAACACAGATGAGAAAGAACCAGCATAAGAACTTCGGAAACTCAAAAAGCTAGAATGTCTTCTTTCCTTCAAACAACTGCGCTAGTTCCTCAGCAAGGGTTCTTAACTGGGCTGAGATGGCTCATCACAACATGGATAGGAACAAAGATCCTGAAGATTCAAGAGAAGTTGAAACCCAATCCAAGGATTTTAAGGAATAAAATAAAATGATACAGGAGATGAAAGACAAAATGGCCATTTTAAGAAAGAACCAAACTGGTCTGACAGAACTAAAAAAACTCACTTCAAGAATTTCACAATATAATCACAAGTATTAACAGCAGAATTGGTGAAGCTGAGGAAAAGTTTCAGAACTCAAAGACCAGGTCTCCAAAATAACTAAGTCAGACAAAAATAAAGAAAAAACAATGAAGAATGAACAAAACCCCAAGATATATAGAATTAGGTGAAGAGACCAAATCTATGACTCATTGGCATTTCTAAAAGAGATGGAAAGAGAGGAAGCAACATGGAAAACAAATTTTGGGATATTTTCCATTAAAATTCTCACAATGCAGCTAGGGAGGCCAACATTCAAATTTAGGAAATGCAGAGAACCCTTGCACAATACACGACACAAAAAGATAATCCCCAAGACACATTATCATCAGAGACCCCAAGGCAAATGTGGAAGAAAAAAATATTACAGGCAGCTAGACAGAAGGAGCAGGTCAGCTCTAAAGGAAATTATATCAGAATAAAACTGGACCTTTCAGCAGAAACCCTACAAGCCAGAACAGATTGGGGGCCTATATTCCGATTTCTTAAATAAAAGAAATTCCAACTAGGAATTTTACATCCCACCAAACTAAGCTTATAAGTGAGGGAGAAATAGGATCCTTTTGAGACAAGAAAATGTTAAGAGAATTCATTACCACCAAACCTGACTTAGAAGAGGTCCTGAAGGGATTGCCAAATATGGAAATGAAAGACCGCTACTGGCCACTACAAAAACACACTTAGGTATATAGACCATTGTCACTATAAAGAAACCACACCAACAAGTTTGCCTAATTATCAGCTAACAAAACAATGACAGGATCAAATCCACACATATCAATATTAACCTTGAATGTAAATGGGCTAAATGCCCCAATTAAAAGACATGCAATGGCAAGTTAGATAAAGAAGCAAGACCCAACTGTATACTATCTTCCGAAGACCCATCTCACATGCAATAACACTCATATGCTCAAAGTAAAAGGATGGAGAAAAATCTACCAAGCAAATGGAAAACAAAACAAGCAGGGGTTGCTATTCTAATTTCAGACAAAACAGACTTTAAACAAGCAATAATCAAAAAAAGACAAAGAAGGGCACTACATAGTGATAATGAGTTTACTTCAACAAGACCTAACTATTCTAAATATATATGCACTCAACACAGGAGCACTCAGATTCATAAAGCAAGTTCTTAGAGACATATGAAGAGACTTAGATAACCATACCATAATAGTGAGAGACTTCAACCTCCCACTAACAATATTAGACAGATCACTGAGGCAGAAAACTAAAGATATTCAGGATGTGAACTCAACACTTGACTCAATGGACCTAACAAACATCTACAGAACTCTCTACCCCTAACAACAGAATATACATTCTTGAAATCTGCACATGGCATACACTCTAAATCAGCCACATGATTGGCCATAAAACAATTCTCAAAATTAAAAAAAAAAAAAGCCCCACAAAGTCATACCAACCACACCCTTGGACCATAGCACAATGAAAATAGAAATCAATACTAAGAAAATTGCTCAATTGTACAATTACATGGAGTAAAGAGCACCTTCTGAACCTGGGTTTCTATGGATATATCTGTGGGTTCTTGAAGCGGAAAACAGCAAGATTCTATTCCACCATAACAGTTTCTCATTTTCTCTCATCAGGTGGCCCTGCCTATTCTAGACCTCAGGGCACTATGCCCACCCTCTGCGTATTGTCTTCCTTTTGCCCAGTTTGAGTCCTAATATTACAGTTAGAATCTCACCTGAGGAAGACTTCTAAATGCAAAGATGGGGTCCTCAACTCTTGTGTGCTTATCTGACAAGGACCTCTCAAGACAAGTTTAACTCCAATGCAGCTTATCTCTCTTCTGCCCCAGTCTTTCTCTTAACTTGGATTTCCTGACACTAATGCCAAGACTCTGTTCCTGTCTTCTCATGCATCACATTGACCTGGCTCCAAGCGTGGCTTCTCTTGGCTCCCATGCTGTTCTCATCCTGGGCCCAACCATGCCTACTAGTGCTCATCATCTGGGTGTCATACAAAAGCTTTCTCCCCCATCCTCGATGGGACTGTGATATGTGACATTACACTCTCTGCCTTTTACTTGTTTTATTTTGTTGCTTGTAGAAGATCTGTTGATAAGACAACCATAGAGGTGAATGTGTTCTCTCTATCTTGCATAAAATTATAGTTCAAAATCTTGTCCACCTCTTCTAATCAAGAACCCTTATTATGATGCAGTAGACACTCTGAGGGATGAAACTCAATGGACTTTTCCAACATTTGAACTAAGAAAGTGCTGTATCACTGTATCAATTCGTAATACAATTTTTAAAACCCCAATTTAAAATATCTCTCAAATTAGAAGTTATGAAGTATCTCAGATCCCCAAACTCTATATATCCTTGCTACTGCAAGTGTGGACTTGAGCCTGTAACATAAGCACCCTAGGGAGATTGTCAGAAAGGCAGAATGTCAGGCCCCACGTCTGACCTATTCAATCCAAATCTGTATTTTTGTTTCAACAGGATCTCCAGGTGATTCTTGTGTGTATTACAGTTAGAGAAATACTGTTTTTTGTTCACTTTATTCCTTAGTAGGAAGCCTCGAATTTAAACATTAACTTAAAATGTAGACATGTAGGAATCTATAATATGTTTACACACTAAAGAGAAAGGATTTCATATTCACAAATGTTTGTGTGCTGCAGACAAAATGTATTTGCGTGTGAGTGTTCTCTGCTTCATCCTTCCCATCAACATTTTCACTGAAAAAATTTTATCTGCACCCTTAACTTCTCTTCCCCCTTTGCTTTCTAACGAGACTTCTGTCTTTTCCGGTCTAGTTTCTTGACTTTGAAATGTAGAAGCAGAAGAACAGGCCTTGGAAGATAGGAATAAAGAGCAAGAAAGAAAAAGAAAAGAGAACAGCAATAAAGCAGAGTAGGCTCACAGGTTGGGAATTGGGGAATAGCTGGAGGTAGAGAGAAGAGGATGAAGGAAGATCACATGTGATGAGCACATTCCAGCCTCAGCCACACCTGGACCAGACGAGAAGCAACAGAGATCAACTACCAGGGGGCAAGGGGGGCGGGTCATTGAACCAAAGAAGTGCCAGAGAGGGGAATGACAGCTGTGTGTCCAGACCAGGAGGGCTAGGTTCTGGGCATTGGCAGAGAGAAAGGCAGACCTTTGGAACAGGAGCACGGTTTGAGGACTGCATTGTAGACACACACGAGCAGCCTCTGAGCATTACCTCTATAAGAGGGAGGATATTGAGAGGAGCCAGAGTACACACCAAGATAATAACATAGACTGTAACACAGACCTTATATAGAAGGAACTTTGAGGCTGCAAATCATCTCTGTGGGTCAGAACACAGTCAAATAAATTATACTTTGATGCTGTAATTTTAATGCTGCTCTTACCCCAAGCTAGGGATAATTTACTTAAAACTGCAAAGCAATGATGTTTAAAATGATTTGGTACCAGTCAGTGAAATTGACCAAAATCTAGTAACTCTTATAATATCTATAAAAATATGTGTGTATAGATACATATATATTTGCATACACACGCACTATATATAATACTTATATATGAATTATAATTACCTATATATAATATAGGCATATATGTATATTATTTCTGTGTATGTGTGTACATATACAGTCAGCCCTCTGTATTTATGAGTTCTGTATCTATAGATTCAACCAACTGTGGCTCTAAAATAATTGGGAAAAAATATTCCACAAAGTTCCAAAAAGCAAAATTTGAATTTGCCACCCACAGAATACTATGTTGAATCCAGGCAACTGAAGCGATGTGTGGGCATTGTGTTAGGTATCACAAGGAATCCAGAGATGATTTAAAGCATACAGAACAATGTGCATAGATTTTATGCAAATACTACACCATTTCACATTCCAGGACTTGAGCATCCACGGATTTTGGTATTTAAGGAAGGAGCTATCCCAGAACCAATCCCCTGTGGATACCACCAGATGACTGTCTATGAGTGTGTATGTGTGTGATGGGTGTATATCAATATACACACACATATTACAATATACGTACCTTCTATTTGTACCACTTTTTTCTTCAAGAGTTCACAGAATTTACAAAATTTCAAACTGCTGTCCCAGCCTATTCACCCTATAAATTGGTGTGAATTCACCTTTAGGCTCTGGAGTGAGTACCCTAAATATATTAGAGTGTTGCCATTCCAAAAACCAGAAAAGGTTTTTAAAATAAATGATACTAAGTATTATTACCCTGCAGTTAAAGATAAACAAAAGCACTCAGGTAATAACTCACAATATAACTAGGAGGTCATATATAGAATGATCTCTGAGAAAGTAACATTTCACTGATCTGTCATTTGTTTTTTGTTTTTGTTTTTGTGTTTTTTGTTTTTTGTTTTTGAGAAGGAGTCTCTCCCTGTTGCCCAGGCTGGAGTGCAATGGCACGATCTCGTCTCACTGCAATCTCCACCTCCTGAGTTCAAGCAATTCTCCTGCCTCAGCCTCCCGAGTAGCTGGGATCACAAGTATGCATCACCAGGCCTGGCTAATTTTTTGTATCTTTAGTAGAGACGAGGTTTCACCATGTTGTCCAGGCTGGTGTCATTTGTTTTAAATTGGTGATCTCAGGTTAAAATCCAAATGACTTTCTAGATGCTTAAATTATGTATATACTAAACTTGAATGGAGAAGTGATTCTGATCATGTAAATCACTCTGCTTAGTGATCAATTTCAATTGCAATTCAACTTCTAAGCCAGTCACTCTTCATTATTTGAGGAATCACAGTGTCCTCATGGTGGTCTTCCCACTGGAACTGCAGATTCATAGGTATTCAGATTGGCATATGGTTGCCAGGGGTGACTGAAGGCATTTCATTCCTTAATGCCATATGGACTTTAATTTTATATATTTTTATTTTAAATGTTTACACAATTGTCTTACATTGCAATTTGTTAGCCTGATCCTTCCTTCTGCACCAGAGAAAAATTGTTTTAAGATATTTAAGAATGCCTCCACAATGCCCCCGCCTTCTGTTCCAAACCTCATATGGATTAATCTCCAAGTTATAAGGAAATTGATCCATCACCTCTAAAAGTTATACTTCCCACATTCTCACAAGATCTAGCACTGAACACAAGTGCACACACACACTTTTATCATTTTGTTATTACTTTGTGATAACTTATCATTAGACTCCCACACTGGGTTTGTTATATAACTTTCATGAATTACATAATGTACTGAAAGCTATTATTGCAAAATGGACAGTGTGTCTTTTCATTACCACCTGTGATTCTGAAGTGAGGGTTCAGAACAAACATTCCTCCCTCAGTTTTCTGTGAAGCGTCTACAAAAACGTCTTTATTCTTGCAGTTCAATTCTTACATTTTAAAATTCAATTTTTTAGGTAAGCAGGTTCATAGCATTTTCCCCAGGACCATTCCTATTAATATCCAAAATATCAAAAAGCTATAATTAACATTTAAATATATAAGATACTTAACAACAAAAATATTAAGTAGATTACACTGAGAGTCAATGTTATTCCTTGTTTCAGTTGGCATGTGAGTCTTTGAGATGGTTTTTAGTCTTTCCACTTTCCCTGGGATGTAGTTCATACTCTCATCCACCACGCACCCCAGATCTATGAAGGCACATCTTCCCCGGTCGGGGTGATCCCAGGGATCTCCTGCATGCAATGTGTACAGATTTTGGAATTGAGCACAAAATCCTCTCTGACCCATCCTAGCAGAAGTAATCTTTCTCTCTCTCTCTCTCTCTCATTCTCTCTCTCCTCATTTCTCTGTCTCTCTCCTGGCCAATCCCAAGTATTTATAATCTGTGTGTGTGTTTCCAGCTGCCCACTCTGGCTTCACATTGCTGTGCCCGTGCCAGGGAAGAGGCGGATTTGAAAAATATTTCTAATGATTAACATCTATTCTGTTTCCATCTCTTCCTAGATATGTACAACTTTTATCTCTCATATATATCTCTGGAGATTTACTTCTCATCTTCAATGGGCCAAAGTTCCTGACCAACCAGCTAAAATTCCTGGACCACATTGTAAACCAGATATGATTGGGTGCCACAAACAGTCTGTATCATCACCAGATAACAACTTTGGAGCAGGATTTCTTTTTCATTCTCCAAAATAAAATTAATTCCACTTAGAACAAGAGAGAAGGCATACTTCACCGATGACTTCACAGGGAGAAAAAAGAGTTGGATTGTAATGTACAGGGCACAGCACCCCATAATCCCCAACAGACACATACATCCATGCATTCTTAGGCATTTTCACCTCAGTCTTTCTTCTTGGCTTTCAGCAGTTATGTCCTCCCCATTCCCTCCTCATTCCCTCCTGACTTTTCCTTCCTTGAGTCTCCAGTGTTCTCTCTCTATTGCACGGACAATTGCCCTGCACCTTAATAAGTTGACTTTACTCGCCTGGGTGCATAAACTTCTGCATGTGCACATCTAATGCTAATCACTTTCTGCAAATGAGTAAATGCCCAGTACAAGGTATGACCCAGGTACTTGACATTTCCCCTTTCATTTTTAAAACTTCTCAAAAGTAACGAAAATAAAACACCAAAGCACAAGCTTTATTTTCAGTGAAATAGAAACAAGGCTCAAAAACATGTGTTAAAGACAACTAAAAGTAGCCAAGTTTATGTATAGCCCCATAGACAAGGAGCTTGATAGAAACCAATGAAAGATCTCACAATGAGTGAGAAACACCACATCAGAGAACTTGCCACCAAATATATACTCACTGAAGGTGAGGGTAGCATTTTGAAGGGCAGAGCCACAGCTCTTTTCCGCAACAGCATCATAGAAATAGGGCCTCCTACATGACAGCAGATAGTACTCCTAGATCTAGTTTGGGTCAGAGGAGCGGAGAAGACAGGACTCCCTAGTTAATCACACAAGCCTTATTTTTAGTAACTGTAAGACTCTGGTATCTGAGAAGATGCCTTATGCATGGACCCTCCATGCACATAGGAAACTTTTGCAAATGGCTTGTCAAAGAAAACCGAATTCATTCGATCATAAGTCATAAAAAGAACTATTCAGCAAGCATACAAAGACACTATAAGGCAGAAAGAACGAGTAGCAAGATTTCTTAAAAGGTGAGGAATATGGCCAGGCGCGGTGGCTCACGCCTGTAATCCCAGCACTTTTTGGGGCCAAGGCAGGCGGATCACAAGGTCAAGTGATCGAGACCATCCTGGCCAACATGGTGAAACCCTGTTTCTACTAAAAATACAAAAATTAGCTGGGTGTGATGATGCACGCCTGTAGTCTCAGCTACTTGGGAGGCTGAGGTAGGAGAATCACTTGAACCCGGGAGGCAGAGGTTGCAGTGAGCCGAGAAGGCACCACTGTACTCCAGCCTGGTGACAGAGCAAGATTCCATCCCCCCACAAAAAAAAAAAAAAGGTGAGGAGTATTCATAAGCAAAAGTGTTCCATGGAACAATAAAAATGTGGACAAATATTTTGCCTTCAGTTGAAAATAATATAACTTAATGGCAGAATGATCTCTATAACAAGAGACCATGAGCTAGAAATGCAAGAACTTAAGGGGAAAATGGTGAGAAGGCAGGAATGGATAAAGTGAGCAGAGCTCAGTAAGGAAGTAGAAAATATAACACTTTTAAATAAATGAAGTAAAAGTAGGAGAAAACAGATGAATAAACACAGCAGGAAACATAAAATGGGCATGGAGAATAGAAACAAGAGAAGTGAATAAAACAAAAAACTTCTATTAATGTGTACATATGACAATGAAACGCAGATGACATACAATATGTGTTGAATTATACTCCCAGGAGAAAAATAACACAAAATAATGGAATAGAACAAATGCTTAAGATATAATTTAAGAACACTTTCCTGATATAAAAGAAAACTTTACTCTGCAAATTGAACTGGCATAACTTGTCAGAGAAAGTGATCTAGAACATAAAGAAACATCTGCAAGATACTTAATACTTTTCCCATATGCCCCTAGAATACTCGCCTGCAGCGCTTGCAGCTGCAGCATTTACCCTGAGATAACTTTGCCACAAAATGTCTCATTTTTATTACTATTTTCACTTCACTCTAATATATCAACTTTGGAAACAAAAGACATAATTCTATTTAAAGTATTCTGGTTTTAGTAGTGGTATTTCCATTTACGAAATATAGTAATTCTCGATTGCTGAAAATGTCAAATCCTAGAAGATGGTAGTATTCCTACTCATGATGCTAACATCATTCTCCAATAGTTGTTGGCCAAAGATTCATTGAGGAATCTGATTTTTCCAAAATAAACCATTCTGATGATTCAGATGATACTGATGTTAGCTCTGTTTAGAAATAATTCCAAGAACAGTTTTAATATTTAATTTCCACATTGAGAAACAGTCAAATTTGCTTCAACTTCAAAGAGTGTGTTTATATAAAATTAAATGAGCACTGGCAGCAAGCTGCACTTTTTTTTTCCTAAATAAGGAAAGAGTTAAACAGAAATAGAGAGTAGTAAGAATTTCATAAAAGGTCAACTTTATTTCAAGTCTAGAGGCTACAGTAGACAGTTTTGAGCATTCAAGTACTCAGGAAATACTGTTCCCAAAAACCTTTAATAAATGACTACTGTGGGCGAGAGCAGTGGCTCACACCTGTAATCCCAGCACTTTGGGAGGCAGAAGTGGGTAGATCACTTGAGGTCAGGAGTTTGAGACCAGGCTGGCCAATGTGGTCAAACCCTGTCTCTACTAAAAATACAAAAATCAACTGGGTGTGGTGCCATGTGCCTATAATACCAGTTACTGGGGAGACTGAGGCAGGAGAATCACTTGAACCTGGGAGGGAGAGGTTGCAGTGAGGCAAAATCACACCATGCATTCCAGCCTGGGCGTCAGAGTGAGACTCTGTCTCAAAATAATAATAATAATAATAATAATAATAAATGAATAAAAAGACTGCTAGAGGAAGAACTTCAGCCAACTAATGGTTAAGTAAACTGTGTCAGAAAGACTTGGGGTACACATTAGCCATATATGATAGTAAAACTAACACTAAGAAAAGCCAGAATATTTGAGTGGCAAAATATAATAGATATTTTATGCCTTGACATTATAAAATAATAAAATAAAATTAAGGAGAGAGAGTTGGAAATGGAAAGAATATGTATGCTAATTGCTTCATCTGTAATAGCGGGGATTCAAGAATCTTATAAAAAAGTAAGATAATTGAAATAATATTTAGTATCTTAAGGAATCTAAAATGCATATTGTAATAATGGTGAACTAAATGATTATAGAACAAGTTTACTGTGAGAACTAGAAACACTTTAAAAAGAGGTTAAGAAAACAAACAAAACTTTTTTAAGGCAGCAAGGACTTGAGTAGCCAAGATCCAGAAAAAATGAGAATCACTCAAAAG
This sequence comes from Homo sapiens, assembly GCF_000001405.40. Lineage (NCBI taxonomy): Eukaryota > Metazoa > Chordata > Mammalia > Primates > Hominidae > Homo > Homo sapiens. The sequence continues at coordinate 57,769,345 of NC_000008.11, forward strand.
TTGGCTGATATTATTTTTTTCTGTTAAAAAATTTGCTGACTGAATAGAGAGGAGGCAGATAACAAAATGTTAAAGTGACAATTGAGAGGGAAAAAGCTAATCTGAGCTACTGACAGCTTTACAGATTTAGTGTACAAATATTGAATCTTAGAGTTTAAAGCTTGCTTAGAAGAAAAAATATTGGTGACCTTTCAGGACTTTAGCTGAACCCACCCCATCAAAGGGTTACACACTGGGAATAGGGATAAAAAAGATATGGACCACACCTTAAAGACACTGAAGCTGTGATTAGATAAAGATGAATGGCCTCTGATCTATCTGCCTATAAGCTGCAAAAATAAATCCTCTCTAGGGGAAAATAATAATATTCAGAGTCTCAAATTTTCTCTCTAATTCATCAAATATAATGGCAGGTACTCAATCAAGAATTATTTAACAAACCAGGAGATAGGACTATCTGACCAAATTCCAAGGAAAATTTCAGACAATGAAACAGGAGTTATGGAGACCTAGATGATGGAGTGATGAGACAGGATCTTACAATTAACTTTGGCTGTTATATTGATGATATTAGATGACAAGAAGTAGAAGTTTAGCAGAATACCTGAAATTTAAAATAATTAAAAGGAAATTATTAAACTGAAAAATGAAACAACCATTAAGAATCATTTTGCTGGCAGATTAGACAAAGCTAGAGAGTGAATTCTTGAACTGGAAATTAGATAAGAAGAAAATATCCAGTCTAAGTTATAGGGAGGAAAAAGAATGGAAGTTAGAGAAAAAAGTTTAAAATACATATGAAATGTAGTTTAAAAGTATAGCATATATGTAACAGAAGTAGGAGGAGGAAAGTAGAGAGATAATCGTGCAGAAATAAAGAATTAAGGACAAAATGCCTTAGACTACTCCCAAGTAGATAAAAGATATCAGACCACAGACTCAAGAAATGTTATGCACCCAGGTAGAATAAATAGAATTGATCTATTCCAGTGTGTATCATAGTAGAAGTACTGAAAACAAAAAAGATCACAAATGACAGGGTTAATTGAGTAGGGAAAATAAAATAATAATAAATTTTTGTGCATTAAATGGTAGACCTTTAAAATATATGAAGCTAAAATTAAGGAATTATATAAAATGGAAATAAACATCATGAAAAGTGTTGACATACATCAAAAAACAGCTGACGTACATCAAAAAACAAAAAAAGGAAGATGTATAGATTTTACATCTATACTTAGACATGAGATACTATTTGAGTCTAGCAATTGCAGAGTATACATTTTTTCAAGTGTATAAGATATATTTGTCAAAATTGATATATGCTGGTTAATAAATGAAATGTCAACAAATGTCAATGAATTGAAATTATGTGTACTATTTTCTCTAACCACAGTGGAATTAAGCTAGAAATTAATTTTTAAAACATAAGACTACAGATGTCTTCCCCTCCTATGAAGAAATAAGCAATATCCTTCTATATAACTCATGAGTTCAAATCGGTATATAAATCATAATGAAAAGAAAAAATGCATTCAACCAAGTGCTAATGAAAATGAAACATCAAAATTTGAGAACCCATCTCTCTAAGGTAGTTAATAGCCAAAAATGCATAGATTAGATAAAGAAAAAGCATGAAAATCAAATATTTAAGCATCCATTTCAATGCATTTGTGTAAGAGGAGCTACTTCAATGTAAAGAAAGTGGAAGGAAAGAAACAGTAAACAGTAAAAATTAGCAAAATAGAAAATGAGTTCACACTTATTTTTTCACATATTAAAGACTTTTGAAAAGCGTTTTGATGTCTTTTCAAATGCTTCATACATTGAATATGAAGTTTAATTTCATATATTGAAAGTCTTTCCAAACTGTCATCATTCTGTCAAGACTACACCCCTGCTCCATCCCTGCCACAAAAAAGAGAGAAAAGAGAGAAAGAAAGAAGGTACACATTGTTGATATCTGGAATGAGAAAAGCAACATAGCTAAAGATCTTAAATATATTAAAACTTTAAAAAGAACACACTGTATTCTTACATATACCTAAAATGCTAGAACAGGAAAAATTAGTATATGGAAAAGAAGAAAATCAAAACAAGAATTGGCTCTAGGGAAACTGTAAAGGTGATTTACTGAGAAGAGGTATGATAAGACATTCTGGGATGATGACAATGTTGTGTATCTTGATAATGGTTTGGTTTGCAAAGTTGGAAACTCACCAGATGGAACACCTAAGATATGTGCATTTTATTGTACGTAAATTTTATCCCAAAAGGAAAAAAGTAAAAACAAATATTGAACACAAGTTAACATATGCATTCTGAAGTATTTGTCGGAAATTGCACTGACTTTTGCAACCTACTTTAAAAAGCATTAAAAAAGATGAATTGAAGAATGAAAAAATGAGTAGATGGATAAATAAATAACAAATTATAGTAAATACACCTTGTAGAATTTAGGTAGTGTGTATCTGGGTGTTCACTGTAAAATTTTTTGACTTTTGTATGTTTCTGAAATATAAATTGTAGAATCTAGGTAGTGTGTATCCGGGTGTTCACTGTAAATTTTTTTTAACTTCTGTATGTTTCTGAATTTTTTTGCATGCAGAAAAGAATAGAACATAATGAACAAGTTTATCTCAATAATTTGAAATTTTAATAAAATAACTACATTTCTAGCAAAAACACAACTTACCAAATCAAACACAAGAGGAAATAAAAAACCTGTTTAACTTTCTATCCAAAAAAATTGATTTTATATTTACAGATCTTCCTGCAGAGAAAATTCCAAGTTGGAGTCCAGAAACAGACTCATATTTAACAACACTTGATTTTTTTCAAAAGTGACACTACAGAGCAGTAGTGAAAAAGGGAAAAAATCTTTTTTTCAACAAATAGTTTAATGGAAACAGCCATAGTAAAATTGATATATATAACGTAAGAAACTAAGCTAACCCATACCTCACTCCAGACAAAAAATTCAATTCCAGGGGGACTGCAGAACTAAATGTGAACGGTAAAACAATAAAGTTTCTAAATTATGACATGGAAAAAGTTTTCATAACCTTGTGGTAGAGAAGAACTTTTTACACAGTACATTAAAGCATTCTTCATAATTGAAAAAAGTATCAGATAGGAGCAAATTAACATAAGAAACTTCTGTTTATCAAAATGTATCCTTCAGAAGATACAAATCCATGCCACAGAGAGGGTCATGCTGGTTGGCTGACTTTCAGACCAAGACAATAAAGCAAAGTTACTGAATCCTTCAGTGTTTGGGGATTGACTAATTAATGCTGGTTGTAAATTAGTTCAACCATTGTGGAAGACAACGTGGTGATTCCTCAATGATCTAGAACCAGAAATACCATTTGACCCAGCAATCCCATTCCTGGGTATATACCCAAAGTATTACAAGTCATTCTACTTTAAAGACATATGCACATGTATGTTTATTGCAGCACTATTTACAATAGCAAAGACTTAGAACCAACCTAAATTATAGAAAGGATAAAGAAAATGTGACACATATACACCATGGAATACTATGCAACCATTAAAAAAATGAGATCATGTCCTTTGCAGGGACATGGATGAAGCTGGAAATCATCATTCTCAGCAAACTAACACAGGAACAGAAAATCAAACACCACATGCTCTCATTCATAAGTGGGAGTTGAACAATGAGAACACATGAACACAGGGAAGAGAACATCACACACCGGGGCCTGTTGTGGGTAGAAAGGGACATTGGGTCAAATAACTAATGCATGCACGGATTAAAACCTAGATTATGGGTTTATAGGTGCAGCAAACCACCATGGCACAAGTATTCCTACATAACAGACCTGCACATTCTGCACATATATCCTGGAACTTAAAGTAAAATACATGTGTGTGTGTGTATATATATATATATATATATATTCAGATATAAGCATGGAATACTACACAGCCATAAAAAAGAATGAAATCATGCCCTTTTCAGCAACATGGATGCAGCTGGAAAACATTATCCTAAGTAAATTAACACAAAAGCAGAAAACCAAATACTACATGTTATCACTTACAAGTGGGAGCTAAACATTGAGGGCACATGGTCATAAATGGGAACAATAGGTATGGGGGAATATAAGAGAGGGTAATGGTTGAAAAAACTACCAACTGAGGACTATGTTCACTACCTAGGTGATGAATTCATTCATACTCCAAACCTCAGCATCACACAATATACCCTAATTACAAACCTACACATGCATCCCCTAATTCTAAAATAAAAGTTGAAAAAAGAAAAAAAAACAGCTCTAAGATTGCTTGTTTAGAGTTCGGAACCAGGACTAAGGAATAGTCCATCTTTTCCTCTTTTGAACATGATAAGTTATCAAGGAAATGTAAATTTAAGTCAATTTCCACCAAATGAAAAAAGTTAAAGACTGACATAACTAGTGTTGGCAAGGGTATATGGCAGCCCCATCTCTGAGATACTTCCAGTGAGAGTATAAGTTGGTACGGCAACTTGGGAAGACTTTTGACAGTCAAAGGTGAACATATGCACATCTATGGTTCAACAATTGTTTTACCTTACTGCCTGCAGGGAGTTTCCAGACTAAGGTGCAGGGAAGGGAAACCCAGGACGATTCTGACCATTGAGACAAAGCTGGAAGTATAACACAAAATCCTGAAGTAATCATAAACAAATTATTAGTGTTAAAGATATCAAATATGTCATTTTATAAAAGCTTTGTGGAGCAAAAATCTCTTAAGTGAATCTAAAAGACAACCGACAAAAGGGGAAAATATATTTGAAACATGGAACACACACAGAGAATGAATCACTGTAATGTGTAAAGATTCCTTAACAATTTTTGGCTGTTGGGCCAGCAAAATATCACATATTTGAACACAACAGAATGGGTGAAGCTATGGGGAAATTTGTTTCCCTACATTTGAATGGGAGTGTTTATGATATAAGATCTATGAAGAGAAAATTGACGTTGTCTCTCAAGTTACAAAAGTATATACCTTCAATTTTACAATTCCTCTTCCCAGAATGCATTCAACACATAGAAATAGTGGTAAGACAAGGTTATTCTTGGTGGTGTTGTTTGTAAAAGAAAAAGATTGAAAAGGACTCAACTGTTAATCTACAGGTGAATGATTAGATAAATAAAAGTACAGTCATAAGATACGATGCTAGTCAGATTAAAAAATAAAAAGAACAAGGGATCTCATTGTGGATTGGTAGCAAAGAATCTCCAGTATATATTGTTCAGTTAAAAACTTAATTGCAGAATAGTACACATAGTGTGATGTCGTTTGTGTAAAGCATGAGAGGGGAAGAAATATTAATGTTGACTTTTATATGCACAAAATTTATCAGAAAAGATGGAGAAAAATGAATAAAATGGAAGAGAAAAAACAAAACAGATAGGGGTGGGAAGGAGAAACATCATTGTGTTCCTTTTCATCTTTTTTTGATATTCAAACTATGTGACTCCATTATCTATACATCTTGTATATGTATATATACATTATCTATACCTATATAAAAAATAAAACCATTTCAAAAGACATTACAAGGAGAGCAATGAATGTCTGTATACAAAAAAGAGAGAAAATATTTTTAGGTAATCAGATGCACTCTCCCAATAAGACTGTCTGGAAAGGATAATAAATGAATATTTCTACCTCATTATCATATTAGATTTCTGTACAATCTAGTGTATGAAACAACAAAAGTGCATTAAGAAGCACTCAAAGAACAAACTCATTATTGTCAGATGTAAAATGCTAGTGGTTGGCAAAAACAAAGGCAGAGAAACACGGATGTAAGAGAACATTGAATTTTTGGGTATTTCTGGGACATATGAAGAGTGGCAACACAGATCTGGAAGAGCGGTTGAAGCCAGGTCACAGAGGACTTTAACTGTAAAACTTGGTGTGAACTGCATTGTTTTCCATGGAACTATAGTCAGTTCATGTGACATATTCCAGAACAAATTTAAATGAGTCCACCTCAATCTGTCATTAGTTTTACATAAATGCAGTTTACATCCTTCTGATAAATGCCCGAAGATATTATAAAATAGCTGCTTAGAAAATACTGTGCTTTGAATACACTTTCTGCTATTTTTCAAGAAAACAGCTCAAAAGTAAACCCCCAGGAAGCGTTGTCTGACTGAACTATTTTGCAGCTATCTTGGTGAAAAGTCCAGGACATGAGCAAGCTTGAGAAACTGATATAAGCAATAGTCAATGTTCTTCCCCGGTACTGTATTTCCAGATGTTGAATGATAATGATTGGATAAATAAATAAGCCTTTTCATGTGCAGAAGGTCAACATAGAGCATTCATCTTTGTTGTTGTTTTTTGTTTCATTACTGTAGAGAAGAGTGTTGAAATGTCTTCTTTCTTTTACAGATGAAGAAGTGAAGCTGGTGAGAAAATCAGCAGTGCCTTCTCAGGCTTGCCTATATATCACTGTAAGTGTCCCGTTGTTTATGTCATTTGGATACTGCCAGCCATAAGGAATGGCTAACTAACGTAGTGGCTAACCAGTGTGAGAAGTGCCTCGGGAAAGCAGTGTAATTGTGGAGAAAAGGCCACGCAATCAAAGGCAGGGATGATGTCCTGCCACGTAGGAGGTTAATGAGTAAAGGGGAGGAGACAGAGGGCCCCCAAAAGGAATCAGTCCTTCCAGCTCCTGCCCATGGGCCAGCCACAGCTGGGATGCTCACCACCTCTACACCTGGGAGGGCAGGGAGGCAGGAACATGGCAATTGGTAATATTTCAAGACGCTAAATCTGAAGCAAAATTCACATGCTGACTTGATACTGCACATACATGTGAGGTTTCTCAAGAAAGTAAGGGTCAGGCATGGTGGTGGCTCTTGCCTCTAATCCCAGTGCTTCAGGGGGCCAAGATTGGGAGAATCACTAGAGGTCAAGAGTTAGAGACCAGCCTAGGTAACATAGCAAAACCCCATTTTCACATTTTTTTTTAATTAGTCAGGCATAGTGGCAAGCACCTGCAGTCCCAGCTATTCAGGAGACTGAGATGGAAGGATTGCCAGAGCTCAGGAGTTTGAGGCTGCAGTGAGCTATGATCCACCACTGCACTCCAGCCTGGGCAACAGAATGAAACCTTGTGTCTAAAACAAAATGTAAAAAATATATTTGACAGATGTTGGTGACCTTCTAGGTGCTAGGTTCTATGTTGAGGGATCTCAAAGGCTGAGACCACATTTTCTTAATGTCATATACTTGCTCACCATTCTCAGACCTCCCTGATATGGTTTGGCTCTGTGTCCACACCCAAATCTCACCTCACATTGTAATTCCCATAATCCCCACGTGTCAAGGATGGACCAGGTAGAGGAAATTGGATCATGGGGCAGTTCTCCATGCTGTTCTTGTGATAGTGAGTAAGTTCTCACAAGATCTGATGGTTTTATATGCTCCTGGCTTTTTCCCTGCTTGCAATCACTCTGTCCTGCTGCCCTGTGAAGAAAGTGCCTGCTTTTCTTTTGCCTTCTGCCGTGATTGTAAGTTTCCTGAGGCCTCCGAGCAATGCAGAACTGTGAGTCAATTAAAGATCTTTCCTTTACAAATTACCCAGTCTCAGACTAATACAACAAATTGGTACCTCAGAGAGTGGGGTGCTGCTATAAGGATACCCGAAATTGTGGAAGCATCTTTGGAACTGGGTAACAGGCAGAGGTTGGAATAGTTTGGAGGGCTCAGAAGAACACAGGAAGATGTGGGAAAGTTTGGAACATCCTAGAGACTTGTTGAATAGTTTTGACCAAAATGCTAATAGTGATATGGACAATGAAGTCCAGGCTGAGGTGGTCTCAGATAGAGATGAGGAACTTTTTAGTAACTAGAATAAAAGTGACTCATGCTATGCTTTAGCAAAGAGACTGGCAGCATTTTGCCCCAACCCTGGAGATCTGTGGAACTTTGAACTTGAGAGAGATGATTTAGGGTATCTGGTGGAAGAAATTTCTAAACAGCAAAGTGTTCAAGAGGTGGCAGAGCATAAGAGTTTGGAAAATTTGCAGCATGATGATGCAGTAGTAAAGAAAAACCCATTTTGGGGGGAAGAAATTCAAGCCAGCTGCAGAAATTTGCATAAGTAACAAGGAATCAAGACAATGGGGAAAATGTCTCCAGGGATGTCAGAGACATTCGTGGCAGCCCCTCCCATCACAGGACTGGTATCCTAGAAGGAAAAAATGGTTCCATGGGCTGGGCCCAGGGCCTTGCTGCTTTGTGAAACCTTAGGACTTGGTGCCCTGCATCCCAGCCATGGTAAAAGGGGATAACACACAGATCAAGCCATTGCTCCAGAGGGTGCAAGCCCCAAGCCTTGGCAGCTTACACATGGTGTTGGGCCTATGGGTGCACAGAAATTAAGAATTGAGGTTTGAGAACCTCCACCTAGACTTCAGAGGATGTATAGAAACACCTGGATGTCCAGGCAGAAGTTTGCTGCATGGGTGGAGCCCACATGGGTAACCTCTGTTAGGGTGGTATGGAAGGGAAATGATGGGTCAGAGCCCCCACACAGAGTTTCCACTGCGTCACTGCCTAGTGGAGCTGTGAGAAGAGGGGCACCATCCTCCAGGCCCCAGAATTGTAGATCCACTGACCATTTGCACCTGCACCTGGAAAAGCCACAGGCACTAAATGCCAGCCTATGAAAGCATCTGGGAGGGGGGCTGTACCTTGCAAAGCCACAGAGGCAGAGCTGCCCAAGGCCATGAGAGCCCACCTCTTGCATCAGCATAACCGGGATGTGAGACATGGAGTCAAAGGAGAGCATTTTGGAACTTTAAGGTTTAATGACTGCCCTAATAGATTTTGAGTTTGCATGGGGCCTATAGCCCTTTTGTTTTGGCCAATTTCTCCCATTTGGAATGGGAGCATTTATCCAATGCCTGTACCCCCATTGTATCTAGGAAGTAACAAACTTGTTTTTGATTTTACAGGCTTATAGGTGGAAAGGACTTGCCTTGTCTCAGATGAGACTTTGGACTGTGGACTTTGAGTTAATGCTGAAATGAGTTAAGACTTTGGGGCACTGTTGGGAAGGCATAATCGGTTTTGAAATGTGAAGAAATGAGATTTGGGAGGGGCCAGAAGTGGAATGATATGGTTTGGCTTTGTGTCCCCACCCAAATCTCATCTTGAATTATAGTAATCCCCATGTGTCATAGGAGGGACCTGTTGGGAGGTAATTGGATCTTGGAGTGGTTTCTCCCATCCTGTTCTCATGACAGTGAGTTAGTTCTCATGAGATCTGATGGTTTTATAAGCATCTGGCATTTCCCCTGCTTGTACTCACTCTATCCTGCCACCTTGTGAAGAAGGCACCTGCTTCTCCTTTGCCTTCCACCATGATTGCAAGTTTCCTGAGGCCTCCCCAGAGATGTGGAACTGTGAGTAAATTAAACCTCTTTCCTTTATAAATTACCCAGTCTTAGGTATTTCTTCACATCAGTGTGAGAATGGACTAATACACTCCCCAAAACACATGCACATGCACAAATCCTGTGCTGACCACCTCGAAGTATCTGGAGCCCCTGCTCTCTTTTCACTAGACCCTCTGCACATTAAAAAATTCAAATCGACATACTGTGACTAAAGTACATATAAACGTAGAACAAAGAAATTAATAAAAATCATTTTAATAAACAACATATTAACAGTTATACAACTTAACAAACATATTTCTTCTCTTATTTCTAAATTCTGTAGGGAACCCAGTAACCGCATCAGTGATAGAGTGGGAAGCTCCTTTCAGAGGCCTTGGACTTGCTGAGTCACTGTGTTATACTCCAAGCAGCACACTCAACTCTTTGCTGATGGAGGGGTTTATTCTCAAGAAGCATGTACCTCATGCTGTCTCCTGTTGCCCCCACCTCTCAGTTATGACTTTTTGTCCCAAATTGAAACCAGGAGAGATCTCCCTTCTTTATTATCTGAAAGGGCAAAATTTGTATCTCTCAGGAAGAAGCCAACTTAGCAAGCTCTAATAGCCTGGTGAGAGAGAGGACGCAGGGAAAGGCTGAATGTATTTGAATGGTGCTGATTCATGTAGGTCCTTGGAAAATATGAAAAATTTCCATTTCCTAGGATATGTTTGCCCTCACTACTCACTATTATATATTCACTATTGGGAATATCCAGACACCTTAAAAGGTGTCAAGACCTGACAGAGATCAGGTGGCTTTGTTGTGGGATTTTATGATATCTTTATTTATTTATTTATGCCTCTTTGTAGTAGATGTATTAGATGATTATTACATTTATTATGAGATATTAGTAATCAGACACTATGCAAAATGCTTCACATACATTACTTCATCTAGGATTCTGTCCACTCTGTGAGCTGCAACTATCATTATCCTCATTTTTCAGATGGAAAAAGTCAAGTATCTTGCCTAATGCCACACAGCGAGTAAGCATGAAACCTGGGATTCAAATCCAGGTAATCAGGCACCAGAATCCACCATATAACCACACATAGGCTGCATTTGAACATCTTGGGGTCAATGAGCTGTCCATTCTTGGGCAATAGGCTCACAGATCTGTGAAGAGCCAGCATCACACCATTGGCAAATTCGGGCTTGTGGAATTCCTTGAGGAGATGCAGGCAGCATCACTGAGCTGAGTTTTCTTTCCAAGATGTTTAACTAGTCAGGGCACCAGCACATGGAGGAAAATCACAGTGCCACAAGAACGCTTGCTTCAAAATACAGATCAAAGATTTTGGCTGCTCTCTAGGTGCTGAAAGCAGAAATAACCTTGGAACAGATTCCTAACAGGCATCTGAAACCAACTCCTGGGACTCCTTGCCTGGTGAATGGGTCCTTGTAGTGGTGCCATGGGCCTCTGAAAGACACAACCCCTCGCTGCTCCCCGACTACAACTCAGCGGAGGTCTTCTGGCCTCATCAGTGCCCAGACGGGTGTTCATGCATGGAAATGGATCTGGCATTTGTTCACCTATAATAGTTGTTTGAGGAGTTAATCCTAGCAAAAATAGGTCAGCATCTTTTCTCCTTTTCTTGGGATTAACTCCACAGCAACTCAACCAGGCAAAGCTGAAGCGTTTTATAGAACCAGATGCATAATTTCTGTCACACAGACTTCTTTGTTAAAGAGTACCCTGGCCCCAGGATGTGTTTGGAGAAAACTTTTCATATGGGTTTATTCTTCACAATGAATGAAATCTTTTCCTGACCTGCAGATAGGCTGCTTTTCTTGGTCTTCACTTCTCATCTCAAACACTTAATGGTAAAAACAAATGAGGTGACAATGCAGTCAGTCGAGGGAGCTTGTGAGGCCTCAAATAGACTAACCAGAGATGACCGGAGAGCTGTGCTTGCCATGCCACCAGCAAAGGCCAAGGGCCACACTGTGGCTTCCGTGGCAAAACCTCATTTCAGCAGCTCCTAACTTCAAAGGGCTCCACCAATAAGACCCTATCGGAGGTCCTAGAATCTCATCAGCAATATATTCAGCAATTATCTCCAAAAGCATTTCTTTTACTTGTCTAAATCCTTTGAATTATAGATGTACTGCTCCTTAGCTTCTTTCCCTTACATTTCCTTTCTCTCTACCAACAAAAAGCCATCAGCCCTGAGAAAGACTCTTCCATTTTCTGGAAGTGTGAGTGGGCACAGCAGGTCAAGACAAGGGCCAGTGAGGACATGGAAGCACTGTCCACCCACATGCCCAATGAGGAAGCACAGGATTGGCTGCAGATCTTGGAATATGGGTGCTTTTTCAAGACTGGGGAAAAATTGTCAACTATTCATAAACATAAGCAAAGGTCAAAATGAGTGTCACAGTAAATATTTGATTGGACTTGAGAAATCAACCTAATATTGTAAGTTCTAAGAAGAATAACTTCAAAGCAGAAGAGTCTTGTATTTGCACTTTTCAGATAAAATCTCTCTGTTGGCTGGGCTTAGTGATTTACACCTGTAATCCCAACACTTTGGGAGGCCTCGGTGGGAGAATCACTTGAGGCCAGAGATTTGAGACCAGCCTGAGGAACATAGTGAGACCTTGTCTTTATTTATAAAAAATAAATAAAAATAAAAATAAATAAATAAATAAAAATTTCAAAATCTTTTCCTTGCAGTGCTAAGGCATAAAGTTTTACAGAATTTAGAAACACATCAAGAACATTTCTGTCTATCACCAGTGGGTCTTTCAGGATAAGCTGTTCCCTTCTTTATGGACTCTTGACCTTCTCTGGACCTGCTGTAAATAATAAACATTTTCTCCATGGTAAAAATGGCCATTTCATTGCACTTTAATCAAGATACCCATTAACAAACTGTCACTTTGTACTTATCCAGGACTAGGTCATCTAAATGCATAAGAGTTATATAAAAGCATGAGACTTGGGGGCAGCAAAGGTGATAATAGGGGCTTATGGATTTCTATGAATTCTTCCTTTTTCAATAGTAGATCTGTCTCAAGATATGATTTTCCCATAGCGCTAAATAAGTTTCAAATGTTTGCTTATATCAAGACCAAACAAACAAGGGGCATTGAACTTTTTATAAAATTCAAGTTACATTGCAGTAAGAACACCAGTCAAGTTTAAGAAATATGACAATCGGGGAACTTGGATGCTGTTCTAATTAATGCTATGTTTAACAGTAATGGCACAAATTGCAACAGGGTGCAAAATTAATGAGAAAATACCCAATTCTATTAACTTTCTAAGAATTTAGGTGGTCTTAAATCCCTTAGGTTGGCTAACTAGTGATTAGAAACCATCTCAAGTTATTTCTGTGTTTGCACTCCATTATCACTTTTCCTGAATACTTAATAATGGCCAATCATTAGGCAGTTCCCACACACTGTTTTATAGGCTGTAGGCAAAAGTCTTTGTTCCCATTGCTGCCTGCCAAATATGCTGTGCTGTGCTGTGCCTGCCGTTCTTGTTCCTGGCTGTATCTCAGGTAGGGTCTATAGACTTTCCCATCACTTTCAGACACTAACAGTATCAAGTAGTTCTATTCTATCTTTAAAAAAAAAATTACAACTGCAATCTCTTTCATCTTCAGACTTCTCCCTTCCCCTAGCTCAGGCGTCCCTTAAAGGCCTGGAGTAGGGAAGGGAAGACGTGTCAATATCTTCACTGTTTGTCACTTTGGCTGTCCCTCCTGCCTTCTGCACTCAGACACCCTTGTCCTTGCCAACTGTCCTGCAAGCAGGATGACTCCAGGAGCTGCTCACCTGGAGACTTCTTCAGGCAAAAGGCACTCTCCATTCCCTGTGTCTCTAAAGCTCTGAGGACTCATGGGTATTCTCATACCTTTCTTCCTGGCTTTTGGCAGCAGCCCAGGACACATTCTTTGGAGACAGAGTTCCAGTACTCATTCTGGAGCACAGGACAAAGAGCCATTCAGCAACTCTTTACAAGGAAATCTTGTCTCTCCTTCACCTTCCAAGTAATCTCCTTGCCTCCTTTTCTATACCTAAGATCAATGATGGCTAAGGGCCCCAGACCATTGTGTATTTTGAGAGATGGTCACCCAAAGCATGTTCTGCATAGGGGGTCTGACCCTTCTCTTTATAATATGTGGTCACTTGATATTCTTTGCTGTCAATTTTTCAAAAGAGCAAAAATCCCACTTGACCTCCCACTACATAAGGATTGCATATCCAACTAAACAAGGTACGCATGGCAAGGGATCTTGTCACATAGCTCTTTACGTTAGCCACAGTTTCTTCCTCAGTGCACTCTGAACAGTATACAGTGTGACCATCAGCCACGTCACAGATGTGATTTATGTAGGATAGATGAGAAGGAACCCCAGTGTCTTATCTATAATAATTTGGATATCTATGTTAAAATGTGGTTGGTTCTATAATGATGCTCTGCTTTTGACAAACTCTTTCAAAATAATTAACGAACTGCTATGCCTAATTGTATTTAAGAAGAGAGCTTCTACTAGAATTTGTATAAATGTTCACAGAAACACAAATATTTCCTCTCTCCCTCTCCCTCTGTCTCTTATGTGGAGATGAGAGTCTTGCTGTGTTGCCCAGGCTGGTCTTGAACTCCTGGCCACAAGCAATCTCCTTACCTTGACCTCCCAAAACACTGGGATGACAGGCATGAATCACTACTCCTGGCCCTAAACCTTTTCTCCTAAACGCTTTGGTAAACACTTTCTAAATCAACCTGCATTTCATCCTTTCCCTTCTTGGATGAACTCAGTAGTTGGTAATATACTGAAACCCTACTCGCTGTATCATCATTAGTCCTCACAATAATAGCTGCTGAAACTACCGTGTTCAAGGATGACTTATTACGACATAAATCTCCAGCAATTAGCACAGAACCCAAAATAAACAGGAATCCAGATATTATTTTTTGTTCAAGATAAGAGCAATAATGGTGATTGGTGTTGATAATGAAATCCCACTGAGTCTAGACATCTTCCAACTTGAGTAAAACCAATTTTATGAGCCTGTTTTCTCAAATATTATCTCTAAGTTGTCCTTCAAACATAGAATATACATTATACCCTTCTATTCGTAACCTCTGTCCTCTACCCTTTGAATTCTCTTTTCAAGTCAGCTCTAAGAGTTAGGGATAGTCTATACATTTAGTTCTTTTCCCTTCTGCTGCCAAATGTCTGTACCTAATAAACAATAATACATGAGAAGAGAATACATCAGCTCCAAAAGTAGGAATGAGTATTATCTGCATGCCACAGACTTCAAGAATGTTACATAAAAATAATGCTGAAGAGACTAGACTGAAAAAGCAATAGAAGAATGACAGACAAAAATCATTGTTGAGAATATAATCCTACTCAGAAGTCGACGGGAGACCTTGTTACATGCCCAACATGATCCACGAGAACTAAGAGTGACAGTCGCCCAAGGGCCCATCAGAAGGACACAATTCGAACTCTGTCTTGTCCCAAGAACTAGCAACAAAAAGTCCTAACTGTGTATTCAAAATGCCCATTGGCATTTCCTAGTAATGTGATTACAGTAATTAGAGGAGCACCAGGGTATATCTGGGCAGAGCCCACAACAAATAGAAAAATAATTTTTGGAGGTGTAGAAAGAGAGGCTTCTCTAACCCCATTCCCAAATTGTATCAACTTGTAGCTCCAGCTTTTTCAACTTTCTTCTAGGAATTGTAAATAGAACACCCAACTTATAAGAGAAACCAGCTCAGAAACTAGGCTAAATATTAATATTGAGCCATTTTACATTTTTCTTTGTAATTATGAATTCAAAAATTATATGATGTCCCACATAAAACTCCTAAGTTTAAAGGGAGGAATTGGCTTTGTAGACTCATATTAGCTAACTCTTTCTGAAATATCAATTTGTGTTCTCAACAAAATTTAAAAGAACATTCCGCTTATGACACTAGAAATAAGCAGCAGTGAAAAAGAGAAGATGTGGGCCAGCTGACTCATTTCTGTGAAATTTGGAATGCCATCAGGGACAGTACTGCATCTGCAGTGGCATTGTAAGTTGCCATGCCCACTTCCTCCTTTATCACTCAACCCACACCCAACCGTAGCTCCATAGGTGGGTCCTGACAGGTCTAATCAGCACAGTGCCCTCAATGGAAAGAACCAGGGGGTAGAGAAAGGCACTGATAGCTTCTGCACATGAAAGTATACAGATACACACACACACACACACACACACACAGACACACACGCATGCATGCATGCACGCTTATTTTGCACCAAAATCTTAATGGTGATTTTTTTTCTTCAATTTTTATTTTAAGTTCCAGGGTACATGTTCAGGATGTTCAGGTTTGTTACATAGGTAAAGATGTACCATGGTGGTTTGCTGCACAGACCAACCCATTACCTAGGCATTAAGCCCAGCATCCATTAGCTATTCTTTGTAATGTTCTCCCTACTCCCATCTTCCCACAGGCCCCAATATGTGTTGTTCCCCAGATGTGTCCATTTGTTCTCATGGTTCATCTCCCACTTATAATTGAAAACATGCAGTGTTTGGTTTTTTGTTCCTGAGTTAGTTTGCTGAGGATAATGGCTTCAAGCTCCATCCATGTCCCTGCAAAGGACATGATCTTCTTACTTTTTATAGCTGTGTGGTATTCCATGGTGTATATCTAATGGTAATTATTTAAATTAGCGATAATTTAAAAAATTGTTTCTGCTTCTATATTTTATATTTTTCTAAATGAGTTTCCTAGATGAATATATACATCATCCTGACCCATTCAGTCTGAAACAACAAAACAAGTTGTCAAATTGAATGGGTCAGGATGGCGTATATATTCTTGTTTTGAGTCAGAGATATTGAGAAACTACTGGGTGACTAGAAAGCAGATTAATTTGTGTGGCCTGGATTCTAGCACTGGAGATATCAGTCTTCAGCCGAAAGCAAGTCTGGTGGAAATAGACCTGTCCAATAGTAAGAAAAGGTATGATGTGCAATAGTGAAAAAAGGTGTGATGTGCACTAATAGAAAGAATCTGGGAAAATTTATTTTTATTTTTTAAAGCTTATTTATTTTATTTTGTTTTTCAACCAACTTCCTGAAAAGTAACCTAGAAAATTATATCAATCATTAACATTAAAAAGCAACAAGCACACACACGAACACACACACAAAGTTCTCTTTTGCAAAGGAGACAGAAACCTTAGCATTCTAACAGAATCCTGTATGCCCAGGGCTGAGTAACCCCAGTGAGCATCTAACTGAAGACTTCTCAACCAGAAGGCACCCCTGCAACCCCTCCACATTTGTGTATCTTGTAATGAAGCTGCCAATGCTTCCAAATACGTATGTTGAAAAACAGTCACGGAAAAGTGAATAACATTTCCATTGCCTGTATTGAGCCATTTTTACCGCATATGTTCTCTGATATCATAAGCTTCTCAAAATTGTGATAATATATTCAACTCTTTTAGTCTTTGAAATGCTTAGAACACTTTTCTTCTTTTTTCCCTTTTCTTTCCTTTTTTATTTTCTTCTTTCTTTCATTTTTGGAGCACTCATTTAAGCCTTGTACATATATCATCTGCATCATCTCAATATAAATAAATTCTCGTATTGTAAGATTGCAAAAACATAGAATACATCATCTGAGGATGTAGTTCTAGCCCAGCTTAAACACCAAAATGCTTAGGTCAAAAGTTCATGCTTTTATACATTCATCTCACTCACCCTCTGGTTTTTCTGTGACTCACTTCTTGCTTTTACTTTTGGTGAATGTCCCTTAAAAACAGAAAAAGAATCTGTGGCCATTTTCCAATATGATGAATGTTCATAGCTCAAAAATTGACAAGTATCATATATTTCTACAATCCAATCTTACTTTTCTATACTTCCTAACTATCAATGAAAAGGGAAGATATGCAGTGCAACCTGTGGACCAAGGTTACTTTCTTGCTGTTACGTATGTTTTATATTGTCTTTGTTATACTGGGGGAAGCAGGAAAGTTAGGAAATCAGTTCAGCACCTAATCAATCCAAAGCAAAGCAATCTACATACACATCAGTGTGATTTTTCTGAAATTTCCAGGTGTAGTTAATTTCATATCTACTTTTACCAAATATCAAGATAATATTGCAGAAAGATTTCCATAGTTCCAATTTCCAGCTCCTGGACAACCATGAGATTTGCAATGCCAGATATAAATAATTTACCACCTCACTACTCACCCCTATAAATTTTATTTTCAATAATTTTACCAAACATTTTGGCTATAATCAAGTACCTATCTTCCTAAGTCTTTAGTTTTACATCATAGAAATATTTCAATCAATGAATAAGCCATTTCTCAGAATGCATTTTTCTGTAATTTATATAAATGTGTAGTTTTTTCTTCAATTTGTAATTGTAAACGTCTATAAAAAGAGTGATATGGTTTGACTGTGTCCCCACCAAATCTCAACTTGAATTTTATCTCCCAGAATTCCCACGTGTTGTGGGAGGGACCCTGCGGGAGGTAACTGAATCATAGGGACTGGTCTTTCCCGTGCTATTCTCGTGATTGTGAATAAGTCTCATAAGATCCGATGGGTTTATCAGGGGTTTCTGCTTTTGTTTCTTCCTCATTTTCCCTTGCCACCACCAGGTTAAGAAGTGCTTTTCTCCTCCTGCCATGATTCTGAGGCCTCCCCAGCCATGTGGAACTCTAAGTCCAATTAAGCCTCTTTTTCTTCCCAGTCTCTGGTAGGTCTTTATCAGCAGCGTGAAAACGGACTAATACAAAGGATTAATATCATAGGTCTCTTCACATATGCCCTTCAGTGATAAGCAACAAATCATTTGAATAATGATTAATGCTTATCAAATGTTTGAATAATTTGATAAGCAATAAATTGAAAAATGTGTGAATTTTTATTACATTAGATGGTTTGATTCTTAGAAAAGGGCTAGAGAAGTCAGAAGTTTGACGTCATTAGAAAAGAATTGTTAGCATCAAATATAATAATACCATTTTAAGTATATAAATTGCATTTATAAATATGCACTATTAAGTATAAATTAGCATGAATTTTTTTTGTTGCTGGCATTCCAACAAAATTCTAAAAAGAAGTGTATCACTGTGTATATAATTTACCGCCCTTTAAGATAGAAATACAATAATAATGAATTAAATATTAATTAGGCTAGGTGCAGTGGCTCACACCTGTAATCTCAACACTTTGGGAGACTGAGGTGGGACGATCACTTGAATCCAGGAGTTCAAGAACAGCCTGGGCAACATAGTGACACCTTGTCTTTACAAAAAAAAAAAGAAATTAATTAAGAAAAAGAAATAATAAGAAGTAAAATAATGAGAAAGAGAGCAATAACACTGTTATATTTGAAACTACTATCTAAAACATACATAAAATATTGTTTATTTTATAAACCAAATAAATAATTCATGGCATTAGGATACAAAATTTTCAGCCTAAGACCAAATAAATGCACACATAGAATCAAAGAGGTTACATGGGAAGTCCAAAGCCTTAAATCTGAATTGAAAATGCCATGTGAAAATGATTTATTTTTCTCTTAAAAATATATCTATTTTTGCTTCACATACTCAATAGCTTAGCAGTGACCAATTCTCTAACAATGACAATTATAGCCCAAATTTTTGACTCTAAGAATCATTTTCCATGAAAAGAATCTAGTGCTAATTAGAGAAATGGCTTATTCTATTTTTGCAGCAAAAAGTGTGGCAAAGGATGTTGGAACATCTTGTGATATCAAAATGCAAGAAAGCTTTCAACAATTACTGGGTCGAGGTCAACATAACAACAGAAGCAAAATTGATAGGCTCCTACTGGCCAAAGATAAGACAATATGGGCATCCAAAATAATTCCTGGAAATATACAACTGACCAAAATTAAATCAGGAAGAAATAGAAAACCTGAACAGATCAATAGAAAGCAGTAATTAAAAATAAGTCTCCCAACAGAGAAAAGCCCAGGACCAGATGGACTCACAGCCAAATTCTACAAAGTAGACAAAGAAGAACTAATACCAATCCTCCTGAAACTATTCTTAAAAATCAATGAGGAGGGATTTCATAGAATGAGTTACATTCTATGAGGCAAGCATCACCCTGATTCCAAAACCAGACAAAGACACACAAGAAAGGAAAACTACTGGTCAATATTTCTGATAAAAATAGATATAAACATCCTCAGCAAAATACTAGTGAACTGAATTTAACAGCACATCAAAAAGATAATACACCATGATCAAGTGGGATTTACAGGAAGGATGCAAGAAATGTTCAACATATGCAAATAAATAAATATAATACATCACATCAACAGAATGAAGGACAAAAACCATATCATCATCTCAACAGATGGAGAAAAAGCATTTGATAAAATTCAACATTCCTTTATGATAAAAACTCTCAACAAACTAGGCATAGAAGAAACATACTTCAAAATAATAAAGGCCATGTACAAAAACCCACAACTAACATCATACTGAACGGGGAAAAGCTGAAAGTCTTTCCTCTAATAACTGGAAGAAGAGAAGGATGCCCACTTTCAACATTCTAATTCAACCTAGTACTGGAAGTCTTATCCACAGCAATTAGGCAACAGAAAGAAATGAAAGGCATCCAAATTGGAAAAGAGAAATTCAAATTGTTCCTTTTTGTTTATGATATGATCTCATACCTAGAAGAACTTAAAGACTCCACCAAAACACTCTTAGATTTGATAAGTGAATATGGTAAAGTTACGGGAAACAAAATCAATGTTTGAAAATCAGTAGTATTTCTATATACCAACAATGATGTAGCTAAGAAATAAATTAAGAAAGCTATCCCATTTACAATAGCTACAAAACAGAATACCAAGGAAAAAATTTAACCAAGGAGCTGAAAGATCTTTCCAAGAAAAAGTACAAAGCATTGATGAAAGAAATTGAAGAGGACACAAGTAAATGGAAAGACATCCCATGCTCACGTATCAGAAGAATCAATATAATTCAAATTAATTTCTTAATGGTTACAATGTACATTGTCTGTGTGATGGTTATACTAAAAGCCCAGATTTCACCACTATTCAATATAATCATGTAACAAAACCTCAGTTGCACACCATAAATTTATACGAAAAAAAGCATGCTGTCCAAAGCAATCTACAGATGCAATGCAATTCCTATAAAAACACCAATGTCATTTTTGACAGAATTAAGAAAAACAATTCTAAAATGCATGTGGAACAACATAGCATTTGTTGTTTAGGATAGCCAAAGCAATCCTAAACAAAAGGAACAAAGATGGAGGCATCTGACCTGACTTCAAAATATACTACCAGGTTATGGTAACCAAAACCATATGGTATTGGCATAAAAATAGACACATAGGCCAATGGAACAGAATAGATAACCCAGAAATAAATCCACTTACTTACAGACAACTGATTTTTGACAAATACAGCAAAAAATTATATTGGGGAAAGATCACCATTTATAGTAAATGATGCTGGGAATACTGAATATCCACATGCAGAAGAATAAAACTGGATCCCTCTCTCTCACTATATACAAAAATGAACTCAAGATGGATTAAAGACATAAACATAACACCCAAGATGATAAAGCTACTAGAAGAAAACATATGAGAAATACTTCAGGATTTTGGTCTGGGCAAAAAACCTATGAGTAAGACTTTAAAAGCACAGGCAACAAAAACAAACAAGACAATTCAACTAAAAAGCTTTGCACAGCAAAATAATCATCAAAGTGAAGAGACAACCTGTTGAATGGGAGAAAATATTTGTAAACTATTCATCCAACAGGGCACTGATATCCAGAATATTCACGAAATTCAAACAACTCCACAGTAAATATGCAAATAATCCCATTAAAAAGTAGGTAAAGGACATGAACAAACATTTCTGAAAAAACATACAAAGAGCCAACAGATTTATGAAGAAATGCTCAACATCACTAACCATCAGGAAGTGCAAATCAAAGCCACAGTGAAATATCATCTTACTCCAGTCAGAATGGCTGCTATTAAGAAGACAAAAAAATAGGCCAGGTGTGGTGGCTCATGCCTATCATCCCAGCACTTTGGGAGGCCAAGGAGGGCAGATCACAAGGTCAGGAGATCAAGACCACCCTGGCTAACACAATGAAACTCCCTCTCTACTAAAATTACAAAGAATTAGCCAGGCGTGGTGGCATGCATCTGTAGTCCCAGCTACTCAAGAGGCTGAGGCAAGAGAATTGCTTGAACCCGGGAGGCGGAGGTTGCAGTGAGCCAAGATCATGCCACTGCACTCCAGCCTGGGCAACAGAGTGAGACTCCATCTCAAAAAAAATAAATAAATAAATACAAAAAATGAAAATAACATATTTTGGCAAAAATGCAGAGAAAAGGGAACTGTTATGCACTATTGGTAGAAATGTAAATTAGTACAGTCACTATGAAAAACAGTCTGGAGATTCATAAAATACTAAAAATAGAATTACCATTCAATTCAGCAATCCCACTGCTGGGATACCTGCACTCACAAGTTTATCTCAACATGATTCACAATAGCAATTTTATGGAATCAACCCTAGTGTCTATTGACGGAAAAATGGATAAAGAAAATGAGGTATACTTATATACAATGGAGGACTATTTGGCCATAAAAAAGAATGAAACACTGTCATTTGTAGCAACACGGATGGAACTGAAGGTCATTGTGTTAAGTGAAAATAAGCCAGGCACAAAAAAGGCAAATATCACATGTCCTCCCTTAGATGTGGGACCTAAAGAATTTGATTACACAGAGGTAGAGAGTGGAAATACAGATAACAGAGACTTGGAAGGGTGTGTGATGGGGAGGGAGAAAGATGAAGAGAAGTGGGTTATAGGGTACAAACATACGATAAGATAGAAGAAATAAATACAATGTTTGATAGTAGAGCAGGGTGACTACACTTAACAAAAGTGTATTGTGCTGGACAATAGTTAATGGACACCCTAAATATTCTTATTTGATTACTTGGCACTATAGACATTTAACAAAATTTCACAAAGATCCCATTAATTTTTAAATTTATAAAATAATAAAATAAAGGACAATAAATCAATAATAAATAATGTAATACATTTAAAACATTAAGTTAAATATATTTTTAAAATATGGATTTTCAATGATGGGGCAAAACTTATTGGTTAGCTTTGGAGACTGCTAGGCTAAGTCTTTATTCTAAAACTGGTAAGTAAAGGAAAACAATCAATAATACATCCTACCTTTCTTATGCAAACTATATTTCAGGATAATCAAACAGATGATGAGAAAAAAAATTATAGAAAAATAACAGCTAATAAAAGCAATAAGGTTAATCTAATTAGTCTACTACAATTTTAACAAAATAATAAAATAATGGGCTGGGACAATAATAATCAATGGCTGCTAACACCATTGGTTGAAAAGATAATGGGAAACTTCATAGATGGATGGCTAAGCCAACAATATCTAAACTTACTAATGAATATTCTCATGACAAAAAGAAATAACCCAGCATTGTGTTCCTCCTGATGTACTGCAATTAAATACACAGCATCACCTAATAAGTATTATTGCCAAAAAATTAAGCCTGATTCAGCCTCTGAATCCAACAATATGCAAAATGCAAAGGACAAAGGAACATGTTAATGACGTTGGGAGGATGCAATCAACCAAAGACAAATAGTGAGCAATTTCATATGGCAAAATACCTTTAATCGTCAGCAGAAACAGCAGCGGACAAAGAGAGGGAGGGACTGGTATAGACCTAAAAAACTGGTTAACCAAATGCATTGTTGCATGGATCTTCAGAATTTGACTTGAACAAAGTAACTATAAAAAGACTTTTTTTTTTTTTTTTTTTTTTTGAGACGGAGTCTCACTCTGTCACCCAGGCTGGAATGCAGTGGCATGATCTTGGCTCACTGCAAGCTTCGCCTCCTGGGTTCACGCCATTCTCCTGCCTCAGCCTCCCAAGTAACTGGGACTACAGGCGCCCGCCACCATGCCCGGCTAATTTTTTGTGTTTTTAGTAGAGACAGGGTTTCCTCGTGTTAGCCAGGATGGTCTTGATCTCCTGACCTCGTGATCCACCCGCCTTGGACTCCCAAAGTGCTGGGATTACAGGCGTAAGCCACCGCTCCCAGCCTATAGAAAGACTTTTTATGAGATAACTGAGTAAATTTGAAAACTGACCATATAATAAATTATATTTAACAATGACTGTCATTTTTAGGTATGATAATGGTATTGCCATGGTTTAAAAAATCTTATCTCTTAGCAATATATATGTGTGTATATGTACATACACGCACACACACACACACATATATACATATATATATATAAAAAATAGTATTTGTGGATGAAACTATGTAATTTCTGGAAATTGCCTTAAATTATTAAATTTTTTAAGTATGGTAATGGTTTTCTGGTAATGTTAAAAAAATCCTTTTCTCTTAGAGGTACATGCTTAAATATTTACTAAACAAACTATACGATAATAGAATTTGCTTTAAAACAATGTTTCAAGAATGTGGAGGGAAAGTGTTGGCAGCAGAGAATATAGATGAAAGAATAGTTACATGTTGATTATTGTTGAAGCTGATGTTCGATTGATTATACTATTAACTCTACTTATGTATATGCTTAAATTCTTATAAGAAAAAATGTAAAATATTAAATAATGTAAAATAGAATGAAGACAAAATCTCCAAGTCATATTTAATTTTCCTTTAAGAATGCAAATTAATTAAAATTCTTATTTGAATGAAAACATGATTTGAAGTCTAGAGCCTGTTCTAAATTTATATTCTTCCCTTTTTTAGACAACTAAATATATTTTTATTCTTTGGATTCAGTACCATTCATATATATCCTCCTTTTGCTGTATTTATAAAAGATTTCAAATTTTCCTGTGCCTGGCTCATCACTGATTTTTCTTTCTCCAAATAGACACTCATAATTTGACCTAGAACATAAATTATTCTTGGATATCCATCTCCTAGCACAGTTTTTGACATATTTTAGGTAATAAAAAATATCTGAGGAATGGATGAGGAATGAAAAAAAGCTAACAAATGCTTGTACCTATTTCAAGAGAAAGAGAAGAAAACATTTAAAGGAGAAAAAATCAAATTCAGCTTCTATTTTAAAATATGGGCCAGGCACGGTGGCTCACACCTGTAATCTCAGCACTTTGGAAGGCCGAGGCAGGCAGATCACTTGAGGTCAGGAGTTCGAGACCAGCCTGGCCAACATGGTAAAACCCCATCTCTACAAAATACAAAAAAAAATATTAGCCAGGCGCGATGGCTCATGCCTGTAATCCCAGCTACTTGGGAGGCTGAGGCAGGAAAATTGCTTGAACCCAGGAGGCAGAGGCTGCAGTGAACCGAGATCGAGCCACTGCACTCCAGCCTGGGTGACAGAGTGAGACTCCCTCTCAAAAGAAAAGAAAATGACTAAGGAATATATATGGATCATAGGAAACCATAACAAATTTTAAAATTTCTTCAAATTCTGTCCATATATAATGGCAAAAGAACACTGAGTATTAGGAATAAAATCAGATGCAATATTAATGAGAACTGTTTATTTTACCATCTTGCATAACAGTAAATGGAAATGCCTTCATGTCTAAATGATAACATACAGAGAGAAAATAAGGCAATATCCAGGGTCTCTTTAAAGATAAAACCCTTTTGAAATTCCAATTTTATAGAACCAGTGCATTCCCAAGGCAAAGTAAAATTGCTCTTTAGCTGAAGCAGGGATTAAAGCTGAACACTCTATTGGAATGGTTTAGTTCTGCCCAGTGAATGGGATGTACTGTCCCTGAGGCAATATAATTCAGTCTGTTCTCTCTTCAATGTGAACGCCAGCTAGCCAGGAGCTTATTCCCTGAAGCACATTTTAGAATACTGTGCCATACAACTTAATATATAAAGCTACTTGTCAGGCATTTCCAAAAATCAGGGTTGCCCGGAAAGGAGTCTCAGAGCCGGAACAGCCTTGGGAAAGGGTCACATCTGCCTTTAGCTCCCCCGTTTCCACCCTGCTAAGTACCCCATGGTCATCCTACCCAGCCTGGCTTTGTCCTTCCCAGGCCCCAGCCTCTCAGACCATAGATACTCCATCCCCATCCTCATCAAAAATGAACTTGCTTAAATCCCTAGGGCTTTATGCTCTGATTGGGTGGCTATATGTGTTTGTGATTGTGTGTGTGTGTGTGTGTGTGTGTGTGTGTGTGTGTGTGTGTGTGTTTCTGTGTGTGTATAGATATGAGTATGCTCCTCTTATATAGAGACAGATTTGCATTTTATCAAAATCTTTCTAAAAATAATGCATTAAACTATGGGCATTCTAAATTTTTTTCTTTAATCAGCATCATTTTTTCTAAATAAAGAACCCCCAATATATAAAACGAAAGCAGAATTTCTATGATTAAAGTAAGATGGGGTGTTTGGAACCCATGACTTGAACTTCTCACCTCCCCTAGGCAACCCGTGAGTCTGGCACAGTACCGTGAAGCTTCAAGTCATGCAATTTTAATGCATCCCCTTAATTCAAACAAGCAATGCTGGCTAGCCAAACTAACAAGAGCAGTGTTTCATAGCAGAAAATCTTTGTGTCCTTCCAGCTAGATCCCATGGTTATCTGCCTTTTTTTTTTTTTTTTTTTTTTTTTGGAAGAGCTGGCCATGAATCAAAGATCACTTTTTGTTGTGGCTCATTTACTACTATAAAAGATTCCTTCGAATGCCTCATTCCTCACTTGCTGAATTTTATGAGTGCCAAGCTGTCTGCAAGAAAGCATTTCCTTCCTCTTAACAACAGCAAATCTGTTTTGTTTGATTCTCCCTTAAAATTGATTAATATTTTAATTTTCTTACTTCTTCATTCCCAGATACAATTGCTATACAAGAAATAAGTGTGAATACTGAACAACTGAAAAAATGGGGTGGTATAGGCAGAAGTAAATGGGTCTTTGGATGCGTTGCTGTAATAGAGAAGTAGGACAGTCTAGAGGGGGTAAATGTCATGATCAAAGACAGATTCAGATTTGAAGGATCAAATGCCAAAGAAACAGAGAATGAGAAAAGAAGCCTGCTTCCAAAAGAATAAAGGGTGACGGGTTAAATTACAGGCAGACGCTCATCTTAATGATGTGCTTCAGTTTATTGCACTTTTCAAATACTCCAGTTTTTTTGTGTGTGGTTTTTGTTTTTTGTTGTTTATTTGTTTCTACGAATTGGAGTTTTGTGGCAACTCTGCATTGAGCAAGTCTATCAGAGCCATTTTTCCAACAGCACGTGTTGACTTTGTTTCTCTGTGTTGCACTTTGGTAGTTCTCACAATATTTCAAATTTTATTATTATTATATATGTTATGATGATCTATGACCAGTGATCTTTGATGTTACTATTGTAATTGCTTTGGGGCACCAGAAACTGTGCCAATATAAGATGGTGAACTTAACAAATGTTACGTGTGTTTTGACTACTCCATAAACTGGCCATTCACCCATCTCCCTCCGTCTTCTAAGGCCTCCCTATTCCTTGAGACACAACAATATTGACATTAGGCCAATTAATAACTCTACATTGGTCTCTAAGTGTTCAAATGAATGGAAGTTACACATCTCTCACTTTAAATCAAAAGCTGGAAATGATTTTGCTTAGTGAGAAAGGCATGTCAAAAGCCAAGATAGACCAAAAGCTAGGCCTCTTGGGCTAAACAGTTAACCAAGTTGTGAATGCTGAGGTAAAGTTCTTGAAGGAAGTTTAAAGTGCTACTTCAGTGAACACTCAAAGGATAAGAAAGCAAAACAGCCTTATTGCTGATATGTAGGAGGTGTTAGTGGTCTGTATAGAAGATTAAACCAGCCACAACATTCCCTTCAATCAAAGCCTAATCTAGAATAAGGCCTTAATGCTCTTCAACCCTGCGAAGCCTGAGAGAGATGAGAAAGCTGCAAAAGAAAAATTGAAATCTAGCAGAGATTTGTTCATGAGGCTTAAGGAAAGAAGCCATCTCCATAACATAGAAGTGCAAAGTGAAGCAGCAAGTCCTGCTGGAGAAGCTGCAGCAAGTTATCCAGAAGATATAGCTAAGATCACTGATAAAGGTGGCTACACTAAACAACAGATTTTTAATGTAGATGAAACAGCCACATATTGAAAGAAGATGCCATGTAGGACTTTCATAACTAGAGAAGAGAAGTCAAAGCCTGGCTTCAAAGCTCCAAAGGATAGGCTGACTCTCGTAGTAGGGGCTAATGCTGCTGGTGACTTTAGGTTGAAGCCAATGCTTATTTATTTACCATTTCAAAAAATTCCAGGGCCCTTAAGAATTAAACTAAATCTATTCTGCATGTGCTGTAGAAATAAAACAACAAAGCCTGCATGACAGTACATCTGTTTACAGCAAGGTTTACTGAATATGTTAAGCCCACTGTTGAGACACACTGCTACGGAAACAAAGAAGATTCAAAGTATTATCATTCATTGACAATGTACCTAGTCATCCCAAAGCTCTAAAGAAGATGTAGAAAGAAATAAACGTTTTCTTGCCTGCTAATACAATATTCATTCTGCAGCTCATGGATCAAGGAGTAATTTTGACTTTCAAGTCTTATTATTTAAGAAATACATTTTGTACAGCTCTAGCTGCCACAGATAGTGATTCTTCCAATGGATTTGGGAAAAGTAAATTGAAAACCTTCTTGAAAGGATTTGTCATTTAGATGCCCTTAAGAACATCTGTGATTCACAGTAGGTCCAAATATCATTAACAGGAGCTTGGAAGTTGATTACAAGCCTCCTCATAGAAGACTTTGAGGAGTTCAAGACCTCAGTGGAGGAGGTAAGTGTAGATGTGGTAGAAATAGCCAGAGAACTAGAATTAGAAGATTAGAAGTGGAGCCTGAAGATGTGACTGAATTTGCTGCAATCTCACTATAAAACAAATGAATGAAGACTTGCTTCTTATGGATGAACAGAGAATGGTTTATTGAGACGGAATCTACTCCTGGTGAAGATGCTGTAAACATTATTGAAATGACAACAAAGGATCTGTCAAAAGAAATGATTTAGAATATTCTATAAACTTAATTGATAAAGCAGTGGCAGGGTTTGAGCAGATTGACTTCAATTTTGAAACAAGTCTATGATGGGTAAAATGCTATCAAACAGCATTACATGCTACAGAGAAATATTTAGTAAAAGGAAAAGTCAATTGATGAGGCAAAGTGTATTGTTGTCTTATTTTAAGAGGTTCCACAGCCACTCCAATCTTCAGCAACCACCACCCTACTCAGTCATCAGCCATCAACATTGAGATGAGAACTTCCAGGAGCAAAAAGATTACCATTTGCTGAAGGCTCAGATGATCATTAGCATTTTTAGTAACAAACTATTCTTAAAAAAAGGCATGCACATTTTTTTAGACATAATGCTATTGCACAGTTAATAGGCTATAGTACAGTGTAAAGACAACTTTTATATGTGCTGAGAAGCCAAAAAGTTTGGACTTACTTTATTGCAATATTCACTTTGTTGTAGGGATCTGGAATCTGGAACCATACCTACAACGTCTCCAAGGTATGTCTATATGAGGGACTCATGTGGATAGGTAAGTGTGTGTGGTTACCTGTATCAAGTACAGAAGACAAATAAGCATGTGTTTCCCTCCAGAGTTCCTGGTACTTGCAAGTTGATGGTTACCCTGGAGGGCTGAACAGGGTTGGACAGCAGGCAGGCACTAGGGATGGAAGCAGCTACCTGCAATATGTTCTTTTGGAGTATAATGAGGCCCTTTCCTATTTGCTGTGCTATGTTCCCAGAGCATAAAGTAAGCTGCCAGAATAGCCCAATCTCAAGGTGGAATATGGCAGTCACCAACAAGAGCAGCCTGGTCTTCATCATAGCATTTGCCCAGCTACGTTAATTAGATAATTTGTTTTCACCGTAATGAAGTGAGGCCAGTGACCATAACTAACTTGTGTGCATTGAACTGAAGAAGCCTCTTTCAATAATTTACTTGGGAAATAACAATGAGCAAGGAGCACAAAGCATTCACAAAAAGATAGAATAAGAATAGCAGACTTTGCGATCTCCAGCGTGGCTGTTCCTCTGCTTCTTACTCTTCAGGAATATACAATATCCCCCTAAGTTGAAGATGCAAGGTCAGGATGTGGCTGTTCCTTCCTGGCTTTAAGAGCTAAGGATCTATGGTGTTTCATGCACCTTGTTGAAAGGTGAATTTGCAGTGGGATGAAAAATGAATTTCATCTTATGTGCCATCCTTGGTACCTGCCTGGAACACTGCTGAGAAGGGGTCCTAGGCTGGTTCCAGGCTCAGCAGGAAAGAGTGCCTGGTCAATGGATTAACAGCACCCACCCCAAGCCCAGGGCATCTGTGCCTGTTTGCCTGTTCACAGGGCCTCAGCAGAAGGTGCTCAAGGTCACTATTACTATACTAAAACTCGCCTTTACATTGAAGATGATGCTACCAAGAATGTTTCACAAAGACAGTGAGTGTTTGTCACATGTACAATTAGTCAATGAATTATTATTTGCAGTGAGTTATATCTAAATCTAGTTCCTTCACATTGGTAGGAAATTCTTTATTTTCTCTGTAAATAGCCAAATCCTGGGAAACAAATGATACTATACTAAGACAATCTAAGTCAAAATAAATATTAGGCATTTCCAAAGGCATATTCCTTGGCATACTTCCTAGAATGGTTCTCATGAATGATAATGTTAGTTTCATGATTAAGAAAATTCTTTGAAACCCAGTTGCCCCCATTTCAAGAGTTTCCATTGTTAATTTATATTGGAAACCACAGTACCTAGCACACATCTTTTATAATGATCTTTAAAATGAGTTCTTTAGGTGTATGGCTGATTTCTAGATGAATATATTTTCATTTTTTCTTCTCTTGCTCCTTGATACTTGAGCCTGGACATCTAACTCACACTAATGTGAATGTAATCCTAAGGTGAACTCATTCAATGTTAAAATGAGGTGATACTGACATGCTTTCAATGAGGCATCAGATCTTTGATCATCACTGTAAGGTCCCTAAAGGAAAGTTCCTTAATCACATTGGCCCATTATCTTTATTAAGAGGCTCTGGGCACCACTACCTTCAAACAAGCTCTGAGAAATAGGATCTGACTTCTGGGGATCAGTAATGTCAGTAAATGTCAAACTGTTCCCTTTCTCCTAATCTCACCTACATGATGATGATTTAATTATGAAACACACCTTGGGCTTTTCAGTCTAGATTTTTATATATTTATTTTGCATGGAGAGTAGTGTTTCCTTATGATACCAAAAAAATATGCAAATAGAAGGACATAAAATATATAGGAGAAGTAAAGCCATTAAAAATATCTGTTAGCCAATAAACTGATAAAAAAGATCTCAATACAACTTCTGTTTCAGCCTTCTGATGTGTTGAGATAAGAAAGGAAAAAAGAAAGAGCTAAGGAAGGCATAAAGGCAAGTAGGGAACCAGGAAAGGAGTAAGGGAACAGACAGGAAGGAACAAATGACAAAGGAAAAAAGGTCAAACGTGATTTACTTATTTATTTAACAGACACGTAGAAACTTACTCCGTGCACCTTAAAAAAATTAACTCATTGAATCCTCCTAAGAAATTAACAGGTAGGGCTGATTATCATCCCCGTGTTACAGACAAACTGAGGCACACAGGGAACAAGCGTTTTGAGTATTTTGCCCAAGGTCATACAGCTAGTAAATGGTAGAACTTGAGTTTTAATACAGGCAGTTCATTGAAAATAAATCACTTCCTTTATAAATAAAAAGCATTAAATCAACACATTTTTGAAGCGTATAATCTAGAGCAAAACTATAATGAACATAATAATAGTCTTCTAGTAAAAATAAATTTTGTAAATGTAAGTGATTTTTTTATGATCTGACATGAGAAAAACCATTATAAGTTTTACCAATACCACTTTTTCAGCTACTTTCGTTCCTAATCAGCATGATGCTTGTAAGTGTTATCAATAGTGATCTTTAAATGCTTCAAATTTGAAATTTTAAATGTTTCAAATTTTAACTTGGAAGACTAACACTCTGTTATACATAAAAAGATGGGAATTATAAGAAAAAATGCACAAAGCACTTTCAGACAAACATGGGTTTATGCTACGGCATTTAAAAACCCCTTTTTAAAGTTTTCATTTTTTAACTTTTACTTTTTGATAATCTTAAGTAAAACAATAAGTTCATTGCCCTTCGATTTTGCACTTCCTGTGCATTTGTTCTAATGCTATTTTCATCCCTTGGAATTAGTCAGATTGGATTACAAAAGGCTAGCACTTTACCAACTGTGCTTAGCCCTTGAAATCTTGAATCTTTCTGGCTAGTCTGTCAATTACATGATTAAACCTGATAAACTACATGCAATTCCACACAAAACTGAAGATCAGAGAACTCTCCGATTGGCTCTAAATATATTGGCAAAGTGGAGCAAATGAAAAAAAAATTAATTTTGTCTGATCAAATAAAAAATATTGGTCAAAATAGTTCCTTGATGTAAGAAACACGATTTGAAAATCAATTTTGGTGGATTATAAATTAATAAGTGATTCTAACAAAGATTTTCTCAGGCATTCTGCTAAGAAAGCAGACCAAAATCAAACATCTATCAACTGTTAGAGCTGACAGGAGCTTCGGAATGAATCATTTGGCTAAAAAGCTGGCCAAGATCACTGGAAGTCCCAATAAAGTAGCAAATTAATCACAGAATCCTTTGTACACTGTAACAATCCACATGTTCTCTAGTCTACTTCAATAGAGCCATTGGCCACAAATGTGTGAAAAGTGTGATTTAACTACATGGAAAAGTCTAATTTGCACAGAGCAGATTTGACAAGAGCAATGATCCACCATACTTCGCCTGAGCTATGGTTATATCTACCTTGATCTTGGAGTTGACCACTAACCAGGGCTTATGCAGGGAGGGCATCTATATACTAAGGACAAAGTAATTTTCTCTATATAAATATGTTAGAATATTTAAGAAATTTCATGTCATTGTCCTCACGGTTCAGTGTCCTTTTAAAATATGTGCACCGGTATCATATTGTTAAGAAAATAGAGACTAAATTAAATTACGCAATTTTAAATTAAAATAAAAACTGAATTTTGATCTTAACCGGCAAGTGTGTCCATTTATTAATGATGTCAGCTGGTCTTTAAATGTGTCTATCAGCCTATTCATTGGTCATTCTACCCACATGCAATCTTGTTCATTTACTAATGATTTCAGCTGCTCTGTAAATGTGTCTGCCTATTCAATCCTTATGAACAATACCTTTGATCACTTAATTCACATAGGTCTTTGGAGAGAACAAGCCC